>NC_000001.11:147559587-148184587 GCF_000001405.40 Homo sapiens
GTGGTTGTACCCATTGTGGATTACCTTGATGAAATGCAGAGATGGTATTTTTACCTCATTTTCCTGGACTGCAAGAGAGTGCTTTTGACCCCAAGGAGCCAAATGTTATAATAGAAATGTACTCTCTTCCTTCCTCCTTCAGAGAACCACAAGCAAGAGAGTAAATACCTCGTTCCTCTCTAAGGACGGTACTCACACCCTTACTTTCCCCACTGACTTCTTTTAGAAACAGATAGAAAAATAGTATTTGAAAAAGAAGATTCTTTTCTGGGCTGTCTGAGCAATGGAACAGTTGTTGGGTCCTGAAGGCCAGGAACTAAGACCCAGAGAAAACAGAGACTTTCAGAAGCTTAGTAAAACCCTGGTTACATAAACTCTTGGAAACCAGAGTTTGAAAGCCTTGCTTTCACTCTCTTCCTCTAGGATATGCTAAGAGAACTTCATATTTCAGAGTAAGTACAGACTGTTGTAAAGTTAAAAGAACAGAACAGAAAAAGAATGTAAATGATGCAGGGAAACACTTGTGCTATTCAGACCACAACTGCTATCAAGCTTGTTGGTAGGCAAGGTGTGTGGGATAGACGAAATTCATGAGAAGCAGTAGCCCAAGGTGAGTGTCAAATGCCATGCTTCTCTCTCACACTGAGGGACTGATCTTTGGTGGATTCCTTAATCTTTCAGGAGGGGAGTCTTTTTAACTATTAAAAAGGAATAAGGCCAGGCCGGGCGCGGTGGCTCACACCTGTAATCCCAGCACTTTGGGAGGATGAGGCGGGTGGATCACCTGAGGTCAGGAGTTCTAGACCAGCCTGGCCAACATGGTGAAACCCCCTCTCTACTAAAAATACAAAAATTAGCTGGGCTTGGTGGCTGGTGCCTGTAATCCCAGCTACTCAGGGGCGGGATGGGGGTAGGGCGCCGAGGGTGGAGAATCGCTTGAACCCGAGAGGCGGAGGTTGCAGTGAGCCGAGATCGCACCATCACACTCCAGCCTGGGGGACAACAGCGAGACTTCATCTAAAAAAAAAAAAGAATAAGGCCAGGAGCAGTGGCTCACTCCTGTAATCCCAGCATTTTGGGAGGCTAAGGGGGGTTGTGGGGATGACTTGAGCCTAGGAGTTTAAGACCAGCCCTGGCAACATAGTGAGACCTCATCTTTATAAAAATAAATACATACATAAATAATTTTTTTAAAGTAATAAAAACAAGGCATCGTTACTTCATGGAGTTTCATGATTCTCAGACATAATTAATAATAGATGGTTTACAATATATTAACAATATATGTAATTTAAATAACAACAGGGACACCTAGGTATCCTCTTACTCATAAAGAGAGTCAAGGTCAGTGCCTGAGGCAAAAGACAGTGAGTGAGGAAAAGTTGCCTCATTGCTTTCCAAGCAAATGTTACGCCCATTTTCTACATAAATAGAAGTCTTTGCTCCATGAGGAGGTTCATTCACTATCTTTGTTCCAAAGCAAAGTCACTTAAGATAAATGAACTCACCAATGCAATTGATTGAGGTAAACCCCAACACACACTTTAGTCTTTCTGGAATGCTAATATAGTACAGCAAAGAATTAGGAAATTAGCTGAAACTTTTATCTTTTTTTCTCAAAAGAAACTGCTCAACTCAAAATTAATTGCTAAGGGAGATGGTTTTACATTATTTCCCATAAACCTACCACGGGGATTGAAGGACCATGGATAGCGGGGAGGCACAGACATGGAATCTATGTCCTAGGGCACTGTTAACACAGTGCATAATTTTCAGCAACTCCCAAGTGACTTGTTCTGACATCCATTCCATGTAAAACAATGGAAACCTATTTCCAGGCTTATTTGTGTTTCCTAGGGGCCCTTCAATGCCATTGTGAAGATTAAAGGACTAGACCCTTCTCATTCCCTCTTATGATTATTCATAATTTTCTAAAATCATCTTATTGCGTGATGCAGCCCAAACATGAATTTTAGTGTCTATTTGTCTATTTATTCATTTGTTCATTCATTCTTCAACGAATATTTATCAAGCACTTCCTTCACATCATGTTTTCTGCTAGGAACTTAATAGGCATAAAAAATGAATACGATTCAGTCCCCATCCTTAAGGAGCTAATAATATAATAGGGGAGTAAGACATGTACACAGATAACTGTAATACAAAGAATATAATAAATGCCTTAAACAGGTTCAGACAAAATCCTATGGGAGGTTCACATCTAGTCAGAAAGAGCAGCGAGAGTGTCATGGAGATGGTATCATTTGACTCTCTAGGGATTGACTAGTATAGGAGCTCAACAGATGTTATTGGAGGAAATGTCAATTCAGACCCAGAAAATGGCATAAATAAAGAGTCATGTTCTGAGAAGAGGAAGTAAACCAGTTTGGCCAGAACATAGGATAAATGTAGGCAAATGTGGAGAGGATAGAGAAGAGCAGTTCAAGATACCTGGTAGAGGCCGGGCGTGGTGGCTCACGCCTGTAATCCCAGCACTTTAGGAGGCCGAGGCGGGCGGATCACCTGAGGTCGGGAGTTCAAGACCAGCCTGACCAACATGGAGAAACCCTGTCTCTACTAAAAATACAACATTAGCCAGGAGTGGTGGCGCATGCCTGTAATCCTAGCTACTCGGGAAGGCTGAGGCAGGAGACTCGCTTGAACTCAGGAGGCAGAGATTGCGGTGAGCTGAGATCTCACCATTGCACTCCAGACTGGACAACAAGAGCGAAATTCCATCTCAAAAATAAATAAATAAATAAATAAAGGTACCTGGTAGAGGATCTTAAACAGTGGGTTAGAGAATTACAATTTCATTTCTTCGGTACTGGGGAGCCATTAAACGTTCTTGAGCAGGAGTGACATATGCACACCTTTATTTTTCAGAGACATAATCTGACAGTAGTGCATGGGTTGGATTGCAGAAGGATCAGAAGACCAGTTTGAGAGTTACTGAAGTAATTCTAGGGAGAAATGATAAGGACTTGAATTAGAAAGCTGGCAATAAAAATGCAAAGGGGAGTTGAGCTTCATAAACACTACTGAGGCTGACTTGATGGGATTTGGGAATAGACTGAATGGAGGCAGGGAGAGACTCACATGTGACTACCTAACTGGCAAAATAATGATGCTCTTAAGAGAAAGTGGGTGCATGCACTTGCACATTTATACTTAGGAGTGTGGACGGGGGGTGGCAGGATTAGAAGTAATCTTTTTAAAAGGCAAATCAAATCTCATTGCTGTCCCACTTAATATCAAAATGGCTTTCACTGCATTTAGAATAAAATCCAAACCCCTTACCATGGCGTGGTGGAAGCCCTACAGGATCTGGTCCCTGCTTTTCTCTGACCTCATCTCTTAAAACGCTCTCCTTTGGTTTAGCTTTAGCCACACTGGCCTTTTTTCAGTTCCTCAAGTGCACTGAGTTCATTTCTGCCTCAGGGCCTTTGCATTCACTGTAACCTCTGCCCAGAACACTGTGTCCCCAGATCTTCACATGGTTGGCCCCTTTTGTCAGTCAGGCCTTAGCTTAAATGTCACCTCTTCAGAGAGCCGTTCCTAACCAATCAATTCTCTTACTCTTCACTCACAGCCACTCTTTGTCACATGGTCCTGCTTTTTATTCTTCACAGCACTTACTAAAATCTGAAATGATCTTATTTATTTGTTTACTTTGTTTATGTCGGCTCCTCTTCACCAAAAGTAAGCCCCTAGAGTGTGTCTTGTTCATTGCTGTGCCCTGATGATTAGAACAGAGCCTAACACATAGCCATAAATAGTCATTGAATGGATGAATAAATGAGTGGGTTCTATTAAGGGAATGTTGGCTTCTCATGCAGGTATAACAACATTCAGGTAGACATGGGCAACAAGGACCTAGATACATGGGGTTAGGACTCAAGAGAGGGCTAGATTTAACATCTGCTTTCAGGATATGGAAAGTCAGGGGAAGGTATGACAATTTGTGGGCCTTTTTGAACAAAGGCATCACTTCAGTGCTTCTGCCATAGTCACCGATCCTATCAATGACTGTTTTAAAACCTGTGATATCCATCCAACTTAACTTTCAGTGTCCAAGTGAGTGTCCTGAGATCATCTACTTGGTAGACTTTAGCAGAAATGCTACCACGTCTGAAGTCATTTTTGGAATTTCTATTTTAGAATTGCCTATAGAGTCAGCAGCACTTTAATAATGTAAAATATTAACAACCACTACTCATTACACACTTGTACCAAGCACCGTGCTAAGTGTTGTCACACATTATCTCATTTAATCCACTTCATAATCCTGAAAACAGGTAAAATGATTCTCCAATGTTGCAGTTGAGGAAATTGAGACTCAGAAACGTTAAATCCTTTGAACTGTGTGAGATCTGAGGTTCAGGTTCATTCTGAATAACTCCAAAGCTGGCTTGTTAACTACTTTGCAGCATTCTAGGAGGAGTGGGGGTGAAAGGGTGGGAATCTTCACTTCCTTCGAACGTGGATGTGACTTGAAAACAGACAGAAGCTATAGAACAGAATCGCGGCTGTGCCACTCTATAGGCGTGTGATCTCAGACTAGTAACTTCCTCAACAATAAAATGATGCTACTAATGCTCTCTCGTAGGATTGTTCTGTTGAGTGCAACTGTAAAACCCCTGGCACATTGTGGGAAAATAAGTTTTTGCTCCTTTTCATTTCTCATAACAGACACAAGTAGTTCTTGATTCGGTCAGGGTTTGATTATCTAGTTGGTGGATTATTGAGCCCCTGGCATTTTCTCATCTTTCCTATTATCATATTTAGTATTTTATAAATTGTTACCATTTCCATGTTGAAGTCAGGCAAGGTGAGGGACTGGAGGTTGTACTGCCCGTGAAAGGAACTGGAAAAATAAAGTCTGAAGTGATTGGTTCAAATTACAGCTTTATTATGTTTGAAGTCTGAGACCTTGGGGAAAACGTCTGAGTCTCAATTTCCTCATCTGTAAAATGAGGAAATATTTCTTCTCTTCTACATCCTGAGAGTTGTTTTGAGGATCAAACTGTAGCTGTGAAGGACTTTTGGAGAGCATAAAGTTAATTACAACTGTAAGGTACTATTATCATTGCCTGCATTACAAAACGAGGGTCTATCCTTCTTTTTAGAAGGTCTAAAAGAATAAATGTGCTCTATTTGTGAATTGCCTAAATTAAACCTGTGCCTTCCTTTATTCTTCTGTTGAAACAGTTCTCAAACCACTCCCTTGTTCTTTTATCTTTATACCTAAAGTCTGGCTTACATAAAGTTAATATCTACCCGGTCCAATATGGTAACCACTATCCGTATGTGGCCATTTAAATTTAAATTAATAAATAAAAATTTAAAAATTCAGCTCTTTAGTCACACTAGCCTAATTTCGAGTACTCAATAGCTACATGTAACTAGTGGCTACCATATTGGGCAGTGCAGATAGAGAACATTTCCATCTCTGCAGAACGTTCTAGTGGACAACACTGTTGTTGATTCTCTTGAATTCCATTTTTTTAATGCTTTCTCTCCCAACTTTAGCCATGATAAAACCAAGCTAGTTATTCTTTAGTTAATAACCCAGTGTACTTGCCAATGACTACATCACAGACTGTCAAGAATCTAAAGGCTGTTAGCCATCCTCTACTCTAACCTTTTAATTTTATACATGAGAAAATGTAAGCTCAAAGAGGCAAAATCACTCGCTCAAGCCCATGCAACTCTTCAATGGATTCCCACTACTGATTCCACAATGTAACTACAAATACATGAGTAATAGAGGAGGCTTACATTCCTCTCACAGAAGTGCTAATACCTTCCATCTCAGAAGAAAATATGCCTGAGACAGAACTTACAATTTGCTAGCTGTTATCAGTGGGCATTCTTCCTCTTGCCTGGCCAAGTGCTGTTGGTGAGTGCTCATTATGTCACAGTGAAGATACGATGAAAATTGGATAGCACATCTTTCCACTTCTACCTCTGTTAAATTACAAGTGTCCTAGAAGGCTGGCTGCTTTGGGAGCTAGAGTGTTCTGTGATTCAGAATTCCCCAGACCCAGCTAAAATCCCCTGGGATAGGCCTTACTTCTTCTTTACACACTCACTTAAATTATGAAATATTGGATCTTTAAGCAAACTTCTAGAGAATTTGGAATGGAGATTGTTGTCTCCCAGGATTGCATGCAATACAGATATAAAACACTCTTGCTCATAGCTCTTGGTATGTAGTAGGTGCCCAGTAGATATTTGACATAGCTCTTGGGACATAGTAGGTGCTTGGTAGGTGATTAATTTCCTCCCCTCCAGATCTACCCACTTTCACCCCCATCCTCTTACCAGAGGCCAGCGCTTTTCTAGATAACCAACACAATACTTGCAATTCCCATCTTCTTGTTGCTAGAACCCCAAACTACTGTTTCTTACAATTATTTTCCCATTGATTAATCTTCACTGAGAGCCCATAATCAAGGGCACAGTGTACCTAACAGTTGTAAAGTTGGTGGGGGAGGGGGAATATTTGTAACATTTATCATGAAGACATTTAGCATCAAGACAGAGGAGCTGGTTGCTGGAAAAGCATTTCTAAAGACAACAGGGCACCACAGTTGAGGCAGGAAATATGCCAAAAACTTCACTGTGTAGTTTCTCTATTTCTCCAATATGCATTGTAGCTGTAGGGTCCATTCTTCAGGTGAAAATTGAATGTTGGGGCCCTACTGGGAAAGAGGTTAGCTGGGTACCTGAGAATAAAATGTATGTATAGGCAGGAGTGGGTCTAGGTTTTGTGGAGCCTGAAGCTTCCTCAATTCAGGGGACCCCCCTG
Source organism: Homo sapiens (assembly GCF_000001405.40). Lineage (NCBI taxonomy): Eukaryota > Metazoa > Chordata > Mammalia > Primates > Hominidae > Homo > Homo sapiens. Next base: position 147,566,402 of record NC_000001.11, read on the forward strand.
AAGAAAATAATATTCAAAATTACTTAGATGCAGGGCCTTGGAAGGAGACTATGAAAGTCATGGGCCGGCCATGGCCAGGCGCGGTGGCTCACACCTGTATTCCCAGCACTTTGGGGAGGCCGAGGCAGGCGGATCACGAGGTCCGGAGATCGAGACCATCCTGGCTAACACGGTGAAACCCTGTCTCTACTAAAAATACAAAAAATTAGCCGGGCGTGGTGGCGGGCGCCTGTAGTCCCAGCTAGACGGGAGGCCGAGGCAGGAGAACTGCGTGAACCCGGGAGGCGGAGTTTGCAGTGAGCCGAAATCGCGCCACTGCACTCCAGCCCTGGGTGACAGAGCGAGACGCTGTCTCAAAAAAAAAGAAAAAAAAAGAAAGTCATGGGCCATAAAGCTAAAGTTTCATTGGCTTTTGTGTAAAGGATGAACTGTGTTTGTTTATGTTTAAGATACATTTGGGGTGAAGAGGGAATGCTAGGTGGAAGCTAATCACAGAAAGTCTGAATATGTAAAGTTATTGCATCAGGCACCTTTTACTAACTAATCTTGTACAGAAGCTAGAAAAAAAGCATTAAATTGGGCCCTGTGGGAAATAGAGTCTGGGTGGTTGGGAAGCTTAATAGGAGGACAAGAACCTCTTCCAACGTGGGTAAGGAGTTCATTCCAATACTGATATTATCTGTTTACAGTTTTATTTTACTTAGTGAAATGATTATGTATTATTTGATTAATTTATTGTTTTCTAAGAAAAGCAACCCCTTCCCAACCCTCCTTCTGCTGACACACACATAGTTTCAACAAGTGGATTTTACAAACCCATTGGCTTTGGTGATGTTTTCTTGTACGAGTGAATTCGTGGACTGTACAGAATTGAAGAAATCAAGTGAAATTTTTCAGAAGAGAATTTTTGGTTTGTTTAAATCTCCTTAATGGAGATTATTGATACTATTGCAATAGTAACATCATCAGTAAGTATAGGAAGAGAATGCTACTCTGGCCTGCTTTGTACAATTGTAGATAACTTATTTCCAAAATATTCTATTTGAGTCGACATTTCCACACATACTTGGTATATGCCTAAAGGAAATTTGGGAGGGAAAGACAAAATGGAACCCAGTCATTTATTTTTAAGTCGAGCAAAAGCAGGAATAAAATATTTCACTTATGAAAAAGGTATGCTGAACAATTAATGGCACAAAATTCAATATCTTTAAAGCATCAAATTTGGCATGTAACTGACCCTCAATGAGAATAATGCCTAACTCTGTTGAAGGAAAATATGTGGGGAAATAATGAGACCACAAGAAGTGAAAGCAAGTAGTGTTCCTGCACAATGAAGCTTAAAACCGTTCTTGTCTTAGGAGCCTGCCCCTTCCCCCTCCCCCTGCTAGGAACCAATCTCTCCTTCCTTCTAATGTGCAGATCCCCTTATCTACTTCCAGGGTGGCATTGCTAGTGACCCAGCAGGTCTGACTGCCTTTCTGCTCTATTGCTGGCGATCTATTTCAAATTTTATATCCCATTGCAGCTCTAACAATCACACCTTGAAAGTGTGTTCCTTACTGCTCTGCAACTCCCATGCACACACAAACACTAGCAAACCTCATACAGCTGCATCTCTCTGTGACAAAGCATGCTAACTCCTTTCTTATGGAAGCCCTTGCATATCAAGCTTTAGAAATGCTAATGATCTCACCTACCTCTGTAATCAATGCCTCTTCCTTTTGGAAATGTCCAAGCTACCCTGTTATTCTCAAGAAAGTCCTAGTCTTGTTACTTCTCCCAATAGGCTGTCATAGGATTGAAGCACTTTATGGGGAAGCATTGTGGTCAGATCATCTCCTAAGAAATGCAGTTCTATAGCCTTGAGAGGCTTTAAAATCTAACAGCAAAATCTTCCTAATAAATGCCCTGTTGACTGATACAACCTAGAATGCTCCACTTCATTATGGAATTACAAAGTTTTGAGTTAGAAGGAATCACAGTGTATTCTAACTGAAGGCTTAAATTCCTTCTATCATTAAATTTCATAGTTGGGCACTGTTCAAATACAAAGGTTGTTGAAAGAAAAAGCAAAAAAGAAAAAAAAAACAAGTTTCTTAGTCATTTCACTTGGATCCAAACAGAACAAGAATTAATATTTTGTGATTTCTGTACACCTACCGAGGGGGATTTTTTTTTTCTCTTTTTCAAATGTAGAAAGGGGTTAGACAAAATAGGAGAGCTGATTCAAGAGGACTATTAACAATCTCCTTCTCTTATCTGCTTCCCTCCCTCCCTACAGATCTTTCTAAAAGACATGGTAAGTTAGATAGTAAGATGTGAGGCCATCTTTGAAAAATGTCAGCTGTGTCTAGCCCCAGGGCATTGGGCGTTCCAAAAGAAGGAATACATTTCTTTAAATGTATCATTATTTCGGTTCTTAGTTTTTTCTCAGGAGTTTATGTCTGTCTTGTTTCTCCTACCATTCTCATTCATTCATTAATTCAGTCAGTCATTCCCTGAGTACCTACCATTCTGCCAAGTGCCAGGTATCTCTAGAAATCATAAGATAAATGTTTTCCCTTCAGGGAGCACACTGTGTAGAGTAGTGATGAATAAGCAGTCCAATATAAAGTGACAAAAATTATTAATAGAAGCCTGGAGGAAGAAGGATCTAACCAACAGGTAGCTGGTGGAAGCAGGTGAAGGAGAACACTCTTAGAATGAGTTCTACAGGTCTGGAGGAGGCTTATGGGTGAACAAATGGACAAAGGTGTCAAGTAGAAGAAGGGCAGCGAGGAAGAGGGAACAGAATGTGCAAGGTCATGGAGCTATTAAAGAACTAAAAGCCTTTTTAATAAATAAGTATTTTCTTGAAAAAGATTCTTTTTGGAGAGAGTAAAAGGAAATGAGCAAGGGGCCAGAAGAGGAAGGGTCTGTCTCATGATAAGAAATTTAAACTTGCCTGGGTAACTATACCCACGCCTGTAATCCCGGTACTTTGGGAAGCCGAGGAGGGTGGATCACCTGAGCTCAGGAGTTCAAGACCAGCCTGGGCAACATGGTGAAACCCTGTCTCTACTAAAATACAAAAAAAAAAAAAAAGAAAGAAAAAAATCAGCCAGGTGTGGTGGCATGTGCCCGTAATCCTAACTACACAGGAGGCTGAGGTGGGAGAATTGCTTGAACCCGGGAGACAGAGGTTGTGGTGAGCCAAGATCTCACCACTGCACTCCAGCCTGGATAACAGAGTGAGACTCCGTCTCACAAAAAAAGAAGAGAAAAAGAAGAAAAAAGAAATCATTCTTACAGTACTTTGGAATAGAGCAAGACTGGAGACAGAGATATTAACTAGCAGACTGTCATAGTGAAACAGGTGAAAGGTGATCAGGGCCGATGGCAGTGAGAAAGAGGAGGAAGGGATGTATTTAAAACATTTTGGAGATAGAATCTGCAGGATAATGTAGGAGTGAGGGAGTAGAAAGAGTCTAAGATGAATCAGGTTTCTGGCTTAGGCATCTGAATATTAAAGAGGCCATTTTCTGAAGGGAAAAAAAAGGAGTTAAAAAAGAAGAATCAGTCACAGGAGAAGATTAGTTCTATTTATGTTGAATATAAAGACTCTGTGGGACATCTTGATGGTGATGTCTAACGGAGCTTGTGGTTGGAAAAATCTAGCTAGAACTCTAGTTAGTTTCGTCAGGCATTTACTGCTTATTTTCTGTGTGTTAAATATTGTGTTTAACAGGATGTCTGAGCTGGAGCTATTGGTTTGAGAGCCATCTGTTTGTAAGCAGCAATTGAAACTATGGAAAATCACCTAGAAGGAGCATGATGAATGAAAAGAGAAAGTCTTGGGATGGGACTCTGGAGATCCCCGATATTTAATGAAAAGGTGGAAGAAATAGCTAAGGAAAAGGAGAAAGATGGTGTCACAGAAGCCATGTCAGGAAGAGAACTTCAGGAAGCATTGAGGAGTCAATAGTCCAAATCCACAAAGAGGTTGGGCAAGATGTAGGCAGGAAGGTGCCTTCTAGATTTGACAATTTGAAGCCATTTGTGACCTTGGCGAAAGCAGTTTCTATGAAGCAGGGCAGGTGGAAGCTTTGCAGTATCATCTTTGGGGCAAAAATTTTATTTTCAAATTCTTGTCTATTTACACTCTCTGCCTTTTGCTTCTGTTCCTCATCCTATCCCTTTGCCCCCCATTCCCACTCTTCCTAACACAAAATTGTTGACTGATTTTCTTTTTTTTCTTTTTTTTTTTTGTAGATGGAGTTTTGCTCTTGTTGCATAGGCTGGTGTGCAATGGCAAGATCTCAGCTCACTGCAAACTCTGCCTCCCGGGTTCAAGCGATTCTCCTGCCTCAACCTCCCGAGTAGCTGGGATTACAGGCATGCGCCACCACGCCTGGCTAATTTTGTATTTTCAGTAGAGATGGGGTTTCTCCATGTTGGTCAGGCTGGTCTCGAACTCCTGACCTCAGGTGATCTGCCTGCCTCAGCCTCCCAAAGTGCTGGGATTACAGGTGTGAGCCACTGTGCCCAGCCCATTGACTGATTTTCTTTTTTTCTTTTCCTTTTATTTTTTTTGAGATGGAGTTTTGCTCTTGTTGCTATCGGGGTATTTGCATGCATCTCCCATCCACCAGGCTGTACACCCTGGGACCCACCAGGTGCCCCTGAGAACATAGTAGGTCACACACGTTCCAAGGCATGTCTCATCATAGAGACAATTCGTGGTCAGGAGGTAATAGCTCATTGTTACAGCATTTGCAGTGTGTGATCGGTTGTGGCATTTGTTCTCAGAACTTTTCATTTTTGATTCTGACTGCTCTGAGGTGGGTAGGATTGTTTTTATTATCCCCATTTTACCTAGAAAAAAAATGAGACAATCTGGTCTCAGATCTGAGTCTTCTGATTCCAAATCCTTCCTTCCTTCTTGAGCCTTCTGGCCAACCATCACTGATACTCCCATTCTGCAGAGAAAGACCAACCTGACACCACCCTTGGGTGGTGTATTTTAGACATAGGCAAGAGTGGTTTCAGGTTTTCTAATCTCCAAAAAAGTAGCTGCAGCTAGAGACCCTCCTCTTCATCAAAGCAAAGCTCCTGGGTTGGGAGGAGCTCAATGAACTGGGAATTTGGGGGAGAGTTTACCACTAGCCCCTCCCCAGGTTATGTTGAAGTCCCTTAGTTCTTCCTCAAATGGTGAAAAAGCACCCTTTTCCCTGTATCCCACTCCCATTTTCCTACAGAGGGACCTCAGGGTGATGGAAATCAGAGAGAGGAAATGGCCTCACAACAAGGTGTGGTGGTAGGCAGCCCTCCAGACACACTTGGTAAGAAAAGCTGGACCTGCTGAGGGTTGCCTCCTGCAGAGATAACACAGGAAGAGGAGAGAATATGTGCCTTCCCAGACCTCTGCATACCTGAAGCAGCATCTAAGTTTCCTTGGTTTTGCCCCAAACTCCTGTACCAGAACCCAGGACTCTATTCATTTTCTCTATGCATTTGATCCACATACGTTTATTGAGCACCTACTATAAGCCAGGCCCTGTTTGGGTATAAGAGATAAAACATCATGCCTGTAATCCCAGCACTTTGGGAGGCTGAGGCGGGCGGATCATGGGATCATGAGGTCAGGAGATCGAGACCATCCTGGCTAACACGGTGAAACCCCGTCTGTACTAAAAATACAAAAAAAAATTAGCTGGACGTGGTGGCGGGAGCCTGTAGTCCCAGCTACTCGAGAGGCTGAGGCAGGAGAATGGCGTGAACCCAGGAGGCGGAGTTTGCAGTGAGCCAAGATTGCGCCACTGCACTCCAGCCTGGGCAAGTAGAGCGAGACTCCGTCTCAAAAAAACAAAAACAAAAACAAAAACAAAACAAAAACAAACGTAAAAGAGATAAAACACCGTAAAACACAATTCTGTCCTGGAGTTTACATTCTTGTGGGGTATAAGACTAAAGTCCAGGCATGGAGCAGGCTTTCTCAGAAAAGGTTCCTAAGAGACAAGTGACCAATGTGTTTCCATTTCAGCCTCTCCTAGCATTGATAGACATCACTTCCAGGACAGGCTAGAGCTCTGCTGGATGGGAAAGCTTTTGACCTGAGCTGACCATAGGTGACCAGCCAGTATGCATTCTAATCACCTTAACACCTCTTTAGAAGGAAAGGTTCATAGGTAGAAGTTTTTGTTTGTTTGCTTTTGAGACAGAGTCTTGCTCTGTCACCCAGGCTGGAGTGCAGTGGCACGATATTGGCTTATTGCCACCTCTGCCTCCTGGATTCAAGCGATTCTCCTGCCTCAGCCTCCTGAGTAGCTGGGACTACAGGTGCGTATCACCAAGCCTGGCTAATTTTTGTATTTTTAGTAGAGACGGAGTTTCGCCATGTTGGCCAGGCTGGTCTCGAACTCCTGGCCTCAAGTGACCCACCCACCTCGGCCTCCCAGACTGCTGGGATTATAGGCGTGAGCCGCTACACATGGCCACAGGTAGAAGAATTCAATCCTCAGTGGTAACATTTAATGAGAAGCTGGGGCTTTGTTCATTCATTTTTGTTTCTCCGGATGGAACAATCCAGCAAATAACATCTATGTGTGTTTCTGTATGTGTGTACTCACATGTGTTTGTGTACCCACATATTTGTGGAACATCTTATTAGCCTTGTCAGGGTGTTTTGTATTGGGGTGAGCATCTTATTCTCCATAGGATGGAGGACTTATTAGACACACAATAAAGACTTAATAATTGATGAATATTGTTAAAAACAAGGTTGAGGCCGGGAGCGGTGGCTCACTCCTATAATCCCAGCACTTTGGGAGGACCATGTGGGTGGATCATCTGAGGTCAGGAGTTCAAGACCAGCCCGACTAACATGGTGAAACCCCATCTCCACTAAAAATACAAAAAAATTACCCTGGCGTGGTGGCACATGCCTGTAATCCCAGCTACTCGGGAGGCTGAGGCAGGAGAATCACTTGAACCCAGGAGGCGGAGGTTGCAGTGAGCTGAGATCATGCCACTGCACTGCAGACTGGGCAACAGGAGTGAAACTCTGTCTCAAAAAAAAAGAATAAGGTTGAAAGGCTCACCCTTGAAGATGTTTTCTCTAGTTCCTTCAGTTACAAAAGGGAGTGGAAGCAACTCGGTGGGACAGTGATTGAGAGGATAGGCTCCGGAGTGAGACCGGGGTTCAATTTCTGACCCTGTCATTTAATAGAAGTGAGGGTTTGTTTTGTTTTGTTTTAAATTATTTATTTATTTAGGTCTCAATTTCCTTATCTCTAAAATGGGGAGCATTGCTGTAAAGGTTAGGTCAGAAAATTCATGTACTACATTTAACACAATGCCTGGTTCACTATATGCAGTGAATATTGTTATTTTCCAGGAAGGAGAAGTGACTTCTTTAAGTCACACAGCTGGTTAGTTAGAGATAACCTGAACTTAACTAGGTTTCCTAACTCTCAGTCATGTGTTTTTTTCCCACTGTCACTGCATTATGCCACAAAAGAGTAGCAAGACAGATAAAATGTGGAGCTTAGTTCAGAGGTGGATATTATGGTGCCTTGAAGGGAAAAAAAAAATCCTAGTGAGGGCTCATTGAGGGCTACTATGTGCCAAGTACTATCCTGCATTATATATATGTTACCTCTTTAATCCTCACAGAATCACTATATGACATTGTTATTATCCCTACTCTAGAGACAGAAAACTGAGGCTTAGGCAGACTAGTTTACATAAACCTAGGCTTGTCTGACCCTCAAACCCATCACTCTATCCTGTGATGACTGTGGTAAGAATATTGAGGTCTTATAAATATAACTGCAAGGCAAAAGGCACTCTGGACAAGGCTGTGTGGGGGTCAGCTTTTGCCACTGTGTCCACTCTCAGTGGCAGCCCCTTCCTGACACCGCAGTTGTCATTTGTGGAAGAACGTAGTGCAATGTGAGTGGACAATGTTTTTACAGTATTTGTTTCACCGTATAGGAGAATCTGTGTAGACAAATGAAGAACCTACTGCCATTTAGGACCAGAATTCCAGAGGAACCAACCATCTGTGCACCTCCATGTCAGGGGAAGGTGTTTTATTTCCAGTGTGAAATGCCAAATAGTCCAGGAATGATAAAATCACCCTAGTTTTTCTTATGAACTCCTAGAAGTCATCTTTGTTGGTATAAATGAGATCATTTAGCCTAATTAGTTCCAAGCTTAATTAGCAGTAATTATCCCAACATGGGAGTAATATCCGAGCAGGAAGTGCCGAGTCCTCGATTAGATAGATCTCTAATTGGTGTTACAATATTGTAATTAAAGCGTGTTTGTACGCCTCTGCCACAGCACGCGATTTGTTTCATGTCTGATTAAACAGAGAGACCCAGCAGCCTTTGAAGGGGCCAAAATTTTAGATCTGACTCACATAACATGTTAACCCTGTGACAAAAAAGATATGGGGACCTACCTCAGTGGCCAAGGTGAGTGTACAGCTCTGAGCCAAAGGCATTTTTCCAGAGAGGATGAGCCCTTGGTCTACTCCACACTTTGACTCCCATGTAGCAAGTATAGGAAAACAGAAGTATATGGTTGAGGGGCCACTTTGTAACTTTTAAACCTTTGAGGGCTGACTCATATATAACCAGAGAAGACTGTACAAAAAAGACGAATAATAATAGCTACTGTTTATTGAGCATTTACTATGTGCTGGATGCTGTGCTAAATGCTTTCAATATCAAATTCATTAAAACTTCAAAAAGCCCTCTGAGGCAGCTATTACAGTCCCTGTTTTACAAATAAGGACCTGAAGATGAGGGAGTTGCTTCACCCAACTAAGTCTGTGTTACCCTTCAGGTCTTGCCTTGAGCATCACTCCTCTAGAAAGCTACTTCTGATCCCTAGACCATGTTGGTTTCCTGACACAGCTCCTTGTAATTTTCCTTCATACACTTTAATATAATTTCATTGTCTGCCTTTCCCACCAAACCATAAGCTCATTTTTGCCTTGTTCACTGCTTTTGCCCAGTGCCCAACACCAAGCTAAGTGCCAGCAATGTAGCAGGTGTTCGAGGAGTAAGAGCCAAATGAATTGTCAGAAGTTACCCAACTGACAGGTTGGATGATTTGAACCCAACTCTGTGTGATTCTGTAGTCCTGTGTTTTCCATTACATCATGCTTCCTTTTTTTTAATGTTAAAAACTCCAAAGTTTCTAGGTAGCAAAACTATAATAAACATGTATTTTGAGGAAGGATAGGGGAATAGAGATTTTCTTTCCTCTCATTTCAAAGTGCTGTTTAAAAATTTTGCAATACATGCCTTAACCATTCACTATATTTATCTACTTAATGCTTCAGCCTGATGTTATAATTTAGATTTTTGTGTGCATATTCAAATAATTGGTCATTGAATTTAATAAGCCCAAGAGAATTAGAGTAAACTAATGTGATGTATAAATGCAGGTAGAACTTATATGCATTTATACATCACTGGATTCTGCAATCTTTAAAAATGTACCTAACACTTTCAGAATCTGTATTTCAGTGATTCCCAGCTGTGGTTTTGGCACACCCTAAGAATCTCCAGTTATTTTGAATGATGACATAAAATTCTCAGTTTTTTTTTCAAATTAACTTTTTTGGATATTTAAAAGAAAACATGCCACATGATGCATTGCGGGGGAATAAGAAACAGGCTAGATCAGAATGGAGCCAATGCCTTTGACCCTTGGGAAATCATTGCTATTTAATCTTGGTCACTGCTGAAATATATTCAGGGATTAAGAACCTTAACAAGAATTTTTGTTTATTCTTTAAAAAAGTTTTAACATAATTATTAAAAATTAGTAGATGATACTTGCACAAAGTATAAAATTCACAAAAATGTCTAAGTGAAAAGGCCCCTTCCACCTTTCTCTCATCTCCCGGCCACTCTAGAGATAATCAGTTTTGCATATCTTTCTGGAATATTCTATGCATACGCAAATATATCATTTTAAAGGTATTATTTCTTGGTAAAACACCGGAGTGCACACTGACTCATAAAGGTCAATTCGTTCACTTTTCAGTTTAAGCAAAGATAAAAAGTTATAATGAGAAATTCACTACATAGAAACCAAAGGCACAAAGCTTTGAAGTCTATTTTCTTGTAAAACTATTACTAAACATTGTGGTGATATACTGTAATGAAATATGGTACTAATGAAGGAGAAATGCTGCTTGACTTATGACAATAATGGTATCCAGTGTGGGTCCTGAATCTTCCTGAGTTTTCTGTTCTGATTAACTCCTAGATGATGTTTCTGTGTGGCGATTTATCTCAATACCAGCAATAAAGAAGCCAAGCTGATAGGTTCCAGTCACTGTAGGGAACTTATGTGAGGAAACTTACTGCTGGTCTCTTGTCACTTTCTCACCCGCCTCCTCTGGTGACCTTAAGTTGCCTACAGTGTGCAAAATAATGTAAAGACGATACCTTTTATATCAACAGACATTTCTCTTTTGACTGTAATAGGTTTGCAGAATCTATCCGTTATCGTCAAAAGAGAAATGCCTGTTGATATAAAAGGTACCATCATTACGTTATTTTGTGTGGACAGGGCTTGATGAATCTTTGGATGATGATTTTAGTGCAAGAAAATTCACAAAGCTTCCTGCAGTTAGTACGCTATATTTTTTTTTATTGTTTCTGGCTTTTGAATAATCAGAAGTGATCGAACCAAGAAATTAAAATAATTGAATTGCATTTGGACAAGCCTACAGATAAACTGGGTTTAAGTAGTTGCAGCATGAGTATCTTACGATACCCAAGGAGTACACTAGCCAAGGTCCTCGTCAGCTTTTGATAGTTTATATTTAGAATTTATTGAGCCCTGCACATGCTCGGCTCTGGAGAAAACTTGGTGGCCTGTGAACTGATAGTCTTCAGTTATTTATCATCTCATTTTGCTTATCAAAGACTTGCCTACAGTCCCTGTGGCTTTTCTTTTCACCAAGGGCTTGCCTTGGATGGAGACAGACTCTCATGCTCTTCTCTTATGACTATGGAAGGCACTCATGTCTGAGTAGAGTGTGATTTTCTTCTGGAATGTGTCTTTGGCAAACAAAAGGACGAATGCCGTGGAATGTTCTGGAGGTATCATCTAAGACCACAGTAACCTTTAGTCTCTATTTTAAGTACTCTGTTCCATTGTGTTCACTTGTATTTTGTGTCTCAATTTTTGGCTTAGAAAATATAACCACTAGAGCTGGAACAAAGTGTCTCTAGAGTTGGGCCCAACTCTTTTTGCTTTCCTTAGTGGAAAGATAATTTTGTGTTTTGTTTTTCTGGACCTGGATCATTCCATTGTAATGATATGTTGGATCAATTGATTCCTAAGGCCCCTTCTGTCTTTGCCATTCTCCGAGTCTACCATCCAAGCTTTGGAGCAGTGCTTCTAAAGTTTTTCTACCAATGTGTGTGTGTGTGTGTGTGTGTGTGTGTGTGTGTGTATAAATGTCTTCATGATATCAAGCTCTGAATGAATGTGGCTATAATTGATATGACAAATGAAGACATTATGTCTGTAAAGACAAATTCCAATTAGTTTTGATATATGAGTTAATTGATTATTTCCCCTTTTATTCAGCTTAAATGTAGAAAACCTTCCCCTCTGAAACCTTAATACGATTTGAGTTTTCCCTCTCAAGGAATAGCTCTTCATGGGCCAGCTTCTATTTGCCATCACGGCATTTCCAAAAGTCTGCCTTTCTCCTGCTGGCGAATGACTGTGTGACTGACTTCAATTATTCCCCTTTCCCCATTAATTTAGTCAGTACTGCTTTCTTTTACAGCAGGAACCATGTGATACTCATCTTATTGGACTTCCTCCTCCCATGTCAAGTGTTTGCATATACAGGTTGAGCATCCCTAATCCAAAAATCCAAGATCCAAAAGTTTTTGAGCCCCAACATGAGGGAAAATTCCACACCTGACTTTCATGTGACAGGTCACAGTCAGAAAGCAGTTTATTCAGCATCCTCAAGGGAAAAATAAAATTACCTTGATGCTATGTGTATAAGGTGTATATGAAACATAAATGAATTTTGTATTTGGACTTGGATTTCACCTCCAAGATATCTCATCAGGTATATGCAAATATTTCAAAATGTGAAAAAAAATCTGAAACATTTCTGATCATAAGCATTTTGGAGAAGGGATACTCAATCTTCTACTAGGCATTCAGAAAATGGTTGTTGAATTAAACTGAATTTCTGACAATTTCCTACCCCTGGAATCCTTCAGACCTTCCTCCAAAGAAACTTTCTGGACTAACTCTATTCAAACTTTGCATTCCCTTAATTTGCATTTCATAACACTTCTGTGCACATGGTTTGTGTCATATTAACTTGTGTGGTTATTTGTTCTTGTTATTCCTTTTGAATTTTATGTGAAGTATAAGGGAAAGGTACCCAGACTTGGAGTCAGGAAATTTGGTTTTCTTTCTTTTTTTTTCTTTTTTTTGAGATAAAGTCTCACTCTGTTGCCCAGGCTGGAGTGCAATGGCACGATCTCGGCTCACTGCAACCTCTGCCTCCTGGGTTCAAGCGATTCTCCTGTCTCAGTCTCCCAAGCAGCTGGGATTACAGGCGCCTGCCACCACACCCAGTTAATTTTTGTACTTTTAGTAGAGACGGGGTTTTGCCATGTTGGCCAGGCTGGTCTCGAACTCCTGACCTCAAGTGATCCACCTGCCTTGGCCTCCCAGAGTGCTGGGATTAGAGTCGTGAGCCACCGCGCCCAGCTGAAACTTGGTTTTCATCTTTCCTAATATGCTAGTTGAGTGACCAAGGACAGTCCATTCAACTTCCATGGATTTCAAATTTTTTTATCCAAAAGATGGAAGGAGAGGTGAGGCAGAATGGATCAAATGATTCCTAGGATTCTTTCTAACCTTAGCATTTTGATTTTTGGCATATTCATTCCCTGACAAAATCACAAACTTCTCAAATGCAGAGAATTGCCTTTCTCTACTATATGGAATATATACACTGCTTGACACAGATGGTGCTTAATAAATGCTTCCTTAGAAAATGACTGCTGTTCTACCCCTGCTAGCAAGAAGTTAAACCTGAGGGTGCCCCTCTTATAGCCCATGTCCTAAAGGGGCTCTCAGACCCATGCTGGGAAATGCTATCCTGGACTTAGACATCAGAAACTGAGACTAGCACACTGTATTAGTCATGAATAGGGGCACACCTAACAGCTTTGCCTTTTTAAGTAAATGTGTTTATGGTTTGTGCTGCTTTCCTCAGTAAGATCATTTCCTTGCACGTAATGAGAGCTGTGTGTGATATGGTTGAAATCCTGTCCCTCGGCTGAGATGGAGAACTCACGTGATGCTGAGTGGGGCCCATTATCCCAACGGCACTCACAGGAATGCTAAGTCTGGCAAATATTAACTCGAACCACAGCAGCAGTTAGGAGGCAGCAAGCAGTCTACCCACCTTCCTGACTATCACTTTGGGTTTTTCTGATTTTTCTTTCCTTGGCTTGAGCATTGTGTTTATTCCCCCTTTCATTCATTCTTCCTCTTCTCTTAGAAAGCAAAAACAAGACATATTTCCTCCATTCATCTCTGACTGGAAACTCTGATGTTCTCATTCATTTCAGACAGAAGGCTTTCCCTCTTTTGCCTAAGCGATGTACAACATGTTTATTCATCCTCCCTGCCTCCATGCCATAGGTCTGGGCATTGGAAGAACTCTGGAGTCTTCCAAAGGTCTTGGGGAACAGACTCTCATTGCAGGCAGCTATGGATAGAATAGATGGATTGTGAAAGCCTCTCAAAACCAATCCTGTGTGCTAGAGAAGCTTTCCTTGGATGAAGAGAAGCATATGATATTTTCCCATGTGGCAGGGAAAGGAGTGACAGATGAGATGGAAGACACCTAACACACATCTGAATGTACGTAAAGAAAAGATTTATAACTAAAAGGGAGGAGTTGTGGTTTAGATTAAAACCACAAAGGAAGTGAAGGACGTTACCACTTTCCTCTTTGTGGGTAGAAGATTCTCCTTGGGCTCATCTAATGGGCTCTGTGAGACTGAGTCTTCCTATAGGAATATGTTTATCCCTCCTACCCTTCTAGAAAAGCATCGTGCACAGTGGTTTGTGGTCTTAAAGAGTTTAGACTTAATTTTGAAAGCATAAACATGCCATAAAGCACCTCCATTTCTAAATCCATTGTCCCAAACATGCTTCTCTTATTGTAAATAGAAAAGCGAAGAATTAAAGCTCTCTGGGAAATGAAGGAAAGGAAAAGCCCCTTTCCCAAGTTACCTAAGCAATTTCCCTACCTCACCTTAATTTTCCTTTGTTTTCCTGGTGGAGACCTTGTGCCTGTTTTGACTTAGCAAAGGAAATTATTAGTAGCTCCATTCCTCTAATAGCCACCATAATTGAGGACCTACTATGTGCTGGGTATTTTTCTTGTATTATCTCTGAACTTCCAAAACTTCTGAGAGATAGATTTTATTACTACCATTTTTAAAAGTGAAAAAAACTGGGGCTCAGAAAAAACCATTGCCCAACTATGACCTGAAGCCTTGCATCCAGGTGTGTTTGATGATAACACTGGTGCTCCTCCCTGCCTCTTCTTCAAATCTGGTTTTAGAAGTATTTTGGCCATCGGTGTCACAAACTTGGAAGTGGGTTTGAAACCTGGTTCTGCCTCTAATTACCAATGTGACCCTGGGCAAATTATTTGACCTCTCTAAAGTCTTATCTGGTATGTCTTGTCTGGTATGACAATTGCTTAGATAACACTGGGAAAAGGCTTCCTTATTGGCTTCTTCTTAGAATTAAATGAAGCAACAGATGTAAAGACATGGCATATCAACTAGCAAACAGTAAACTCCCAAAATGACAGCTATACGCTAATTGTGTGTAGGTCAGTTTCTAGACCAAACTGTGAAATAGCTGAACTCCGCTTAAGGGAACCCTCTGTTTTCTTAAATTCCTCATCCTCATTCCTGTCACTCTCAGCTTCTAGAAAAATGCATCAAGGTGTAAGTGGCTATGAACACTTGGAAGAGAGAAGTCATACTTCTTCGATAATAAAACAAAAGAAGCAAGTGCTAGCTGTAGAATTTCATCCTTCTAAAGTGTGAACCGAAGGTTGTTTTTTGGTCTTTTGTTTGGGGGAAGGTGGGTTGCTGTAGGGTAGGAAAAAGGAAACCCTGTGAGTCCCCAAGCCACACTGTGCACAGGACCTACGTCAGCTCTTTAATCTCATGCTTCTTTTTCTGGATACATTCAGTGTAGGGCCAGTTGTAGATTCCAGGTCTCAGCTGCTTTTGATCAGAACTTTTTTTTCTTCCTGTGGTGATCTTGCATGAATTTTAGACGCTGGCGACTTTCTATTGCCTGAGTCTGTTTTTCATTGCAGATATTTGTCAGGTTTTTACATCTAGGTTGCATTTTGAAAGCTTTTCTGCTTTTCTTCTCTGACTATTCTCTGTGAACTTCTGATTCTGGATTTTTTTCCAATTTATTTTAAACATAATATTTATACATTTTCCTGATTACAAAATTAATAACTATTCATTGTAGAGAACTAAAACAAAAGAAGAAAAGATTTTAATCACCCATAAACCCAGCATCCAGAGCACTTTTCACATTTTATTGCATTTTCTTCCATCCTTTCTCTACACATATGTTTCTGTCTATATAAATTGTATGTATGTATATGCTTTGCAAAATTGGGATAAGACCATGTATGCATTTTGTATCTTACTGTTTCATATAACTTTATATCATGAGCATTTCTTGCATGTGATAAAACGTTTCTGTGAAAGATTTATGTCTGCATAATATTTCATCATATGAATGTACCAAGGTTTATTTAACCATTCCTATTCTGCTCTATGTTTAGATGTTTCTTTGTATAAATTTCTGTCCAAGTTTCTCCATTTCCTTTTGCTTTGTAACTTATTCCTAGACAGGGAATTATTAAGGCAATTAGGGCAAAGAGTATGAACATTTAATTTTTTATTTAAAAATGTATTTATACTTGGTTATTTTAATACAGACACCCTGTGTATGGCCTTTTAAAAGCCTCTTGCTATTAGTGCCAAATTGATTTCCAGAAATGTTCTTCTAGTACAGGGTGGCAAACTAGGACCCGAGGGCCGAATCTGTCCTGTGGCTTGTTTTTGTACAGCCTATGAGCTAAGAATGGTTTTTACATGTTTAAATGCTTAGGGAAAAAATCAACAGAATAATAATACTGCATCACATGTGAAAATTATATGAAATTCACATTTCAGTGTCCATAAATAAAGTATTTCTGAAGCAAAACTATGCTCATTCATTTACATATTGTCTATGACTGCTTTCACCGTACAATGGCAGAGCTGAGTAGTTGCAATAGAGACTGTATGACCTGCAAATCCAAAAATATTTACAATCTGCCCTTTACAGAAATTGTTTACTGATCCCTGCTTTAGTATGTAATCCTACAAGCTGCATATGAGAGTGTTCATTTGACCACACACATACTAACACTGAACACTGGAATTTTTTAATTCTTTGTTAATTTGAGCAAGTCAACAAATATTTACCAAGTGTTTGCCACGTAACAGGCCCTCATGAAAAATACAATTAACTTAGCATTTCTTTGATTACTAGTTAGGATGAGTTTTTCCATAAGTTCATGTAAATTTTTTTGTATTCACATTCTGTGTATATGAAATATTACATTTCAACTCAGGCATTTACATTTTTCATACCCCTTTGTATGAGCTCTTTATATACTAAGAATATTAATGTCTTTTCAGTCATTTGTTGAAATCATAGTTGTTGGAAATATTTTGCTTTTATTAGACTGTTTGCCTTTTATTTATTTATTTATTTATGTATTTTTACTTTTTTTGAGATGGACTCTTGCTCTGTTCCCCAGGCTGGAGTGTATGGGTGCAATCTCGGCTTATTGCAACCTCCACCTCCCAGGTTCAAGTAATCCTCCCGCCTCAGCCTCCCAAGTAGCTGGGATTATAAGCATGCAACACCATGCCCAGCTAATTTTTGTATTTTTAGTAGAGACGGGGTTTCACCATGTTGGCCAGGCTGGTCTCGAACTCCTGGCCTCAGGTGATCTGTCTACCTTGGCCTCCCAAAGTGCTGGAATTACAGGCGTGAGCCACTATGCCCAGCCTAGATCGTTTGCCTTTTAATTTTATGATTTTTTTTTACATACAGAATTTTACATTTGTATGTAATCAAGTCTATTCAATTTTTAAAAATTTTTGGCCAGGCAAGGTGGCTCACACCTGTAATCCCAGCAGTTTGGGAGTCCGAGGTGGGCAGATCACCTGAGGTCAGGGGTGCGAGACCAGCCTGGTCAACATGGCAAAACCCCGTCTCTACTAAAAGTACAAAAATTAGCTGGGCATGGTGGCTGGCACTTGTAATCCCAGCTACTTAGGAGGCTGAAGCAGGAGAATTGCTTGAACCAGGGTGGTGGAGGTTGCAGTGAGCCAAGATTGCGCCACTGCCCTCCCTCCAGCCTGAATGACAAGAGCGAGACTCTGTCTCAAAAAAAAGAAAAATTTATTTTAAGAATATCTTTCCCTGTCCCCAAGTTCAGATAAATATTCACCTTTATTTTCTTTCATTTCTTTAATGGATTCATTTTTTTTTTTGAGATGGAGTTTCACTCTTGTTGCCCAGGCTGGAGTGCAATGGTGTGATCTCAGCTCACTGCAACCTCTGCTTCCCGGGTTCAAGTGATTCTCCTGCCTCAGCCTCCCAAGTAGCTGGGATTACAGGCGCACGCCACCACACCCAGCTAATTTTGTATTTTTAGTAGAGACGAGGTTTTGCCATGTTGGTCACACAGGTCTCCAACTCCTGACCTTAGGTGATCCGCCCTCCTGGACTTCCCAAAGTGCTGGGATTACAGGTGTGAGCCACCGCACCCAGCCGGATTCATTTTTATATTTGCCTCTTTCATCCCTCTGTAACTTTTTTTTCTTCAACTCTGGCCTACAGAACCTCTGGAATTATTTGTTTTATAGTATGAGATGAGGATCTTAAATTTTCTTCCAGACAGTAGAATTATTATTCCAATGTTATTTGTTGACTAATCTTTTTTTTAATCCACTTATCTGTGATGTCACCTTCATCAATTCCCAGTTATGTTCAATGGTGTATGTGTCTCTTGTTTTTGTTGCTGATTCCTTGTGGATGTCCACCTTATTGTTCCTGATTAGGCCTACACAGAATACAGACCCTGGCTGGATTTTCAGACTTATGTCTTGTGTGCGCCTCCCAGGTACTACTCCTTTGCAACTGTAAATTTCAGTAGCATCTTTCCTTCTTTTGGTCAATTTGTCAGGAATGCAGTAGAAGTTTAGCTCCTAAAGTACACAAATGGTAAGGAACCTTCCTACTAAACAAGAGATGAGGGCCAGGGCCGGCCCTTGCACATAGGTGAACCATGAACCGTGGTTCTCATTCATAACCACTCCAGGTGACAAAGGCTCTATTTGTAACCTCGGAGGTTGGAGGTTTTCTGGCCAAATAGCATCAACCGGCATAAAAAGAGCAAATCTCTGGAAGGGGCTCCCAGAAGAGCTGTTACATGATGCACAGCCCCTAACCTTCTGTTAATGGCTCACCCCAACCCAACCTTGGTTCATAGTGGAGTTATTTCATTTACCAGGTGTGAAAATTGGATTTTACCACAGAGGAGGGGAGTTATTACCTATCAGGTCTGCTCTTTAGGGGAGCGGAGATTGTGGTGGGATTTATTAAAAGAGATTTGCTATGCATGGAACATATAATTAGAGATGTGTTCCTTTAAAACTGGATTTATAATCTTTGTCATTTTAGAAATGCAGTTTTTTGCCTTCTGTTTTTCTGACAGCCTTCTTTTCCATGTAGGTTGCACACAACCTACCTAGGATCTGAATATTTTATATGGCACCATTCTGCCAAGAGACGGACCTCAGGGGTGTGACATGTGACAAAGAGTACAGCTTGGGGGGATTGTGGGGATTGCCTGTAGTATGGATGCTGATATTAGTCACACAAGATGCTAACGATGGGGAGGGGATGATAAAGTAATTTTCATGTTAATTAATTGCTATGTAGTCCAGGCCTCGGTTTCATGGAGGTATTAGGGTCATTCTGAGACCCTCTGATGAGAGTACTCTTGAAAATCGAGTTCAGATTTAATTACCTGTTGTTAGAGGCTATATAAGACAACCTCAAAGTTAGTACCGGTTAACTACACCTGCTTTTAAAAAAGACACCTTGTTTATTATTATGGTGAACTGGGGGTGGCTGAATTTATTATTGTTTAGCATTTCTAGCACACTTTGTTCTTGCTGAGTGCTTTAAGCGTTTTTATGTATTTATATTGGTTGCTCTTCGCAGCACTCCCAAGGGATGAGTGGGTGATAAGTTTTATTATCACCTGCTTTTCCAAGGAGGAAACAGAAGCTCCTAAGAGGAGAAGGGACTTGCCTGGGTTTATAGCTCAGAGCTCCTGCCACTTTGTTAGGGGATCCTCAACAAAATGGTGATAAATTCAGCCCTTGCTCTGCCTGCTCTCAGCCCACGAGTACCACCTGTGCTCCATCCTGTATCCCACTAACTACAGTGGGATGCAAAATAAAAATCATCACTATTATTGGCCTCTCTGTGCTTGGCACTTTATCTCTCAACTGATCACCTTCCTAAACTCACCTTATTAACTCTGCTTTTCTTTTAAAAGCTCTGCCGTTTTCCCCACAGCCCAGCTTAGCTCCCTAAAGTCATGTGTGACTCAGCCTTTCCACCCACTTCAGTTGCCCAGGGAGCCATGTAGATTCTGCCACCCAAATGTCTTACATCTGTCCCTTCCCTATTCTTCCCCCTCCCACTACCAAAATTCAGTCCTCATTACCCCCTACCTGGACTACTGTAATAGCCGTTTAACTGGGTCCCCACACTTTCCATCCTAAGTTCTTCTGTCTGGTAAACCTTCCTGAAGTAAGGCTCTGATAAATACCACTCTCCCACTGGGTCCGTTCTCAGGAGCCTTCCCATTTAAGTGCAGATTCTTATCCTGCACTCAGAGGTCACCTTCCTTTTTGGCCTTCTCGCCTACTAAGCCACTGAACAACTTTACTGCGCATCAAGAGCTTGGCTAGCAGGCGCCTGCCGTGAGCAATTCTGATTTGGCGGGTCTGCTCCGGGGCCAGGGGACCCGCCCTTAATAGGCCTCCATGTGATCCCAGTGCTCGGGACCCTATGGACCACACACTGCTCTCGCAGGCTTTTCCCAAGCCCGTAGTCTTCAGCCCCTGTGCCCGGCTATGCTGTTCTTTTACCCTGAAACGCTCTCAGCCCCCTCTCCACCTGTAGAAATTTTTCTCATGCTTTAAGGCCCAGCTCAAATATCTCCTTCGTGAAGCATTTTCTGATTGTTCCAAATGGATAAGATGCAAACTCCTTAGCCTTAAATTTAAGATGCTCTGTTTTACAATTCCAGGCCCATCTCCTGCCTTCCTGCCTGGTTCCTCCGCTATCCCTAAGCCCACCACACCGAAATGGTTCTCAGCATAGGCCCTTTACACATACCTCCTCCAGGAATGTGGTTCGTTTTCTCTCTCTTTCTCTCTCTCTCTATATATGTATATACATATCTCCTCTCTCCCCACCCAACCCCGTCTCTCCTAAACTTACCCTGCTAGACCCGGCTCATATGTCACTTACTCCGTGCCACATTCATCACAACGACAGTCTTTCTAGACTCTTCCCCGCCCCCATAGCCGCTAAGTCACTCCCTCCCCTGTGCTTCTCCAGACTTTATACGCCCGAGAGAACCCAACGACAGTAGCTTACTTGTGGTTTATCTGTTTAATTTGAACACTAGGCAGTGAACTTGGCTCAGGCTGTGTTCTGAGGACCTAGCCCGGAGTCCACAGGCAGTCAGTCCTTCTAGAATGCACGCATGAATGAATCTCTTGCTTCCCAGCCGCCCCTCCCCCGGAACAGGCTTTGCTCTTTGCACCTCTGCCGTTGCATTTCTCTTCCTGTCTTTTTTGTACTTGTTTTACTCACCGTACTAGATTGCAAGCCCCCTTGAGGGGAGAAACCTCGTGGGATTTTGCTCCCTATTCCCAAGTCTGGCTCCTTAACCATGGCAGGAGGTCAATAAACGTTTGTTTAATTGAGTTGTAGGATGTTGTGCCCAGCTAGCTGCTAAACAACCTCATTTAAGGGGTTAACTAATAACACTCAGAGAAGTTCTTCTCCTTAGGGGGCATTTGCATTTTAATGGGAATCTTAAAAACCCAAAGGAAATGTTCTCTAATGGTGGGATTTCAGGCCTTGTAGTGAGGCCTGTGTGTGTGTGTGTGTGTGTGTGTGTGTGTGTGTGTGTGGTGTTTGATGGGGATTAGGGAAGAGTTCCTCCAGCCCAGGGGTATTTCAACTTTTCTGTGTCATGGGCCCCCATGAGCAGTCTCGTGAAGCCTATGAACAGAATAATGATTTAAGACACATAAAATAAATTACGTAGGTTTACAAAAATAGGTTATAATGAAATATAATGATCTAAATATTAAAAACGTCAAGTTTGTGATATAGTAATATGTGCTTCTTTATTAGAACGTTAATTAAAAAGTCTACTGGCAGGTCTTATAATTATTGTAATGTCATAGTGATGACTATAAGCGGTATTTGGGATATCTGTGATTCTGCTGGTTAAAAAGTCATGAGCTGCTCATACCACCTTGATCTGTTGCCTGGATCCATAATTGAAGGAAATGATAATTTTCAACTAGAAGTTAGTGGAAGCAAAGATGTATTTTTTTTCTGCATCCAAGTTCTAGCCCTAGTTTCCGTTGCGGACCCAGGGTTAAGAGGCCTGACTTGGCTGAACCCTCAATATGATGTGGGTGGTCTTGAAGCCAGTGCCATTTTGGATCCTAGGCTTCCTTTCCTACTCTCCACTACTTTGACCTTAAACTCTCAGATTCTTATTTTTTACCCTTTATTTAACAAAAAACGACAGTATACACTTACTTCATTTACAGAAATATGAAATAAGGTGAAACAAAAAGGATTGTTTGGGTTCTCCCTCCATCAGCCAAGGCATCAAGATGTCAGACTATGGGAGAAAGAGAGGCTCGCTAGTTTCCTAGCCTGGGAGCACCCCCTCCCAGAAGTGCTATCCATGGGGCGGGGTGGGGCGAGGCCAGGAGGAAGAGGAGGATTTGTCCCAAATTCAGAGGTGGGAAAGCAGTTGCAGAATTTACCTGAGAGTCTCTGCTGGCTCTTTCTAAATTCAGAAGTCAATATTGGGACCAAAGAGCGTGATTCTAGGGGTGGTCCAGCATCATATCCATCTTGGTAGTTAGTGACTAAGTGAAATATTGCTTTTGAGACCCTGCACTCCCTAATGCTGATGTGATTTCTAATTTAGGTTAAAGTGTTTGTGCAGTTCTCTTTTTAAACCCAAAATACAGGGAACATATTCAATCCTTTCCCAGTTATCTTTGTGTATTTTAGTCATTTAGAGGCAATTTTCCTCCAGGCAGATTTACCCTACTGTTTGCCATGCCTTGGGGCTTATACCTCTGCTCTCAGTGGATGCATGCTTGGAGGATATCAGTGAATTTTAATATTAGCTGGACATGTTGTTACCAGGGTGAGCACCATATTAGCCCAGGCAAACCATCATCCCTGTCCCTAATGGTAGTGACACTGAAAGCTTTACCCTTGACATCTTCCTTTTCTCTTGCATATGTTTTCCTTTGGTGAGCTCATTCATTTTCCTGGCTTCAGCTCTCACCTCTGCACCTCCAGCCTGTCCTCTCACCTGGCAAGACATCTCCGTTTTGGTGTTCAGTCACCCATAATTCTAAAACTCGACCTCTTTTGTCTTCTACAAATCAGCTTCACTTTTCCAAAACACAGCTTTATTGAGGTATAATTTACAAACCATAAAATTTACCCATTTTAAGTGTATGATCTATTGATTTCTTGTAAATTGACAGTGTTGTGCAACCAACACTAAAATCCACTTTTAAAACATTTACTTTACCCCAAAAAGATCCCTATACTATTTGCAGTCGATCCCCATTCCCACCCCAACTAATCTGCTTTCTGTCTCTATAGATTTACGTTTTCAGGACATTTCATGTAAATGAAATCATGCAATATGTAGTCTTTTGCATCTGGCTTCTTTCAGGCTTCTTCTGCTTAGCAAAGGGGTTTTGAGGTACATCCATGTTGTAGTGTGTGTTAGCAGTTCATTTCCTATTGCTGAATAATATTTCATTGTAGGGATAGACCACGTTTTATTTAACCATTCTTCAGTTGATGGACATTCAGATTGATTCCACTTTTTGGCTATTAGGAATAATACTGCTATGAACATTCACATACAATTCTTTGTGTAGACATACATTTTTATTTCTCTTAGATAGACACCTAGAAGTAGAAGTTCTGAGTCACATGGTAAACTTACATTGAACTTTTTAACAAACTGCTAAACTGTTTTTGAAGGTGACTACAGCATTTTACATTCCCACCAGCAATGCATGAAAGTGTTAGTTTCTCTCCATTCTCACCAACACTTGCCATTGTCTTTCTTTTTTATTATAGGCATTCCTAGCTGATGTGTAGTGGTAGCTCACTGTAGACCAGTGTCATTTTTTATTTTATTTTTATAGAAACGAGGTGTTGCCATCTTGCCCAAGCTGGTCTCTAACTCCTGGGCTCAAGCCATCCTCTTGCCTCAGCCTCCCAAAGTGCTAAGATTACCAGAATGAGCCACCAGCACATCCTGCCTAGTGTCATTTTTGAATTCATCTCACTTCTGACCACACTGCCCCTGCTTTCCACCAATTTTATGGCTAGAAACCAAACTTACACTATTCTTCCTTCCTCTTACATTTATATGCTGCGGAAGTAAGCTGCTACAATCTTCTTCAGCTAGCACCTGAATTTCCTACTTCTTCATTTACCTTTACATTGCCCTACCTGGATCTGCATCATTTCACACCTGAATTTCTGCCGTTTTCTGGCTTCTCTCCTGGCTTCTTCTCTCTTCTCTCTTCTTCTGCCTGTTGTAGCTCTTTCTTCAAATCTTCCTTCCTGTAGCTGCAGACTGATGGTTAAAATAGTAACATGAAAAGAGCATGCGTGGATATGGAATTGGAGGATCTGTGTTCTAGTTCAGGAATCACCACTCATCATCACATGACCTTGAACTAGTCTTGTAACTTACCTGAACCCAGCTCCTTTATTAAGTTACTTAACCTCTCTGAGCCCCAGTTTCCTCATATGCAAATTAAGGATAATTGTAGAACCTTTCTTATAGAGTTGTTACATAATACATGCAAAGCCCTTAGCACAGTGCATGGATGTATGAAGAGCACTCAATCAGTGCTGGCGAATGTTGTTATTTTAATGATTATTATGCCCATTATTATTAATCGTTATGATGGGAGCTATCTACTACGCCTATCATATGGTTGTCATAAGGATCAAGTGTGGCTGTGAATATAAAAGAATACTTTGAAAAATACCATGCAAATTGCACTGATGTTATTTTTACATGTTTTTTTCCCTTGCATAAGGAGAAAGGCAGTGCAGGATAGCAGCAAGAATACAGGCTTTGCCATTAGCCTAGCATTCAAATCTGGACTGTGCTTTTTAACTGTTGAGAGGCTTGAACAAGTCATTTACCCTCTCCATTTGGGTTTTCTCATCTGTAAAATGGGTATAATTATAAATCACATTCAGGATAATGCTGTCAGGATGGTGCCTATTCCATAGGCAGTATTCTGTAAACTGTAGCTTTTTAAAAAAAATAACTCAGTGTATTCTTCTTATATACTTTATCTAAATTATATTCTTCATAATTAATTCCCACCTTATTTATCTATCTGTATTCCCCACTGATCCCAACACATACATTGAAGAGAGGCTATAATGTGGAAAGATTAAACATTTTCACCTCAGGCTGACTTTGGCTTTAATCTCAGCTCCACCACTCTCTAGACACATGACTCAGCACAGTTACCTTACCTTGTTAAGTATCTGGCTCCTCAACTGCAAAACAGTTGAGGGAGAGCAATTCATACCTCATGGGGTTATTGCGTATATAAATAAGATCATACAAAGTCCTTAGAATAGTGCTTGGCACATGCACATACTAAATACTCAATAAACAGCGACTGCCATTATGTTTGTTTCTAATAACCTTTACCACTATCATTTTCTGATTCACTGCCCACACATATGCTGTGCTCCTTTCAGTCTCTGGCTTGGCTCCTTGTCTCTCCCTCCTGGCCATCCTCCCCTCCTGGAACTGCCCAAATCCTATTCTTCAAGCCAGTTTGGCTTCTGATCCTTCACAAAATTATCACACACTAGTCCAGATTCTAATCATTGCTTCCCGTCCTGCCCTCCCACTCCCCAGAAATCTATGGTTTGTGCGGTGTCTGTAATTCTGTTTAGAAATTAATTATTAAACATCTTCTGTTGTAGTTGTTTCCTCAACTGGACTGTAAGGTTCTGGAGGAGGGGTATTTATCCAGCTTCTAATGAAGCTCTCACTCTGCTTAGTTTGGCACTAGACACATAGTAGGTGCTTACTAATGCTTGACTGATAAACTATAACTAAGAAAGCAAACATGTAAAAGTCACTATGAGATTTTACAAACAGGGGTTCCTTAACCACCTGGATAGTGTCCTCAATGACTGTGAATCAAGAGTGATCCTGAGCAGTGTTATTCCAAAACACTAGCACAGAGTAGAGAAAAGAGCAGTTGATACAGAACCCCCAAATCAAGGTCAGCACTGTTTAAGTTAGCAAAGCCTGTCTTTACTGGCACAGATGACCTTGTTTTTGTTTTCCTCACCACTTCTTGGCATCTCTCGCCAATCTCAACCACTTTTTGCAATCCCAGAGGACTTGCTGCCCTCAGAAAGCCCTCTGAGTATCTTTCCTTCTATCTTGAATTTCTGGGGAGAGTTCTCCAAGCTTCAAAATTAGCCTTTTCTTTCTTCCCCTCAATATTCCCTCAGTGCAGTTAGCAGTTAAGGAGGATAGAGGTCTGGCCAGATAACTTATTAAAATGAAACAAGGCTAACCTTTTATTATGTTATCCACCCCCAAGGGCTGGGGGAAGTGACATCTTAAATCCAAAGTATGAACTTCTAATGGCAGAATTTAAAAGAGTGTGTCAGGAGAGTTGAAGAGATATCAGTAAGTGATGTTGGGTGTGAGAATGAGTAAGGTATTGAGGGGATAGCCTTTCAGTGTCCCTAAAATCTCCCCACAGGCCAATTCCATTTTGGAAAATCCAGAGATGACCAAATGCAATAATAAGAACCAACATTTATCGGGCACTTAACTATGTGCTAGGCACTATTCCTACATGTCTACAGTCATTCATTTATTCCCACACTACTCTGGGAGACAAATACCTATTACCAGTACTCCACTTTATGGGGGAAAAAAAAACCTAGAGAGGTTAGGTAATTTTTCCAAGGTTATATAGCCTGCTCATGGCAGAGGTAAGATTCAAAATCAGGTGGTTTCCACCCTGAAGTGGGTTTTTGAATCACGCGTCTCCCCTTGTAAGCATTCTGGAAAAACAGAGGAACAAACTTCATGAGAAACAAACCTAGATATTATCATTATTACCATCACCATCATCATCACAGCAAGCAAGGTGCTGTCCCTGTTGTGTGCAGGGCACTGCACGAGGTGCTGAGAAGACAAAGAGGCATCCAGCCCCACTGCATGCCTGAATCCTGACCCTCAGATTGCCTCAAGTGCTTCCACCTCCATGAAGTAGTTTCTGCTCATGTCTTCTCCCTCAAATAATGTATCTCCTATGATTGCTGATTTACTTTTTGCTTCTGCTCTGCCATTTATTTATTTATTGCCTTCTATCTTGCATTGTGGTTAATTATATACATTGTCACACATCTGAGCCTTTGCACATTGCTGAGTCCTTTGCCTGGCTGACTCCTACGCATTCTTTAAGATTCCACTCAGGTCTTATTGCATACTCTGACTCTCCTGCCTGAACTAGATACCTCTCTTCTGTACGCCCAAAACACTTGGTATTTATTCATATTATGCCACTTATTATAAGTGATTATAAGTGTTTGCTTGTCAATATTTTTAACAAGCTAGATCACTGATCCCAACATCAGGGGAGTTAAGTTATACTTTTTTGAATCTTCAGTACTTTGCACAATACTTAGCACATGGTAGGCACTTAGTAAACTCTTTTTTTTCTTATTAATGAATGAGCCCTCCATACAAATTTGATTATACTTTGAAAACAGAATTGAATGTTGGATTCATTTTTTGTATCCCCCAAGCCCTGTACTTAGTAGTTGCTCAATAAATATTGCAATGAATAAGTAATTGAAAAACAAAAGATATGTGAGATTCTGCTCTTGGGATATGGGGGAAGACTGGGACCTAGAGTAAAATTTGCCTATCTAGGCTATATTTTTAAGTTGATTATAAAAACATCTACCACTAAAATAGATGAAAAAGAAAACATTGTTTTTGACCAAAATTACTTGGCTACAAAAATATAGTTTAATATCTAAACCCAGGTCCATATGACTCTAAAACCAATATTGTTTCTGTTATACAATACTGTTGAGATCTTAAGGTAGATAGAGGGGCCCTCATTGGGCTCAGCAGAACCAGTAGGGCTTAAATAATTAGAAAGGAATAGACAATTCACGAATTATGTAAAAAATGGTGGTATACATAAACCACTTTTTAAAGAAAGATCTATCTGGCAAGAGCATGTAGAATTGACTGACGAGGGGAGAGGCTGGAGGCAGGAATATCTATTGCAACGGTCCCATCTTGGAAACAGAAAACAAGAAATTGATTTAAGGAGGAATTTGTGGACACTGGTGATGAGAGGAGACAAAGACAGAAGATGTTGAGCCAGGATTACCACAGAGTTTTAAGCCTAAGTGAAAGATATAGGGAATTCAGAAGTGAGACTTAATCTTGACAGATGGTGAGTTTGCTTTTTGATATGTTAAGTCACTTTAGATGAGCAAGCTGAGTAGATAGAAATGCAGGATTAAGTTCAAGAGAGGCCTGAGCTAGACTTGTAGATGTGCTGGTCATAGTTAAAGTTCTTTAAACTTCAAAGAGATGATAGCTAAAGTTAGGAGAGTGAAATGACTTAGGGAAAATTGGAGAGAGACAAGATCAAGAACAAACAACTTTAAAGAACAACAATTAAGAGACAATGGGAAGAATTTAAATCAATAAAGAAGGCAAAACTGTATCATCACATCTTGGAATTAACAACTAAAAAGAGATTCAGGGAGGAAAGGATATTCATTATGTGAATTTGGCAATTAGGTTTGGCCATATTGGACAGAGCATTTTGGTAGAATGGTTGGGTTAATTACAGAGGAGGAAACACAATAGTTGTGGCAGAGAATGTAGGTTGCCCTTTGGATAAATTGGGAATAAAAAGAAAGGGGGAAAAAGGGTACTAATGTAAGAAAAATGTTACTGAAGTTTCTAAAGCAAAGAGTAAGAAGCCAATGGATGGGAGAAGAGTGAGCAGCGTCCTTCAGAGGTGAGATGAGATGACAAGGTTGGTCTTGCAGTGTAGAAGAAGTGTGGATAGAATTTGGAGTAATTGCTGTGGAAAATGATAGCGGCAACAATGAGGATACATAAAAGGATTACAAAGTGGTAAGTAAAGATATTCAGCATCATCACCTTAATTTTGGTTGGGATCCATTTTATTGGCTTCATGTTTTTTCTAGCAAGGTCTGGTTGACCAGATGTGGAAACAAGGAAGTGAAGGTACATCTTAGCATTAGAAATTTCCGTGGCCAGAATGGTGGATGGTCAAGGATTCTATGGAGACAAAGTGGCCAGTGGGTGCAACCTGAATGCAAACCACAAAGGTGAAATCAAGGCTGAAATAGTTGGGTAGTAATTCTAGAGAAACTGGGAAGAGATTGATTGTGTGAGCTGGGAAGAGTCCAGTAGCACAGGCTGAAATCAGGAAAAACAAAATAGGTCATCTGGAGGGCAAAATTCCTAGGGAAATATCTAGGAGAATGAAACAAAATGAAGTAGTAGAAACATCCGGAATTATTGTTGGGAAAGCAGTTATGAATAAGAAATGAGTCTGGGTTCACTGGTTTATGCCTATAATACTAACCCTTTGGTAGGCCAAGGTAGGAGGATTGCTTGAGGCTAGGAATTTGAGACCAGCCTGGGCAACATAGTGAGACTATCTCTACAAAAAATAAATAAATAAATAAATAATAAATTAGTGGAAATTGAGGAAGAAAAGGAAAGTGGGATTCTAAGAATGGATGTGAAGAACTGGTATGAAGGTCAAGAGATTTGGAGATAAATGGTTAAAGCATGTGGAACACGTAGATTGTCCCTTGGTAAGGCATGATGGACAATGGTTAAATTGGAAAAGTGGGGAAGGATCAGGATCATTATGTCAATCATTTAGGACTCAGGAAATGAGAATGTCACAAAACTTGAATTTTAGAAGGTAGAGTAATGAGAGTAGGAGGCACAACCATAAAGGTTTGAGCATGAAAACAAAGGGGAAGCATTGGTGGTGCCTTCTTATGGGATCTGAGTGTCACTTCAAAGCTTCTTAAGAATGGTGACTCTGATTCTCAAGTTGTGAAGAGCAGGTATGTGGTGACACAGAACAAGACTCAAGCTCTCATCGAATGCCAAGGGCCTCAGGTGAAGCTGCAGGAGGAAAGGAGGTGGGAAAATTGATTTCCACCTAACGAAGGAGACAATTAGTTTTAAATTTTCCAGCCAGGGATGAAGCTCTGGGACTCCCCCATTGACTTCAATAGACTGGTGAAAGGTAGGATAAGGAGATTTGTTTCTTTTGCCTGGAAAACCTAAAAAGAAATAATTTCCTGGCTATGTTATTACAGCATTGGGGCACAGCACTATGAAAGTCAAGAGATTAGATTGACTTTCTTTTTTTTCTTTTCTTTTTTTTTTTTTTTGAGACGGAGTCTCGCTCTGTCGCCCAGGCTGGAGTGCAGTGGAGCGATCTAGGCTCACTGCAAGCTCCGCCTCCCGGGTTCACGCCATTCTCCTGCCTCAGGCTCCCGGGTAGCTGGGACTACAGGCGCCGGCCACCACACCCTGCTAATTTTTTGTATTTTTAGTAGAGACGGGGTTTCACCGTGTTAGCCAGGATGGTCTCAATCTCCTGACCTCGTGATCCGCCCGCCTCGGCCTCCCAGAGTGCTGGGATTCCAGGCGTGAGCCACCGCGCCTGGCCGAGATTAGACTGACTTTCTAATGGTTAGATGCTATTCCATTCTAACCCATCATTTTCAATTATTAATGACTCTCTTGGTAGTATTCTTTTGGAGCTGAAATTCACCAGTTTTGGTGAACAATGAGGTAGATGAATCGGTAATAAATATTAATAGTACAAGCAGCAGGAGCCCATGGACAAGCTGAGGGCTTTGACCAAGGCAAGAATTTGTTAAGCCCTCTTATAACCCTGATACTAGCTGGCTGAGTGGGCTCAACCTTTGTTAGTCTTGGTTTCATCATTTCTGAGGAAGACTTTCATATTCTCTCCTACAATAATAAATATTGTTAGGAATGAACAATCATTGGAATTTAGAATACTGCTGTGGAGTCTTGGACTCAAATTCTAGTCCCTAAAACTGAGCATAATCTTGGCAAATCATTGAACTTCTATGCCTTAGCATTCTGTAAGACAGAATGGAATTCCTTCCAATCCTAAAATTTAGGTTTAAGTTTATCAAGAACGGAGGAAACAAAAGCACTTGTTGCCTCAACTTGAAAGTGGAGTTTACAGGTGGAAAAACTGGAGGCAAACCTAACATAAATGCTATGATTAGCTAAAGAACTAAGAAGTCAAACTTACATCATCTATGTTTGCAACACAGTGAGTGCTCATCATTATGAGAAGCAAATTTCAGTAAGTGAGAAAATCAAAACCAAGTCTCTTTAGCATCAAAATCCTTTATTTTTAGCAATTTTACCATTTGGGTAAAAAAATGATTTCTTATCTTAAAATTTCTAGAGTAGCAGTACCAGTTTGAAGCTCTTATTCATAGGATGCTTTTAAAAAAGCATTTCATTATCCATTAATGTTTATGTATATACAGTGTGTTAAATCCTTATACACCAAAATAGAATTCTTTCTCAAGTGAGATGAAAATGCATACAAGGTAGAAAATTCAGAGGGCAAAAATTCTAGTAAAATAACCTATTTAATAGAATAAATCCTAGTTTAAAACACATTTCTATCCCATGTGCAATGTAGCTAAATTACCATTTCTATGGAACCTCTAACCTTTAGATTTCATGACTTTTTAGCGTGCTTAAATTCTCAATAGTATTATTCTTTTACCCTAGTGTCGTATGTTTAATATTCATTTGCATTTTTCTTCTGATTCAATAATAATTTTGAACTTTGACACATAATGGCTGCATGAGGGCTTAACGCTTAGTAAAATGGCTAAGACTTTCTTTTAACATGTGTATTATTGTTTTAATGAGTTTGTTTTGAGCTTGCTGAGCAGAGGTGATCTGGTCTGGGATTCCCCCCAGGCCAGAGCTTATTTTGGCAGTGGTTTTCTCTTATAGACAAGTTCTGTGAGTTCCTTCTTTCCACCTACATTAGCAATCCCAAATGTTTCTTGCATATTGCTGATTTGGTTGTCTTTTCTAATACCATAAGAAAAGTCCGTAAGTCCATACCTGACTTTTTCCTCCTGCCTTCTTTTACAGGGGTTCTTAGCTATGTTACATCAAATATTCTATGCCCCAAACTTGACAAAAGGCATTTTAATTATTTTCTATTTGGAATTCTTCAATTGATCTTGATATTGTTTATACCAACTATTGCCTTTCTTCTTTATTTAATTTATATCCTCAGTCATGACAGAAGACAAAGAGAAAATACCTTGCCACAGTTTTTCATAGGATCTAAGCAGGGGAGGCGGCTATGGTAACTTACGTTGACCAGTTAAAGAGTTTTAAATGATTTCGAAAGCAGATCGGCTTTATCATTTAGGGCTCTCTTGACCATCCTTTACAACTAGCACCATTCCTTAAAAGGTTGCCCAAGGAAGGTTTCCTTTAGGAAGGGAAACTGACACAGGAATAAGTACCCTGGTTAAAACCATGGGTGATAGAAGCAAGAGCAGAAGATTTATCTCGTCCTCCTGGCCATATTGCCTCCATCTGTCTCCAGGGAGAACACGCAGTACACTCTAACATGGGCAGTCTTCACCTAACGGATCCAGAAGAGCTGCGGGGTCAGTGCACACAGTTGCCGAAGCAGCTAACTTAGATCAAGACCCCACAAGGCACAAGGACAGAGGTGTAACAACAGTGTATTCTGGGGAGGGTGCAGAGCAGACAGATCTATAATAACGGTTGTTCACCGCAGCAACCGGGGCCACACAGATGGAGCAGAATAGCCCGAATCTGAGCTTTGATTCAGCAACATGCTCTAACCATGATGCCGTCATTTTTTCCTTCTGAGAAAAAGTGTAATCTAATGGGCTACCCTCTCACAACAGCGCCGGGATACTCAGGCTTTGACCCCTTCAGAGCAGAGGTCTTCCGAAAAATTAGGGGAGCTAGCCCGGCTGTGAAGCGACGTGAGGTCCTGGACAGAGGTTCCCTCTGTGGGCACCAGGCAGCGATGCCTGAGCCAGGCTGGGCTGGGCCGGATGTGAAAGGAGACCCCTGCACCCCCGGCGCATCAGCGGGACTCCTGCACTTCGCAGAGGGCGGAGGAGAGCGCAGTCCTGGGTGGGGGCTGCTCTCCTGCGAGGGGAGAAAGCCGGCCATGGCCCAGGCGGTGCAGACTCAGAGGTGGAGAGAAGGGACAGGAAAGCGGGGTGGAACTGCGTCCCGAAGGTGTGAGGAGGTGGCCTTGAAGGTTGAGGGCTAGGCCGGGACCTGGGCAGCAGGGAAGAGTGAGGGAAAGACCGGCTCTTCAATTCGTTTCTGTCAAAAGATGGCCAAATTCCACGCTGCCCTTCCCCCTCCGCGCCTTTCCTGGCCCCCCGCCCCCCTCGGTTGCTCCCAGGACTGCGCGAGGCGGCGGGAAGGTCCGGGAGAGTGAGCGCGTGGGGAGGAGGGGACGGGAAGAGGAGACCCTCCCGTGCCGAACCTCCCGCCCCGCCGGCCCCTCAGGAGGCTCTGGAGTTGGGGACTAGAGCTCTGCCGCTTTAAGGGGGGAGTGGGCGTCCCCTCCAGCCGGGTGACGGTCCGGGGCGGGCCCTGGCGGGCGTGCCTATGCAAACCAGGAGGTGGTGCCGGCGGTGGGCGGGCCCGTAGTAAAATATCGGGGGCGGGGCGGCGGGAGGTGCGGCTGCCTGGTGGGCAGGGCCCTGCGGGAAGCTGGGGGCGGGAGGAGGCCGCGGCGGGTTGGTACCATCGCGCGCGTCTGGGGAGGGGGACGAGCGACTTTCCCTGAAGGGGCACGAGCGACTTTCCCTGGAGGGGCGGGCCCTTGCTGGTCGCGGGGCCGGACGCTGAGGCGGGGCGGGGCGGTCCCGGTTCCCCGCGGGCGGGACGTCGGGCCGGTGGGGAGGGGGCACCCTCCGCTCGCGTCCGAGGCGGGGCCGGCTGTACCTTTCGTGGCGCGGTGCGGCGGGGGAGGGCCGAAGGGAGGGAAGGGGCGGGACCGGGAGGGGGGAGCCGGAAAGGGGGAGGCGCCGGCGGACAATGGAGCCTATGTGTGCTTGCCGGAGTGGGACGGCGCCGCCGCCGCCGCTGCCGCCGCCGGGGGGAGACGCTGCGCCGCCGCTGCCGCTGGCCCCGGCCCCGCGGGGCTGAGAGCCGCCCCGGACCCAAGCCTCTTTCCCTGCTCCGCACCTCCTCTCCCCTCCCCCACTCCTGCCTCCGGGGTAAGTGGCACCTGGGGGAGGGGGAGGGGAAGGACCGGAGCCGGGGGTAGTGGGGGCCAGGTCCGCGTCCGCGTGTTTTGAGCCGGTTTGGGGGCAGGGGTAGCCACAGCCGCGAAGAGCGGGGTGGAGGGGGGCAGAAAAGGGGCGGGGGCCAGGGTTGCGGATTTAGTGAGGCGAGTCTGGAGGAACCTGTGGGGGGAGGTGGGGGTGCTTCACGGGCGGTGGAGAGAGAGGGCATCTCTTCTTTTTTTCAAAGGTTGTGTCCCAAGCAGTGCTTGGAGAGGTTAAACCAGGAGAGTGAGGACAGTCCCAGGGTCCTGGGATGCAGGAGTGTTGGAGGGGCGAGATGGAGAGCTAAATAAGGGAATTGGGATTGAGTTTGATGAGGTCTGTAAGACCCCTGAGATGGATAGAGGTAAAGGGGACTTTGCAGGCCAGTGACTTGTTGAAGGGTAGGGGAGGTGGAAGCTAGGAAGAATGTGTGAGTAGTTAAGGGCCCAAGCAGGTGAATTGGTGATGTCTAGGTCACTGAGTCATTGTGGGGGTCTTGGGACACACCAGTGATTTCCAAAGTGGAGCCTGAGTCACTGGCCTTTGAAAGTTGCAAAGACTATTAAGATGTCACTGATGAGTGTTGGGTGAGCCTGGTGAAATGGAGATATCCTAAGTAAAACAACAGCAGGGTTGGTTATTATGTCCAGAGGGAAGGAGAGGGAGGGGCCAGAGGCCTGTAATAGTATTGCTGGGGGCCTTATGGGAAGGCTACCAAGCATGAAGGAGGAGGCCAGAAATCTGTCCTCCAAGAGGTCTGAAGGAGGGGGAAGGAAAAATGGGTTTTTAGTGATAGGAGAGACTTAGAGCCTAGATTGGAGTCCAGCTGGGGACTAATAAAGTTACTAGATAAGTTAGAGAAATGGACATAACTATCTCTTAGTGGAGAGTCTGTAAGATGGGATAGAATTGATGCAAAATTTGACTTTGATTACAGCAAACATAGGTAAATCCCTGGCAGTGATTTCAGTGGGGAAATGATTTTCTATGTAAAGAGTTACATTTTGGTCAATGATGGGTATTGGAGTATTAGTTAGCACTTGATATATTCAGGAATTAAATGTTCGTTTTGGGGCAGAGATTTGGATTTGTGCACTGAGCAAAGTGATGAATTAGAACTAACAGACAGTAAGGATAAATTGTAAAATCATTGAGAGATGGGAGGAGGGGGCAAAAGGATGTTGGAGGTAAGACTCATGTGGGTTTAGAACCTTTGTGGAAATTGTGCAACATGATTGTCCTGTTTTGTGTTTTCTACTGAATACTAGTGATTGGAAAGTTTTAGCAAGGAGAGATGTTTGCGTGAATAATGTGAAGGCCCTACATAAAAATTTAAGAAAGACATCCTTATTCACTATTGAAAAACACCCAAACTATTAAAGACACAGATGGGTTTATAAGAGGAGCTGTTAGTTAAATGGCATAAGGATGCTTTGAGCAATGAAGGTTCCATTAGTTGTTTGAGGGCTTGGATAAAAAGAGAAATTGTATTTTATTTTATTTATTATTATTTTTATTTGTTTATTTTTTGAGACGGAGTCTCGCTCTGTTGCCCAGGCTGAAGTTCAGTGGTGCAATATCGGCTCACTGCAACCTCCGCCTCCCAGGTTCAAGCTATTCTCCTGCCTCAGCCTCCCAAGTAGCTGGGATTACAGGCACGTGCCACCACGTCCAGCTAATTTATGTACTTTTAGTAGAGATGGGGTTTCACCATGTTGGCCAGGGTGGTCTCGAGCTCCTGACTTCTGGTGATCCACCCACCTCAGCCTCCCAAAGTGCTGAGATTAACAGGTGTTAGCCACCGCGCCCGGCTAGAAGAGAAATTTTTTTTTTTTGTAGATGGAGTCTCACTCTGTAGCCCAGGCTGGAGTGCAGTGGCACGATCTCAGCTCACTGCAACCTCCGCCTCCCCATCCCAGTTCAAGTAATTCTCCTGCCTTAGCCTCCACAGTAGCTGGGATTACAGGCACGCACCACCATGCCCAGCTAATTTTTGTATTTTTAGTAGAGACAGGGTTTCACCATGTTGGCCAGGCTGGTCTGGAACTCCTGACCTCGTGATCCGCCTGCCTCCGCCTCCCAAAGTGTTGGGATTACAGGTGTGAGCCACTGCGCATGGCCTAGAAGAGAAATTTTAATGTAAATTTGAGAAAAGTTGATATGAGGAATGGGAGTATGAGATTTGGAAGTTTTATGACTTAGAGATTTGGAATTGAACCATTAAAACATTTTGTTAATAACCATGTTGAATATAAGATGATAATGGTTTCAAAAGAGATGGTAGATAGACAGGGAGGTCATTGGCTAAAAGATAAAAGAACAATTTCCATAGAGTTCTCATTGTATAAGGCAAGTGTATGTCACTTGCTTCCTCAGAAGTGTCTGCTCCTGTGAATAAAAGAAAATGCTCTCTTGTTTGTGGGGGGAAAAGAATACAGATGTTTCACAAGCATTATAATAAACTAAATATTTGTTCATGGTGACTTGGTACAGTAGTTAGAGCCTTGGATGTAGAATCAGGAAGTTCGTTCTCCCATTGACTTATGTGTGACTTTGAACAAATCCCTTATATTTCTCCAGTTCTCCCATCTACAAAGTAGTAAAACCACCTGCCCTAACCACTCATAATGGCGTTTCTGCCTAACAGGTTAATGCCTAACTGCAAAGTGCTCTGAACATCTCTTAGAATGAGAGATTATGTAGCCCAACTCTTCCAATTTCTGTAAAACTACAGTCTTACTAACAGACCAAATTCAGCTTTGGTAATGTGCTTGATCAAGGAACAAAAAGGAGTATCTTGTACATCTGTCTTGTTCTGTTGTTTGGGTTTTTGTTTTATATTAGTTTTGAAAGGTAATGCCTCTCTCCCTTTAGTGGCAAGACAGTAATAGTGATGACAATTGTAGAAATGTAAGCAAAGGTCCCCATGGAGATGGAAGATAGATGCTGCTGAGTACTAACATGGGCTACGCCAACCCCAAATGTCTGAGGCCTTGGATGTGTTTCCTGGCTTCCTGGCAGCTTAATTTTCTTCAGCTATGAAATAGTGTTGGCAGAATAACTTCTCTGTCTGCCTTGGTGAAGATTACTTGCTCTAGATCAGGGTTTTTTGTTTTGTTTTTTTTTAAATTGAGACAGAGTCTTGCTCTGTTGCCCAGGCTGGAGTGCAGTGGCACAATCTCAGCTCACTGCAACCTCCACCTCCTGGGTTCAAGCAATTCCCCTGCCTCAGCCTCCCAAGTAGCTGGGATTACAGGTACACGCTACCATGCCCAGCTAATTTTTGTAAATTTTTTTTTTTAGTGGAGATGGGGTTTTCACCATGTTGGCCAGGCTGGTCTCGAACTCCTGACCTTGTGATCTGCCTGCCTCATCCTCCCAAAGTGTTGGGATTGCAGGCTTGAGCCACCGTGCCCGGCCAGATCAGGGTTCTTAACCTTATAATGTCCCATGTGCTCCTTTGGCAATCTAGTGAAACAGAGGACCCCCTTCTGAGAACGTTTTTTAAATGCACAAAATAAAATACATTGAATTATAAATCAAATGGAAACAGTCATCAAAATATTAATTGTAACAGTATGTTTCTTTATAACACATTAAATAATAAAATATAGCTGCAGGTCTAATGAGACTGTAATTTTTGAAGTAGTGTATATATTATGCCAAGATATCTGCAACAACTATGTGACATGAAAATGTCTTGTGGTTTCTGTTGGTGACAAGGTCACAGAATTGCTAATAATACCAGGGATGGTTACTTCCATTCGCCATTGAAGGCCATGCAAATTTTTACTTAGAGGTTGGTCAAAATGAACATCTGAGCTTTCCCCAGGAGGTTCACAAACATTTTCCCGTCCCCCAGGTCTATCCACAGACCTCTTGGGAGTCCGTGGGATCCCAAGTTAAGAACTCTTACCCTAGACCAACTGATTTTTGAAAGTTATATTATCTCATGGCCACTTGCATTTTAGGTTTTGCAGTATTTTTTAGCATCTCCACTATGCTAAGAACAGGAGCATAGAGAAGACATGAAACAAAAGTCCATTTCACAACCTGTGATGACTGTTTTTGATGGTGGAAAATGTTAAAAACAATGATTAAAATGAGGCTTTTGTATCTGGTGGCTTTTGCTTTTCTAAACTCCCAGTCATCCATTAGCGTGGTTAGGCCTCAGTGGGATGGATTTGGGCTGCAGTGACCCTATCTTGGACTTCTTGTATTTTGAGTTTTAGTGGTTTTGCCTTCCTTCTCCCTTTTTGACCTAACTGTTTTCTTACTGTTTCTTCTTCCAAAGATTGCTTTGGCTGCAGAGCACTGGGGAATGGGTGGTTTTCCTTGGAATCAGCATGAATTGGAGTATGAACTTTTCTTTTTCCTTATCTGTATAGGACTGAATGTGGGCCCAGTTGGCGTCATTCTGCTTTGACCTAAACATTCCCATCTGATTGGGTGGCAGAGATCATTTTTGGAAAGTTCTTCCGTGTCCCGATGTAGAAGAAATAGCAAATTGGACATATTGAAAGGTAAAGAATATTCTGATAAGTCAGTTCCTTTTGTGATTCAATCTGAATATGTTGGATTTTTGTTTCTGTTTCTATAGGGCCTCTTGTAAGTTAAAACTACGTTTATTCATTATTCTAAGAATTCTCAAGGCAAAAGTCATCAAACTAAATGCAAGTCAAAAATATAAGAGCAGTTACACCTTTCTGTGAGCAGGGACTTGTACAATAACTCATTTCATAGGGCCAAGGATAAAGGCAGGTGGTGAGAAGTTAAACAGGTATTTATCATACCATCGTTGTGTGTGAATGCAAGGTAAAGGTAGCAATACACAAGCCCCAAGCTCATTATAATACATGGATCAAACAGCATTGATTGAGTTTCTTCCAGGTATCAGGTGCTGAGAGGAGGAATGACAGTGCCCTCAGAGAGTTCCGTGTCTACACATA
The DNA here is from genome assembly GCF_000001405.40 of Homo sapiens. Taxonomy (NCBI): domain Eukaryota; kingdom Metazoa; phylum Chordata; class Mammalia; order Primates; family Hominidae; genus Homo; species Homo sapiens. The sequence goes on from NC_000001.11 coordinate 147,605,338, forward strand.
CAGTTTTGTGTTATAACAGTTTGTGATTATAATGCCGGGGGCCATGGAGGACATACAGAGGAGAGTTGGTAATCAAGGAGAATTTCACAGAGAAGGGACATCTGTGCTGAAATAATATTTTGGGTAGCCATTATTCCAGATGGTGATAGTTGGAATTCATTTTGAATGCTTGAATTTTGTCAAAAATCTTTAGCTTGATATAAAATTTAATTTGCTTAAAGTTAGCTATTAAAAGGTGACAGAGGTATTTTTACCCCATGAGTACTAAAATGTACATTAATATTTTGCTTGGACCAAGGTTTTCTCTACATGCCCATTGCATAGTTTACTTTCTCCACATGTTGGGGAAAGATTGGTTTTTCCTATTGTGTACTTTTTCTGAGAGGAAGCCTTTTAGTAGTCGGTATGCCAGAAGTTAAGAATGAGCTAGGAATGGAATCCTGAGGCTTTTTAGTTCCACATTCTAAGTTTGATACTATGCCTTTTATGGAGTAGTGGTCATAGCATAGAAATGAAATTTGTTAAACATGACATCGTTCTAATAAACTGGACTTCTTAGAGCAGGGAAATGGGAAAGCATCATTGAAAGAGTTGAAATTGGAATCATAGAGGTGATTCTGAGCTTGGTTAGATTAATTTGTGAATTTAACAACTTAATGGCATGCTTCTCTAGGAATCCTTCTAAAGATTCCTAAATAATTTAGCCCTAAGACAGTCTGCAACTTGCTTCTCCCTTGCCACTTCAAAACTATAAATTCTGGGCAAAGAGGGAGGCTCAGTGTCATAATTCTAGTTTACAAGGACTAATGGTGGAAATTGTTCTGCTTGGCCAGTACTTAGTGTTTTATTGACTTAGCCAGCTCAATTCAGTACCGCACTTTGCACACAGTAGGCACTGAATAAAAGGAAGTCATCTGGCCACATTATTCAGCTCTTAAGTTCCCCACAAGTATATGAAAATAAATGTTCTTGCTGGATGTAGAGTTATGGTGGAGAGCAGGGAGAACTGTGAATGATCTTCACTTTGTAAATTCAGAGACATATCTGGAATTTTGTCTCTTCTCACCTTTACAGTCAGCTTTCAAATCTCTATACTAATAAGGAATGGAAAGAAGCAAAATTATGAGGAGTTTCTTTCTACTAAATTCCCAGAATTCTAAAAAGTAGAAAACTTGATTTGCAGTTTATATTTCTCCAGCCTCTGAAAATAAAATGTGCAGTTGGGAAGGAGGAAAAGCCACAAGAGCCTTGAACTGGCTACAGATCAGATATAATCCTTCAAAAATTGGGAGTTGATTCTATTTGTGTGGGGGATGACAGCTTCGTCTTAAACTGATATTCTGGAATAAATAAGAAACCTGTTTTTCTCTTAAGATATTCATTGACAAATTGATGTTGTTGATTTTTTTAAAAATCTGCTTAGGACTTCTTTTTTTCCTCGTCTAGACAAGGGTCATCTTTGAGAAGGGGGTTCCTGGACTCCTCACCTCCAGGATGAGCACTGCAGTGTCGTGACCCTTGGGGTTTTGGTGAGTACACTGATGGCTGATAGCACTGGAGCACACGCCTGGCTTAGAAGAACGAGCTTAGGGAAAAGCTTCAGCTTTTATTTAACGATTTTTTTTTCTTTACATCACCCAACCCTCCCGCTGCCTCCCCATCCAGCTCCTGCCCTTGGTCACCACCATTTTACTGTCTGCTTCTACTACCAACTTTTTTAGATTCCACGTATAAGTGAGATCATGTGTTATTTGTGTTTCTGTGCCTGGCTCATTTCACTTAACATACTATCTCCAAGTTCATGTACATTGTTGCAGATGACAGGATTTCCTTCTTTTTAAAGGCCGAATAGTATTGCATTGTGCATATATACCACCTTTTCTTTATCCATTTCTCTGTTGATGGATACTTAGTTGATCCCGTCTTAGTTACTGTAAATAATGCTGCAGTGAACATGGGAGGGCAAATATCACTTCCATATACTGATTTCATTTCCTTTGATTAACAATGAAAATTTTTTAAAGCAAATACTATGTGCTAGGCACTATAGTAATTGCTGTGTATACAGAGATGAGTAAGTCAGTTGTGGTCCCTACCTTCATGGAGCTTATGGTCTAGTGGGAGAGATGAATGTTACACAGATGATCACATAAATTGCATATGTAATTACAAAGCATGAAAAATGTTGAAAAACCCTAGATGCTTTAAAAAGAATGTAATAGAAAATTTTATGTAGATTGATGGCATTAAGGGATTCTTCTCCTCTGAAAAAGAAACACTTAAGCCAAGACTTCATTCATTCAACAGAACTATTCAAACTTGATATGGGAAAGTTGAAGTTTAGGGAGAGAGGTATCAAGAATTACTTCCAAATTTCTGGCATGAGCAACTGGGTGGATAAAGGAGCCATTTATTAAGATATGGAAAACTGAAGGAAAAAGGTTTCAGGAGGAAGGCTATACACAGAATTGAAGAATTCATGTTTGATCCTGTTAAGTTTGAGACATCCAGGGAGATGTCAAGCAGGTAGATGTGTATACAGATCTGCTGGAATGGACCTGCAAATTTGGGAGTTGTTGGCATGGAGAGAACTTGCAGCATGAGAAGAGAAGATGACTCAGAGTAGAGTCCAGAGGAACTCTAAAGTTGAGAGATCAGGTAAAAAAGGGACCTGCAAAGGAAGCAGATAAAGAAGGCCTGGAGAGGTGGGAGGAAAGCTAGGAAAATGAGGTGTTATGGAAACCAGGAGAAGAGTTAACAAGAATGAAGTGAGCAACTGGCAGAATCTAAGAGATGGAGTAAGATGAGATTAGCAAAGTGGCCAGTGGTGACCTTAACAAAAATAGTGGTCACTATGATCTGGGGGTGGAAGTTGGTTTAAAATGATTAAAGGTCGAATGGCAAGTGAGGAAGTGAACCCTGTGTCTCGTCAACTCTGTGGAGAAATTTGGCTCTAAGGGGTAATAGAATGCTAGACCTGGGTTTTGTTTTGCTTTTTTTTTTTTTTTTTTTTAGCACGGAAAGATTCTACAGCCTGTCTGAATGCTGATTGGAAAGATCCAACAGACAGAGGGGATGGCCAGAGGGGAAAATGAGAGCTCTCAGAAGGCTGGAAGGGATAGGCTTAGTCCACCTGTGGCTGGATTGACTTTTGGGAGAAAGTGGGCTATTTTTTGTTTCAGTAATAGAAAAGAAAGAGGAGATAGATATTGATGAAAATTGGTTTGTGTATTTAGCAGTTAAGAACTTTCTGCCTGGCAACATCTCTTCCTATTAAGTACTGGGCAAGTCCAGGTATTGGGAGTGGGAAGGAAGGGAGGAAACGGGGTACCTAGGAGACGTAGAAGGTATTTTGAAGTGGCTTCTGGCATGATAAGCCAGCGTGCTTGCTAGAGAGTGTAGTAGTCATAGTAATACTTAACACTGGAGTGCTTACATTATACTGCTGAGCACTTTATATGAACTAGCTCACCTTGCCCACCAAGGCTCTACTTTAACAGGCACTACAGTGATGAAGAGCATAGACTTTGGGGCCGGAGTGGCCAGAGTGCTGGTTAAATGCCCACTACCACTTACTAGGGTGTGAGCTTGGTCAAGTTACTTAACATTGCAGAGCCCGTTTTCCCATCTCTAAAATAGAAATAGTGGTGGCACCTGCCTCCTGGGGTTGTTGTGACTGGGTTAACATGTTTGTACAGTACTCAGAACAATGCATGGCACATAGTAAAAATTTTAAGTACTAATTTAAGAAGAGAAGAGAAAAACATTGTATAAGTAGATCTAAGGTGTTAGGAGATGTAGTTATGTTGGGGGAAAAAAATCTCTCTGGCTATAATGATTCTGTGGAGGATCCTTTCCAGTCCTTAAAGGTGGTTAAACAGTTGAACTCTAACCTCCTGAAGAGCCTAATTTTATTCTTTGGAACTATAGAAGATGTTTGGCAGATTTTTTGCTCAGTCGTTTTTATCATCAGAAAGGCTAAAAGTAGGGACAACTTATTTCCTTGGGCTAGGGATTGAAAAACTTAGATTTTGATCCCAGTCACTGGGTGAACCCACATGCTTATTTCAACCTCTGTGCTGTCTCTCCCTCCATAAAGTAATGGGAAGGAAGATGGCTTCAAGGAAAGAGCCAGGGTCTGAGAGCAGTGATTGGAAACCTGGAAGAAGCCATTCACACCCCATGTGCTCCATTCATTCATCTCTAAAATGCCTGTCAATCAAAGTCAGGCAAATTGTGAGAAAATGAAACTGTATGTAGAAGTACTTCGAAAATAAAAGTGTTTTATGTTCACAGCATTATTATTAGAAATAATCTTTGCTACCAGCTCATCATAAATGCTTGGCAGATTAATGAGGTGATTTGATAATTGTAATGTTTTGAGTTTCTTTGGAAGACGTGTGTAACACAAATGCCAGGTGTTTCTGTTATGGGAGAACTTGAATAAGTCACAGAGGATCTAACTACATGCTTAGTACATCATGCTGAGTATTATAGAAAAACAAAAGAACTTTAAAACAAGGTTCTTGGCTTCTAAGAATATAGTTTTCACAGGGTGATAAAATATACACCTAGTATTATTCAGTACGACATGTGATTGAGTGCTAGAATACGTGATGCAGACAGAAAGTACTAGAAGAAGTTGTGGAGGGGGACTATATAGGTGGTAACTGCTTTTCTTTTCCTGAGGTAAATGTTTTCTGATGGCTTTGTCCATGCAGGATTCATTTTCTACTTCTATTTTCCCAGTGATTTCTAATGTTCATTGAGAGGTTACAAAATGGTTTATGATTATATATGTCCAACTTGACAACCAGAATCCATTTCTTAGTCTAAACCAAAAAAAAAAAGCTGGAAGCTGATGGGGATAAAAATAGAACCTTAAATATGATCAAGACCAAAATGTTTTTTAACATGCTGTCTCCTGAGGTCAGCATAGAAACATTCATAATGTTTTTATTCTAGTTCTTTTTCCTGACTTTTTTATTTAAAAAGGAAAAAATTTAATTGAGTGTACTCAGAACTTCCATAAATTTCTTTCACTGTCCCAGGTAAAATAGCTGAGACTATTGCAGATTTCTAAATGAAGAAATAGACCTTTAACATGTGACAGTGATCATAGTGCTACAACCTAGGATATAATTGATCCTCCCAATTTTAGCCCAGTCTCCATTCTCTCAAAGTACATGTAAGCTGCAACACCTGAGCTGTTTCTAACTCCCTTTGGTTCTGTAGTCACTAGTCCTGCACCTAATATTCTCCTCCTTCATTCCTATACTTTGTCAGTAAGATACTAGAAGCTGGAAGGGGGTTGATAATGGGATAGTGGTTACAAGAAAACCATAATGGAATTACCCTGGGAGGGAGCAGAGACTTAAAGTATGTCTTGGTTTTACCTGAATTTGTCTAGGCTTCCCTGAATAAAGGACTTTCTCATTTGTTCTCTAGCTAGGTTTGGGAATATTTTCTTGACCTTTATGCTTCAAATTAGCCTTGCAAATTGGCTCAAAAAATATCTTAGCCTTCAAAGATGTTCTTTTACTTTCAGAATTATGGATCATTCCCATGCTTACCCATGCCTGCAGTCCCTGTCATTAAGCAGTGAGAACACTAGACACATACTTGGCATAATTTAATAGAAAGATCATGGAAATCAGGGGGCAGAACTGATTGTATTTGATGTTGGTTCAATATTTGATTTCAGAAGTACCTCCTTTAAAGTCCCCCCGCCCCCAAGGCCCTGAGAGTGTAAACATAGATTAATTTGCATCATGGTTTGAAATTGGGGGGGTTGTTTCATTTCAGTGCTGTTGTTTGCCATCAGAACTGAAACACCAGATAGTCACTATGGATCTGCGGTACCTAGGGGTTTCAAAGCATTGTTTTGAAAAAAGAAAGACACAAGTTTTTGAGGGTTTTGTATTCAAAACTACAGAAATGTAAGGGAGAATACATAGCTAAAGAGAAAACTGCCTTTTTCACCTGCTCACCCTTGCCTGGTCCATGCTGCTTGCGGGGGAGGCTTGCATGCTTGGCAGGAAGTCCTAGTCACCCTCCAGCTGGTGTGGCCCCTGAGCCTTTGTCCACAATGGGAGCATCACCCTTTCACCCTGATGGAAGTGGAGGCATGGTCTAGCTGCTTCGCTGAGTTGGCTAGTGCTTTCACCTTGATCCTGTTGTGAGGGTGTTTTATGTCTCTGTTTTTGCTCCCAACTTTTTTTGGGTGGCCTTTTCCTGTAGTATGCCCTGGAGATGCGAGATTTTCCTCTGGCAGCAGGAGGCACGCACCCAGAGAATGCTGGAGCTGCAAGGGGAAAGGACCCACTTCCACAGCAGAGAAAAACAAAGAGGAAAAAGGCATACAGGCAGCGAGCGCTAAGGGACGCACCCAGCAAGCAGTGGGCCAGTGCCACTGCCCCCAGCAGCTGTTTCTGCTGCAACCCGAGAGGAACTCGGTGAGCCTGTCCCGTTTGTGACTGCAAGCTCAGGATTTCAATCAATGCATTCCAGTAACCCTAAAGTGAGGAGCTCTCCATCAGGAAACACACAGAGGTAAGGGCTGGGCTGGGGCCTCTTCCTGCAGCCCCTTGGGGATGCCATAGGCACATCATGAACACTCATTGGTGAAACAGTATGTTGAATTAGAAATAAATGAAACCCAAATGGGAAAGGAAGAGAAAATAGACTAGTAAATAGTAATATAACAGTAAGCAGGATACAGTGTAATCAAAGCTTATGTTAGAGTTTTCCTTTGTTATTCTTTTGTCCATCATTCCCTGACCTCTCCCCGCACCTCCCTGCCAAAGCACAAACGAAAGGACCATAGAGACCAACCAGTACAGTTTGCCTAAGTTTGCAAACAAGGAAACTGAGGCCTGGAATGGTGAGGAAGCCTAATGTCGTAGAACTAAAACGTTATTCCCCGGACTCCCACTGTGACACTTTTTCCTCGGTTTCACAGTAGTTAAATTGTTACTTTAAAAGAATTTTGTCCTCACTCCCTGAGGGCAGTGGTTGGTTTATCTGCTTTGGTGTAATACTGCTTGTTGGGAGGGATTAGTATCCTGGAGGATTTCCCTAACCTGACAGTCACCAGCTCCCGTGCTCTTTGGGACCAGCTTGCATTTTCCAGCAGGGAAGTGAGGCTCTCCTACAGCTGTTCCTTGTCATCAGCCTGGGGGTGGGTAGTATTTTGATCTTAACGATGCCTGTTTGTTTACTCTGAGCTAGTCTTAGTGTAAGAGTCACCTCTCTATGTACATAGAAACCGTTGTCCTTTATTGACAGAAGCCCTGGAGATGGGTCCCCATGTGACTGTAGGGTTCCTGAAACCTGGCAGGCCACTCTGCTTGATCCTCCTCTCTGTTGATAGCTCTGAGATGGGATCAGGGGTGGCGGGAGCAAGCAAATGGCTGAGGTGAATCATGGGGTGGTTATTTTAGTCCTAAGGGTCTCCTTGACCCCCAATAGAAACTGCCTCTCTCTAATTTGTGCTGACCAGCTGTATCTGGTGTCTGATCTTCCTTTGTTATTTGTTTCTTTTAGTAGCCCTAAGTCAAAGCAGGAGGTGATGGTCCGTCCCCCTACAGTGATGTCCCCATCTGGAAACCCCCAGCTGGATTCCAAATTCTCCAATCAGGGTAAACAGGGGGGCTCAGCCAGCCAATCCCAGCCATCCCCCTGTGACTCCAAGAGTGGGGGCCATACCCCTAAAGCACTCCCTGGCCCAGGTGGGAGCATGGGGCTGAAGAATGGGGCTGGAAATGGTGCCAAGGGCAAGGGGAAAAGGGAGCGAAGTATTTCCGCCGACTCCTTTGATCAGAGAGATCCTGGGACTCCAAACGATGACTCTGACATTAAAGGTATGTCTATAAGATCTTTGAGACTCAGAGGGAAGTAGGTGTTCCTGAGGGAAGGCCTCTGACATTCGACAGAGGCCAGAGAGCCTAATATCAGACAAGTGGGGAGAGTAGGTATCAGATTCATGAGTTCTCACAGTTTATGATGGAACTATTTCTTCTCATTTTGTTACTAACTGAAGAATTGTTTGGAACCTCCTAGTTGAGGAGTTCTTGCCCTTAAGGATGCAACGGTTTAGGGGTTATGGTAGGATGTTTCACAGGCCTATCCCTGTTCGTACACGTTTCTGGCCTCTATGCTGTTTGTACTTTAGTTTCAAGCCAGTAGCTCTAGTTTGTCTGTGCCAGTGGCCCCCACTGGGGTAGTTTTTCTGGTATCCCCTTCTCTTCTCCATCAGAGCAATCCTCCAAGGCTTGGGTCTTGTGTTCTCTAGTTGCCATTTTGCCAGACTTCAGACACAAGAGGAAGCCTTAATGGCCCTGGCAGTAGTCCAGATTTGTTACAGCTGATTTTAGTGTAGCAGGAATGAGTGGCTACCAGATGTGTAGAGATTTGGCAGGCACCAAAATGGAGTGAGCCAAGAAGGGTATGGGACCAACAGCTGTGGTTTTAGGCTTTTTCCTCCTAGTATAAGACCAAAAGTCTTAACTGTAGGCCAGAACATGAAGTTAGTATTCAAGGAATGGAAGTATGATTTTCCAACCCAAATTAGAAATGGAAACTTGGGTGATTGTTTCTCCCCTCCTTCCTCCCCTCCTCCCTCAAGTGTTTTGGCAGGCCTGCTATGAGTGCCAGCACTATGCTGGGGGGCCATGGTCAGCAAGATAGATACAGCTGTTGTCCTCAAAGATTTGAATGCACCTAGAAAGCTGATTATTAGACAGTTACAGTAAAATATGATAAATGCTGAAATAAGAGAAGTTAGAGGGCTGTGAGATCCATCCCCAGTTAAGTCTAGGAGGTTTCAAAAAGGTTACCAGAAGAAGGGACATTTACACTAATATATGAAGGAGGTGTAATAGAGAGGTAAGGAAGCTGGGGAAGACTGCTTTATGGTTAGTCATTTGAGAGAGAAGAGTATTTGAAATTTTATAAGTAGAAGAGGTTTCCTCTTAGCAAGGTGGTACTTCCTTGAAATTCTCAAGGTGGGTTTGTGTTGTGATGCTATATATGCTGGCAGAAGAAAGGAAATTTTATTCTTTCTGTGACGAGTCATTTTATTCTTTTAGAATGTAATTCTGCTGACCACATAAAGTCCCAGGATTCCCAGCACACACCACACTCGATGACCCCATCAAATGCTACAGCCCCCAGGTCTTCTACCCCCTCCCATGGCCAAACTACTGCCACAGAGCCCACACCTGCTCAGAAGACTCCAGCCAAAGTGGTGTACGTGTTTTCTACTGAGATGGCCAATAAGTAAGTTGATGGCTGTGTCTTGCTGTTGGGCAGGGCTTGTCTGGGGACCTAAATTCTTATTCCCATTGCAGATTGATCTTTTATTATCACCTAAAGTTAACAGTACAGATAAAACATAAAACCTCCCCAACCCAAACTCCCCCAGAGGCAACCACTGATAATACATCCTTTGCTTCCCTTTCAGAAATTTTTCGTGCTTGTACAAATATACATATATATCTCTTTTTCTTTTTTTTTTTTTGAGATGGTGTCTGTCTCTGTCGCCTAGGCTGGAGTGCAGTGGCAGATCTCGGCCCACTGCAACCTCCACCTCCTGGGATCAAGCAATTCATCTGCCTCAGCCTCTTGATTAGCTGGGATTACAGGAACCCGTCACTACACCCAGCTAATTTTTTGTATTTTTTAGTAGAGATGGGGTTTCACCATGTTGGCGAGGCTGGTCTTGAACTCCTGGCCTCAGGTGATCTGCCTGCCTCAGCCTCCCAAAATGATGGGATTACAGGCATGAGCCACCGCGCCTGGCCATATATACCTCTTTTAAACAGAAGAAGTTGATTGCACAATACACACTTTTCTGCAACCTACCTATTATTATTTTCTAAACAACACAAGTAACAAATGTCCATTCTAGAATAATTAGAAAGTATAACTAAAAATTAATATCTCTGGAATTCACAGAGATAACTACTGTAAACATTTTTATATATAAATTTTTAGTGGATGGATGCATCAATTTTTATTTATCAGAATTGTGATTATACCCTACATATATGGTTTTCTGACTTTTTTTCCACTTAAGATAAAAAGTGAATCTTAACAGCCTTAAACTATCACTAGGTATTGTACGATCTCATCTTCCCCCTTCTTGGGTTGGGATTTTGAACTCGGATTCTCTATAAAACACCTACCACAGCGGATTAGTTTCAGGAGAAAATCTTGGTTTTTGTCTTTTAATGCCTCTTTTGGGATTTGCTAATGGCTGTCTTTTAATTTTAGAAGTTTGATGATAAGTGGTAAATATAAATAATGAAACATGTTTGTCTTGATTTCTTCTTCAACATTTCTGGTGGTTCTTTCTATTCCTTCCTCTCCCTTACAAGTTTATTGTGTGGTTAAAGTGCTTTGGAATTACAGTTAGTGAAATAGAAACAAGTTCTAGTGTGTGCTGTCTCTTCCATCTTTGCAGAGCTGCAGAAGCTGTTTTGAAGGGCCAGGTTGAAACTATCGTCTCTTTCCACATCCAGAACATTTCTAACAACAAGACAGAGAGAAGCACAGCGCCTCTGGTATGTTGTTTCAGAAACTGAGTAATGGTTTAATGATTCTACAGTGACTGCAAAGGAAAGGAGGTGGTGAATTTAATTGATAGGAAGGTAGTCTTGATGGCATGAGTTGCATTCTTGGCATTTAACCTAATTCTGGCATTGTGGGGCATTAGGCATATCATACTATACTAGCCTTTTCTACGAGAAAGCTGGTAGATTGATGAATTACTAGGGGGAAGAAGATGCAAACTAAAAGAGGAGCTATACAGATATCTTTGGGTTTCCTTCATGTAATCGTCTCTGGGAAAATCTAAATTCAGACCCTGTGTACAGAGCAGGTTTTTTAAAAATAACACTCTTGAGCTAGTTGAATAACAAAGAAAGAACAGAAAAAAAGCAACAATTAAAACTTCTAGAGTACATGATGACAGTATCATAATCAGAGCCTCATCGACTTTCAGAGTGATTCATATTTATTTCAAAGTGATAAGACCATTGAATGTTTTTAATTGCTTGATATTTGTAAAATTGTAATAAATGTTAGTCTGTTTTCTATCTGGATCTTAAGCACCTGCTATAAACTCCATTAGAAAAAGCATACAGTGGCCGGGCGTGGTGGCTCATGCCTGTAATCCCAGCACTTTGGGAGGCCGAGGCAGGCGGATCACAAGGTCAGGAGATTGAGACCATCCTGGCTAACCCAGTGAAACCCCGTCTTTACTAAAAATACAAAAAATTAGCCGGGCATGCTGGCGGGTGCCTGTAGTCCAAGCTACTTGGGAGGCTGAGGCAGGAGAATGGCCTGAACCTGGGAGGCGGAGCTTGCAGTGAGCCGAGATTGTGCCACTGCACTGCACTCCAGCCTGGGTGATAAGAGTGAGACTCTGTCTCAAAAAAAAAAAGCATACAGTGGATGTTTTAATGCATGTAGTTTACCAAATTGAACCAAAAGATACTTCTTGTATCTGGCATCGTCAAGCCATTGCACCAAATGCTATGGGGGATACTAAGAAGTTCAAGACACAGTCCCTGCTTTCAGGGAGCATGAAATCTAATACTGGGATGAGTCTTAAACATGGGAAAAGTTAATTGACAATAAATGATCAAAGTGACAATTCAAGATAAAATAGGTGACATCTTTCCTATTTTGTGTATCAGAAAAGTCTCCATCTTTGTAGACATAAGCAGAGCTTAGGCCTTCCTAAACTTAGAAAAGGAATTTCATATTCCCCATGCATCTTGACTACTCAAGGGTAGAAGATGCATACAGTTATATTTAAAATGCTTATTGTCCTGGAATGAATATAGTACAGTGTAACTGAAACCAACCTTTTATTGACTTAATGGCAGTTCTTAATACCTACACCTTAATACCTACACCTACACCTTCTCTGGTACTAAAATCAGGAAAGGAGTTAAGGAAGGAATTGGGAATAATCCATTGTTCCACATCTAAATGTTTTCTGACGTCATGGTTTCGTTATATGAAATCAGTATCCACCCACAACAAACAAAACCTGACCAACAAAACCAAACTTAAAATGGCACTAGAAGGAAAATCAAGGTGACCTCTACACTCCAGTTAGGAGTGTGGATATGAAATATACTTTTAACTGTACAGAATCATACAAGATTCAGCTGATCTTACCCACACAACTCTTTACCTATAGGCAGAAGTGCATGGATACCTCAAAATCCAACATTTATATATATATTCACAGAATATAAGTGCTCAAAGATATGTTTTCATGTGTATACAACACAAATTGTTCATATGCAGAGATACACGTAATTATTTGTTTACATATTTGCACACAGGTAAACATTCCAGAGAGTAGGTGAGGAGGTAAGAGCCTGAAGGGTTTGGAAATACAGACTGGATTAAGCGAACAAGTAGGAGCAAATGAACACGGAAAAAAGGGTCTGGAGAAAGGCCTTTGGTGAAAGGTCTCTGAGACAGGGTTTGTAGATCAAGTCCTTCTGTTCATCAGTGCCCTCTTATATTTCAGCAGTGCTCTTGGTTTAGACCCAGAACATACACATCTCTCTTCCAAACATTCAAGGTGTCCATGTCACCTATTGTAGGTGAGTGTGCTTCTACCCTGGACTTAGTATAGCAGTGGTACTTAATAAACAATAATAAGGCAATCATCCAGCATATTAAAAAAGGGCAGTCTACTGCCTATTGGAAAGAACAGTTCAAGAGACACCATGAGCTAGATAGCCTCAGATTTCTCCACAGAAGCTTCCTGCCTGCAGATTATCTCACTACAGTTAATGTACAAATTCTTATCAAATGTGGAATCAGTGATCACCAACCAAAAACGGAAACCAGAGATGTCAGGCCTCCTGGAAACTCCAGGAGGGGAGTGCCTCAGTAGTCACCCTGCCAGAGGAGACGTTGAAATGGAGCAGCTGCTTCCTCGGCTGGTAGAATACAGAGCTGCAAGTGACTTACGCTTTCTCTCTCAAGATGGCAACATCAGGCCTTTTGATTGACAATGAGAAGTCTACATACCCAGTTATACTTTCAGGGAAAAGAAAAAGGTGTTAGGTACAGCCTCCCACATACCAAGAAACTAATCTCTCTCTGAATCAGAAACACATAGTAGACATGTGATATCAAACCTGTTCCTCAAAATAGATACTGAAATGTATTCACTTTGGCAGAGTGGCTCTCCCCTGGCATACTTTTAAAGTTATTGAAACCTAATCTTCAGCAAGGGAAAGAGGATACCATTTGACAGTAAGTTTAAAAAAAAAAAAATCAAAATGTCTCCATGCCCAAAAGAGGGTTGTACGTGAGCAATTTCTACAGCCAGTGTCAGTTAGATTTATGTGCCTGGGGACAATTCCTTTATAACATATCTTGCTCTTTTAATTGCCCTTCTGTTCAGTTTACTAATGATTTTTAAACTATTTGTTTGTCTTCAGAACACACAGATATCTGCCCTTCGGAATGATCCGAAACCTCTCCCACAACAGCCCCCAGCTCCGGCCAACCAGGACCAGAATTCTTCCCAGAATACCAGACTGCAGCCAACTCCACCCATTCCGGCACCAGCACCCAAGCCTGCCGCACCCCCACGTCCCCTGGACCGGGAGAGTCCTGGGGTAGAAAACAAACTGATTCCTTCTGTAGGAAGTCCTGCCAGCTCCACTCCACTGCCCCCAGATGGTACTGGGCCCAACTCAACTCCCAACAATAGGGCAGTGACCCCTGTCTCCCAGGGGAGCAATAGCTCTTCAGCAGATCCCAAAGCCCCTCCGCCTCCACCAGTGTCCAGTGGCGAGCCCCCCACACTGGGAGAGAATCCCGATGGCCTATCTCAGGAGCAGCTGGAGCACCGGGAGCGCTCCTTACAAACTCTCAGAGATATCCAGCGCATGCTTTTTCCTGATGAGAAAGAATTCACAGGAGCACAAAGTGGGGGACCGCAGCAGAATCCTGGGGTATTAGATGGGCCTCAGAAAAAACCAGAAGGGCCAATACAGGCCATGATGGCCCAATCCCAAAGCCTAGGTAAGGGACCTGGGCCCCGGACAGACGTGGGAGCTCCATTTGGCCCTCAAGGACATAGAGATGTACCCTTTTCTCCAGATGAAATGGTTCCACCTTCTATGAACTCCCAGTCTGGGACCATAGGACCCGACCACCTTGACCATATGACTCCCGAGCAGATAGCGTGGCTGAAACTGCAGCAGGAGTTTTATGAAGAGAAGAGGAGGAAGCAGGAACAAGTGGTTGTCCAGCAGTGTTCCCTCCAGGACATGATGGTCCATCAGCACGGGCCTCGGGGAGTGGTCCGAGGACCCCCCCCTCCATACCAGATGACCCCTAGTGAAGGCTGGGCACCTGGGGGTACAGAGCCATTTTCTGATGGTATCAACATGCCACATTCTCTGCCCCCGAGGGGCATGGCTCCCCACCCCAACATGCCAGGGAGCCAGATGCGCCTCCCTGGATTTGCAGGCATGATAAACTCTGAAATGGAAGGGCCGAATGTCCCCAACCCTGCATCTAGACCAGGTCTTTCTGGAGTCAGTTGGCCAGATGATGTGCCAAAAATCCCAGATGGTCGAAATTTTCCTCCTGGCCAGGGCATTTTCAGCGGTCCTGGCCGAGGGGAACGCTTCCCAAACCCCCAAGGATTGTCTGAAGAGATGTTTCAGCAGCAGCTGGCAGAGAAACAGCTGGGTCTCCCCCCAGGGATGGCCATGGAAGGCATCAGGCCCAGCATGGAGATGAACAGGATGATTCCAGGCTCCCAGCGCCACATGGAGCCTGGGAATAACCCCATTTTCCCTCGAATACCAGTTGAGGGCCCTCTGAGTCCTTCTAGGGGTGACTTTCCAAAAGGAATTCCCCCACAGATGGGCCCTGGTCGGGAACTTGAGTTTGGGATGGTTCCTAGTGGGATGAAGGGAGATGTCAATCTAAATGTCAACATGGGATCCAACTCTCAGATGATACCTCAGAAGATGAGAGAGGCTGGGGCGGGCCCTGAGGAGATGCTGAAATTACGCCCAGGTGGCTCAGACATGCTGCCTGCTCAGCAGAAGATGGTGCCACTGCCATTTGGTGAGCACCCCCAGCAGGAGTATGGCATGGGCCCCAGACCATTCCTTCCCATGTCTCAGGGTCCAGGCAGCAACAGTGGCTTGCGGAATCTCAGAGAACCAATTGGGCCCGACCAGAGGACTAACAGCCGGCTCAGTCATATGCCACCACTACCTCTCAACCCTTCCAGTAACCCCACCAGCCTCAACACAGCTCCTCCAGTTCAGCGCGGCCTGGGGCGGAAGCCCTTGGATATATCTGTGGCAGGCAGCCAGGTGCATTCCCCAGGCATTAACCCTCTGAAGTCTCCCACGATGCACCAAGTCCAGTCACCAATGCTGGGCTCGCCCTCGGGGAACCTCAAGTCCCCCCAGACTCCATCGCAGCTGGCAGGCATGCTGGCGGGCCCAGCTGCTGCTGCTTCCATTAAGTCCCCCCCTGTTTTGGGGTCTGCTGCTGCTTCACCTGTCCACCTCAAGTCTCCATCACTTCCTGCCCCGTCACCTGGATGGACCTCTTCTCCAAAACCTCCCCTTCAGAGTCCTGGGATCCCTCCAAACCATAAAGCACCCCTCACCATGGCCTCCCCAGCCATGCTGGGAAATGTAGAGTCAGGTCAGTATGCTTGCATCCTCACAGTTGCACCTAGTAGCTGGAGACTGCTAGACCTGATAGTTACTTTAAGAAAACTGGTGTCTTGAGTACACAGACAGAGGAGGCAGTCTTTGTTGAAATGGCCATATTTGTGGCAAGGTGCATAATCAGTGCTTCCATGGGGTTATGCAGAAGTGTCCAATCTCAGCAAAAAATACGTATGTCAGAGAGACTGTTAAAAGGAAGAGGGGAAATGGGGAATATGTGTTGGGTTCACAGAATAATTTACATTCGCACAATGAACAAATGCAATAAAATGTCTTAACAGTGGATGAATGTGGCTTCTTTAAATACTGGACCCACTGCAAGGGGCTGCCCTTGAATCGAGATTCTGGGTATAATCCTAAGCAGAGAGAGGGGAAGCTGCTGTAAGACTTGTGTGGTTCTTGTAAATACCTGTTGACCACAGAAACAGTTCCAAAATCTTCTCCTTGATAGACCACTGTTTTCACAGATCAGCTACAATTTAGGAGGATTTTCTTCCTGGGAGAGATTCTTGCTGATGATGATGGTTTTGTGAGTGGGACTAGAGGTGGTCAGTGGAAGTAGTGCCAAGGTGTAAATACTAGGTTGGTGCTGTCTCCACCTGAGAAAGACTAGAATCAGAGCAAGATAGAAGATTTATCCTACCAGCCTAAAGTGCCTCTCTGTAGGGTAGCAGTTCACTGAAGCAGTACAGTGGAACAGCCCCCTCAGACCTTCTTGGTTCAAACATCTTGGTTGTGGAAATTAATCAAGAATGCGTGTAGGGTGATGTCGTTAGTACCTGGGATCATATCACTAGTCTGGCTTCATAGCATACTAATACCTGAGTCGAATTCTAAACTGTGATTGGCAAGGGAAAGAGATCCACTTATTTCACATTCTATTCAGTGAAATGGTTGTCTGTAAACCATATTTTCCCCAAGCTTGAACTAATATTTCTAACACATTCCTGGTGTGTTTGTCTTCACATCTGCTGATCGGTCATGTCACCTCCATATCACACCACAGTCTCCCTCTGCACTCACACAGAGCTTGACTAGAAGATTGATGATTTGTGTCTGGGATCTAATAACACTGTCCTGTTCATCTGTCTCATTCCTGGCCTTGCTAGTTCATAATCATAGGGCCCAATACCCTTCAAAAGGAATCTAATTCCCTGCCCGTTTTGTTTTATTTTGCTTCCTTTTAGGTGGCCCCCCACCTCCTACAGCCAGCCAGCCTGCCTCTGTGAATATCCCTGGAAGTCTTCCCTCTAGTACACCTTATACCATGCCTCCAGAGCCAACCCTTTCCCAGAACCCACTCTCTATTATGATGTCTCGAATGTCCAAGTTTGCAATGCCCAGTTCCACCCCGTTATACCATGATGCTATCAAGACTGTGGCCAGCTCAGATGACGACTCCCCTCCAGCTCGTTCTCCCAACTTGCCATCAATGAATAATATGCCAGGTAAGAAATCAGAAAGGCAGGTTGTGGAGTGAGTGCTAGACCAAAGAGAAACCTCTTGAAGCGTTTTCTCAATGGCTATACACCTGAATAGGTGGAAGTTCAACAAGTAGAAAAAATCTTCCATCTAAGGTAGTTTCAGTAGAATGAAAGTGTCTTGACTAGAGGAAGATAATTTCTTATTAGCTTGATTCCTTATTTGTTTGTAAGAAAGCAGGTTTCTTTATAGTTCTGATGCTTCTGTGTACCTGGATGGTTTTGAGGGTTTGTTGTTTTTGTTTTTCTCTTTGGGTCCTCATGTAGCAATATAGAGAGTAGTTTCTAACAGGCTGATTGGAATGTCTTTAGTCCTCAAGTTTTTTTTTCTGGAAGAGCAGCCTCAAACCACAAGCAGCCACAGGATTTCAGACAGTGGAAAGCCCCTGTTTCCTAGACAAGCCTTTTTTTTTTTAGGACTAGGGAGATAATAAAATCCTTCCCTTCCCTACACATTCGGTACACCTTCATTCCTATACCCACCCCTCACCTCGACTCCTGCCACCTGACTAACAGAAAATGATCAGGATGGTGAAAGCAATCAGCAAAGAGACCATGACTTTTCAGCCATGAGTTTCTGGTTCCAGTTCTATTCTGATTGTTACAAATGCTCTTTATTTATCAGTAACTCTAATTAACTGGGTTAGTACATGTACCAGGAACAGCATAAGCCCCCTGCCACACTCGGTGGTAATTCCAACAGAGACACCAAATACTTCAATGTCCCAGGGACTGTATTAGAATATGTTACTTTCCTTTTCTATTAAAAGTTATTTCTTGAACATTTCGTGGAATCTCGAGTTTTAAATGCTTTCTCTATAAGGCACTTATAAAATAATGCCAAATGCCAATTGAAAAATTACCTGTTTAGTTTCTTTGTTATGATTCCTGATCATTGGGATTGTAGTACTGATTTCTCCAAAAGGACCGTACTTGAGTCATTCAGGCAAATTGTTTTCTTCTGTATTAAATATCTCCAATGAGGAAGGCGAAACTCATTTGTGTGCTAATTTATAACTTTTCACACATGACAATTTCTCCCTTGCTATCTTCTACACACAGTTTAAGACTCAATAATATATTGTCCTGTAGAGCTCTTGGTTTGTATGTCCCCAGATGTATTATGATCTTATTGATGGCAGGGATTGTGTGTTGTATGTTTTCCCAGCATTATACTATGCACATTGGATGCACAATAGTTTTTTTGTTAATTTATTATAGTTTTTCTGAGTTGATTTTTGGTTAAGTTGATTCCTTTGATATCTTTATTTTTCTAGGAATGGGCATTAATACACAGAATCCTCGAATTTCAGGTCCAAACCCCGTGGTTCCGATGCCAACCCTCAGCCCAATGGGAATGACCCAGCCACTTTCTCACTCCAATCAGATGCCCTCTCCAAATGCCGTGGGACCCAACATACCTCCTCATGGGGTCCCAATGGGGCCTGGCTTGATGTCACACAATCCTATCATGGGGCATGGGTCCCAGGAGCCACCGATGGTACCTCAAGGACGGATGGGCTTCCCCCAGGGCTTCCCTCCAGTACAGTCTCCCCCACAGCAGGTTCCATTCCCTCACAATGGCCCCAGTGGGGGGCAGGGCAGCTTCCCAGGAGGGATGGGTTTCCCAGGAGAAGGCCCCCTTGGCCGCCCCAGCAACCTGCCCCAAAGTTCAGCAGATGCAGCACTTTGCAAGCCTGGAGGCCCCGGGGGTCCTGACTCCTTCACTGTCCTGGGGAACAGCATGCCTTCGGTGTTTACAGACCCAGATCTGCAGGAGGTCATCCGACCTGGAGCCACCGGAATACCTGAGTTTGATCTATCCCGCATTATTCCATCTGAGAAGCCCAGCCAGACGCTGCAATATTTCCCTCGAGGGGAAGTTCCAGGCCGTAAACAGCCCCAGGGTCCTGGACCTGGGTTTTCACACATGCAGGGGATGATGGGCGAACAAGCCCCCAGAATGGGACTAGCATTACCTGGCATGGGAGGTCCAGGGCCAGTGGGAACTCCGGACATCCCTCTTGGTACAGCTCCATCCATGCCAGGCCACAACCCCATGAGACCACCAGCCTTTCTCCAACAAGGCATGATGGGACCTCACCATCGGATGATGTCACCAGCACAATCTACAATGCCCGGCCAGCCCACCCTGATGAGCAATCCAGCTGCTGCCGTGGGCATGATTCCTGGCAAGGATCGGGGGCCTGCCGGGCTCTACACCCACCCTGGGCCTGTGGGCTCTCCAGGCATGATGATGTCCATGCAGGGCATGATGGGACCCCAACAGAACATCATGATCCCCCCACAGATGAGGCCCCGGGGCATGGCTGCTGACGTGGGCATGGGTGGATTTAGCCAAGGACCTGGCAACCCAGGAAACATGATGTTTTAAGCTGCTAAGATGGGATGTGCCGATCCTTGTCAAGATGAGATTCCAGGTCCTGAGAGCTGCTTTGAGGGAGTTCCAGGAGTACTTACTATTGGTCATGCAATAGGAGAACAGAGACCCGAGGGCTGCTTTGGGGGAGGGGGGAACTCGAGAATGTATGGATTTACCTGAAAACAAATTATTCATTTAATCAACAGGTGTGTTTTTTTTAAGATTTATTTTTTAAAAATTATTTTTGTGGACTTGGGTATCAATGATGGCACCTACTTTTGGGAATCTGTAGCTGTGCTTTGAGAATTGCCATCGGTCATGTGTTGCACCGTTCTCTGTATGTTTACGTCCTTTGGACTGGCTTCTCCCAGGATTCTTTTCTGTTTTTGTTTTTTTGATTTGGGCTTTATTTTTTTCTGTGTACTGTACTATATTGTAAAAGGGATTTTAGCAGAGACTTTAGTCTTTGGGGCAAGAGGAGAACAGGAATGCTGGGCTGTTTACTTTAGGTGGAGAATCCATCTTCAGACCTTTGGACTATTTTCTTTCAACTGCAGTGTATAGAAAAACCAAACTACGACCTCAGAGCAGAGTATTAATGAAAAGCACAAAAAAAGGAACTAAGTTCAGCGAGGGGTGGGGGGAGGGGGGAGATTTTTCTTTTGAAAAATAATGACTCTTAGGACATTTGTTTTTCAGTTCAAGTGCTCTTCAGCACTGTCTTGTCTCCCAATATACCAACCCACTGGCACATTTTTCTCTTGTTTTCTCTCTCCGATTTTGCTCTGTCTCCTCAGTTAAGTGTTTCCTTCCTTTGTGCCCCCCGCTGGTGACCCTCTGCTTCCCTCTCTCTTTCCCTTTGGCAGCTGCAATACACAGTGTTATTTTGGGGAAATAAATCTAGCAAAGCCTCGCCTTCCATGCCGAGCGTCCTCTTGGCTCTGAGAGGGAAAGGTCTGTCCTTGGGATGCTCTCTGGTCTTTTTTCCCCCTAAGTCTTTCTCTTTCCCATCATACCCTTCCCTGCCCACCTTGTTTTCTGTTCTCCTTTTATTAGGAATTCCCAAGTGAATTTTATTAATGTGGGAGTGGAACAGATGCTAAAAGCTATCCAGGATTTTGTTTCTGTTTGTTTTAAATTTTGTGGTTCCTTCCCTTTCCTCCCCCTCCCATGCGTAAGACGTTCTGTGTAACCTCCATTAAATTTGGTACAAAACCACTCGCCAGAGCTGTGGTGTCAGAAAAATAAAATATATTGTTTCTTACAAAATTGAACTGCCTTTTTTGTTCATTTGGATTCCTGATTGTTTAGTATTGGGCATACCGGTTGCCATGTGACCCAGAAGCGTAGACTCTTTGTATTGGAGTTGATCAGTAAGGTGATGGTTAGGGAAACCACATAAAAGTACCTTCTCAAAGCATATTCCATGCTGTTAAGGAATAACTACTCATGTAGGTTTATTCTGTACTGTTCCTATCTCAGTCATGAAATCCTAGTTATAAGCAGAAGAGCAACCCTGGTCCCATTGCTGAACTTTACCTTTAGGGCAATTAATGGTCTTTATTAGGAATGTTTGTGAGAGCCAGTTTAGTGGTATGAAGTAATTAAGAAGGCCAAAGGTTGTATGTTTAGTTATTTGAATAAGCTATGAGATGTCCCTTGGTCTTGTTAAGGTAGAATATTATTACTATACCTGCAAATTATGGGTTTCCACAGTCCGTGGGTTTCTGTGGTCCTTTCTGGCTCCCCACCTCCCCCTTACCCCATCACCTCTGCTAACGCTGCTCAGTCTTTGTGCACAGTTCACTTCTCACCACACACATCTTCAGCAGATCAGTGTGTATCCTGCAAGGTATGTGCTAATGGACTTGCTGTTGTGCTTCTGTGCAGTTAATTCTGTTCTGGTGTGTGTATTTCTTTGAGTTGTAGGTGTTTTTAGCTCAGTGAGTGGGCGTCTGTGTGCGTGTTTGTTCTTAGGTGAGAGAATCTAAGCGAGGAGCGGCAGGTGCAGAGTCATCTGCAAACAAACTTGTACAAATTGGGCTCTGCTGGTGTTTCACAGTCTGAGCTTTTCTCTCCGACAATTGTTTTGGAGAGCCATTTTCTCTTCCTTTTCAGCAGCCCTGTCTTCTCAGTAACACAAGTGCCCCAGACAACAAAAAATGTGGAGATGAACATTTGAGTACCTACTCTACCAGTCGCCTCCCTGCACTTTATCTTGCTGATTTTTAAGGGGCCCTGTGAAGTGAGTGGTAATGATCTCATTTGCAGATGAGAAAACTTGAGCTCACAAGTTTAAGAATTCTGATTCAATCTGATGTATTCTGTTGGTGCTGGGTAGTGAAACTTTCATGTTGTAGAGAAATTAGGATAGTAAAATGAAGATTTTGTTTCACGAACTTAGCCATGTTTCTGGGTTCTCTGGCTTTAAAGTATATAGATGAGAACAGACTAACAGCCAAGCATGGGCAGCACAAGATGAGAACCTGAAGGAAGGGTCCCACCTGGCATTTGTCTACTGGTCTGGCTTCTTGGGTTGCTCCCCTCCTTGCTGTACCCAACAGTGTTGCAGTCACTAATGGTGTGTGGTCCTGTTGTTACTCTCACAGGCAGGGAGTCAAGGCATAAAAGGTACCCACATAGGAGAGCAGGTACTCACTTAGAGGGCTAGCAAGAGACCGGTGGGTCTGGCTGCTGTGGGCAGCTGGATGTGTGGCACTCCTCTCGCAGCCCCCTGCTGGAGAACTTGGGGCAGTGCAGATCAACTTCCCCACCTGAGTTTTTAAAATACCCCATCATACAACTTCATTCACTTTATCAGCACATGCCATTTCATCACGATAATGTCTGACAAGCCAAATTTAGGGTCTAAATACAACAATTTATCATTTACTAAGATTGTTATAAAATAAAATTACCTTTAGAGAGACTGGATGCTAGTGCATGGAGAACTGATGCAAGATTTTTTAAAAATCAGTGGAAGAGTGATGAAAGATGTTTCATATTAACATATTCCTGTGAAAGCCCAGCCAATCTTCTCTCTTTCCTCTCCTGAAGTTTGGGACTGAATGGAGAAAATGCAGTAGTGACTTGTTCACTTCAGGGGAAAGTGGTGGAGTGTGTGTGGCTCATAGCATTTGTTAAGGACTAACTAGAAGTATGTAGCATTTTCCCTGAAACAATGTAAAATAAAATAATTTACTTTAGAAACGATTCTGCACTTATACATGAAAACAGACATAATTATAGGGGTCTTATGAAGGAGGCGGCATGAGAAAATAAATTGAAAACAATTTTACATATTTAAAGCTACTCCTTAAAAAATGGATCCAACATTTCTCCCAGCCTCCCTGCGCTCTATACTTCTTGATATTATCATCACAACGCAACTGTGGTCATCTGTGCCACCTGTGCAGTTGGACAGGACTCCGGCTTGGTTTAATGCTCCGCTGTCACTGTTTGGAGTTCTTAATTATTGAATAGGGGCTCCACATTTCCATTTCGCCCTGGGTCCCACAGATTGCTTAGCCAGGCTGTTGTAAACAGAAATCACAACAGCTCCACAGAGGTGCTGGGACCTCAGTCTCCATATTTATTCTTTCTCCTTAACTAGTGGCCAGGAGCACCTCAGGCAGGGTACTTGCTGTGTTCCGCTTAAACTGTCTACACTTCAGTCATTTCCTTTTCCTTTTCTGAGTAATTTCAGGGTGCTGAAAGGAGAGGGAAGTTGCATTTTAACCCGAGGACTCATTATTTAGCAAATATTTATAGAGCACCTACTGTGTATCAAGAACTGTGCAAAGGCTGGGATGTGGAAACAGGTGTGTAAACCAGTTATTGCGATGTAATATGATGATTGCTACAGTGAAGGTGTGGACAGGGCGCAATGGGCCAGAAAGGAAAATTCAATGAATCCTCAAAGGAAAGGTGATTTTTTGAACTGACTCTTAAAGGAGAGAGCATTCCTGGAGGATGGTGGTGAGCACTGAAGCAGAGGAAATGGGAACAGCAAGGGCTTGCTGATGGGATGGCCTCTTTAAGGGAGGAAGAAGTAAAGAAGTAAGAAATAAGCCTAGGCCGGGCGCGGTGGCTCACGCCTGTAATCCCAGCACTTTGGGAGGCCGAGGTGGGCGGATCATGAGGTCAGGAGATCGAGACCATCCTGGCTAACATAGTGAAACCCCATCTCTACTAAAAATACAAAAAATTAGCCAGGCGTAGTGGCGGGCGCCTGTAGTCCCAGCTACTCGGGAGGCTGAGGCAGGAGAATGGCGTGAACCTGGGAGGCGGAGCTTGCAGTGAGCCGAGATCGCGCCACTGCACTCCAGCCTGGGCGACAGAGCGAGACTCCGTCTCAAAAAAAAAGAAAAGAAATAAGCCTAGAGAGAGAGTGGATCACAGAGAGCCCAGTGTGGCCCACTAAAGAGTTTGAACTTCAAAGTTTTAAGCAAAGGATCAGGTGATCAGATTGTGGAAGATAGCCTGGGGGCGGGGTGAGAGAACCACAGGAAGATCACTTGCAAAAATTTGCTTATTCTACAAAATCCTCAGACTCATCTCTTTTGCTTGAAATAACATTAAATTGTATCATATTTCCCATGCTGTTTAGGCAACTTGAGCCTCACTGCCACTTTCTTTTCTCTAACTCAGACCTGTAATTTTTTTCAAAGTCACAAACCCTTACATTTAAGAAAAGTCATGGAATCCTAATTTGGTGGTAAGATTTTAATAACACATTTAAAGCAATAAGTATATAAAGCACAAAACCAGTGGGTGGCCAAACATTTCCTATTGGAGGGAGCTAAATCATAAAAATAATGTTAAAAGGAAGGTATGCTATAAGGATTGTAATAAAAGTTGTCTCTATTTAACATGGCTTCTTATTTGGGTTACTGTTAAACAGACACGAATCTATTTTCTGCCTATAGGTGACCCCACTTCAGCTGTTAACTTTCTGTCTCAGTGCTTAATTGTGCTTGGTAATCAATACTGTCAGAGGAAGACGGTGAGTGTATGTATGACCATAGAAAGAGAAAATAAACAGAAGAACCAGAAATTATTTCCTCACACATAGTTAAAGCATGGGAAAATTCAGTTATTTCACCAAACACGAAAGAAACCAGATTTCTCTTGCAAAATACCTGCTTAGTGTCCACGAACAATTATGTGGGTACCCTGGGGTTCCAAAGAACAGGTTAAAGAGACCCAGCCCTAGGAAACTGCATGTCTTCACCGGGGCCAGCTGGGCGTGTTGCTGTGTGGCTCTGGGCGGCTGGGTTTCTCATACCTCAGCACCTGCACCTAGACCAGCAACTCCCTCTCATGAGGGGCTGACCCGCAGCTCTGTGCTAGCCACACTCTTCCATTCTCCAGAGGCTGGAGCCAGGGTCAAGGGCAGAAACAGCTTACAAATCTCAGTTATATCCAGTGTCCAATTAATTAGTGTTGAGGGTGAATTTAGTTTTCAATAATCTTTTTGTTTTCTACAGCCGAAGTTCTCTTTATTAAAGACCCCAGGAGCTCATGTTTGTTTCTCATCTTTACCAAGCTTCCAGGAGCTTTCATTTTCCTCACTTCCCACATAGAAGCTCAACAGCTACCCCATGAGCTGTTTTCCCTGGAGACTCCTGCCCATCCCCATGAATCAATCTGTGATCTAAGGCCACGCTTTTGGCGGTGCTTTACGGGCTCTGGAGTACTGGCTTCTGGCTGCTCGGTTCTCAGCGTCAAATGAAGACAAGGGCTGCGTCTGGCACCTTGCTAGAAACTGAGTCATTGTTATTGGGTTCAGTCAAAATGTATTTGATTACAGGGGATGGTGGATTACTGTGATTTATTTTGTTCTCCAAACTGCAGAAGATCTCCTGGGCTTTGGTAAAATTCTCTAGGATAGCTGTGAGTAGTCGAGCTATTGAAAACTTTTATACACACATATACACATACAGATTTACTTATACACATGTATATGTACCTTAATATATGAAAGTATGTAAATAATTAAATGCCAGTTTTGAAATGTCAACACTGCAATGAAGAGTAGTTTGCTTTTTCCTTGTCAATGAGGCTGGAAAAGCCCTAGAATTTTCTTCATTCCTGTTATGCTTGCTACCTGCAAGTCCTTTAAAATAAAATCATCATTATTTAAAAGTGTGATAATACCAATGAGGAAATACAAGGATCACTTCCATACAAAGGAAGAACCAGGCCCAGGAGAGAAATTATCTGACAGGCACCTCAAACTTAACATGTCTTAAACTTAACCTCTGAATTTCTCTCACATCTTATCTCCACACCCCACTTCCCCATCACAGTAAATGACATTATATCCATCCCCTAGTTTTCATATCAGACACCTGGGACTCATTCCTAATTCTTTACTCCTCATGTAAAACCATCAGCAAATCCTTTCATGCCAATTTCCAAAACATATCTTAAATCCATGCACTTTTCTTCATCACTCTAGATGAAGTTACTATCTTTCACCTCATTTATTACGTGTTTGTTTGTTTTTTAACCAGTATTTTCACTCTAGCTCTTCAGTCTATTCTCCACAATATAAACAAAGTAACCTTAAAAAGTATGAATTGGCTGGACACTGTGGCTCACGCCTGTAATCCCTGCACTTTGGGAGGCCGAGGTGGGTGGGTCACAAGGTCAAGAGATCGAGACCATCCTGGCCAACATGGTGAAACCCCGTCTCTACTAAAAATACAAAAATTAGCGGGGCTTGGTGGCACACACCGGCAGTCCCAGCTACTCAGGAGGCTAAGGCAGGAGAATCGCTTGAACCCAGGAGGCGGAGGCTGCAGTGAGCTGAGATCGTGCCACTGCACTCCAGCCTGGGCGACAGAGTGAGACTCTGTCTTAAAACAACAACAACAACAACAAAAAAAACAGTATGAATCACACCACTTTCTTCCTTAAGACCCTTTCATGGCTTCCTAATGTAATTAGTATGAAACCCAAGATTTTTGGCAGGACTGCCAGGCCCCAGCGCCTCTCCAGTTTTGCTTCATGCCCTTCCCCCACCCACTGTGCTCCAGCCGAACCATGCTAATTTCAGTATCTCCAGCGTGCCAAGGCCTTCTTGCCACAGGACCTTACCCACACCAGTTCTTTGGCCTGGCATACTTGACTCCAGGCTTTCCCAATGGCTGGCTTCTCCATGCCCCTCAGGTCTCAGCTTATTTGTCATCTCCTCAGAGAGGTCTTCTCTGAGTACCCTGTCAAATACCTACCTATGCCCAACACACACACACACACACACACACACACACCATCATTTTGTATCACGACTCTGTTTGTATCCTTCATAGCAATTATGTATTTTATCTTGCCCACTGTGTGAAGTCAGGAGCCAAATTTTTCTTGCTCATCACTTGTTCACCAGCATCTGGCATAGTGTCTGCACTCTATCAAAGATCAGTAAATAGCTGTTAAATAAATGAGAGGGAAGAAGGATCCATATGAGCTTGGGTGGCCAGGAAAGATTTCATGCTGGTTGTGGTACATGAGGTGGACCCTATAATGAGGCTGGGGGTGGAGGACACACAGAGAACAACACGAATGAGGAAATGGCAGTGGGAATGGACGGATAAAGAAAAGCAGGCCAAATGACAGCGAAGGGAACAGCTTAAACAAAATTGATCATGTGCACAATAGAATGTGAAATTGAAAAGGGAGGGAAGAATGAATAGCCCCAAAAGCCAAGAAAAGGAATTTCATCTTGATATGGGAAACAATTGGGACCCACTCTTTGGTCTTAATCAGAGGACTTACATGCTAAGTGTTTTATCAAGTGAGTCTGGCAGGGGCAAGCAGGATGGATTGAAGCAAGGACAGGCTGGAAGAGCTGACTGGAAGCACGCACCTATTCTGGGGTTGAGGAGGTGAGGCTCCTGGCGATTCAGTGGAGAGTAAAGGGTGAAGCAAAGACAGCTGTGAAGGAAGAACCCCCAAGACTTCATTGGATAATGGGGACAATCACTGGAGAAGAGGTAGGAATCAAACACGATGTGGTGATTTTGAGACTGAGAAGCTGAAAGAAAGGTAGAATCGTGGTGTTGGAAGAGGCCATCCTACTGCCCTAAGTATCCCTGACAGGTGGCCAGCACCTCCACTTGAGCCGTCCGATAATGGGAGCCCATTCTATTGAACATCATTAGCTCTAATATTTAGAAAATTCTGCCGCCTAATGAATCAGGCTTCTTTTAGTTTTTTGCCCATTCATCCCAATTCTGACTGTAGGAGTAAATACAGAATAAGAGCAGTCCTTCTTTCTCATCCCAGCCCTTCAGATAGTTGAAAACAGTTATTACTTCCCTCCTAATTTTCTTTTTCCCAAGCTAAATGCCCTGGTCCATCAATTAAGACCAATGAGATCAGGTTTTGAGTTCCCTAACTGCCCTCATAGTTTTATCTTGTTTTATCACAGTTTACACATACCTTGAAAGAAGAAATAAAGTGTTTGGTGCCCCAGTACTATCTGATCAGCAGAGAGCACAGTGAGACTATTACTTTCTTTTATCTGAGCACAATTTCACTAATAGGCAAAAGTTTCTTTTTTTTTTTTTAACTGCTATGGAGTTATATTGGAATTTTAGGAAATGAAAACCCCAAGATCTTTTTCATGTAAAAAAAGTCATCACTCCTAATCCTGTGTATTATTTTGCTTATTTTTATCCTATATTCAGAATTCTAGTTATTCCTATTTAATTTCAATATTCATTCTGATCTGTTGTTCCACAGTCTGAAAGTCCTTAGAAACTTATTCTAACAATCTTTATATTGGTTCTAACTTTTCTATCAAAAGCAAAGCTGGTAATATTTTCATCAAAGTGATACAAGAACCCAGGATAAAAACCTGGAGCTCATAACTGAGGTGCTTTTTTCACCCATTTAAAAAAATTGTGGTAAAAAAATACAGCAAAAAATTGACCATTTTAACCATTTTTAAGTATACATTAATGTGTTATGGCTTTAAGTACATTCACATTGTTGTGCAATCATAATCGCCATCCATCTCCACAACTTTTTCATCATGTAAAATTCTAACTTTGTACCCATTAAACAATAACCCCATTTCTCCCTCTGAAGTTTCTGAGGAATTGCCATACTGTTGTCCACAAGTGCTGCACCATTTTGCATTCCCACTAAGAATGTACAAGGGTTCCAATTTCTCTAGATTCTTATCAACATTTATTATTTTTGTTTGTTTTCTCATTGTGGTTTTGGTTTGCATTTCTCTGATGAGTGACGTTGAGCATCTTTTCATGTGCTTACTGGCCATTTGTGTATCCTCCATGGAGAAATGTGTATTCAAGTCCTTGGCCCGTTTTTTGATGAGGATTTTTGGTGGTGGTTGTGTTGTAGGAGTTCTTTAAATCTTCTGGATATTAATTCCTCATCAGATAAATGATTTTCAAATATTTTCTCCCATTCCATGGGGTGCCTTTTCACTCTGTTGATTGTGTCCTTTGATGCCTAAAAGTTTTTTTTTTAATTTTGATAAAATCCAACTTATCTATATTTTCTTTCCTTGCCTGGGCTTTTGGTATCATATCCAAGAAATCACTGTGAAATATAATGTCATAAAGCTTTTCCCCTGTGTTGTCTTCTAAGATTTTATAGTTAGAGCTAATCTTTAGAGTGACATCAATTCAGAAATTTTTAAATGTTTTAAATATACTTGTGTAATCACTTATAATTCTACCTCTTATCATCCAGCTCACATTCTCCATCTACCTATTGAGTAATTGGCTCTTTGATTGATTCATCAGTCTCTACAAGGCTAGGAACTGTGGATGCAGCAGTGAACTGGTCAGGAGTGGTCCCACCCTGAGCTCATCAAACCCAGAGTCTATTGAAGAAGTCAAACACTGAATAAGCAATTATAAGCACAGTCATGGCATGAAAGAAAAGGAAGCTGCCCACATTGAAGACAGGGAAGTGCAACCTAAAATATTTTATCAAATTTCCTGAGAATCTTCTATCTACTGGTCTGTTAACCCAAAGGAGAAAGGAAATAGTTCAGCCAAGTACTAATAATGATTGCTGCTTTCTTTCCTAAGTGCTCCACAGACTTTTCCTTTGTTTAAAAGTCCACTCTAGACCAAGGAGCTCTCCAGTCCTTAAATTCTGGAGTCTATCATTTTATGGGTTTTAAAAACTAGGGCCACATTTGCCTTTGTATTTTGGTTCTTTGAGACTAGAAATCTGAGAGTATCTTCATTTCTCATAGATTACTGTCTGAAGTGACATCTATAACTTAACTTTTTATCTACTCCAGGGTATTACCTACCAAATAGGAAGATCCGAACTCATTGACATCAACCAGGTGCTGTCCTCACTGCTCTAAGATTTCAATCCCTCCCAGCAATCTTGGGCCATTTGTGGCTTAAAGGTAGATTCTGTTGTTAGGAAAGACTTACTAGGAAAGAGAGGGATTTGGATTTAACTGCTTTCATTTTCTCTCTCTCCTCTATTAAATCTTCTCCCCCAGACGCTGAGCCTATCTTTTACTTCTTCATTACTTTTTTTCTCAGAATACAGCTTAAGAGCCCTTAGCTTCCTCTTCCTGTCCCAATCTTGCCCAAGCTTCTAGTATTATCATGAGTAAAAATTAGGGAAGTTGGGGAGAAGTCCTTGTTGGGGTTGAGGGAGTGTTGAGTATGAAATGATGAAGTGGTGTCTATGTGTGGACAGTTGGAAATAAGAGACAGGGATGAATGAGCAGTTTGGACTAGATATGGAGATGTGAATTCCTCCACATGGAGATGAATATAGATTATTTCTCTATGGGAGTGAGAGAATAGAGAGCCAAGTGGAGGGCCAAGAACTCAGTCATGAGGGATTGGCACAGTCCGCAGGCAGGAAGAAGTTCCAGCAAAAGAAACTGAAATTCACAGAATAGGAAGAAAACAGAAATGATCTAGCCCACCTCTCCCATCTAACTGATGAGGAAATGGTTGTCCAGATAAAAATGAATCAGTGACTAAGGCAGCTATGAAAATATAGAGTTGCATAAGTCCTGAGGGGTTGGGGGAGTGGCTTTCAAGAAATAGGAGGTGGTCCACAGGGCCAAATACTTCTGATCAATCAAAAAAGGTGAGGAAACTAACGATGGTACTTGAAATTGATTAATGTGTTGGTCTCCCAGAGTGTAGCTGTGGTAAAGCAGAAGACAGAGAAACCTAAGCATGTGGGGGAAAGGGTGTAAATGTGAAAGAGGCAAAGAGATACTGAGTTATACATGCTCAGTACGTTTGGCAGTACCAGGCAAGAGAAATAGGATGGTTAGATAGAAGAAAAATATAAATAAGCAAAGTTTAAGACAACAGAAGTACTACTAATTTAAGACAGAAAGGAAGGAACCAATTGAGTGGGAAGGATTGAGGACACAAAAGAAGTCCTGCCATCTTTGGCAGGAAGATCACAAGAAGCGGGACAGGAACTGAAGCACAGGTAGCGGTAAGCTTTGGGGAAAGAAAGATACCAGAAGTGAAAGGAGAAAGGTGCCATGTGTGATGAAGCAGATAAAGCAAAGAGACAAAGGGACACATCCCGGAAGCCAGATGTGCAGATATGGAAGGAAAACATGCTGATCCTCAGGTCAAAGGTGAAAGTTTGAGTCCTGCCTCTGCCTCTCCCTGGATATTTGACTTTGATCTCTTTGAGCTGGCTGCTTCACATTTGGATGTCATAGGCTTTTTGTGAAACTGTTATCGGACAACATGTGTGTATGCCTAGTATGAGTTATCAGAGCATTTTTGAGAGATGCCTTAGGCTGTAATGCAAAAAGATATGAAATGGCTGCTCTGGTAAATTAGAAAGCTCACAAGATACACCAGCTGGGCAGTAAGAGGGTTCTAGCTGAAGCAGAAAATCATGATTCTTCTTTCAGAAGGGACACCCAGGGACCCCTCTTGCTGCCCTCCTGGGCACTGAAAGGTAGCACAGAAAAGCCATAGAGAAAGAAGCACCACAGTGGAAATTCCATGATGGGATGGTGGTGGCCACAGCAGGAAGGCATTTTCAAGAGCTACTGGAGTCCCCAGGCCCAGCCAGCCCAAGGTGGGGATAACAGCAACACTTTAATAAGGTTACACTGGGGTCACCAGATTCTCAAGCACTTCTCTCCTCCTGCTTTTAAAGTTCAGAATCATCTAATTAGAGGACCAAACTCCATCCCTGACCACATGAAAAGCAAAATGAGGCCTGACTCTGACTCAAACTGTTCACAGAGAATGAAGGATGCTGTGGAATCCTAGAACTTCAGATTCTCATGGTAGGCAGGGACTGGCCCGTGTGTGACCCTCTACAATACTTTGCCTAATGCCAGTGTAAGCTTATAAAAGAACCCTCTAAGGTAGCCCAATTCATCCATGGTCAGCTCTGATTATTTCAAAGGTTTTCCTTATGTTGATCTCAAGTCTATACATCCCTGCAACTTACACAATACTGTTCTGCGTGTGGTCCTCAGTGCCCACATAAATCAAATATTTGATATGCCCTCTGTCTCTTTGATCCCTTCCTCTTGATGGTCTTTCTCCAATTGACAAGCTTGTCTAGCTCTGCTACCAAGTCTGGCTCTCAGATCTGAGAACAGTTCCCTGGCTGTGCTCTGAACTGTGCAGGATGGAACATCACTTCCTTCATTCCAGTACCAGGATAGCCATTGCACATTTAGGATTTTGAGGAACACATCATACTATGGATTCACACTGAACAAATCCCTCACTAAAACCCCTCTTCAGTTGTGGGCAACTGATTTTGAGGCCCCAAGATCAGAACTCTGCATTTGTCTCCATTAAGTTCCATCTTAAAATATTTGGCCTAGGATCTAAAACTGATATCAGCACAAACATATCTAAGACATCTATCATTTATTCATTCATTCAATTAGTCATCCAGTAAGTGATTTTCCCCAGTTGTATGTCTTCAGTAAATGTGGCCAGTCTGCACCCTGTATCTTTACTCAGTTGTATTTTATGCAAATCTTTGAAAAAAACGTGTCCAACAGGGCAAAGGCCTATCATACAACATGGAACACTTCCCTGAAGAACAGCTGACCACTGAATTAGTTTCTTTATTAATTCAGCAAATTCATTCAGTAAGTACAAATTGAGTCCCTACTACATGCCAGGTTATGATCTACAGATAGCATCCAGCATGTTCACTGCATACAGCAGTGAACCAACCAGACAAGGTTCCTGCTTTTTGCAGAGAAGGTTACAAGGGATAATAAACACTTAAAAACAAATAATCGCTAATATTGTTTAGCTTGCCTATGTGCCAGCCATTGTTCTAAATGCTTTATGTGTTTATTCCTCACAAAGCCTTATGAGGTAAATACTCTTCTTGTTCCCATTTTATAGATTAAAATGCAGAGAAGTTGTCACTTGCTCAAGGTCATATGGATCCTAAAGGATGGAGCATCAACCTGGGTAGTCTATCTGTAGAGCCTGTGTGTTTAACCACTGGGCTTCTACTGTGTCTCTGTAGAAATAAACACTCAATTAAATATATATGTATATACATATATTCCCATGTGAGAGAGGGTGATATTTAAGCTGAGATCTAAAATGACAAGAGGCAGCCAACTCCTTGAGATCTAGCGGGAGAGCAAAAGGGAGTGTGGTGGAGGATGAGGCTGGAGAGGTGGGCAGGGGGCCTATTCCATGAGGCCTTGTATACCAGGGATTGGGGCTCCAGTAATTTAACCAGTGGTGAACATGCCTAGTTGCTTCAGTATCCAGCCCATACATACCCATCTTGTCCACAAATATACTGCGAACAATTTCCTTTCCTGATCCCCATACATGATCAAAGGACATTCCCTTTATACTCCAAACCATTACCTTCCAGTCTTCACCATCAGTGTGGCACAGAAAAATACACTGGTTTTTGCTTTTGTTTTTGTTTTTTTGAGACAGAGTCTTGCTCTGTCACCCAGGCTAGAGTGCAGTGGCACGAACACGGGCCACCACAGCCTTGACTTCCCACGCCCAAGTGATCCTCCCACCTCAGCCTCATGAGTAGCTGAGACTACAGGCACTTGCCACCACGTAAAGCTGAATTTTAAATTTTTTGTAGAGATGAGGTTTTGCCATGTTGCTCAGGCTAGCCTCGAACCCCTGGGCTCAAGCGATCCTCTGACCTCAGCCTCTCAGAGTGCTAGGATTACAGGTGTGAGCCACCTGGCCAAGATGTACAATCGCAGTTCAGAATCCATTAAATCTCCATGGTGCTATATGACCTTGGCCAAGCCACAGGCTCTCTGATCTTCAGTTTCCAGGGATATTTCCCCATTGTTCCATAATGTTACCTTACTCCTAGAACTGAACCCCTGAGGTATTCAGCATTTTGGAATTTTTGACCTAGAGAACAACCATTCCTTCAACCTTTCCCCTTCCTGATCTCTTCCATTCTTCTCTGTGCAAGGCCCAGGTAAGCTGTGCCTACCTTTATGCAGCTGGCTTCAGTTACTAACAGCTCCAGGGACTGCTCTCTCATCTCCCAAAAGCCCTGCTGGTTTGACCCCATCAAGTTCTACTTACCCAAGTGTTATACAACCCTCCCCTTAATTACACACTCAATCAGTTCCTCCCAAGCTCAGCAATTTGTGGTCTCTGGGCATCCCCCAGCTGCTTTTCCGGAGGTAGCTCCCAGGCTGGGTCCTGGCAAGCCTCTGAAGCACTGCTTGGGTTTTTAAGGCCATGGTACCCAGAGTTGAAAGCCTTGCTGTTATTTCACACTCTATTTCCTTCCAAATTAATTCTCTGATGAATACTGTCCTTTGCAGTGATTCAGTGCAGGCCATTTCCTTACATCTTTCCCCTACCTTTGAGACTTTTAATCTCTCTCAAATCCAGATTTTCCTTTGTGAAAGGCTTGCCTCAGAGAAAAATGCCCTGCTTTCCTACCAATATAAACAGCTCTACCAACACTGGCCCCAGCCTCCCGGCACACTCCCTTTACTGCTTGACTTAGCTATTCCTTTGATTTCAAAGCACACATACTTGCCTTCTCTAAAAATCTCTGTACAACACAGAGCAACTCAAACTTCTTGGCTTACAGTAAGCTGCTGGACCCTAGTTTCCTTAAGCCCCAAATACAAGAAGATGCAGGTTCAAAACTTGTATCTGAGGAGGTAGCACCTTCCATACCCTTTCACATGGTTATTTTGCTTACATCCCCCTCCCCTAACCCCAGCAGATAGTATCACCATCCTTCCATGTGGATAAACAGAAACTCTGCCATGCTAAAGGAGTTGCCCAAGGTCACAGGGCCCAGGAAAGTGGTAAAACTGGAATCCAAATCCCTGGCTCTTATCTCCAAGGTAGGTGCTTCTTTCAGCATCCTTCATGTGGCTTAAACACCCCTGAAACAGCCTAGTCTTCAGCCACCAAGATCTTACCACCCAGGGGCAAGCCATCTAGGTCCGCAGGCACCCACTGCCCACAGCCCTGAGGAATGCTCCGGAGGAGCCACAAAGAGGCTCCTCTGGCATAGCAGGAGCAATGGCTTATATTTGTATAACACTTTTCATATTAGGAAGTGCTTTCCATACCTAATCTATGTCATTCCTAGGATAATTCCATGAGGGAGATGCTATATTAGAGTCCCATTGCACAAATAAAGATATACAGGCTTATCAACAGGAAATTAATGGACTTGCCCAAAGTCACACAGGTAGTAGGTACAGGGCAGGACTTGAACTCAGAGCACATGACTCCAAGATCAGTGGTCTCTTGAGTTCTCAGACATGGTGACTGTGGGCCACTGCCCCCCTCCCAATTTCTTCAGGAAAAGGTACATTTTATTTAAAGGCCAAACGGAGAGCGGAATCCTGAGAAGACCAGCTTTTTACTGGGGAAAGTGTTTTTCAGTTCTCCCCAGCCAGCCTTAGACAGGGGTCAGGTTTCTAGAGGCTGGCAGGGTGGACTGGGAAGGGCCGGGCTGCAAAGTCCCCTTGGCCACTAGAGGGCAGGGTCTGAAGAGAGCACACAGCCATCTCCCCGGGGAATTCCCCACCCAGCAGAAGAGACTCATCGCTGCCTAGCAGCCCCAGGACACGCTCTAGCCCAAAGCCGAAGAATGATCCCTTCCTGGCATGTTGTAGACAGGGTAGGTGCCCTTAGCCCACCCCTCCCCCCACAGCCCGCCCAGCCTCCTCTGCAGGTAGATGGCGGTGCCCTAGAGGATTCCAGCTGAGGAAAAGGGGTGCCAGGTGCCACTGACAAAGACCTGAGTTTCCTACAATGAAAATAAACAGGTCAGCACTCCAGGTCCCGGTGCTTCGAGGACTAGGGGAGGGTGGGACGGGAACTCTCTCCTCCTCCCTCTTCAGTTGGGCCCTTCAGGGTTTCTGTCCCCTTGCTGCAGTTTTTAACGATCCACGTGGAACTAACTGTTACAGGGGAATAGGCACATGGCAGTGAAGGGTCTTGTCTAATGACAGTCCTTCATCCCAGGGCCTGCCAGAGCCAAGAGCTCTGTAAGATAAGCCACGAGGCCCTCGGGAAGAGCTATCAGGGGAGCCGCAGATGAAGTCGGCCTTCCCTGGCAAGCCTGGCTCTCCTCCGTCCTGGGAAGCCTTTCACTTTGCCATACACGGGTGAGAGCCTCCTGTGGGAATTCTTTAAACCTCAACAGCACTCTGAGGCCCCTTAGAGAAAGGAGTCAAGGCAGGGACAGGTTAGGAATTTATGAAGAGCTTTTCACACCCTATTTTCCATCCTCAGGACAAATCATCAGGTAGATAAACATTAACTTCCCCGCTTTATAGTTGGGAAAATGGAAGCTCAGAGAAATTAAGTGACATGCCCACAGTCACACAACTGGTGAGTGAGGGAGCCAGGGTTCTGTACAAATCTCCTGCACACACAGGCACAGTGCCCCGGGAAGGGCAGGCGGAGGCGGGGCGCTGCCTGCAGAGGAGCATCCCCAAAGGCTCCCTTGGCTTGCGAAACCTACCACAGTTAAGAATCTCGTGGGAAGTGAGATGAAAGAGAAAAGGGAAAATAAGAATACTTGAAGGCACTTATACGTTTCCTTAATTGATTCTCACAACAACCCTAATTAGTACGTATCATTATGCCCATTTTTACATGAGAGGAAAAACAGGCTCAGAAACACCCGTCCAAGCGTTGCAAGGAAATAAATACGCTGTCAGAATTTGAACCCAGCGAAAGCCTTGGTGTTTTCCTTTACTCCATGCTTCCCCCTGGTGGTGAGTGGAAGGAGAGTGCATAGAAGCCACCTGGGTGCCAACAGAAGAGTTAAGTCAGCGTTCTGAACTCATTTATTCATTCGGTAAATCTTTGCTGAGGTCCACTTTGTACAGTCTCTGCACTTGGTTCTAGAAATACAATAAAAGACAAGACAAACAACCTTCTATTGAAGGACAAACAGAAACACGGGAGGCCTAGAGATAATTGGATTACACAGGAAAAGGGAGTGTGGGTCAGGGGTCAGGTGATGGAAAAATGTGTGCCAAGGTAAAGAGGCCAGAGGAGTGCGATTTCCTTTTTTTTTAAACATACTATAGGTCTGGCTAGGGAGATATGTGAGGGGTGAAGCTGGAGAGGTATGCAGGGGCCAGGTCTCAGGGGGTGATGGAAAGCAAGTGAGGGTATGGCCCATTAGGAAGCCACTGTGGTAACCTAGGAGGGTGGCCTTGGGCCCCGGAGAGAAGTGACAGAGGGGATATGTCATTCAAATGTCCAAGTGTCTGAGCACTGGCATGCACTAGGCACTATTCCAGGTGCTGGGGACACATCAGTGAACAAGAGGAAATCTGCCTTCATGGAGCTTCCATTTTAGTCAGGGAAATAAGCATATAGATACACAAATATGTAATATCCGGCACTGATAAATATCACAGGGCGGGGGAAAGACAAGACAAGTGTATTCATTTGCTAGGGCCTGCCGTAGCAAAGTATCACAGACTAGGTGGCTTAAACAACAGAAATTTATTTCCTCACAGTGCTAGAGGCTAGAAGTCCAAGATCGTGGTGTCAGCAGCATTGGTTTCTTCTGAGGCCTCTCTCCTTGACTTGCAGATAGTCATCTTCCCTCTGTGTCTGTGTCCTCATTTCCTCTTCTTATAAGGATTCCAGTCATATTGGATTACAGCCTACCCATATGACCTCATTTACTTTACCTCTTAAAAGGCCCTATCTCCAAATACATTACACCTGAGGTACATTCAGTCCTCAACATCATTGATAGGTTCTTGGAAACTGTAGCTTTAAGTAAAACAACATATTAGAGAACCAACTGTTTTGCTCATCAGTGTTACAAGGCAACGATGTTGAACAAAACACAATGTTATTCAAGGACCTGCTATATGTCCTTTCACTGAAAGCCGACATTTCCAAGAGCCTATTGATAGCATCAAGTGAGGACTTACTGTACTAGGGGTTAAGATGTCAACATATGGATTTAGGGGGGACACAATTCAGCCCATGACAGAAGGTGGCAGAGTATACCTAAGGCAGGAGGTAGAAGGAGGGCAAGGAGGGCCTCTCTGAGATGACAATGAGCTGAGATCTGAATGAAAAGAGGGAGCTAGCCACGCAAATGTCTAGGAGAGCATTCCAGGCACAGGAACAACAGGTGCTCACCCCGAGGTGAGGACATGGCTCAGGACTACTTGGCATACTCCATCTTCAACGATAGTAAGAATGGGATGGGATGATGGGAAAAAGGGAGATGTTAGTCAAAATGTACAAAGTTTCAGTTAAACAGTAGAAATAAGTTTTTGTGATCTAGTGCACAGCATGGTGACCATAGTTCATAACAGTATACTGTTGTCTTAGTCCATTTTGTGTTGCTATAACAGAATACCACAGATGGGGTAATTTGTAATGAACAGAAATTTATTATCTCACAGTTCTGGAAGCTGAGAAGTCCAAGATCAAGGCACCAGAAGGTTAGGGCCTGGTCTCTCTGCTTCAAAGATGGTGCCTGTTGCTGCATCCTCCAGAGAGGAGGAACACTTTGTCATCATATGGCAGAAAAGCAAAAGAGAAGGAACCCATTCCTGCAAGCCCTTTTTATAATGGCATTAATCCATTAAACATCCCCATTAGGCTCCACCTCCCAGTAACATTGTACTGGGCACTAAGTGTCAACATCAAATTTAGAGAAGACAAAAGCACTCAAACCACAGCGACTGTACACCTGAAAACTACTAAAGAGTATATCTGAAACATTTTCACCACAAGAAAGTGATGAGTAGATGAAGTGATGAATATGTTAATTAGCTTGATTTAATCATTCCCTCATGCATACATATATCAAAACATCACATTGTACTCCATAAATATACGCAATTATTATCTGTCAACTAAAAAGAAAGTAAAA
This sequence comes from Homo sapiens, assembly GCF_000001405.40. NCBI lineage: Eukaryota > Metazoa > Chordata > Mammalia > Primates > Hominidae > Homo > Homo sapiens. The sequence continues at coordinate 147,644,319 of NC_000001.11, forward strand.
AGTTTTTATTACAAAAAAGAAGAAGAATGGTAAGATGGCGAGTATGGCTGGGGTGCAGTGAGATGTCATAGGACCGTGAGGGCATTATGACTGGCCCTTAGTTTGAGATGAGAAACCAATGGGGAATTTAGAGCAGAAGAGTGGCACGATCTTACTTTGTTTTAAAAGCAACACTGTGTTGAGAATAGATGGGCAGAGAAGGGAAGGGCAGAAACAGGAAGACTAGTTACGAGGCCTTTACAATAATCCAGGTAAAAGATGACACTGGGACTAAGACAGTAGCAATGGAAGTATTGGGACATGGTCAATTCTGGATATAGTTTGAAGAGAGATACAACAGGAGTTACTGATGTAGTAGAGGTAGGATATGAGAAAAAGAGGGGAGTCAAGGGCAGTTCTAAAGTTCTTGGCCAAAGCAACAGGGTGAATGGTGGTGTCATTTACCTAGATGGGAAAGCCTGTGGAAGGAGTAAGTTTGAAAAGGCACGGAAATTGAGAGTTTATTGTGGACAATGGGAAGTTTGATACCTATTGTATATCTTAAACATCCAAATAGAGACATTGATTAGACTGTTGGAAATGAGACTGGGATTCACAGGGAAAGGTCTAGGTTGAAGGTATAAATTTAGGAGACATTGTGTAAATATTTAAAACTGGAAATTCTTTTTTTTTTTTTGAGATGTTATTTCTCTCTTGTTGCCCAGGCTGGAGTGCAATGGCACGATCTTGGCTCAGCACAACCTCTGCCTCCTAGGTTGAAGTGATTCTCCTGCCTCAGCCTCCCAAGTAGCTGGGATTACAGGCACATTGTACTCCATAAATAGACACATACAGCCTTCCGAGTAGCTGGGATTACATCACATTGTACTCCATAAATATAATAATTTTATAAAATTATAATAATTTTATAAAAATATAATAATTTTTGTATTTTTAGTAGAGGCAGGTTTAGTGGAGACAGGGTTTTGCCATGTTGGCCAGGCTGGTCTCGAACTCCTGGCCTCAGGTGATCTGCCTGCCTTGGCCTCCCAAAGTGCTGGGATTACAGGCGTGAGCCACCGCGCCCGGCCTCAAACTGGAAATTCTTGAGATCACCTAGTGGGTGAGTGTAGGGGAAAAGGTGGAAAAAAGGTCCAAGGAGTAAGCCCTGGGACACCCCAACACTTACGGATTAGAAAAAGGTAGATTCAGCAGGAACAAAGTCGAGAAATTGGAGGAAAACCAAGAAAGCATTTGTCGAAGCCAGTGAAGGAAATAGTCTAGGAATACTGATGAGAAGCTTAGTAAGAAGAATGAAAACTGGCTATTGGATTCACCACACAAAGGCTATTGATGATTTTGACAAGAGCAGTTTCCATGGAGTGGTGGGGGTGAATACTTAATTGTAGCTGGTTCATGAGAGAACTGGAAGGGAAGAATTAGAGGTAGCAACTCTTTTGAGGAGTTCTGCTATGAAGGGGAGAAGGAAAAGAGAACAGCAGTTCAAAGATGCAGAGAAAAAAGTTTAAGAGATTTTACAGCATATTTGTATTGCTAATAGAATAATTGGTCAGGAAAAAAATTGACAATCCAGAAAAAAGACACTAGGAGTCAATGTAAAGCTAGAGGGTTGGGCTTTGATAGGAATAGTGTTGGTTCATTCTTAGTAAGAGGGAGGAAGGAAGGCTATAAAAGCACCAATGCAACTGGGTTAGCAGATTTGGTGGTTGGGTGTTGGGGGATGTGGAAGTTTTCTTCTGATCTCTTTTAGATTCTTAGTAAAATAGGAAATACAGTAACCAGCAGACTGAGGATGGGAAGGGGATGCTGAAGATTGAGGATAAAGATATGTGAATAGATTAAAGAAATAAACAGGTAGTATTGATAAAACTTAACTGATTAGACATAGGAAAATGTGAGACAAAGAAAACAAAGACAGATTTCTGATTTGGCAACTGGGTGGAGAGTGGAGGTGTCTTTCATTCAGATAGGGAAGTGTGTGGGAGAAGCAGGTCTGGGAGGAGGGGGGTTTGATTCTAACATGGAAAGTTTTGTGCCAGTGAAATCCAAGTGGATAAAAGTGTCTGAAGCTCAGAAGAGAAACCTGAGCTTGAGATATCTCAGCTCCCTGATCTGGAAGTTGTCAATATTAAGATAGTAGGAAGTGGAGAGGCTTTTGTGGTTGCTGTTTTCTCTGAGAGGTAAAGGGACTGGTGGTTTGAAATCAGAGAAGGGTTGAAATAGATTCTGGAGAAGAACAGCAACATTGACAAGGAGATAGGGGGATCATCAGGTACTCTTAGGGGGCACAGTTAAAGGTGGAGCTCTTATGTTGAGTAGTTCCAGCCTTACCATTGCAGAGCCCTGGGGCCCACATTTGTTTCTGGAACTAAAACCACCAGGGGCCCAGTGTCCTTCCTGCTTCTTCCTGCTGAGCCTCCACATCAGGGTTCCATCTCACCACCCAGCAACGTTCCCTGACCTTGAAGCCTATCCTTTATCTAAACGCAACACGCTTTCATCCTTGCTTTCCTGGTTAACTCCTACCCACCTTTCTCTACTCAGATCAGGCCAGGACTTTTTCAGAAGCCTTCCTTGACTGTTCCCCACATCCCCTGCCATGTGAGCAGGAAGTTTCTTCTCTATACCCAAATAGCCCCTCAAATACCTATTACAGCATAAAACATACAGCACTGTATCACTGATTTACTCGGCTGCCTCTCCCACTGGACTGCAACAACTTGAGGGCAGAGTGTTTTCACCTTTATAATGATCACTACTTAGTAGGTAGCTCAATACATGTGAAATTAATATAGGAGAAAAGAACTAAAGTCCAAAACCGACACAATTCTACAGGGTCATGATGTCCCCAGCCCGTGTCACACAAAGATGCTTCTAACCTTAGAAACCAACTCACAAAATAGAGAAATATCCTTTTGGTCTCAATATTATACCCCTTTTCCGTTCAGGAAGAAATCTTAGTAAACCCACAGAAAGGAAATATCCTTACATTATATTAAAGTACATTACCCCTTGCTCTCTCCTCTTCCCAAACACACAAAGCAGGAGGCATTGTATAAAGGCACTTTATTTTAAAATCAACACATCCTGCTTTTATAAATCAGTTACTCTTCATTTCCAACTTCCATCACCTGAGTTTGAGAGCAGAGTGCGTGGTATTTTTCTGGGCTTAAGGTATAAACTGACATGGCATTCAAGAACATGTCCAGCGGGCAGAGCCCATCAGGGCAACCTCTCGGCACCTGCTCCTGCAGAAGAAACATAACTCAGCAGGTCCGCCGAGGAACCTGTCCTTCTGCTATTTCCAGCTAAGCCCAGAGATCTGAGAGGCTCTGATCCATGTGGTATACATGTGCATACATATTACAGACAGGAAGGCCCCACTACCCGGTGAGCTTCCAGAATAAAAGCACTATGCTCTGCTTGTAAAAGTCACTCAAAAAGTGTTGAATTGACTGGGAAGAAAGAGTCGAGTTACATCCCCGAGCTGGGAGAACCAACAGGCTCATCCCTGGGGCGTGCTCTGGCCTCTGCCCTGGACCCCAGCCCTGATGAAGCAGCCAACACCACGGGTGCTAACAGCAGCACACATCACCTCCCAAAGATACCACCAACAATCTCCAAAACAGGTCTCACAGCCAGGAGGCGACATCCTGACAGGGACGCTCAGGAGAAGAGGAGGGGGACCCTGTTCCTAGGAGTCTGTAACAGAACTGGGATAAGGCTCAAGCCCCATCCTGCCACCATCTGTCAAGTTCTGCCTGACCCCTGGGCCATAGCCAGGAGTTGCCCTATAGGATTCAGAGAGCTGACTGTGCCAAGAGAGACTCCACTGGGCCTGAGGAGGGAGACTTGGTGCTAACTCAGGTAGGTGGGTTTTGCAGGAGGGTGCCTCACCACCACCCAACCCCACCTCAGGGGTATTACCTTCCCGTGGTAATAGAGCTGCACAAACCACTCCTTAGATTCCAGGTGCTGGTAAAGTTCCATGGTCAGGTCAACAGCAAACGGTGGCCATTTGTGGTCAAAAATCCCCAGGGTCATTAAGAGCGGTATGAAGGTCACATCATGAGCCGCATAGAGATACAGCTTTCTGCAAGAGGAAACAGCTCTCCACAATTCTCTGCCTCAGGACTCTGAAGGTCAGGATGTGGCCTGCCTCCTTTACGTAAGACACACTTGCCTCAGAAACTAGGTGACATCTAGAAATCAGCTGAGCCTGGTATAAAAGTCCTTTGCAGTAGATCGTGGGAAGAACCCTTGTTCCCACTCCCCGTGTCTTCATGAGGAGGGTCCCCGCCAGAGAAATTCTCCTGGCCTCCTCCTTGCCACCTACTCACTCCTCCCTGGTGAGTTTCAAAGAAGAAACTGAGCGTGTGTGGCTTAGACCCTACCTCTCTTCTCTCTTTGGGTCCTGCCAGCCTACATGAATGCCCTTCCTACTCTCAGCCATGGGATGAGTTTAGTAGGGCTCCTTGTTGGGGAAGCTTGAAGTTTTGGGGTATTAAGTTTATTTCAAAATAATATTCACAAGCCCATTTGGCCCTCAGCACATTCTCCAAATGGCTTTAATCTGTAATAAGAATGCCATTTTAATCTACATCTGCCTGACACCAGTATCCATCTCTTAGGAAAGACCAAGGATTTTATTTATGGACCCCCATCCTAGAAGACTAGCATTGGATCCTGTGGTGTTCTAAAGATCCAAGGCAGAAGGTGGCAAGGTGGCAAAAGCCAGAAAAAATGTACTGTCATTGCAGGTACTGTGAAGGACAGGAAATGGTATTCACAAGATTTGCTATTACAAATCTTGGCCCAAAGTTCCTGTTTCAACTCACTGTCTCCTATTCCTCTTACGCCATCATGAGTTTCTAGCTGTGATACCACAACAGTGCTTCTCCAAAATTCAGGTGACTATCAATCACCTGGGGATCTTGTTAAACTGCAGATGCTGATTTAGTAGATCAGGCTGGAGCCTGAGAACCTGATGAGTTCTTGGGCAACGGTGAAGCTGTTTTCCTGCAGAACGCACTTAGCAAGTGCCTAGGACACATAATATTCCACAGCCGTAGTCCCAACCTTGGATTCAAGGCTCCAAAAGTGGCAATGGAGGCTCATGAGCTACTTCCAACATTTTTTTTTTTTGAGACAGAGCCTGGCTCTGTCACCAGGCTGGAGTACAGTGGTGTGATCTTGGCTAACTGCAACCTCCGCCTCCTGGGTTCAAGCAACTCTCCTGACTCAACCTCCCGAGTAGCTGAGACTAAAGGTGCGTGCCACCATGCCCGGATAATTTTTGTATTTTTAGTAGAGCAGGGTTTCACCATGTTGGCCAGGATGTTTTCAATCTCCTGACCTCGTGATCCACTCACCTTGGCCTCCCAAAGTGCTGGGATTACAGGCGTGAGCCACTGCACCTGGCCACTTCCAATATTTTTAAATGCCTTATGGATATCATACCTTCTTTACACTCAATGAAAGTGGTTCAAACTACACAATCCATTAAGCAATTTATCTTTGTTTTGGACTATTATCATATCAAATCAGTGTGACATCATAATTGGCTACTGTTTGACATATCTTCAATTAATAAAAAAAAGAGAGAGAGAAAGCAAAAATAAAATTTTCAAAACATGGTAGGAGGGGTGCAGCAGGAAGAAAGGTTAAAAGATTGTGAACCTCTTTGACACTTGAGGCCTGTTAAACATCTACCTTCGGTCACTGACAGCCTGGTTCTTGCCTCACTAAGATTTGGGTTCCCTCCCTACAGCCAGAAGTTCCCACGGCCCTTAGCTGCACAAAGCAGAGTTGCTGTGCCAGGTACCTGATCTTGTCGGGGGCAGTGGCAGAGTCCATGGCTTTCAGCAGGTTGCTCTCTAGGATGTGGAGGAATGGGCCTACTGCCATCTGAAGACTTTCCCTGTGAAAAGTGAACAACATTTAAGCACCTAGAGGGCACTCAGCATTCAGGGGACACAGACTGATTCTGCCCCCAGGACCTCATGAGTCCAGACAGAGCTGAGAAAAAGGCAAGTAATGCATAAGGGCCAGCAACGGGCCAGAAGGAGAGAAATGGCACCGAGTCCGGTCTTGGGGTCCTCTGTGAATGAAGACTCCCAACAACACAGGCACCAGCACACAGACCTGTTGTGAACACAACTGAGATGGGAGGGGCTGAGGGAGCAGGAGAGTGGTAACCTGGATAAGCCGTGACCAACTAGGCCTTGGGGAATCAAAGAACAAAGCTGACAAGCTGGGAAGAAGAAGGGGTAATAATTTCCAGGAATTCTAGAAGGCCCTTAGAAAAATAATCAGAAGGAACAAGAACATCCTTAATTTTGTTTCCTATGTGCCAGCCTTCCTTCTTTTGGAGTTTGGGCCATAAAGACATTTCTTATTTATGTCTTATTTATTTTACAGAAGAAGTTCAGTGGTCGTGCTCCCAGGCTTGGCTGTGTGGCTCCACCACTTTCATTCTCAGGCCTGTCACATCATGGCCACAGGTGACTACTGCAGCTTAAAGCATGTTCACTCACAGTAGTGAACAAAGTCCACTTACTATAGAAGAAAGAAATGTTTCTCATCTACTCATCCTAGCAGCTGATCAGCTTCCATGGAGACTTCAGAGACTGGTCTTCTCCTTGTTTTTGTGCTTCTCACTTTTTATCAAAGAGAAAAAAACACCCCTCCTAGAATTCCCAGAACCCAGCCACTGACAAATGAAAACAAGGTTGCCATGATTGGCTTAGACAAATCCTTATTTGTGGTGATTGGGTAAATGACCATCTTTATAAGTCAAGGAATGTTGCAGCAATGGATGAAGAGCAGGCAACCAACACTGTATGCAACACATACTTTTCAGAAGAATGTATACAGGCAAAGCCAAGTTGGATGGCCTTGTGAGGTTGTAACCATTTGTCCTTGAAGAAATGTTAGTTTTACAAAACCAGGGCTAATTGGAATGGAATAGACAAGGTCCTGTTTAAAATGATTTACACCAGAATAAAGCAAACTATACCATAGGCCAAATCTGACCAGTTTTGGTAAACAAATTTTACTGGCACACAGCCATGTCTATTTGTTTGCATATTGTCTTTGGTTGCTTCATGTTACAAGGGCAGAGATGAGTAGTTGTAACAGAAATTGCATGATCCTGACAGCTTAAAATATTTACTAAATATGTGTGTGTGTGTTGATAAAGGAGAGGGAAGTAAGTAACAATTTAGGTATGGTGGCACCCCTTCACAAGCAGAAAAGGGAAGCTGGCAAGTCCCAGGGAGTGGCAGCAAGCTGTGTGGCTTGGCAGGAACCTTCTAGATGCCCTAGGCTTGCACAGAAGTGGACACACTGACCCTGAGTGGAAGGAATGCAGTCAGGGGCTCTTATCCTTGGGCACCCAACCGTGCAAATTCTTGAACTGTTAGATGCCTTTCCCCCCTACTCATCTTTCCCAGGGCTACTTCCTACCTCCCCTCCTCTATCAAGTCACCTATTTTTAGTGCAAGTTGAATGCTCTCAACAAATCAGAAAAAAAGGTGTCTTCTGAAATTTGGTGAGAGAAAAACTTTCCATTCTGGTAGTCAGGAAACAGAACCCTAACTGCTAGTAATATAGCGAAAACACAGAATAGGCAGTCAGTGGATCTGGGTCCAAGTTCTGGCTCCATCACTTGCTAGCTGGGCCTAGACCAGGTAGGCAATATCTCCCAGCCTCAGTTTCTTTATCTATAAAGCCAGGGAGAAAGGTATCTCTCTCACCTCACAGTGAGAATGTGAAAATGGTTTGCAAATTGTAACATGATGACTAAAGACAGAAATGAATATTCTTTCTTCAGCTCCCCCCACCCAAATCCTTTAAACCTTAAAGCAAAAGGAAAAGGCAAGTGATAAAGTCATGAGGGTGGTGGCTCCTGGTTCTGCATAACAGGGAACAGAAGCACTAGGCCACCAGTCCCAGCTGTAGAAGTGCGAGGACCTAGGGCCTACTGGTAGGTGGGCAGAATGGGGTTCAGCCTCCTTACACGAGGAGACATCAGCTGTCAGGTGTGAGTGGGCCTGATGAACTCCTCTTCCCCATACACTTGGATGTCTGACCAAGCGTGACTTCATGCCAGCAGTGAGAGCCCCTCACCTGTCTTCCTTGGGCAGTATGTACAAGGATGTGTCCACAGCTCTCTGTTCGATCATCCTTGCAAATCTCTTCAGCATGGGGCAGCTTGGGAGGTTGTGTGCCTGAAAGGGCCACATGTAGTTTTAGAAAAAAATGCTTCTTACCTACTGATTCTGGCAGCTGATCAGCTTCCATGGAACCTGCAGGAGCCCATCTTCTCCTGGGGAAGAGAAGACAGGCTCAAGAACAGCTATGTCTGTTAACAGGTCAAGAAGCTATGTCTCTAAAGCTCTTCCAAAGCTATTACTAGATACCTGAAGGCCAGGAAAAAAAAAAAAGAAAGGGTTTCTTCCCTTTCTGATGACTCCCCATCCACTCAAAAATGAAAAGCATTTTTGTTGTTTTTTTGGTTTTTTTGAGACGGAGTCCCGCTCTGTCGCCCAGGCTGGAGTGCAGTGGCACGATCTCGGCTCACTGCAAGCTCCACCTCCTGGGTTCACGCCATTTTCCTGTCTCAGCCTCCTGAGTAGCTGGGACTACAGGTGCCCGCCACCACGCCCGGCTAATTTTTTTGTATTTTTAGTAGAGACGGGGTTTCACCGTGTTAGCCAGGATGGTCTCAATCTCCTGACCTCGTGATCCACCCTTCTCGGCCTCCCAAATTGCTGGGATTACAGGTGTGAGCCACCGCGCCCGGCCTGTTTTACTGGTTTTTTTTTTTGAGATGGAGTCTTGCCCTGTCACCCAGGTTGGAATGCAGTGGCGTGATCTCGGCTCACTGCAACCCCTGCCTCCCAGGTTCAAGCAAGTATTCTGCCTCAGCCTCCTGAGTGGCTGGGACTACAGACATGCACCACCACACCCGGCTAAATTTTGTATTTTTAGTAGAGACAGGATTTCTCCATATTGGCCAGGCTGGTCTCGAACTCCTGACCTTGTGATCCTCCCACCTCAGCCTCCCAAAGTGCTGGGATTATAGGCATGAGCCGCCATGCCTGGCCTGTATTTTTTAACTTAAAAAAAAAAGATGAATAAAATACAAAGCAAGGAATTCATAAATTCCTACTTGATCTTCATTTTCCCAAAATGAAGTCTAAAAAATACGCCATACAAATACATGATATGAACTCTTGCCTTCTAACCTTAAACCTATTTTACACATAAAAGCAAGGTGCATTTCTGCCTTTAGGGTACACAGTCATTTTATTTTCACAAGAGTGGGGAGGATCCTATATAACTTTGGATGTCCAACTTTTAAATCTAGAGAAACCTTTCCCATTGTTAGTCTTCTTTATGTATTTATTACAGAAAAAAAGATCCTATGGCTAAATAAGCTTAAGGAAAACAGATTTAAAGATTAACCAGCTTTCTTTATGAAGGGCATCTCAGATTTTTTTAATATGCTGATGTACATATAGTACTCTCAAGAAGTGATGCAATAAATAAGGATTCCAAAATTTTTAGACCCTACTCATCCCTCCCTACCCATTGCCCCTGCCTGCCCAAACACAAACTGCATATTGGGTGTTCTGGGGAACATGCCTCAAGAAGCTCTGGTCTAGAGTTCAGTGTCTGTGTTCCTACCTGGGTAAGGAGTCTTCCTCGATTGCTCCCTATCCCTCAGTCCCCACACCCATTCTATCTGTAGGTCTTATCACAGTTGCCTTCAAACCAGGAGGCCTCCACCCACTTCTCTCCACCCGGTTCTAACTCCGGAGCCAGCCCACCAAGGCTATTATCCCAGGCTCCCCAACCCCAGGACTCACCTGCTCGGCAGCCACGTTGTCCAGGAGGATGAAGAAGTCCACTTTATCACTACTGTCAATGCCCATCCTGTCCTTCACCTTTTTCAAATCCTCTGAGATTCCTGGCTGTAAAGAGGCAGTCTGCCTCCGGCCTCTGACAAAAAATAAAAAGTAAAGCCTTATATTCTATAGTGATTAACAGTTTACAAAGTGTGCTTCACACTTGGGTTATCATTTGGGATATCATTTAATCCCCACAACCCAATGGGGTTAGCTGGTATTATCCCAATTTTATAGATGAATAAACTAAGGCTCTATAAGGTCAAATGACTTATAACGTTAAGTTAGCAAGTACCAGGGTTAGGATAACAGGATGAAATTTTCCAAATCTCACTCTAGCATTTGCATTGCATCAAAAATGATGCAAGCATGGCCCAGGTCTGTCTGAAAACAGCATTTTCTTTTCTTTACGGAATAAATACCATATAGTCTTAGTGCAGCCTAGAGATACCTGAAAAGTGTCATCAGCCCAAACCGATCTATCTTACATAGAAACATATTGGTAAGAGAAGAAAAATCTGTGTCTTGTTGGGCTTGTACAACTGGATTTGCCGGTTAAAGACAGTCTCAATCATCTTTTATTTAACCTGTTGGTTTTCTCATTTGCCCCACCTGAGAGACCGGGGTTGTCAGAAGGATCATACTTTGTAAATGGCAAAGGCCCACTCGTGGCTGTATGTATCATCTCGCTAGCCCAGTGTGCGGCTCTTCCCAGAATTCCTGGCCTTCACCATGGGTCTGTCATTGTGAACAAGACTTCTTCGCTTCCTAGACAGCTGATGTCACACTTAAGTGTAATTTAAACCTTCCCATCCATTATTCGCCAGTAGGGTAAGCCTGGACAGGCCCTCAGTATAGACAGAGTTCTGCCAGCAAAGGTTGTAAAAGGTTGTCCCCAACTGGTGAGCAAGAACCCAGGGGCAGTTACCTGGTTCTCTGCCTCAGGCTCCAGCAGCTTTGGTAGTTGGGATACAAGACTTCTGAATCTGCTTCATCAGTGTGGATGATGATGGGTCCTGGAAGAAAGGGAGGAAGCACAGGCAGGCAGAGGCTTCAGCTTGTTCTTCCCAGCATCTCCACCCCCTTCTCTTTGTCTACAGAGATGGAGCAGAGATCTGCTCTGAGAGGCAGATCATCAAGGTTACTCCTTAAGGACAGAAAATGCCTTCAACATGCCCTGGCCCTGCCAAAGGAGGCTCTCCTATAATCTGAGCAATGAAAAAAGTTAGTGGCAGCAGCCTTGTTCTGTCTAGCGCAAGCCCTCCTATCGGGCCACAAATAGACTAGAGCAGGTAATAGACCTGAAACAGACTGGCAACTCCCTGACACCTTCCAAAAAATCCCTGCTGTAAAGCACTACCAGCATTTGGGCATTCTAATAAATAATAGTGTTATCAGAACTAAGTTGCTTCCTGAAGCCTGATCCTATAGGCCACTATGGTGACTTATCACATAACAAACTGAGAAAAGTGGACACAAGGCCACAGATCCTCTCAGAGACCCCATAGCCTTGCCCAAAATAAAAAGCCAGGCTTTTAGATGAATTGCTGGTCTAACCAAAGATCTAACCAAAGAAACTACAATGTTTCTCATATATCTCATGGCAGCTCATTGCTATTCAGACCCCCTCAGTACCATTGTCCCCTCCCGTCAATGCCCAAAGAAAGTGTCCTAACGCCTTCCCATGCTTTGCTCTGTGTCAGAGATGGCAAGTGCCATCTCTGTGTGGTAGGTTCTTTTTCCACACTGCTCAAGCCTGATGGCAAAAGAAGGAGCTCCCCAGCAGCAATTTGGGATTCACTGAGGTCCATCTACAGAGTGATCAGCTGAATCAAAGTCCCAAAGGGGTATTTATTCCCAAATTATTGATAGTCAGAACCAAGGGCTTTAAAAATAGCCTATAACTTTACTAGAATATCAGAATTCACACACACATCGTTGGTCTGGACAGAAGAAGAAACCACACTGAAAGTCATGAGTTTAGTCTTCAGTCCAGAACTAACCAGCAGTCGCCCTGGGAAGTCACTACCATTCTCTGGGGTTCATCTGTAAATCAAAGGGGTAGGACTATATCAGCCACAGAACCTCCTCCAACCTACGGCTATTATGTAAAGTATAATAATAAAAGAAGAGGTGCTGATGGCTGCAAGGTGGAGATCGAAAGCATAGTCCACTTGCATGTCCCATCCCCTCCTTTTCTGTGCTTCCTCAGACCCCTCTGAAGAATCCTGGGGTTCTGCAAGATTTGTTGTGAAAAGGAAAAACCAAATGATCCGATGCCGCCTCCAGATATACATGTCCTCAAATAAACAGTTGAGCATAAAAGGAAAAAGTAGGATTCTGAACCAAGACTGCCAGAGTTTGAATCCTAATTCCACCATTTACCAGTTTTGTGTCCCTGGGCAAGTCACTGAGCCTCTCTGTGTCTTGGTTCTCTTATCTGTAAAAGGGGATAATGACACCTATCTTATAGGGTTACTACAAGAATTAAACAAGTTAATATATGCGAAGTTCTTAGAACAAAGTTTGCTGCATACAATTGGTCCTCCATGTCCTTGGATTCTACATCTATGGATTCAATCAACCATGGATTAACAATATTTGAGTAAAAAAGAACAATACAAAATAACACAATAAAAATAACATAAATTAGAAAATAGTACAGGGTAATACACAGCATTTACATTGTATTGGGTATTATGTCATCTACAGATGATTTGAAGTACATGGGAGGATGGGCATAGGTTATATGCAAAGCTATGCCATTTTATAAAAGGGACTTGAGCATCTGTAGATTTTGGTATCTGCCCGGGGAGAGGGTTGTCCTGGAATCAATCCCTTTTGGATACTGTGGAATGACTGTACTAAGTCCTTTATGTGTTAGAATAACTATGACTTAAACTTATAACACTAATAATATTATAAACCTCTAATATTTCCATCTGGAGTCTGATATTGGTGTCTGGATTTTGGACCCAGTTTATGATAAATAAGGCACACTTGAGTAGACAAATGTACATTGAGCAAATGACTTGGCCAGTGGGCAGACCAACAATCTCCAGCTTTCCCCACAGCCTGATTCTCTGTAGCCTATACGTAACCACTGGGATTTTTCTAGGATTTTACTCCTAAAGCAATATCCCAAAGTTGCACCATTTCCATCAACAGTGCCACCTTCTGGGATTCTTTTTTTGTTTGTTTGTTTTTTGAGATGGAGTCTCGCTGTCACCCAGGCTGGAGTGCAGTGGTGCGATCTCGGCTCACTGCAACCTCCGCCTCCCGAGTTCAAACGATTCTCCTGCCTCAGCCTCCTGAATAGCTGGGATTACAGGCGCCCACCACCACGCCTGGCTAATTTTTGTATTTTTAGTACAGATGGGGTTTCACCATCTTGGCCAGGCTGGTCTTGAACTCCTGATCTCATGATCCACCCGCCTCAGCCTCCCAAAGTGCTAGGATTACAAGCGTGAACTACTGTGCCTGGCCCCTTCTGGGATTCTTTGTTCAAGTCCCTTCATATAGGAAAGGCATGGAAGTAGCTACAAAAGAAGCCAATCTGGAGTCCCAACAACTGTAGGTCCAGCGCAGGGAGCTGCTACCCAGACACCTGCACCTGAGGCTAGTGATTTCCTTCCCTGATGGAAACCTGGGATATTCCCAGTCTGGGACCTGCCTAAAGAGAATGTTGCCACCAATAAACATCTTTCCTTCTCAGTACCACTTCTGATGTTTCTGAGAAGATCTTTGCCTTTTAGAAGCTGAGCAGTTGAGAGCTTTCAGAAGATCAGGTGCTGTGGATCACTCCTAAACTCAAGGCTTCCCAAGAAGTAAGGGGCAGCCCATCCTGCTTTATGTGACCTAGACACGTACTGTTTGTGTGCAGCAGCCAACTACAGCCAGAACTAGCAGCAGTATCCAACCCAGTTGAGGGCAAGACCAGATTCCTCTTTCCTGAAGGTTCCATTATTTTACATATTTCTTAAAAAATGTGATGGAAATTTTGTTTCTATTTGAGATACTGCCAAAAAGCTAAACAAAGTAACAAGAACCTTTGCTTTTTGGCACCTTTTTAATAAGGTCATGATGATCTGAAACTCAGACCAGTAATTAAATGTAAATTTGAGCCAATAACAAATGACAAAATGCAGCTTCATGTGATGGCCAAAGGCTCTCAACACATGGGATCCATGAGGGAAAATAATTAATGCAGTCCTTGGGGATGAAAAGGTTGGGAACCACTGACTGCAACCATTCAGGGGCTGAATGTATCAAAACCCAAACTCGATGGACTTTCTCAACTAGGAAAGGCTAGACGGAACAGTGTTCATGCTGTGGATTATCACCAAGATTAGGGCAGTAGCAGCAGTGTTGGGTCCCAGTGTCCTTCCTTTCCAGCAATGTCTCACCTAAATAAAAAGCCCCCTCGATTGTTCACAAAACATGGTTAGGACTGCCTTGTGCAGCTTGTGTAGAAGCTTGAGGGGAGAAGCCAGGAGCCAGAGGCAGATCAGAGCAGCTGCTACACTGCTGCTGCTGTGGAGGTCAGGCTGGCAGGGGCACCATAAGGCCAGACAGGGAAAGACCCACTGGACTAGGTACACACTGGAAGTCACACATGCAGGAGAAAAAAAGTCAAGGGAACAGGCACCAAGAAAGAGATAGGGGCTTCGGAAGTGAGAAGCAAGACCCCTCAGGGACAGGGACTGACTGGGACCCCAAATACGAACCTTCTTTCTGACACTGGAAAAGCCCAGCCAGCAAACAACGGGTGGACTCCAGATTCCGAAAAATGTTAGTGGAACGAATACTGAAAAAAATGAGAAAATAGTGACACTCATAAAAGGAATATTTAATTATATACACTCTATTTTATTCCACATACGCTCCAGGGGTCTTTCAAGAGTACATAAGGAGAGCTATGGAACTAGGAAGAATGCTTCACTTTTCTGTGGGATGTCAGCCCCTGAGAGACTCGAAGTGCAATGAATGCGACCTCCAGGAACGACCTGTTCACCAGATCCTGTGACATAAGGGTATGCAGCATGACAAGTTGTCCCCCAAACTACCTTGGGTGACAGTGGGAACCATCTTGGGGAGTCAGGACAGGTATCCTCATGTTCAAGACCTTAAATTAAGTGCAACATCCCCTTTCAAGTGACTCACAAGACCTCCTGTGGGTTGAAGGTTGGTGAAAGAAAGGGAATGTCTTCCACATAGTTCTTCCTCAGTCTCTCTCCCAAGGCAAACATTTGCTGCATGCCCACCTTGGTCAGCTGCCCAGCAAACATGCCCCCCTAAAGTAGGGAAGAAAGAGAAAGAAGAATGAAAACACCTGACAGCCTGCTGAACTCAGCCCAGAGAAAACAACCCAACCTTTGCAGTGGGGCTCCCCAGAGCAAGGAAGCATTGCTCACCTTCAGGGTGGTCTCATGGTATTGAGAGTCGTAAGGAGAATATGGTTTCGGACCACCAGCTAGATTGGTGACTGTGTAATCAAACTGAGTTTGGGGTGGGACCTCTAATAGCTGGGGGTTCCACTCTACCTGTTAGTACAAAAAAAACACACCACATTGTTTAAAAATGGTTCTTGAAATGTATAGCATTAACATCTCAAGCACTCAGAACACATGGCTGGAATCACTGACACTAGGCCTGCAACCTTCCTATGGGATGGAAGGAAAGAAATGTTAGCTAAAATTAAGGGAAGAAAAGATGGTGATTTATTATTCCAGGTGTCCTTAGCCTATGTCCTGTTATTGCTACACTAGTAATGACTGCTAAGGGGCTGCTCTGGCACTTAGCCCACACTGAAGTAAAGGGGAGAAGTGACCAGAATGCCTGGCATGCGGATACGTGGTGAATGAACGAATAGATGGATGAAAGAAATAAGATGTCAGTGACCATATGTAAGAATTTATAAGGAATTAATCTGGAGGTTTATATGCCCTATCCCAGCTTAAGGATTCTACTTAATGTCCCTTGTAACTAATATACTTTTTTCCTCCTTTCATGCAATTCGTGAAACAAGCAGCTGCCATCTCAGAAGATGTTGCTTTTTCATCATCTTCCATTATTCCTTGCAATCTGGCTCCTGCCCCAACTGTGCTGTAATGATTTCAAAACATCACTAGTGGCCACAGGTCTCATAGCTCCAACTGTTCATAAAACTCTGACACTCATTGAGTCAGATGTGAATACTTCAATTTTAAAAACAAGTCTAATCCCATAGACCAGTTCCCCTTCCCAATCTACTATGTCCCTCTCAATGTTACCACAGTTCTCCTAGGCCCCAAACCTCAAACCTTTGGCTCCCTGTGGATCCACTATCCCCACACCAAGCCCTGTTGATCACTGCCTAGAAGAAAAGTCCCTCCCAATGGTCCTTCCATTATCTTATTGTAGAATGTAAACCTTATTAGTGCCTGTGACAAACTCCTCCCTTTCACCTGCACAATCCATCTATCCATAGCCAACTAATTAATCTTTTTGGAAAAAATATTTTTATTGCATTTAAATATTTTGTTTTATTTTTAATTGACAAATAATTGTATATTGTATATATTTATGGAGTACAATGTGATGTTTTCATATATATTTACATTTGATATATGATTAACTAATGTAAACAAAATCCATCAGCTCACATACTTTCATTTTTACGTGATGAAAATATGTAAAGTTAACCTTTTAGTAACATAGGCATACATCATTTTATTGCTCTTTACAGAGATTGCATTTTTCACAAATTGAAGGTTTGGAGAACTCTGCATTGAGCAAGTCTATCAGTGCCATTTTTCCAACAGCATGTGCTCATTCATGTCTCTGTGTAAAATCTGGTAATTCTCATAATATTCCAAACTTTTTCATTACTATTAAATCTGTCAAGGTGATCTATGATTTATGATTTGTTTTTCTTTTTGAAATGGGGTCTGGCTCTGTTGCCCAGGCTGGAGTACAGTGGCATGATCTTGGCTCACTGAAACGTCTGCCTCCTGGAGTGCAGTGGCATTACCTTGGCTCATCCTCTCACCTCAGCCTCCCGAGCAGCTGGGACTACAGGCATATACCATCATGCCCAGCTAATTTTTTTTTTTTGAGAGACAGGGTTTTGCCATGTTTCCCAGGCTGATCCTGAACTCTGTGATCTTTGATGTTACTATTTTAACTATTTGGGAGCGCCACAAACCGCCCCCATATAAGATGCCAAACTTAATCAATAAATGTTGTGTGTTTTCTGAGTGCTCTGCTGACTGGTATTTCCCCCATCTCTCTCCCTCTCCTTGAGCCTCCTTATTTCCTGAGACACAACAATATTAAAATTAGTCCAGTTAATAACCCTACAATGGCCTCTAAGTGTTAAGTGAAAGGAAAAGTTTCAAGTTTCTCACTTTAAATCCAAAGCTAGAAATGATTAAGCTTAGTAAGGAAGGCATGTAGAAAGCTAAGATAAGCCAAAACCTATGCCTCTTGCACCAAACAGCCAAGTTATGAATGCAAAGGAAAAGTTCTTGGAGGAAATTAAAAGTACTACTCTGGTGAACACACAAACAATGAGAAAGTGAAACAACCTTATTGATAACATGGAGATATTCAATGCAGAAGAAACAGCCTATATAGGAAGAAGATCCCAGCTAAGACTTTCATAGCTAGAGAGAAAGTCAATGCCTGGCTTCAAAGCTTCAAAGGACAGGCTGATTCTCATTAGGGATTAATGCAGCTGGTTTCCTTAAGGTGAAGCCAAGGCTCATTTACTATTCTGCAAATCCTACAGCCCTTAAGAATTATGCTAAATGTACTCTGACTGTGCTGTATAAATGGAACAACAAAGCCTGCATGGCAGGACATCTGTTTACAGCATGGTCTACTTAATATTTTAAGCCCACTGTTGAGACCTACTGCTCAAAAGAAAAAATTGATTCCTTTCCAAATATTACTGCTCATTGACAATGCACCTAGTCACCCAAAGGCGCTAATGGAGATGTACAAAATTAATATTGTTTTTGTGCCTGCTAACACAATGTCCTTTCTGCAGCCCATGGCCCAAGGAGTAATTTTGACTTTCAAGTCTTTATTATTTAAGAAATACATTTTGTAAGGCTATTGTTGCCCTAGATAGTGATTCCTCTGATGAATCTGGGCAAAGTAAATTGAAAACCTTATGGAAAGAATTCACCATTCTAGATGTCATTAAGAACATTTATAAGGAGGAGGTCAAAATAGCAACATTAAGCGAAGTTTGGAAGATTTGACTCCAACCCTCATGGATGACTTTGAAGATTCAGGCTTCCGTGGAAGAAGTAACTGCAGATGTGATGGAAATAGCAAGAGAACTAGAATTAGATGTGGAACCTTAAGTTCTGACTGAATTGCTGCAATCTCATGATAAAACTTGAATGCATGAGAAGTTACTACAAAGAAGTGGTTCCTTGAGAGGGAATCTAGTCCTGGTGAAGATAGTGTGAACACTGTTGAAATTACAACAATGGATTTATTACATAAACTTAATTGATAAAGCAGTGGCAGAGTTTGAGAAGATTGACTCCAATTTCAAAAGATGTTCTATTGTGGGTAAAATGCTATTAAACTGTGTCATAAGCTACAGAGAAATCTTTCATGAAAGGAAGAGTCTATCAATGTGGCAAACTTTACTGTTGTCTTATTTTTAGAAATTGCCACAGCCACCCCAACCTTTAGCAACTACTACCCTGATCAGTCAGCAGCCATCAACATCAAGGCAAGACCCTCCACTGGCAAAAAGATCATGACTCACTGAAGGCTCAGGTAATCACTAGCACTTTTTAGGAATAAAACATTTTTAAATTAAGGTATGTACATTTTTAGACATGCTATTGCATGATAGGATACAGAAGAGTGTAAACACAACTTTTATATGCACTGGGAAACAAAAAACAACTGTGGGTCTCACTTTATTGCGATATTTGCTTTATTGTGGTGGTCTAGACCTGAATCTGCAATATCTTCAAGGTATGCTTGTCTGTGTAGAATCTAAAGAAGTCAAAGTCACAGAATTAGAGAGTAGAGTGATGGTTATCAGAGGTGGGGGGGTGCAGTAAATGGGGAAAGAGAGATTTTTATCAATGGGTACAAAATTTCAGTTACACAGGAAGAATAAGCTTTAGTGATCTATTGTACAGGATGGTGACTACAATAAATAATAATGCATTGTATGTTTCAAAATCACCTAATTAATCTTGCTAAGCCAGTGTCATCATATCAGTAACTTTTTCCTAATGTCTCAGAGGAAAGCATCTGTCCTTCAAGAACTTCTACATCGTGGCTGAGTGCAGTGGCTCATACCTGTAATCCTAGCACTTTGGGAGGCTGAGGTGGGAGCATCACTTGAGGCCAGGAGTTCAAGATCAGCCTGGGCAACACAGCAAGACCCCATCTCTTAAAAAAATTTTAAAAAAGGACTTCTACCCCCTTTGTCCAGCCCCTGTACTCAGCTTCACTGCCTCTTTCCTCCCCTCCAACCTAGAACCTGCCCACTGTTTCTGCATCTTCTTCCAGCTTGCTTCTCTTGCTTGGAGGGACTCCTGTTCCTATCTGCCCATCACCTTGTCTTCAATGTTCAAGGATAGCTCAAGTCTTACTTCCCTATCACTGACCACTCTGGCTTTTGATGGTTATCTTTTAAATCTGAATTCCTATAACATTGATAACAAAAAAAATTTAACTCAATTTCCTACTACTTTGTTTAGTTTTAAAACTAACATTTGGAAACCTACTATGTCACATATCGTCATATTTATCTTCTACCCTCCCCGAACTATCCCAGGAGAATGGTACTGGGAGCCTCAGATTCTCTTGGCATCTAGGGAGCCCTCCATTCTTCCCAAAGGCATGTGTCAGTCCCACTGGCACCTGGTCTCCAACACCTGAACCTCCTTCTGACACATCAGAGGACCAGGTGTTCACAGAGAGGCCTTCTTCCTTCTTTCACAGTTAATCACTGCTCCCTCTTTCTGACCCTCTAACCCCTCTGGATAAAAAAAACCCTTCGAGGGTTCATGGCTCATGTGGCCCCACCTCCTCTCTAGCAGCCCCCTTACCACTTCTTCCCTATTCTACATACTTACTCACTAGCCACGCAACTTCCTTTCCTTTCTCATATTTCATGGCCTTTCAGTATCATGTTTCTTATGCCTGGAATTTTCTCTCCTCATTCATTTAGAAAGACTTTTGTTCATTCCTTAAGACTTAGCTTAAGTGTTCCCAGAAACCTTGGTCATGGCCTTATGCTTTCACAGTAGCTTCAGTGGCTCTCTTTAGTAGCCTTTACCAAAGTGTATTAAACGAGCTCCTTTACTGGTCTGTCCTGGCTTCCTGAGAACAGAGACTCGGTCATCTATTGACTTCTGTTTCCCAGCAAAGGGCCTCACACACAGTAGGTACAATTAATAGCTCCAACAATTTGCCAGCTCCTGTGGAAGATACCCATCTTGAGAAAACTTGACCCTGCCTTTCCTGGGTGTTCAAGTTAGTAAAGAAAAAAGGCCAGCTGTGAATGTAAATGACAGCAATACCATAATAGAAGCTGACATGTGCTGCAAGAAACCATATGAAGGCCATAGCAGTTCAAAGGCAAGACAGACCTTCTCTTCTGGCTGGGGATTCAGGAGAAGTTTCATTGAGGGAATAGCATTTTAAATGAATAGTATTTAGACAAGCAAATACCTGTACTTATAAAGGGTGACATTCAGAATTCCAAAAATAACTAGAAAGCTTGCGCAAAGCAGAGATGGTAAAGAATGTGTATGGCAAAGAAGTGGTTTGGTTTGCCTCAACCTGGGAATGGTTTTCCAATTTTTAAATCAGAAAATACCACATAAAGTTTAACTTTAGATTTGTATGTATAAAGGCAAAAACTCGAATTTCTCTAGTTGAAGTAGGAGGGAATCCCACAGCCCCAGCCGCTCAACATCCTCTTAGCCCACAGGCTCCACAGAATAAATCTGAAACCTGGCAGCATACATCACAATTGGAATGGGAAGACTAGATGCAGAAAAGCCCATTTTGAGATGTTAGCAATAGTCCACATGAGAGCCTAAGGCCTCATCTAAGCCAGTTAACAATAGAGGAGGTAGATGTAAGACATTTGAGTTAGACTTGGCAAGTGAGTAAATAAAAGCTTTATGTGGGGACTGTGTTGGTAGGTAAACACAGAAGAACAAAAAAGAGACTACTTTGATTTTTGAGCCTTGTAATGGAGATATTCCTTGACTAAAACTAAGACCAAGACAGAAAAACAGGTGGAAAGCTGATTTCAGTTTTGGACATTTGGAGACACCTCCTTTGTGTTCCCAGTGCTCCCAGCATATTGCCTTAATTGATATCTGTTGTCTCTGCTTTATCACATTGAAACTCCTTTAAAGGCAAGACTGAATTATCCATCCTTGTAGTTCCAGTGTCCACCACAGGGCCTGACACAAAGCTCCACAGGGCCATTCAGCCTCACTAAGAAATCTGTTAGGCACATTCACCAAGAGAGGACCCTTGGCGTCTCCTAGGAGTCTGGAGTCCAGGTCACGTCAAGTCTAAAGTACAGTTTTCAGATTTTCAAGAATGGATGATACATCAGTTTCATATAATAGTGTCCACCCCACATACACACTCTCATTCTCATTCCTGCTCTTAAGCTTCCCAGTTAGTGGCAAAGACTAACTTGATAATTTTACTTATTTTGTGTATACCCCTCTTCAAGGGGTAATAAAGTAGATATAGCAAAAATTAAAATATAGTAAGACAACCAATTCAAAGTAGGCAAGAAAGACAAAAGCAAACAAATGTAGGGACAAAGAAATGGATGCAGTAACACGGTTACTAAAATATGTACACCATGAAGATCTGTTTACTTACTATAGGTGGGCCACAGACTTGGCACCCAGCTTCCTGACTTTTACATAAAGAAACAAACTTGATCAGCTAGACTAGTTTAAAGAAAAAAGCAAGCCAATTGTTCAGGAGAAGCACACCATTCCTAATGCTAACAGACAAATTCCTCCCAAGGGTCCTCATAAAGAGGATAGAGTAATATAATGAACATCTTTTCAGCAGTCACAGCAATGAGTTCTGTGGGATTGTTTCTCCTAGTTCTCTCAACACAGAAAGATAACCTCTTACCAAAGCACATTTCAGCGAAGGCAATTCTGTACTGGGATTGATATACTACATTCCAGGTAAAAGAACAAATCTACATAAAAGTAAACAAAAACCTCCCAGGTGTAGATTTTAAAATAAAGCAATCATATTAAACCTTGTCTGTATACTGGTATTACCAGGACATTTTTTAAAAGTTACTGATGCCTGAGTCCCAACCTGGGATAACCGCATTTGGATTATCCCCCAAAAAAGTGGGGCCTCCACTTTTTTAATGCTCTTCAGTCCAGATAATTCTCAAGCTTCACCAGAGAGTCTTTTACATTATCTGGATACCCCGGACCAATTAAATTAGAATCCTTCGGAGGGAGACCCTGGCATGTGTATTTTTTAAAGCTTTCCAGTTGACTCCAATGTTCACCACGGTTAAGAACCATCGATCCTGAAGAATGGGTGGACCTCATGTAATGCTTCTTGAATACCGCTTCTTTTAGCTGAGTTTTGGAAAGGTACTAAGCAATAAAAGATTCTTACATTATGCTTCCCAGCTCATCTATATTGTCAAATAAATAGGGACCCAAATGTCTTAATCAACAGTGAAGCTGGGGTAGGTTGGACTTTATTTTATAAAAACTGAGGAATCTCCCTGGGTGGAGGCCATCTTGACACCCAGGGGAGTTGAGGGAAGCCTGGAAGCAGTGCCAAATCTTTTCTTTTGATAGTGCATTTGGATCTGCTCTAATGATCAGGAAAAAAAATGGCCAATCAAGTTCTATATTTTTATTTCCAAAGCACAATCTTTTAGCAAAACAGGTTAAACCAACAGCCATTCAAGCCATAAGAAAACAACCCAATAAAACACTAGTTTTTTGTTTTTGTTTTTGAGATGGAGTCTTGCTCTATCACCCAGGGTAGAGTGCAGTGACCCAATCTTGGCTCACTGCAACCTCCGCCTCCCGGGTTCAAGCAATTCTCCTGCCTCAGCCTCCCGAGTAGCTGGGATTACAGGCGCCCACCACCACACCGGGCTAATTTTTGTATTTTTAGTAGAGATGGGGTTTCACCATTTTGGCCGGGCTGATCTCGAACTCCTGACCTCTTGATCCACCTGCCTCAGCCTCCCAAAGTGCTGGGATTACAGGCATGAGCCACCACACCCAGCCAAAACATCTAGTTTTAAATCATGCTACTTTCTGAGAATTTGTGAGATGGCTGAATGAAGTGACTTGTCACATATATTAATCTATAAACCAGTCAGAAATCAGGAAACATGTACCAAAGACAAAAAATTTTTGCCAGGCAGTCCCTTCTGACTATAATTAATAGCAGAACCAAGAAGATTAAAAAATCCCAATAACGGCCGGGTGCTGGCTCACGCCTGTAATCCCAGCACTTTGGGAGACTTGAAGCAGGCGGATCATGAGATCAAGATATCGAGACCATCCTGGCCAACATGATGAAACCTCGTCTCTAGTAAAAATACAAAAATTAGTCGGGCCTGGTGGTGTGCACCTATAGTCTCAGCTACTCGGGAGGCTGAGGCAAGAGAATTGCTTAAACCCGAGAGGCGGAGGTTGCGGTGAGCCGAGATCGCGTCACTGCACTCCAGCCTTGCAACAGAACAAGATTCTGTCTCAAAAAAAAAAATCCCAATAACAACCTCTATCAAATTGGATCTTGAAATGAACACTGGACAGAGACTATCCAGAAACAAGTTTTAAGAGGCTAATATTTGCTCATAGCCTAAATTGAAAGAGAGTTGGTTCACCCCTGATTTTCATGCACACAACTTTATACTAGAGAGCCGAAGACGTTTAAAGCATCTGTCTAAAGTCTGGAGAATATGAGCAGAAAGGAGAGGTAATATGCCTTCTCTAATTGCAAAGTCAGGCCATGGATTCAGATGCTATTTTGTGGCTACACAGATTGAAGATGAATGAAGCTGGTATCCTAAGCTACAACGGACCTTTCAACCATAAAGGCAGAAGATATCCATCACACACCCACTCTCCCTTAGGGATAAAGCCCTAAAAGAATCTAAATCTTTTCCTAGTGCCTTCAGGATATATATATATATATATATGGTACATACTAGGTCTAGGCCTACACATTCAAAGTTTTACTCTCCATTACCACTGATAATTTTTTGTCTTCTACGTGAATATAATATATATTCCTACATGTGATTCCCCAGTCCTTCTGTACCAAGAATAAATAGAGAAGAATTGGGGGAAGGGGAGCATCAGAGATGGGCTGTATACAAAATCATAAGGAAAATTTAGTGATCTAATATAAAAAGGCAAAGTAAGAGACTGAAAAAAAAATCAAAGAATCAAAATGAAAGAAGAAATCCCGGTTCCAGAGAGCAAGTGGTAAAGCCAGAGTAAGGCTAACTAGAAACCTGGTAATAGAATTAAGTGCCTTCCAAATGTATTTATTTATGTGGAAAATGCTTTAGAAGTTTAATTTCATGTGCGGCCAACCTTGAAAAATGGGTTTCCAGTTGTACAATGTAAAGACACAATCCTGAAGGTTTCTAGAAAGCAACTGTTATTATGAAGAGTATACCTAACATCAATTTTGGACAATCTTTTCGACCTCCTCCAACATCAACCTGGAAGACCAACGATACAAAAGCACTCCACAGGTGTAATACCTGGGAGTTTGGGGATTTCAGGTTGCCTGTTCCTCTTCACTAGGCCTTTCTGCTATAAAAAGTCACATCCAGGAAAGATAATCATTTTTTTTTAAACTATTTGTGCTTTAGTCATAATTATCCTGACAAAACCAGACAGATTTTTAAAACATTACTGCCACAGACTAGCCCATTTTAAATTTGTTCCGACCTCAGATCCCTCCCACTATAGGTTTAGTAACCTTAAATAGAAAAGGAGAACCCTAGAATACAACACTTGTTACAAAAAAAAACTTCAGGAGATCTCAAATGGCCTCCAGCAAACCCTGAGAAAAAGCAGTTATAAAGTTTGTTTCCAAAGGCAACGACCTCTTATCCACTGTAATCTCAGTTAAGAGTGGTTCCTATCACTAAAGTCCCTTCAGCCCTTCAGCTCTGACAAACCACCTTCAAAATGGTCACACAGAAGTGCACTGCACCCTTGTATTCAAGTTCACCTAGACCCTTAATAGAAATGCTGACCTGGGGCACTACTCCACACCTGCTGAATCAGAATCTGCAACGTAGCAGGATCCCCAGGCGACTCCCATGCGTCTTAAGCAGCGCTTACTGATGGCTGCGCCATCAGGGCAAAACTGGAAGTTCCGGGGCTGTCCTAACCCCAGCAGGTCCTTTGCTCAAGAGCCTGGGGAGTCACTGGCTACTGCTGTTTTCCCTTCTTCTGGACCCAACCCGAGCCCCGCTCCGCGCGAGTAAAGCTCTGAAGATGTGTGTCAGGGCGAGACTCCTGGCCTGGCACACGGTCCTCGCCCCACCAGCCCCAGCCCGGGCCGACCTCTCACCTGCTCCTCCAGCGGGAGCGGCTTGAGAGGACTCCGAGCCCCGTGTCGAAACACGACCTGCACCATTTTCAACTTCAGCAGGCTGCGGTCGACCGGACACTGGCCATCGGCCTCCTGCAGCTCGGCCAGGGCCACCCGCCGCTGGTGCAGGCAGTACGCCAGCGAGGTCAGGACGCCCACTGGGGTCCACAAGCGCATGCTGAACACACCAGTGATCATGGTGGTAGGCCCTCGCTGCCCTCCGGGTTGAGGCTGCAGGAGGCAAACACAAGTCTTCTGCGGGCGCCGGGGCTCAGCGGGCGCCCCCAAGTCCGCGGGAACCTGCGGATGCGTACATCCAGCCCTTCAGCAAGCAGGGACCGCTGTGCCTCCCGGCCCTGAGGGAGACCCCGAGTGGGAACGGGGGAGAGAACAAGAGGTGGCAGCAGCGAAGAGTCCCTGGGAGTTTTAACCCGGGTCGGGGTTGGTCGCTCCTGCTGCACACCGGGCCGGGGGAGATCGGATCCTTATCTTTTGCCCGACGAGGAACATTAAACTTGTATTTCAAGTTTGGCCTCCAGCACTCTTGAAGGAACAGGAGCCGGCCCTGAGTTCCCTGGCGGCAGCGGCTCCACCAGCAAGGACTACTCGATTCCACTTTTCTATAAGCAAGCTCCTACCCACCTCCTCACCTACTCAGGGACCCGTCCCAAGTGGACCCGCGCACAGGAGCACGGGAAAACGAGTCCTGTGGTGACACCTCGCCTGGAGACTCAGAGCTGCGGAAACTACAACTCCCACAAGGCTGCGCGTACCGCGGCTCCCAAGAAGTGGCTTGTACCCGCCCCCCTCGCCTGCGGGCCTCGCCCCTCCGGCCCAGCCAGCCGTTTTCCAGGCGTGGATGGCCCACGGACGTGCCTGGTCCGGCAGTGGAGTGGTAGTGAATCTGTCGGGCCATGGAGTTTGCCAGGCAGGAGGATCGCGAGCGCAGGAGTAGAACTGGGTGGTGGAGGGGAGTAGTTTGAGTCTAGTTTTGAATGTAGAAGACTTCCTTCCAGTCCTGGAAGCCTGGTTGCTGCAGCGAGGAGCTGAGACACCTGCCGAGTGATTGCCATTTGCGAAACACAGCACTAGGTGCTTTATATTTAGTCATTTACTACTCCCTTCTCTGTTTTTAAAAAAATTCTCAAGCTTAAGTCATTGTAATCATGTAGAACTTTCAGGTCACTGATGTGTTTACTTCCATCCAGAATACTTCTTGTGGAAAAAGCCAGGCCTTGCCTGTGGGTGTCCCAGTGATTAAGAACCTAAGAGGCGCCATGGCTCACGCCTGTAATCCCAGCACTTTGGGAGGCCGAGGCGGGTAGATCATGAGGTCAGGAGATCGAGACCATCCTGGCTAACACGGTGAAACCACGTCTCTACTAAAAATACAAAAAAAAAAAAAAAAAAAAATTAGCCAGGCGTGGTGGCGGGCACCTGTAGTCCCAGCTACTCAGGAGGCTGAGGCAGGAGAATGGCGTGAACCCGGGAGGCGGAGCTTGCAGTGAGCCGAGATCGCGCCACACGACTCCAGCTTGGGCAACAGCGCAAGACTCCGTCTACAAAAAAAAAACAAAAAAAAACCTAAGAACACAGAACAATGCCAGCCTTACCACCTGCTAGTCTGGTTTCTGTTGATATACAGGTATCCCAAGCCTGTGTTTCCAGATCTTTGCAACAGGACACAATCTGGGACCCACTATGTGTCTATCTCCAAAGATCAAACTGGGCCAGATGTAAAGACAACATACTTACAGAGCATGGCTCCTGGCCTGAGAACAAATTCTGTTCACCAAGCTGGAAGGTTCTGAGTGCTCCCCTCCCTGATGCAGGGAGGAGGGTCATTTTGGAACACTACATATTGTCACAATTTTCTCCCTAGCCCAGCCAAGGGACTCACTTTTCAGAGTCTTATTGTGTGTGCTGATGTGATTAAAAATCGAATACTGTTTGCTATGGACTCAGTTGTGTCCCCCGCCAAATTCGTACCCACTAAGTGACTGCATTTGGACATAGGACTTTTAGAAGGTGATTCTGTCAGAGGCATTTGAACCATAGTGACTCCATCTTGAATAGCGGCTGGGTAAAATGAGGCTGAGACCTACTGGGCTGCATTCCCAGGAGGTTAGGCATTCTCAGTCACAGGATGAGGGGGGAGGTCAGCAGGACTGGTATCACAAGAAACCAGTCAAAAAGACCCTGCTGATAAAACAGGAAGTGGTAAAGAAGCTGGCCAACACCAACCAAATGCAAGATGTTGATGGAAGTGACCTATGGTCAAACTCACTGCTCATTTTACGTTAATTATAATGCATTAGCATGCTAAAAGACACTCCCATCAGCACTATGACAATTTACGAATGTCGGGGCCAGCAGTTACCCTATATGGCCTAAAGTGGGGAGGAACCCTCAGTTCCAGGAAATCCCACTCCTTTCCCAGAAAATTCATGAATAATCCACCCCTTGTTTGGCATATAATTAAGAAATAACCATAAGTATTTTCAGTTGAGCAGCCCATGCCCCTGCTCTGTCTATGGAGTAGCCATTCTTTTGTTTCTCTTTTTCTCTAATAAACTTGCTTTCACTTTATGGACTCGCCCCAAATTCTTTCTTGCCCGAGGTCCAAGAACTCTCTCTTGGAGTCTGGATCAGGACCCCTTTCCAGTAGCAATTTTGGTTAAGTGAAGATATAAATGTGAGGTCCTAATCCAGTAGGATTGATGGCTTTATAAGAAGAGAAAGAAGGATCTCTCTCTCCACACAGGAGATCTGATGGTTTTATAAGTTTTTGGAAATTCCTCCTTCTTTCTCCTCTCTGGTCTGCCAACTTGTGAAAAAGGTGCCTGCTTCCCCTTCTGCCATGATTATAAGTTTCCTGAGGCCTCCCCCTGTCCTCAGCCATGCAGAACTGTGAGTAAATTTACTCCTTTGTTTATAAATTGTAGTATCTTTATAGCAGTGTGAAAACGGACTAATACAGCAATGGTCCTGTCAGGGCTCATGTGTCCTGTTGGAGGGGGAGTGTGGGGAAGTGTGGGGAACAACTTAGCAGCAGATCTCCAAAAGAAACCAGAGTGAGGGTGGAAAATAGCTGATTTCATGTGGTTGTTAAAAGCACTGTTTGTCAACACATGTGAGACAAACCATGGGGAGTCCAGATGTATTTTGTGTGTGATAGTAGTGGCAGTGAGCTGCAATTTAAAAGAGGCTGGGCCGGGCGCGGTGGCTCACGCCTGTAATCCCAGCACTTTGGGAGGCTAAAGCAGGCAGATCACCTGAGGTCAGGAGTTTGAAACCATCCTGGGCAACATGGTGAAACGCTGTCTCTACCAAAAATACAAAAATTAGCCGGGTGTGGTGGCACACATCTGTAATCCCAGCTACTCGAGAGGCTGAGGCAGGAGAATCGCTTGAACCTGGGGGCAGAGGTTGTAGTGAGCCGAGATTGCACCACTGCCCTCCAGCCTGGGCGGCAAAGTGAGATTCCATCTCAAAAAAAAAAAAAAAAAAAAAAAGAGAGAGAGAGAGAGAGAGAGAAAGAGAGAGACTGGAAGTCCTGACCCAGGGTAGGACCGTGTGGGTGGGGGTGTTAGGGTGGTTGCAGGAAGCAGGGGAACACTGAGTAGCTGTTATTTTGACCCTGGTTTTAAACTACCAGGCAGGGATGGCTCGGGAAATAAGCCCTTTCCCAGCCAAATTGTCTTCAGAGGATTGCATTTAATATTATGTAAAAACTCAGTTTTAATAATGAGATTAGATAAGAAACAACCACATTCACATTTTTTTCCCCAGTGGTGAGCACAGTGCCTGGCTTGTAGTAAGTACTCCATAAATACTTGCCAAATGAAATTATAGGATATATCATAGGAATGTTGTTGAGCCATTGCTCATTACATCATTTATTGCTTCCTTTATAAATCTCCTCCTGAGAAATTTGGTTTAGAGTGTTAGAATTAGAACAAGCATTAAGAAGTATGAAGATTACTTTTCCTTCAATTTTGTCTTGGTTGTCAGGAAGCTTGGTGCCTAATTTTCAAACTTACCTATAGAAAATATTTAGAATCTAGTGGCCAGTATAACTATGATCTTTCCCTCCAGAGTATTACTCTGGATTGGATGGGAGCAAAACTGGAGAAAGGACCGTTAGGAGGCTGTTGCAGCAATCCAGCTATGAAACATGTAAGAGGTAGTTAACAAGTGAGAAGGAGGAAGGAGTCAAGGATGACTACTCTACGTTTCTGGCTTGGACAACCTGCAGATGATGCCATGCACCTGGGAAGGAGGTTAAGCAGAAATGACCAAGTTAATTTTGAATATGTAGATCATAAGGTACTTAGGTATCAAGGAAGCCAAGAGAAAAAAGGTTTTTTTAAAAAAGAGAATGGACAATAGTGTCAAATGGAACTGAGAAGCCAAGTAATGTAAGGTCCAGTGTCCAATGGATTTAACAACAAAGTAATCTTCTGTTAGTTAAGTGAGAGCAGTCTCAGTGAAATAGTGGAATCCTAATCCAATAATGGGGCAGAAATGGAATGCAAGTGGGAAGTAAGTGTAGACATCTTTAAGAAGCTTAGCTGAGAAGAGGGAATGAAAAAATGCAGTAGCTGGAGGTGTTTGATTCATGAAATTAAGGGAGAATTGTCTTTTGAAGATGAGAGAAGCTTGTATATATGTTTAAATGTTGATAGAAATAAGTTTCCAGATAAGGAGAGACAGGATAATAGATCTGATTAAGTGCTTAGGAGGGCAGGATAAAATCAGAAATGAGCTTAAGTGGCATAATTAGCTTCAGAAAGAAAAAGTATGTATTTTCCATGTTTATAGGAGGGGAATAAGAAAGAATAGGCATGGGTGAAATACATTCATGGCATGGAGATTCATGGGGCTTTTTTCTTTGTTTTTTTTTTTTTCTGCAAAATCAGAGTATGAGTTAGAGGGGTGGTGATTGGTGCTCCTGACAATTTGAGGAATGTGAGAAAGTAAAATACCCACAGTATACACAAGAGAGAGGGTCACAGCTAGGTAGCCAGAGGTTTGCCAGGTACCATGGAGAGCCCAATAGAGAACAGTTTTCTCCAACTTTATGGTACATCATAATCACTTGGCTTATTTGTTAGAATGTAGGTACAGGAGCACCAATATGTCTTACTATAGCCGAGTGGAGTCTGGAACTCTGTGTTTTAAACAAGCATCCAGGTGATTCTGATACAGAAGCTCTTCAGATCACACATTGAAAACTATGGATAGAGAGTCAAAGAGGGGTTAGTTTTAGTTTTAGTATGGAGGTGTTTTTTATAAAATGGGTGCTATAGTTTGGATGTTTGTCCCCTCTAAACCTCATGCTGAAATTTGATCCAGTGTTAGAAGTGGGGCCTAATGGGAAGTGTTGGGTCATGGCAGTAGATCCCTCATGAGTAATAGATTGATGCCCTCCCTCAGAAGTGAATAAATTCTCACTCTCCAAAAACTAGTTGTTAAAAAGAACCTGGCACCTCCCCACCTCCTTGCTTCATTTCTCATCATGTTATCTCTGCACTCACTGGCTCTCCTTCATCTTCCACCATGAGTGGAAGCAGCCTGTAGCCATCACCTAATGCATATGCCCAACCTTGAATTTTCCAGCCATCCAGAATTATGAGCCAAATAAACTTGTTTCTTTATAAATTATCCAGCTTCAGATATTCCCTTATAGCAACACAAAATGAACTAAGACAATGAGGACAATTCCCAATGGAGGGGAAACAAGAAGACAAAAAGAAATAATTGGTAGAGAAAAATTCCTAAGGAGTTGAGAGAATGTGTGATAAAGAAGAAAATAGGAAGGGTCACCCTCGGACAGGAGAGAAGGGTTGCATCTTTCATTAAGGGTCGTCACTTCTATTAAAATGAAGAGGAGGAGGTAAAGATAGATGGTGAAGCAGGGAAGATTGGTAGTTTCACCTCCAACAAATTATTTCCCCCAGTTATATCTCCAGGAAGCTTGGAAAAAGGAAAAACATCAATAATAGTAATTGAATTAAGTGCTTACCATAACCATATACATGGCATTATGTAATGTGACATTTAATCCTTATAGTAACTCCAGTTGTAGGTACTATCACCATTTTGTAAAGGAAGAAATTGAAATTAGAGAACAGAGAAGTAACTTGCCCAGGAATGCACAGATCTTAAGTGGCAGAAACTGAGTAAACTAAATTTGAACCCATGTTTGTCTGGCATCTGGGCCCACACTATGAGTCACAGATATTACAGATATTATAATGCTTAACTTATATTAGGGAGGGGGTAGCAATTTGTGTGATATTTAGCATGGATAATACCCCTGTAAGATGAGAGATTAAAACTTTCCTTTGTGACTTCTCTCCAATAAGTCTCTTTTTTCCTACCATTTTCTCAATCCTGATGGATGGCTTCCTGTTTTTTCCTTAATATCACTTAGGTTCTTTCTGTTGCAAGTGGCAGAAGACCTGATTCAAGCTGGTTTAACAGGAAAAAAGACAAAAGAATTGATTAGCCCACACAATTGAAAATTTCAGGAGAACTGCCTTCAGGCTTAGCTGGATAGAAGCTCAGTTAATATTGATTTTTTATTTCTTTTGTAGCCTCCAGCTCCGTCTCCTACTGTTTTGTCTTTGTCCTCAAACTTTTTCTGGTGACTCAGAGCTCACCCCTTCATTACACAATGACTCAAGCAGTCTAACTGGAAATAAAGAGCTCTTTTCCCCACACAAGCAGAAATTCTGGGCCTCAGAATTTTTTGCCAGATTTGAGATATATGCTTAATGCTTGAACCAGTCATTTCCAACCATCCCTGAAGTTGAAGGGGAAGTCAAACCCACCCAAACTAAATGAGCTACTAGGGGGTACAGGCGATTCTTCAAAAGAGGTTCAGATAACTGTTTTTACTTTAAAAAGAGTGAATGAATGATGAGGGGAGAATAATAGATGTCTTTCATGCCTTTCTCCAATCTCTTCTTTCCTCATTAATCAACTTCCTGTATGCATTGTTGGTGACTCATGCTGAAGTTGCTGACCTTTCGACAGAGGGACAGAGGGAGGTGGGCTTAATACTCTCTACAACTCCTACAACTCTAACAGAGTACGTCTGTGTCTATACATCTTTGTGACTTCCTTGTTTAAACATCTTTATTGGCTCCCCATTGCCCACAGAAGAGTGACTTACAATACCAGTTTTCAATGTTCCACCACTCTGATATTCCATGCTGTTTTCAAAGGTACTAGAATACTGGTATTTCTGTTGGTATGATACTGTTAGTTTGAAGTTAAAAAAAATCTGAAATCTGAAACATTTATGTTCTGAGACATACCAGAGACACGTTTCATTACAATTTGGGAATCACGTATAGGTGACTGTGTTTAGAAAGCTGTCTTATATGCCTTTATAATCCTCAAGAAAAAAGAAAACAAAGCAAAGCTTCTAATACAAGAATAATTATTATCTATCACAAAGACTTTCCAACACATGGACATGAATGGAATACTATTGGTATTAACAAGGTGTCTGTATTAGAATCTTCATTTATGGAAGATGAGATGGAAAAATAAAGACAAACCAGAAATACTTTCATTGAAGCAAAAAAAAAAAAGTTTGTTACTGTCTTAGTCCATTCAGGATGCTGTAACAAAATATCTAAGACTAGATAATTTATAAATAATAGAAATTTACTTTTCACAGTTCTGAAGTCTGGGTTATCAAAGATCAAGGTGCCAGCAGATTTCTCATCTGGTGAAAGTTTGCTCTCTGCTCCACAGATGGTCCTGTTGTTGCATGATCATATGATGAAAGGGCAGAAGGGCAATAAAGGGCTAAATAGGGAGAACTCACTCCCTCAAGCCCTTTTTTATGGGCACTAATCCCACCCATGAGAGTGGAGCCCTCCTGAACTAATCACCTTCTAAAGACCCCACCTCTTAATACTGTTGCACTGTGTTAGAAATGCTTGTTTCCCGGTGCCATAAAGAAATAGCACTTGAACATAAATTTAATTTTCTCAGCAAGGCCATTTTTACTTTCTGCAGAAAGGGTACACTCACCAGCAGTTTTGCCATGAGAGTACACCGAACAAAGGAGACAAGGTTATTTATAACCTCATGCGTCCACCCTACTGCTGTGTCCGGTTTCCATTGGTTGGAACGGGACCTCACATTCTGTATTTGTCCCAATTGGCTTGCAACTTAGAACTTTTTAAAAGAGGCAAAGGCAGTGGAGAACAAAGGAAGGAGGAGGTAACTTGTGGAATGCTGAGAAAGGTAAAAAACACCTCCAAATAAAGAAGAGGAACAGGCGATGACCTAACGCTTGCTTGGACCAGTATAAGCATGCCAGGGCAAATATTTAGGCTAACTTGTGGGAGCGAAGAACACAAAGTACATTGATTTCTTTATTACGGCTAGCAGATATCTAAGAATGTTAGCACAGGTCTTTGAATAAATTTGCTTCTAAGTGAAATCACTATTTATTCCTAATTAGATGGGGAGGAAAGTCTTTTTGAAGAGGAACCTTTACTTTACTTTTTACAATTGGAATTATGTTTCAACATGAATTTTTCAGGGATACAAACATTCAAACCATAGCAGTTAGAAATTAAAAAAACTGTTCTTGCAAAGAAATGTAACCTTGGCCCCTGAAAAAAATCTCCTCAAAGTTGTTAACCAAGAGATAGGATTGTTGGTAGATAATGGGTGTCTTAGTCTATTTTGTACTGCTACAGCATTAATACCTGAGACCGGGTCATTTATAATGAACAGAAATGTATTGGCTCACAGTTCTGGAGGTTGAGAAGTCCAAGATTGAGGCACTGGCATCTGGTGAAGGCCTTCTTGCTGCATCATCCCATGGCAGAAGGCACAGGGGTGAGAGAGAGAAAAGGGGGCTGAACTTGTCCTTTTATAAGGAACAGGTTCCTGTAATAATGGCATTCATCATTCATGAGAATGGTGCTCTCATGGCCTAATCACCTCTTAAAGGTCCCACCTGTCAACATACTTGCACTGAGGATTAAGATTCCAATGCATGAACTTTAGGGGACACATTAAAACCATGGCAGTGGATTAGAGAAAAATATTTAAGAGCAGTTTATAACAAGATCTTTATCATTCTCTTAACTAGCATAGATTCAGAAAGAGGTTTTCAGCACTGGAAAGCTTTACACAGCTCAGTGATGACATCATTGATGGACTAAGTACACATTAAAAAATTATAATTCTATTTTATTTTTAAGCTCAAACTTTATGTAGTATGTGGCCAGGTGTGGTGGCTCACACCTGTAATCCCAGCACTTTGGGAGGCCGAGGCGGGTGGATCATGAGGTCAGGAGATCGAGACCATCCTGGCTAACACGGTGAAACCCCATCTCTACTAAAAAATACAAAAAATTAGCCGGGCGTGGTGGCGGGCACCTGTAGTCCCAGCTACTCGGGAGGCTGAGGCAGGAGAATGGTGTGAACCCAGCAGGTGGAGCTTGCAGTGAGCCGAGATCGCACCACTACACTCCAGCCTGGGCGACAGACTGAGACTCCACCTACAAAAAAAAAAAAAAAAAGTTACAAGTATATTTACATTTTACTTATGGTTATTAATTTTTGTATTTGAAAAGTGTTGTGTCTTAATCAGCAAGATGGCAGAAAATAACTTTCCAGTGCTAGTCTCTCCACAGAAACATCAATTTGAAAAACTATCCATGCATAAAAATACCTTCACGAGAGTGAAGAAAACCAAATGAGAGATTACAGCACCTGAGTGTAGCACAGAAATAAGAAAAGACACATTGAAGAGGATAGGAAGGACAACTTTACATTACCCACATCACCCTTACCTCCATACCAGGCAGCACAGTCCACAGAGAGATACCTTTCACTTCGGGGAAGATGAGGAAAATAAGCATCAGACTTTGCCTCAAACCCCAATACTGGGCCCACCGATAAAACCCAGCACTGGGAAGGCCTCCACAGCCCCAGATTCTAGGCCCATGATGTGTCCAGAATTGGTGGGTTCTTGGTCTCACTGACTTCAAGAATGAAGCTGCGGACCCTGCGGTGAGTGTTACAGCTCTTAAGGTGGCGCGTCTGGAGTTTGTTCCTTCTGACATTCGGATGTGTTCGGAGTTTCTTCCTTCTGGTGGGGTTCGCCGTCTCCTCGGTCAGGAGGGAAGCTGCGGACCTTCGGACCTTCGCGGTGAGTGTTACAGCTCTTAAGGCGGCGCATCTGGAGTTGTTCTTTCCTCCCAGTGGGCTCGTGGTCTCGCTGGCTTCAGGAGTGAAGCTGGAGATCTTCGCGGTGAGTGTTACAACTCATAAAAGCAGTGTGGACCCAAAGAGTGAGCAGTAGCAAGATTTATTGCAAAGAGCTAAAGAACAAAGCTTCCACAGTTGTGGAAGGGGACTGGAGCGGGTTGCCACTGCTGGCTTGGGCAGCCTACTTTTATTCTCTTATCTGGCCCCACCCACATCCTGCTGATTGGTAGAGCTGAGTGGTCTGTTTTGACAGGGCACTGATTGGTGCATTTACAATCCCTGAGCTAGACACAAAGGTTCTCCACTTCCCCACCAGATTAGCTAGATACAGATTGTCAACACAAAGGTTCTCCAAGTCCCCACCAGAGTAGCTAGATACAGCGTGTCAACACAAAGGTTCTCCAAGTCTCCACCAGAGTAGCTAGATACAGAGTGTCAATTGGTGCATTCACAAACCCTGAGCTAGATACAGGGTGCTAATTGGTGTGTTTACAAACCTTGAGCTAGACACAGAGTGCCAATTGGTGTATTTACAATCCCTGAGCTAGACATAAAGGTTCTCCACCTCCCCACCAGACTCAGGAGCCCAGCCAGCTTCACCCAGTGGATCCCGCACCAGGGCTGCAGGTGGAGCCGCCTGCCAGTCCCACGCCATGCGCCGGCACTCCTCACCTCTTGGGTGGTCGATGGGACTGGGCGCCATGGAGCAGGGGGCGGCACTCATCGGGGAGGCTCGGGCCCCACAGGAGTCCACGGAGGGGGTGGGAGGCTCAGGCATGGCGAGCTGCAGGTCCCGAGCCCTGCCCCGTGGGAAGGCAGCTAAGGCCCGGCGAGAAATCGAGCGCAGCGCCGGTGGGCTGGCACTGCTGGGGGACCCAGTACACCCTCCGCAGCTGCTGGCCCGGGTGCTAAGCCAGTCATTGCCCGGGGCCGGCAGGGCCAGCCGGCTGCTCCGAGTGTGGGGCCTGCCAAGCCCACGCCCACCCAGAACTCCAGCTGGCCCGCAAGCGCAGCGCACAGCGCCGGTTCCCGCTGGCGCCTCTCCCTCCACACCTCCCTGCAAGCTGAGGGAGCCGGCTCCGGCCTTGGCCAGCCCAGAAAGGGGCTCCCACAGTGCAGCGGTGCGCTGAAGGGCTCCTCAAGTGCGGCCAAAGTGGGAGCCCAGGCAGAGGAGGCACTGAGAGCGAGCGAGGGCTGTGAGGACTGCCAGCATGCTGTCACCTCTCACTGACACCAGGCCAGATCCTACATTCCCAGGCTCCAGGTCTGCTCCCCAGTCTCAATCTCCAAGCCAACCCTAACATCCCTATGCTCCAGTCTGACCCAACCTCTAGCTGGCCCCCATGCCTCAGGCTTTGAGCTCACTATAGTGCCAGGCCAGCCCTCACAGATCAGGCTCCAGGCCTACCCTGAAGATTCCATCTTCAGGTTTACTCCAGGGTCAGACCAGTCCCAGTGGTCTCAGGCTCTGGATGCCCCCCAACCCAGCATCAGGCTGGGCCCCATAGCATCAGGCTTCATGCCTATCTCAGAACTAGGCCAACCCCTACAGCCCTAATCATCAGGCCAGCACTCAGCCTTCAGGCTGGCCTGCAGATATAGGTTCCAGGCCTGCCCAGGATAAGGCTAGCTCCTGCAGCTCCAAGCTACAGGCCCGCGCTAGTTTAAGGTCAGCCCAAAGCCACATCAGCCCACACAGCCTGATGCCTTAGGCCCATCTCAGTGCCAGGTCAGTACATCTCAGGCACAAGGCTGATACCACAGACACAGGTTTCAGTCCTGCCTAGTGCCAGGCTGATCCCTGTGGCCCCACACTCCAGGCTGGCCCCTGCAGTCCCATGTTCCAGCAGATGTAAGGGCCAGATTTGTCCCAGCTGACCTCAGTGCTAAGCTGACCCTCATGGACCTAGGTTCCAGGACTACTCCTAAATACCCAGGTTCTAGGCCAGCCCCCATAGACCCAAAACTCCATGAACTCAGGATACAGGTCTACCCCAGTGTCAGGTCAGTCCCCATGGACACAGGCTCTGGGCTTATCCTAGTGGACCCAGTCTCCGACCCATTCCATGGCCTAGCCAGCCCCTACAGACTCAGGCTTAAGGCTCACCCTAGTTTCAGATCAGCTACTATGGAACCAGGCTTCAGGCCACCCCCAATGGATATAGGCTCTAGATCTGCCCTTGGACCTAGGCTCCAGGCTCACCTCTGCAGACCCAATCAATACATCTACCTCAGTGGATCCAGGATCCAAGCTCAATCTTATGAACCCAGGCACCAGGTCTTCCCACTTGCGAACCCAGGCACAAGGCCCACTCACCCAAGGACACCAGCAGCAAGTACGCCAACAGGCCACGCTAGATGGACTGCCCAGAATCTCTGGACATGCTGACTGGTGAAGGATTTCCCAAACAAACCTAGTTTGCAAAGACTGGAATAAGTCTCCACTTCTTAAAATAAGCAGACACCAGCAAATGGCCACAAAGATCAAGAATAATCAGAGAAACATGTCATCACCAATGGAAGAAAATAAAACATGAGTAACTGACACTAAAGAAATGGAGATATATAAACTGCCTGATAAATAATTCAAAATAATAGTTGTATAGCAAACTTCAATAAAATACAGAGAAATAATTCATTGAAATCAAGAAAACAATAAATGACCAAAACAAGAAATTTAACAGAGATTGAAATTATGAAAAAGTAACCAAATTCTGGAGCTGAAAAATACAATGAATTAAATTATAAAATGCAATAGAGAGCATTGACAGCAGAATTGATAAACAGAAGAAAGAACCTCCAAACTCAAAGACAATTATTTGAAAATATGCAACAAGAAGAGAAAAAGGAAAAAAGAATGAAAAGGAATGATGAAAGCTTATGGGATTTATGGAACAGTATCAAAAAAGCAAATGTTCAAGTTATAGGAGTTAAAGTAGAAGAAAGAGAGAGAGAAATTTATGTTTATTTAAAGAAATAATAACAGAAAATAAATTAAATCTGAGAAAGAAATATCCAGGTACAGGAAGGTCAAAGGACTCTGATTAGACTCAAGCCAAACAAGACTGCAAGACATATTACAATCAAACTGTCAAAAATCAAAAATAAAAAGAAGACACTGAAAACAGGAAGAGGAAAGAAGCAAATCATCTATAAAGGAATTCCTAAAAGTCTATCAGTGGATTCCTCAGCAGAAACACTGCAGGCCAAGAAATATTGGGATAATATATTAAAAGTGCTGAAGGGAAAAAAAAACCCTATCAACCAAAAATACTATACCCAGCAAAGCTGTCCTTCAGAAATAAAAGAATGATGAAAACTTTTCCAGGTAAACAAAAGCTGAGTGAGTTCATTCCACATGATCTGTCTTACAGGAAATGCTAAAGGGAATTCTTCATGCAGAGCAAAAAGGATGCTAATTATTAATAGTAACACAACATATGAAAGAATAAAGCTTACTGGTAAAATTAAGTACACAGTCAAATTCAGAACACTATAAAACTGTGATGGTGGTATGTAAATCACTTATATCTTTAGTATGAATGTTAAAAAACAAGTATTAAAAATAATAATAGTCACAATAATTTTTAAGGGATATACAGTATAAAAAATGTAAATTGTGACCTCAAAAACAGAATGTGGGAGTGGATAAAGTAAAAGTGTAGTTATTTTATGTAGTTAACATTAACTTCTTATTAGCTTAAAATTGCCTGTTATGACTATAAGATGTTTTATGTAAGCCTCTTGGTAGCCACAAAGCAAAAAATTATAGTAGATACATAAAAGATAAAAAGGAATCAAAGCATACCATTGGAGAAAATCATCTAATCACAAAAGAAGACATCAAGGGAGAAAAAAGAAACAAAGGATCTATAAAACAACCAGAAAACAATTAATAAAATGGAAGTAGTAAGTTTTTACCTATCGTTAATTACCTTGAATGTAAATGGAGTAAATTACCCAATCAAAAGACATAGAGTGGCTGAATGGATAAGAAAAGAAGACCAAATATACACACCCTACAAGAAACTCACTTCACCTGTAAGGACACACATGAATTGAAAGTAAAGGGATGGAAAAAAATATTCCATGCGAATGGAAGCCAAAAGAGAGTGAGAGTAGCTATACTTATATCAGATAAAATAGACTTTAAGTCAAAAGCTGTAAAAGGAGACAATGAAAGTCAATATACAATAATAAAACGGTCATCAAATATGTAACAATTGTAAATATGTATGTTCCAACATTGGAGCACCTAAATATATAAGGCAAATATATTAATAAATCTGAAGAGAGAGATGGATTGCAATACAGTAATAGCAGGGGACTTAAATACCCTACTTTCAACAATGGATAGATCATCCAGGCAGAAAATCAATAAGGAAACATTGAACTTGAACTACACTTTAGACCAAATGGACCTAATAGATGTTTATAGAATATTCCGTACAATAGCAGCAGAACACACATTCTTCTCAAGTGCATTGCAATATTCTCCAGGATAGATCATATGTTTGGCTATAAAACATGTCTTAGCAAATTTAAGAGGATAGAAGCATATCAAGTAGCTTTTCCAATGACAATGGTATGAAACTAGAAATCAGTAAGAGAAGAAATTTCAGAAAATTCACAAATATGTGGAAATTAAGCAACATGCTTCTAAATAACCAATTGGTCAAAGAAGAAATTAAAATAGAAATTGAAAAATATCTCGAGACAAATGAAAATGGACATGCAATATACCAAAATTTATAGATACAGCAAAAGCAGTTCAAAGAGGGACTTTTATGGCAATAAATGCCTACATCAAAAAAGAAGAAATACATAACCTAATGTTACACCTCAAGGAACTACAAAGAAAAAGAATAAACCAATCCCAAAATTAGTAAAAGGAAGGAAATGATCAGATCAGAAATAAATGAAATAGAGACTAGAAAACAATGGAAAAGATAAACTAAGAGCTGGTTTTTTGCAAACAGAAAAGAAACTAACAAACCATTAGCTAGACTAGCTAAGATAAAAAGACTCAAATAAATAGAATTAGGAATAAAAGAGGAGACATTACAATTGATATTATACCATAGAAATACACAGTATCATAAGAGACTGCTATGTGCAATTATATGCCTACAAATGGTATAACCTAGAAAAAATTGATAATTATTGGACATATATAACCTATTAAGACTAAATCTTGAGGAAATAGAAAATCTGAACAGAATAATGAGTAAGGAGATTGAATCAGTAATAAAAAGTCTTCCATTAAAGAAAAGCCCAAAACCTGATGGCTTCATTGCTGAATTTTACTTAACATTTATAGAAGAACTAATAACAATCCTTTTCAAACTCGTCCAAAAAATTAAATAGAAGGGTGCTATGGTCTGAATGTTGGCTTCCCTGAAAATTTATACCTTTAAATGTAATCCCAATGTGATAGTATTAAGAGGTAGGGCCTTTGGGGACGTGGTTAAGTCATGAGGGCTCTGCTCTTGTGAGTGGAAGTAGTGCCCTTATAAAAGAGATGAAGGGATCATGTTTGCCCCTTCTGCCATATGAGAATGTGACAAAAGGCACCATCTTTAAAGCAGAGCAAGTTCTTACCAGACATCAAGTCTGCTGACATCTTGATTTTGGACTTCCTAGCATCCAGAACTATAAGCAATACATTTCTATTGTTTATTAATCACCCAGTCTAAGGTATTTTGCTATAGGAGCCTGAACAGACTATGACAGAGGGACAACTTCCAGAGTCATTTTACAAGGCCAGCAATACCCTGATACCAAAGTCAGACAAGACCACCACGAGAAAAAAAGTTACAAGCCAATATCCCTGCTGAGCATAGTTATAAAAGTTCTCAACAAAATACTGGCAAACTGAATTCAGCAGCATGTTAAAAGGATCATTAATCACTTTGGGAGGCCAAAGCTGGTGGATCACCCGAGGTCAGGAGTTTGAGACCAGACTGGCCAACATGTTAAAACCCTGTCTCTACTAAAAATACAAAAAAGTAGCTGGGCGTGGTGGCCCATGCCTGTACTCCCAGCTACTTGGGAGGCTGAGGCAGAAGAATCACTTGAACCTGGGAGAGGGAGGTTGCAGTGAGCCAAGATCGCGCCACTGCACTCCAGCCTGGGTGACAGAGCAAGACTCTATCTCAAATAAATAAATAAATAAAAGGATCATTTACCATGATAAAGTGGGATTTATCCCTGGGATGCAGGAAGGGTTCAACATATATGAATCAATAACAGATGAAGGATAAAAACCATAATGATCATCTCAATAGATGCAGAAAAGGAATTTGACAAAATTCAATATCGCTTTATGATAAAAAAACATTCAACAAATTAGAAATAGAAGGAATGTACCTCAATACAATAAAGATCATATACAATAATCCTGTAGATAACATATTCAATGGTGAGAAGTTGAAAGCTTTTTCTCTAAGATCAGGACTAAGACAGGGATGCCCACTCTCACCACTTTTATTCAATATGGTACTAGAAGTCCTAGTCAGAGCAACTAGGCAAGAAAAAGAAATAAAATGTATCCAAATTGGGAAAAAATAAGTTAAATTGTCTCTGTTTACATGTGATATGATCTTATATAAAGAAAACCTTGAAGACTACTAAAAACTGTTAGAACTAGTAAACAAATTCAGTAAAGTTGCAGGATACAAAATCAACATACAAAAGTCAGCAGGTTTCTATACACTAATAACAAACTATTCAAAAAAAGAAATCAAGAAAACAATCCCATTTACAATAGCTAGAAAAGATAAAATACTTTGGAATAAATTTAACTAAGGAGGTGAAATACCTGTACACTGAAAATTATATAACATTGATGAAAGAAACAGAAGAAAACACAAATAAATGAAAAGATATTCTGTGTTCATGGATTGGAAGAATTAATATTATTAATTCTATACTGCCTGCTAGAGTTTGAGTGTTTGTCTCCTCCAAATCTCATGTTGAAATTTAATCCCCAAAGATGGAGGTGGGGCCTAATGGGAGGTGTTTGGGTCATGAGGGTAGATCCCTCAGGAATAGATTAATGCCCTCCCTATGGGGATATAAGATCATGTTATAGGCAAACAGTGAGTGCATTCTCACTCTGTTAGTTCCCATAAGAGCTAATTGTGAAAAAGAGGCTGTCGCCTCCTGCCTCTCTCTCTTGCTTCCTCTCTTGCCATGTGATGTCTGCACACACTGGCTCCTCTTCACCTTCAACCATGAATGAAAGCATCCGGATGCCCTCATCAGAAGCAGATGTTATCACTATGCTTCTTGTACAGCCTGCAGAACTATGAGCCAAATAAACCTCTTTTCTTCATAAATTACCAGCCTCAGGTATTCCTTTATAGCAACACAAATGGATGAAGACACCACCCAAAGCAATCCACAGATTCAGTGCAATCTCTATTAAAATTTTAATGACATTTTTCACAGAAATAGGAAAAAAACCTAAAATGTATATGGAACCATAAAAGACCCCAAGACCCCAAGACCCCAAATAGCCAAACCAATTCTGAGCAAAACGAACAAAGCCAGAGGCATCACACTACTTGCTTTGAAAATTTACTACCAAACTAGAAGAATCAAAAGTGTATTGTGCTGGTATAAAAACAGACACATAGACCAATGAAATGGAATAGAGAGCTCAAAAATAAATCCATGCATTTATAGTCAATTGATTTTTGACAAAGTTGCCAAGAACACAAAATGGAGAAAGAATATCTTCTTCAATAAATGGTGCTAGGGAAACTGGATATCCACATGCAGAAGAATAAAATTAGACCCTCATCTCACACCATATATTTATACAAAATTAACTCAAAATGAATTAAAATCTTAAATGTAAAACTTGAGACTGTAAAATCAGCAGACCAAAATCTCCATGACATTGGTCTGGGCAAAGATTATTTTGATATGACCCCAAAAGCAAAAGCAACAAAAGTGAAAGTAGACAGATGAAATTACATCAAACTAAAAAACTTCTACATAGCAAAGGAAACAATCAACAGAGTGAAGAGACAACATATAGAATGACAGAATATATTTGCAAGCCATACATCCAATAAGAGGTACAAAATATAAAATATAAAAGCAACAAATACAAAGCAAAAAAAATACAAAAAAATACAAAATATAAAAGCAACTCAAACAACTCAATAGTAAGAAAACAAATAACCCAAATAAAAAATGGGCAAGGGACCTGAATAGACATTTTTCAAAGGAAGACATATAGATATCCAATAGTATATGAAAAAATGCTCAATAACACCAATCAGGCTGGGCGTTGTGGCTCACGCCTGTAATCCCAACACTTTGGGAGTCTGAGGTGGGTGGATCACAAGTCAGGAGCTTGAGAACAGTGTGGCCAATACGGTGAAACCCCGTCTCTACTAAA
Organism: Homo sapiens; assembly: GCF_000001405.40. NCBI lineage: Eukaryota > Metazoa > Chordata > Mammalia > Primates > Hominidae > Homo > Homo sapiens. The sequence goes on from NC_000001.11 coordinate 147,688,518, forward strand.
AATACAAAAATTAGCTGGGTGTGGTGGCGGGCACCTGTAGTCCCAGCTACTCGGGAGACTGAAGCAGAAGAATCCCTTGAACCCAGGAGGCAGAGGTTGCAGTGAGCCAAGATCACACCACTGCACTCCAGCCTGGGTGACAGACCGAGACCTCGTCTCAAAACAAAAAACAAAAAACAAAAAACAAAAACCACTAATCACCAGGGAAACGCAAATCAAAACCACAATGAGATATATCACACTTGTTAGAATGACTACTATCAAAAAAGATGAAAGATAAGTGTTGAGGATGTGAAGAAAAGGAAACCCTTGTACACTGTTGGTGGGCATGTAAATTGGTACAGCCATTACAGAAAGCAGTATGAAGCTTCCTCAAAAAATTAAAAATTGGACTACAGTACCATATGATCCTGCAATCCCACTCCTGGGTCTATATCCAAAAGAAATAAAATCTGTATGTTGAAGGGACACCTACAATCCCATGTTCACTGTAGCATTATTCACAATGTTCAAGATATGGAACAACCTAAGTGTCCATCAAAGGATGACTGGATAAAGAAAATGTGTTATATGTACATAATGGAATACTAATCAGCCTTAGAAAATAAAAAAAATCCTCTCATTTATGACAACATGGATGAACTTGGAGGACATTTTGTTAAGTGAAATAAGTCAGGCACAGAATGACAAATACCACATAATCTCGTATGTGGAGTATTTAAAAACTCAAACTTAGCCAGTGGTTAAGTGGCACATGCCTGTAGTCCATCTACTCCAGGGGCTGAGGCAGGATGATTGCTTAAGTCCAGGAGTTCTGGGCTGTAGTGTGCTATGCCAATAGGGTGTCTGCACTAAGTTCAGCATCAGTAGTAGGTGACCTTTTTGAGAGCAGGGGACCGCTAGGTTTTCTAAGGAGGGGTGAACCAGCCCAGGTCAGAAATGGAGCAGGTCAAATATCCCATGCTTATCAGTGGTAGGATAAGCACTCCAGCCTGGGCAACATAGTGAGACCCCATCTCTTTAAAAAAAAAAAACAAAAACCTCAAACTTAACAGAAATAAGGAATAAAGTGGTACTTACCAGAGGCTGAGGGATGGGAGGATTGGGGAGATATTAGTCAAATGACACAAAATTTCAGGTAGACAGGAGGAGTAAGTTCAGAAGATATATTGTTCACTTTGTTGACTATAGTTAATGACAATATATTATATATTTGAAAATTGCTGAGAGTAGATTTTAAATATTCTCACCATAAAAAAAGTATCTTAGATTATAGATATTTAGATGATGGTTAATTAGCTTGATTTATCCATTTCACAATGTATACACATATTAAAACATCATGTTGTTGTATACCACAAATACATACAATTTTTACTGGTCAATTAAAGTAAAGAAATAAATAATTACAAGTATTGAATACTTAGTTTTACTGATCTCAAGTACTGAAAATATGTCAATACAAAACATACTGAAATACCAAAATACACTGAAATTATACTCCAGTATTTAAATGACCCTTCAGTTTGGTACTGGAGGCCCTTTAAATCAGCTTCCCGTCTACATTTTCCACTATTTCCATCCCAGAGATAGATGTTTTTCTCTATGTGTCCTTTTCCAAATAGACCTTGGATCTGGCTACCTCGATTCCTTTTATCAAGACCCATTTTCCTATTTCTATCTGTAATGTTTATATGAAACAAACACAACTGGTAGAATGGAATCTTAAAGCAAATTCATTTTTGACTGTCTCTTTACATCTCCACTGAGGGGCTGTTCTCCTTGACCCTAGGAAAAAACAGAGGTTGCCCCTCAGAGATATTAAAGGTACTCAGCCATTTTTAAAGTCACAAAACATGGTGGAAATCAGGAATTAAAATGGCAGTCATAGGTAAGAATGATAATTCTTAACCTTGAAGTTTCTCCTCCTCTCCTCCAGTTTGTACTGGCCACAGGCTAGAAGTCTGAAATTTGAAAGTGGGTTAGGGGATAATCTCATGATTCTTCTCCTTTTACCATCTTTCTAAAGCTGATTCTGACCACTCTAGGATCTGGAGCTTAGGAAGGGAGATCAATGAAGGAGTACTAGCAAAGTTCTTAGTTGACTGGTGCTGTGCAGGTGATCAAGTTGGTGCTCTCTGGCCTTTGCAGATGTTTAAAGCTGATTGCTCTTTTAAGGGATTTTCATGGGTTGCTCTGAGACTCTTCCTTTTCCCCACCTTTCTGCAGCCTTAGGTATCCAGCAGCAGTTCATCTCCAGCTTTCCTGTATTGAGGCTCCTCACTCCTGCAGGAGGTCATTATAAACACGGGCTAAGCAACACCACACAACTCCCTTTCCCTCATGGGCCACATCTGGTCCATAGGAAACATGTTTGTCCAGGAAAACTCTGGGAATGCAGCCCCTTCCCCATAACTCAGCACTCTGGATTTAGATTTCTCAAGCATGAACCAGTCAGAAGTCCCCTGTGTCCCTCAAACTTTAGAAGACACATATTAAGCTCCACGGATGGTTCCATAAAAGTTCTGTCCTTTGGTTTGATTTAAGGAGCAGATATCCCTCCTTCCCACCCCCACCCTCTTTCTCCCCCTTTCTCCTCTCCTCTCCTGTCCTTTCCTCTCTTCTTCTCTCCCCTTTTTCCCCCATAATGAGAAGGATAGAATTCTTGGAACCCAATACTTCCCTCCAAAGAAATCCTTTTCAAAAGTCTTCCTGATCTCCAATTCAGCATCCCTTTACGCCATCAGTGTGGGTAATCATTTAAGAGTTACCAACCCAGGGCTAGGCACGGTGGCTCACGCCTGTAATCCCAGCACTTTGGGGGGTCGAGGCTGGCAGATCATGGGGTCAAGAGATCGAGACCATCCTGGCCAACATGGTGAAACCCCGTCTCTACTGAAAATACAAAAATTAGCCAGGTGTGGTGGCACGCGCCTGTAGTCTCAGCTACTTGGAAGCTGAGGCAGGAGAATCGCTTGAACCCAGGAGAAGGAGGTTGCATGGAGCTGAGACCACGCCACTACACTCCAGTCTGATGACAGAGAGAGACTCCATCTCAAAGAAAAAAATAATAAAAAAAGAGTTACCAACCCTTCCACCCCTTTTTACCACCTACTTTGAAAGTGTTTGCATTTTGGTCCAACACATAGCTCTAGAATGTGCCTTAGCTGAAGCTTTCCTTTTAACATCTTGTTACATCCCTAAAGCTCACTTTTATACAACTATCTTTTAAAAAAATCTTCCCCATCACACTCAGGTAGTAATTTTTACTTCTTTGAACTATTAGGTGTCGATCATTATGCCGTTTACATAGCACTTATTTTCTTCCTTGCTTTGTAGGTATTTAAGTCTACTTATTTTTGTCAAAAATATATAAGTTCCTCAAAGGTAGAGACTATGCCTCTTTCATTTTTATATCACAAAAAACTTACACACAGTTTATATGTACTATTTATTATATTTATAAATGGATTGCTCAGTATTACTGCAGATTGTAAAAGTCTTGGAAAATATCTTCAATTCAACATATATTTATTGAATATGTGCTGAATTTCAAGCACTGTGCCCAGTTGAGGATACGGACATGGACAAGACATAATCCTGCTTCTGAAGAGCTTACTATTATCAGAGGAGGCTGGCATACATGAAAAATTGCATTAGTCCACAATAACAGTGTGCTCTAAAGGTTGTGCACAGGAGGGACTGGTTAGTTCTAACCATGAGGCTCAGGGACATCTTCATGAAGTTGGATCTGTCTGAATTGTTTTGTATGTTAAATGAGCTAAAGTTCATGTACCATAAAATTCACCCTTTTGAAGACTACAATTCACTGATTTTTAGTATGTTCACAAAATTGCACAATCATCACCACTATCTAATTCCAGAACTCATTTGTTACCCCAAGCCCATTTGCACTCACTCTTCATTCTTCCCTCCCCTGAACCCCTAGCAACCAGTAAGCTACTTTCTGTCGCTATGGATTCCCTAATTCTAGGCATTTCATATAAATGGAATCATCCGATATATGCATTTTGTGTCTGACTTCTTTCATTTAGCATAATGTTTTTAAGCTTTATTTGTGTTGTAGCATGAATCAGTGCTTCATTTTTATGACAGAGTAATATTCCACAGTATAATATATATTTTATTTATCCATTTATCTGTTGATAGACGTTGTGAATAATGTGCTATGTGAATAATGCTATTCACGTAACACACTATTCTATGCTATTCACATAGCATTCACATAGCATTATATAATGCTATGTGAATAAAGGCTATTATGAACAATGCTGCTATGAACATCTGTGTACAAGTCTTTTAGGAACATGTTTTCAGTTCTCTTGGGTACATACCTAGGAGTAGAATTGGCAGGTCATATGGTACTGAATTGATTTTTGAGGGATCCATAGTTTGCTGGTAACTAGACTAATAAGAGAAAATGGCAACATTATTACATCAAGACACTCAGACTCTCAGTCCAAGTATTTCTAGGTTCAGGAGCCCTCTCTACCTTCCTGTCAGATGTTATTTTAGTACCTTGTGGTTTTAAATCCATGAAATCACTCTACCTCTTTGGTAGGAAATATGACTTTTTCCTTAATGAAATACTCTTTCTGCAACTATGGCTCATTCAAGGTGAGATGTGGTGATTTTAAGGATCCAATCCACTGTTACTCATCTAACCCCACAGTCACTGCTTCATGGACAAGCCCAGAGCTTTTGGCAGGATAAACCAATGGGACATTGGTCTTGGAAAGGCTAGTTCTCCCTGAGCCCTAGAAACAGCTGTGTTATAGCTATGTGCTCAGGATCCCTTAAATTACCTGGAAAGCAATCCATATCCCTCCTCCAACTGCAGAGCTTAGTTTATTAAACTATTTTTCAAATAATTACAAGCGACATACTTTGATATGATTTTTTAACTAACATTATATTGTTTGTTATAGGGGAAGATTTTTTTTTCCCCAAAGGAGGAAGTGGGTAGAATTGGTGGAAAAAACAAACTAAAATAAACTAATGCCTAATTTCTCAAGCCCCTTTCAGAGGCTAATTTATATAGGAGTGCTAAATGAGCCCACTCTCCTGCAATCCTAAAACAGGACAGGCTATATCTGCTCATAGGTATTCTTTTCCTAGGCAATGTTAGTGTATGTGCATACTAATTTTCGAGACCCAGCTCATTTTCGAGGCCACCTTTCCTGAGAAATGCCTTTCCTGGTCCCATAGGCAGAGTGACAGACTTCCATTTACTACACTCCAATCCTTTAGGTGCTGTCTTGGTCTCCTTTAGGTTGGTATTACAGAATGCCACATACTGGTTAATTTATAAAGACAGGGAATTTATTTCTCACAGTTGTGTAGGCTGGGAAGTCCAGTATCAAGACACTGGCATCTGGGAAGAGCCTTTGTGCTGCATCATCCCCTGGTGGAAGGCTGAAGGGCAAGAGAGAGCAGGAGAGGAAAGTTCCTTTATATCAGGAACCTACTCCTAATGACATTAATCTGTCAGTTAGAGCAAAGCACTCATGACTTAATCACCTCTTAAAGATCTCACCTCTCAACATAGTTCAACTGGGGATTAAGTTGCAATATGTGAACTTTGAATGATACATTCAAACCATGGCAGGTGATCGTCTCTAATAAACTTTATTTTGTGTTTGATTCCATTTGTCTGTTTGTGTTCACCGTTCTTTTCATCAGTGCTTTGCTCATAGTAAGCACTAAATAAGTGTTCAATTTAATTATTCTGAAGTGATGACCCTATACTGGTAGAGTGTTAGTCTGCCAGCACATCATGCCAGTTTCAGCTTCGTGAAAGAAGGAACTCACTACCCAGGGAAGCACAATGCTTTGCTAGGTTTATGCTCATACTCTGAGTTTGCACAATGCAGGTAAGACACACAATTCCCAATTTTGTGTTCTCGTCCAGCAAAATTTGTTGGGCATTTACCGTGTTCTGGGTGGGATTCAGAGGTGAATAGGACAGAGTACAATGTGCCAGGCTGCTGTATAATTATTACATTTACTTCCTCCAGTAACAAAGAAAGGTAAGTGTGTTAGTCAGGATTTTTCTGGTTGCAAAAGATAAAAAGACAACTTAATGACATAAAACAAACAAAAAATCAAATGTATTGGCTCATATATCCAAAATATACAGATGTGGACTTCAGGTGCTGCTGGATCCAGGAACTAGATGATCCTATCTTGATGCTATCTCACTCTCCATCTCTTGGCTCTATTTTTCCTGTGTCTTCTTTATTCTCTGGTAGGCTTTCCCTTCATAGTCATTAGTGGCTCCCAGTACCTCCACAATTACCTTCTATCTTGTTGGCAGCCCTTGTCAAAAGAGAAAAATTCTTTCTAGCTGCTCCAGCAAAAGTTTTGGGATTACCTCTGTTGAACTTTCTCAGATCTCAAGCCCATTCCCAAACCAATGGCTGTGCCCAGAGGGAGGAAATACACTGATTGACTAAACCTAGATCATATGTCCTCTTTACTTTTTTAAAAAATTTATTTATATATTTTTTGAGACGGAGTCTGTCACCAGGCTGGAGTGCAGTGGCGTGATCTTGGCTCACTGCAACCTCTGCCTCCCGGGTTCAAGTGATTCTCCTGCCGCAGCCTCCTGAGTAGCTGAGATTACAGGTGCACACCACCACACCTGGCTAATTTTTGTATTTTTAGTAGAGACAGGGTTTCAATATGTTGGTTATGCTGATCTTGAACTTCTGACCTCGTGATCCACTCACCTTGGCCTCCCAAAGTGCTGGGATTACAGGCGTGAGCCACTGTGCCCAGCTGCCCTCTTTAATTTCTAGAGTGGACTCAGACAATTAAACCTTATGGGCGAAGGGTGAAGAAAGGGTAGCTCTCTAGGGTGATTTGGCATCCTATTATGTGAAAGGAAAATGGATACTGGACAGACAGAGACCATTCTGATAGTTATAATAAACTCCACTTTAGAGATAAGGAAATTATGGCTTGGGAAGTTGGCATATGTTACTCAAATTCTCATTGCTAACATGTATTAGTAGAGAGAGGACTAGGACTCATGTCTGTCTGATTTCAAATTCTGGGTAACATGCCATGTAGCCCATGCTTTCAAAGAGCTTATACACCAATGGCCTTACAGCCTTGCCAGTCAGTGGGAATCACTTAAAAAAAATTGTGGTAAAATATACATAACATCAAATTTACCATTTTAACCATTTTGGAAAGTAAAGTTTAGTGATATTAAATACCTCCACCATGCTGTGCAACTGGCACCACCATCCATCTCCAGAAATTTCCATCATATCAAACAAGAACCACCGACTCCTTCCTCCCTCAGACCCTGGAAGCCGCCTTTCTGTGTTCTGTCTTTATGAGTTTGACTACTCTAGGTATCTCATATAAGTGCAATCATATAATATTTGTCCTTTTGTGTTTAGATTATTTCATGTAGCAGAATGTCTTCAAGTTTCATCCATGCTGTAGCATGTATCAGAATTTATTTCCCTTTTAAGGCAGAATAATATTCTGCTGTGTGTACATATCACATTTTGTTGATGGACATTTGGGATTTTTTTCCTATCTTTTGGCTGTTGTAAGTAATGTTGCCATGAACATGGGTGTACAAATGACTGAGTTCTTGTTTTCTATTCTTTTGGGTACATACCCAGAAGTGGGATTGCTGGATCATGTGGTAATTCTATGTTTAACTTTTTAAAGGAGCAACCATAATGTTTTCCACAGTGGCTACACCATTTCACATTCCCACCAGCAATGCACAAGGCCTCCAGTTATTCTACGTCCTTGTCAACACTTGTTATTTTCTTGTTTTTTTTTTTTTTTTTTTTTAATAACAGCCATCCTAATGGGTATGATGTGGTATCTCGTTGGCTTTGATTAGCTATTTTCCTAATGATTAGCGATGCTGAGCTTCTTTTCATGTGATTTTTGGCCATTTGTATATCTTTTTTGGAGAAATGTCTATTCAAGTCCCTTGCCCAGTGTTGAATTGGGTTGTGTGAGTGTTTTGTTGTTGAGTTGCAGGAGCTCTTTATATAGTCCAGGTATCAATCTCTTATCAAGTACTTTATATATGACTTGCAAATATTTCTGCCATTCTGTGAGTTGCCTTTTCACTCTGTTAAAATAGTGTCCTTTGAGACACAAGTTTTTAATTTTGAAGTTCAATTCACCATTTTTTTCTTCTGTTGCCGGTGCTTTTGGTGTTATATCCAGAAATTACTTTTGAAAAGCAAAAAGGACATGTTTAAAAGAATAGCACATGGTCGTTAGTCATAGAACATGTATGCATAAATGTATTGGTCATTTTCTAATTTCAGCCAGTTGAAGTTTAGTTGTAGAAAAGAGAGTGAGCTACCTGAAGGAGCATTTGGGGTAGGATGCTACAATGAGCAAAGAGACTTTTACCAATATTAGAGCAATAACTGTCTGACAGGGAAAGGGAGAAGAGTTGCTAGGAGGGGGAGAGTGATATGTTGAGAAGAAGCAGCACAAATGTTACGTGTTTCACAATTTTAACTACACTGATGAAATGGTCTTACTGAAGTGTGGTGAAAGCAAATGTCATTAAAAATCTGTACAGTACTTTAAAAAAATAGCCTTCAGACTCCTTGGTTCAGTACTGTGAATTAGGGAAGCATGCCATACATGAAAGCATTATAAAAGTGCTACGTAAGATTATATTATTATTGCTAATGTGTTTGTTCAACAAATAAGCATATGAAATTGGAGCACAAGAACACGGACCTAGGAGGGAGGTAACAGACATGGAAAGGCCCCACTCAGATCTCCTTCCCAGGAAAGACTTATAGCCCCAGCTGTGGGGAGTGTAATGAGCACACGTCCTCTAGCTGTAGCTCCCTCAGATTTGGTCTCATCACAGAAAGCACTTCACCTCAGGTCATGACCTTTTGAGTGTATTTGGTGTCTAAGTGAGGTGAGAATATAAAAGCCAGGCCATTTTGACCCAATGTAGGACACCCTTGTTGGTAGTGTTTGTTCTAAAGCTCCCTCAGGTCTGTACTGCAGTTTAACTTCTTCCTCTGCTTAATCCTCCCTCTGCCTTCTTCCTTTCACAGGTGTTGATCCTGAATAAACATCTTACACCCAAACTTCAACTCAATATCTGCCTCCAAAGAACCCAACCTGTGACAAGTGATTTTAGAGATTACCTAACCCAAACTCTTTCTGAAATAATAAAGTTTATTTTTTCCAAATTCAAAATTATTCTTCTTTTAGAATGAGGTGATTATTCAAGTAGAAAGAAAAACATCGCTAACAATGTTGGCAGCCATCTTTGGAGACCACTTGCCGTAACTGTAAGTAATGGTTTTAATCTTTGGGTGTATCATAATATACTTATCCCTTGAACAATTAATACTTTTTCTAGTAGTTTTTTCTAGTTTTTCACTAGTTTAAGTAGTGCTACAATAAATATCTTTGTGCAATAAAGGTTTTTATGTATTCTAAATTATTTTCTTAGGATAGATTCCCAGGTGTAGAATTCTGGTTTGCAGAGTATGATTTTTTTTTTTTTTTTTTTTGAGACAGAGTCTTGCTCTGTTGCTCAGGCTGGAGTGCAGTGGTGCGATCTCGGCTCACTGCAAGCTCCACCTCCCAGGTTCGTGCCATTCTCCTGCCTCAGCCTCCCGAGTAGCTGGGACTACAGGTGCCCGCCACCATGCCCTGCTTATTTTTTGTATTTTTAGTAGAGACGGGGTTTCACCATATTAGCCAGGATGGTCTCGATCTCCTGACCTCGTGATCCGCCCACCTCAGCCTCCCAAAGTACTGGGATTACAGGCATGAGCCACTGCACCCGGCCCAGAATTTGATTTTTGTTGTTGTTGTTGTTGAGACGGTCTCACTCTGACACCCAGGCTGGGTTGCAGTAACATGATCATAGCTCACTGCAGCCTCATATTCCTTGGCTTAAGCAATCCTCCTGCCTGAGTCTCCCAAGTAGTTGGGACTACAGACACATGCCACCATGCCTGGCTAATTTTTTTTCTTTTTCTAGAGGCAGAGTCTTGCTATGTTGCCCAGACTGGTCTCAAACTCCTGGGCTCAAGCAATTCTCCTGCCTCAGCCTCCCAAAGTGTTGAGATTACAGGCATGAGTAACTGTGCCCACCCAGGTATGCCATTTTCAGTGCTCTTGATGGATAGTTTTCCAAAGGCTTGAATCAGTTTTTATTGTCAACAGAGTACAGCAGGGCATCAGGAAGCCCATTTCAATACATTTTTCTATCATTTTATAGAAGAGATAATTACTGGTTAAATATTAATTTGTGACAGTGTTGAGTCTTTTGCTTCTTAGGTGAGATTAATTCCCTTTGGTCCATATGTGTAGAAAACCTGAAACTGTAAAGTGTAAAGCTCTTCTCATCAGCTTACCAGTATTCCTTACTCTCAGGCATGGAATGCCAACCCCCAAAGGATGCTTTTGTGAGGACAAAAGTGAGCAGGTGGTGACGGTAAAAGATACAGAGATTCCTCCCTGGAGAGCAATAGAAATCAGGAGGCAGTGGTCTCGATGAAAACCAGCAGAAGTGAATAGGGACCCATGTACTAGTTGAATCCATGTATTTCCAACATGGTGCGACGTGTATGTGGTAGCAGTGGACCCAAACACCACAGAAAACTTGGGGCAGCCACACAATGGTGTTATTTCAGTCTATAACAATGTTCCATAACCACCTTTTTTTTTACTTAATATGTCATACATTTTCCATGTTATTAAATGTCTATGTGTGATTTAAATCATTTATATTATGTTAAATAAAGCATATAGATTCTGAGATAAGTACTAATACTTTCATTTTAAAGATGGGCAAACTGATGTGCAGAAAGTTTAAAAACGTCTACCATTCCCACAACTAGTAAGTGAGGGGCTCATATTGAAATCCAGTCGGGGCTGACTCCAAAAGCCAGGATTTTCTCACTACACTATGTTGATCCTCAGGGCATAAAAAAACCAGGCCCAGCACATACCCTCTACTTTTGATATCTGGCAGAAGGCCTGGGGAGCGAGGTGTCTGTATGAGAAAGCAGAGTGGTCGAAATACAGCCCCTACCACCATCTTCTTGAAATCGTTCTATTATTTTGCAGTTAACAAGCTGATGGCAATTTAAATTCAGTTCAGGTGTTTAAATACTAGACACTGGGAACACACAGATAAACAGGGATGCCAGTTTAAACAGCTGTATCTGCTTCAACACATTTCAGAAGCAGGAGCAACAGGGAGACCAAATTAAGGCCTGGCACCTTGTGTGCTAGAGACAGATTCTCAGAGTGAGCCCGTGGAGCCCACCACACTCATACCCCACCGCTAGTTCTGCCATGTGCACTGCTTCTGCCACAGAAATGTAGCCTAATTTGAATGGCACAGTCTGTTAGACTCCTCTTGATACCAAAGGAAGGCTTCTCTCTGTCTTTTAGTGATGAAGACACCAGTTGCCCCGCTTCTCTTTTCTTTCCTTTTTTTCCCCCCAATTGGCATCATTTGCTAAGCCCCTCTAAGTACCCAATTCAGGCAGGACATTAGAATTTGCCTCTCAGAGAGGATGCCTCTGACTCCCTCTAGAGGGCACTTGCTGCCAGTTATGGGCTAAGTGCCATTGCTGGGAGGATTCTGTGATCAGCCGGCTGTCAGATTCACGGAAGGCTCCTGGCGCTTGTTGGTTGGTTTGTTCTAGAGAAACAGTTGGAGAGTGTTTCCTTGGGCAGCTGGGAGAGGTGGGGGGACTCCCTGCCCACCTCAATCTCCTCAACACCCCTCCATCCCTCCCCTCCCTGACTGGGCCTTCACTCAGCAGGCCCTTCTAGAGGGCGGAGGCCAAAGGGTGTCACCCGCTTTCATGAACAATGCTGCCTGGAGCCTGTGGTGTTTAGAGGAGTAGATTTAACCACAGAGGGTTTGTGGGAACTCCTAGTTCAGAACACAAGGGAGGAGAGAACAGAACATTGAGATGCAAAGATTTATGAGGGAGAAAGACTCATGTAAGAAAAGGAAATTAGAAACCAAGCAAGCAGAATATTCCAAAGACAGCCACATACCACCCATAATAATGAAGTTTCCATGACTCTCTTTGGCTCAGATAGGTCTGCTTAATAATTAATATGGCAACTCTCCCTCTCTCTGCAAACAGGTGGCTGTACAGGGCTTGGCAAATATTTCCTTATTGCTCCCTTTACTTTCTCCGAGAGGAAGGTTGGGTGGTCCAGAGGATTTCCCAGATGGAGCAGCAGGCTTCCCATGCCTGCCATTTGCATAAGGTAACAGAGTGAGACAAGAGCAGTTCTGGGACTGGCAGGCAGAGTTCCTTAGTGCCATGCGCACAGTGGCAAGATCCCTCAGGCACCTCAGGAGAGTGGGATCAAGGCCGAGAGGGTAGGCGAATGTCGGTACATGAATGGATTTTGAAATGGAGGCAGCACTTGTCATGTGCCAGCTTCCTTTGGAAAATGATGCTACAGAGATCCCATCACTGGTTGGGTCTTGTCCAGCTGCTTTGTGGAGGGAAGGATGAACAGGACATGCTCTCCTTTGTGCCACCACCCCAGTCAGGTTTGTTCCTCTCCATCTCTGGACTCGTTGTTAGTCTTCCCTGGCTTCACCTTCTCCTCTTCAGTCTAGACTGTACATACTGCTGCCAGAAATATCTTCCCAAAATACTGCTTCTGCCATGTCCCTCCCCAGATAGAAAACCTATGGAGGAAGTCACAAACAAGTCATATCAGTCCTGTAGATATGCTTTGTTTCAAGTATGTGATGTTTTAAGAAATATTTTGAATTTGTTTCCAACACGGAAAAAAGGAAAATCTTAGATAAAAATCTGAATTTCTAGCTTTTGGTGGGGGGAGAACTAGGTGATCTGGCAATTCTATACCTGTATTTCCACATTGCAGTTGACTGGAGTGAAGTAGCAACTGCTGCCTTCAGACAGGGCACTGATGATGTTGAGCATCTTTTCATGCACTTATTAGTCATTCATATATCTTCTTTGGTGAAATATCTGTTCAAATCTTTTGTCTATTTTTTAAAAAATGAATTATTTGTCTTCTTATCATTGAGTTATCAGAGCTCTCCTTCACTTTTTACTAGATAATTCTTCTTTACTCCAATTCTCTGTTATGGTGAATAATTCCTTATATTACACTTTCCCTGCTCATATTACTATGTGGTATCTCTCTTTATTGGATTCCAATTTATACACATGGCTACTAATATTTATACTCTGTTAAGCCAGCAAGAAATGCTCAGAACGTAAGTAAGAAAAAGAAAGTGTTTGAGCTAGACAGATTTGCGTTTGGATCCCAGTTTTGTCACCTCTATGTGGCTATAGACAAGGCATTTCATCTTTCTGAACTTGCCTGTTATTACCTTTAAAATATGAAAATAATGGCCACCTCGCAGGATTTTCTTAAAGATTAGAGATAATATACGAAAGTAGCTTATCACAGAGATTGGCAGTTAGTAACAACTCAAAAAATGATAGCCAAAAATAGCAGCAGCAAGTGACCAAGAGCTGAAAATAAGTCTTAGGGTTTCTACAGGTGAGAGTAATATTCATTTAAGCTACATTTGATAACAAGGTCCTTGTTATTTAGCAAAAAGTACCCCTTAAGTGGCACCTGTGTGCCACTATAGCTAAAGAGATGCCAAAGAGAAGCTGGATGATGATGGCCCAGGAAGGTCCTCATGCCATGACCACGCTTTGGGAGCTCATCATAAATATGAAGACTGGTCTTCAGCTTCATAGGATCCATTTTATCAGTACCCCAGGAGTGTCCAAGCTTTAGAAGGCTGACGTATGTCAACTAAACTCACGTAGTTAGTCTTCAGGATAACTGGAGTGACTCTCTTTTAGGGATTGATTCATTATTCAGTTGCTGCCTATTATGAAAGTTAAAAAAAATTACTTATTCTTATATTCAACCCAACTATTTATGGAGACACAACCTCAAACTAAAATGATCAAGTTGCTATTGAAAAAAACATAAATTACAAGATACCACAGGCACTGTGATATCACTAAAATGCAATGACAATAATTATTTAGCTTACCAGCTGATTTGGACATTTTATATATTTAAGTTTTGTGCATGATTAGAACCAGAATCAGGAATAGACACAATGAAGGTGTCATAGAGTGGTAATTCATAGGTTTTCAAGTAGTGGCTTGATCTTTGCCTGAATGGAGTGGGAAAACTGCCAGCTAGAGGCCTGTAAACAGCATCTGCACTCAGATGAGGATACTGGAGTGTGTTAAGATCCTTCTCTTGTTTTGAGACCCTTCTGTTCTGAGAGAGTCTTGTAAGTGATCTCTTTGGTCAGGCAGATGTAAGGTAAGAATCCACTTGTCCTTGGGGAAACCTGCTAAGTATTCTATTTGGATCTATTATCTGGAGTGTGACCTCAGATTTAGGACATTTTTTTCTACACATGGATTTGAGCTGTGGTATTCTGAGCATTCTATGTGTATGAAATGCATAGGGGTTTTGCTCAAGCATTTGCACACTGAACGCAGGAGGCAAGGTTATGGCAGGTATGATGCACAGGACTTATTGTCTCTTTACTGCACACAAGATAAAAGACTGGAGAGGATGTGGACTGTTTGTTGTGCCACATGGTTTTATTTAGTACAGAATAGGCCATTTTTGTTACAGAATAGGGCCTCACTGTGCCCTGTAAGAGAATGGAAGACAATAGATGCTCTACAGAGACAGAGAAATGAGGTGGGCTTTGGACTGAAAATGAGGGAGATCTTTGGGTCTGGTGGAAATTGAGCCTAGATTCTGAGCATGGAGATATAATGGCATTTGTCAGCTACTCTCTGTTGTATGTCTTTGTTCCAAGGGCATTTATTACACACCCAGATTAGATTCAGATTAGCCACATTTGGGGAGCTAAGGAACATGGCTATATGCATATTTAAGGCACTACATGTAGAGGGAGTTGGTATTCCTGGAGTTACAAGACAACAAGAGGTGAAAGCAGGAGCATGGCACCTCAATATTCTGGGGGGCAAGGGCTCGGACTGAGATGGCACGTGACAAGCAGAGAGGGTTTATGGAACCGGGGAGGTTTTCTCAGTGACCACTGGAGGTACTTGAGGAGGCGAACCTGATAAAAGGCACTTTCTGCAGCCCTAGAGGATGCTTGATAGGAATTTAGCTATTGTTATTTGTGTATTAAAAGGCCAGAGAATTTGAGTACTTCTGTGCTACATAAATATACATATTTTAACACCATAGGTATAACAAGATCACTGACACTATTAGAAGCAGAAGCTCAATTCTAGGACAATATTATGAACTGGCTTTCCAAATCATTCCTAATAATGAGTAGCAACACAGAAAAGACCTTTTTTCCCCTCTATTTTCCTTCCTTTTCTCTTGCTGAGCTTGGAAATCTGGGTGAGGATCAAACAGTCCTTGCTTATGGTTCATATGGGGCTCTGCTCTCTGGAGCTCCTCCTAACAGCATATCATGCTTCATGACTCCTGCAACCGACTAGCTCTGATGCTCTGATCTGACAGGTTTCTATTCTTGATGTTTGTTTTGCTATGCATTATACATTACCCCATGCTTATGAAGAACTGGCCATTCTATCTGACTTAGGCCTTCGTGGTTTCCTTGGACTTTTAGTAGTCTCTGACCTTCTTTACCTTCTCCTTTTTTTCTTCTTTCCTCCTCTTCCTTATTCTAGAAAAGATTTTCCTTCCTGTAAGGGATAGCTTTAAAAAAATTTAAAGTGCGTATACAGATATAGTTAATCAAGATTAAATTAAAGGTAGATGAATAAAAGAAAGGAAAAACAAGGACGAGGAACAAGGGGGATACAAAAATGTATCCCTAATGATTCCAACTCTTGATTACTGGTGGGCCACCAATTGATGCCAAGCTTCCCGGAGATCACTTGAAAAGGTGGGAGCTTATTAAGTGCCCAAGCCACAGGGGTCACGAGGTGAAAACCAGCAAAACAACTTATTCCTAATATTAAAACCAGAAAGAAAATTATCTTAAGACACGCCATAAGGAAGATCTTGTGTAATATCATGAAAAGGGTCTTCAGTAACAACTCTTTACTGTAGGCACTGGGATGGAACTCATTAGGGGTAACTGCACCAAAGCTCAAGAAAAGCAATTCTCTGCTAGGTGCAGTGGCTCACACCTGTAATCCCAGTACTTTGGGAGGCCAAGGTGGGCAGATCACTTGAGGTCAGGAGTTTGAGACCAGCCTGGCCAACGTGGTGAAGCCCTGTCTCTACCAAAAAATACAAAAATTAGCCGGGTGTGGTGGTATGCACCTGTAATCCCAGCTACTGGGAAAGCTGAGGTGGGAGAATTGCTTGAACCCGGGAGGTGGAGGTTGCAGTTAGTGGAGATCAAGCCACTGTACTCCAGCCTGGGCAACAGAGCAAGACCCTGTCTACAAAAAAAAAAAAAGAATTTTTTCCTTTTTTTTTATTATACTTTAAATTCTAGGGTACATGTGCACAACATGCAAGTTTTTACATAGGTATACATGTGCCATGTTGGTTTGCTGCACCCATTAACTCGTCATTTACGTTAGGTATTTCTCCTAACGCTATCCCTCCCCCTGCCCCCAACCCCACAACAGGCCCCTGGGTGTGATGCTCTCCGCCCTGTGTCCAAGTCTTCTCATTATTCAATTCCCACCTATGAGTGAGAACATGAGGTGTTTGGTTTTCTGTCCTTGTGACAGTTTCCTCAGAATGATGATTTCCAGCCACATCCATGTCCCTGCAAAGGACATGGATGCATCCTTTTTTATGGCTGCATAGTATTCCATGGTGTATATGTGCCACATTTTCTTAATCCAGTCTATCATTGATGGACATTTGGGTTGGTTCCAAGTCTTTGATATTGTGAGTAGTGCTGCAATAAACATACGTGTGCATGTGTCTTTATAGCAGCATGATTTATAATCCTTTGGGTGTATACCCAATAATGAGATCGCTGGGTCAAGTGGGATTTCTAGTTCTAGATCCTTGAGGAATCACCACACTGTCTTCCACAGTGGTTGAACTAGTTTACACTCCCACCAACAGTGTAAAAGCATCCCTATTTCTCCAAGTCCTCTCCAGCATCTGCTGTTTCTTGACTTTTTAATGATCGCCATTCTAACTGGTGTGAAATGGTATTTCATTGTGGTTTTGATTTGCATTTCTCTGATGACCGTGATGATGAGCATTTTTTCATCTGTCTGTTGGCAGCATAAATGTCTTCTTTTGAGAAGTGTCTGTTCATATCCTTTGCCCACTTTTTGATGGGGTTGTTTGTTTTTTTCTTGTAAATTTGTTTAAGTTCCTTGTAGATTCTGGATATTAGCCCTTTGTCAGATGGATAGATTGCAAAGATTTTCTCCCATGCTCTAGGTTGCCTGTTCACTCTGATGGTAGTTTCTTTTGCTGTGCAGAAGCTCTTTAGTTCAATTAGATTCCATTTGTCTATTTTGACTTTTGTTGCCATTGCTTTTGTTGTTTTAGACATGAAGTCCTTGCCCATGCCTATGTCCTGAATGGTATTGCCTAGGTTTTCTTCTAGGGTTTTTATGGTTTTAGGTCTAACATTTAAGTCTTTAATCCATCTTGAATTAATTTTTGTATAAGGTTTAAGGAAGGGATCCAGTTTCAGCTTTCTACATATGGCTAGCCCATTTTCCCAGCACCATTTATTAAATAGGGAATCCTTTCCCTATTTCTTGTTTTTGTCATGTTTGTCAAAGATCAGACAGTTGTAGATGTGTGGTGTGGTGTTATTTCTGAGGCCTCTGTTCTGTTCCATTGATCTATATCTCTGTTTTGGTACGAGTACCATGCTGTTTTGGTTACTGTAGCCTTGAAGTATAGTTTGAAGTCAGGTAGCATGATGCCTCCAGCTTTGTTCTTTTTGCTTAGGATTGTCTTGGCAATGTGGGCTCTTTTTTGGTTCCATATGAACTTTAAAGTAGTTTTTCCCAATTCTGTGAAGAAAGTCATTGGTAGCTTTATGGGGACGGCATTGAATCTATAAATTACCTTGGGCAGTATGACCATTTTCATGATATTGATTCTTCCTATCCATGAGCCTGGAATGTTCTTCCATTTGTTTGTGTCCTCTTTTATTTTGTTGAGCAGTGGTTTGTAGTTCCCCTTGAATGGTTCCTTCACATCCCCTGTAAGTTGGATTCCTAGGTATTTTATTCTCTTTGTAGCAACTGTGAATGGGAGTTCACTCATGATTTGACTCTCTGTTTGTCTGTTATTGGTGTATAGGAATGCTTGTGATTTTTGCACATTGATTTTGTATCCTAAGATTTTGCTGAAGTTGCTTATCAGCTTAAGGAGATTTTGGGCTGAGACGATGGGGTTTTGTAAATATACAATCATGTCATCTGCAAACAATTTGGGACAATTTGACTTCTTCTTTTCCTAATTGGATACTCTTTATTTCTTTCTCTTGTCTGATTGCCCTGGCCAGAACTTCCAACACTATGTTGAATAGGAGTGGCGAAAGAGGGCATCCTTGTCTTGTGCCAGTTTTCAAAGGAAATGCTTCCAGTTTTTGCCCAATCAGTATTATATTGGCTGTGGCTTCATCATAAATAGCTCTTATTATTTTGAGATACATTCCATCAATACCTAGTTTATTGAGAGTTTTTAGCATGAAGGGCTGTTGAATTTTGTCGAAGGCCTTTTCTGCATCTATTAAGATAATCATGTGGTTTTTGTTGTTTGTTCTGTTTCTGTGATGGATTATGTTTATTGATTTGCATATGTTGAACCAGCCTTGCACCCCAGGGAGGAAGCCAACTTGATCGTGGTGGATAAGCTTTTCGATGTGCTGCTGGATTCGGTTTGCCAGTATTTTATTGAGGATTTTCGCATCAATATTCATCAGGGATATTGTTCTAAAATTCTCTTATTTTGTTGTGTCTCTGCCAGGCTTTCGTATCAGGATGATGCTGGCCTCATAAAATGAGTTAGGGAAGATTCCCTCTTTTT
Source organism: Homo sapiens (assembly GCF_000001405.40). Classification (NCBI taxonomy): domain Eukaryota; kingdom Metazoa; phylum Chordata; class Mammalia; order Primates; family Hominidae; genus Homo; species Homo sapiens. The sequence continues at coordinate 147,707,547 of NC_000001.11, forward strand.
CTGTTGATTTTCCGGAATAGTTTCAGAAGGAATGGTACCAGCTCCTCTTTGTACCTCTGGTAGAATTCAGCTGTGAATCTGTCAGGTCCTGGACTTTTTTTGGTTGGTAGGCTATTAATTATTGCCTCAATTTCAGAGCCTGTTATTAGTCTATTCAGAGATTCAACTTCTTCCTGATTTAGTCTTGGGAGGGTGTATGTGTCCAGGAATTTATCCATTTCTTCTACATTTTCTAGTTTACTTGCGTAGAGGTGTGTATAGTTTCTCTGATGGTAGTTTGTATTCCTGTGGCATTGGTGGTGATATCCCCTTTATCGTTTTTTATTGCATCTATTTGATTCTTTTCTCTTTTCTTCTTTATTAGTCTTGCTAGAAGTCTATCAATTTTGTTGATCTTTTCAAAAAACCAGCTCCTGGATTCATTGATTTTTTGAAGTGTTTTTTTGTGTCTCTGTCTCCTTCAGTTCTACTCTGATCTTAGTTATTTCTTGCTTTCTCCTAGCTTTTGAATTTGTTTGCTCTTACTTCTCTAGTTCTTTTCATTGTGATTCTAGGATGTTGATTTTAGATCTTTCCTGCTTTCTCTTGTGGGCGTTTAGTGCTATAAATTTTCCTCTACACACTGCTTTAAATGTGTCCCAGAGATTCTGGTACAATGTGTCTTTGTTCTCATTAGTTTCAAAGAACATCTTTATTTCTGCCTTCATTTCACTATTTACCCAGTAGTCATTCAGGAGCAGGTTGTTCAGTTTCCATGTAGTTGTGTGGTTTTGAGTGAGTTTCTTAATCCTGAGTTCTAATTTGATTGCACTGTGGACTGAGAGACAGTTTGTTGTGATTTCTGTTCTTTTACATTTGCTGAGGAGTTCTTTACTTCCAACTATGTGGTAAATTTTGGAATAAGTGTGATGTGGTGCTGAGAAGAATGTTTATTCTGTTGATTTGGGATGGAGAGTTCTGTAGATGTCTATTAGGTCTGCTTTCCTGGATATCCTTGTTAACCTTCTGTCTTGTTGATCTGTCTAATATTGACAGTGGGGTGTTAAAGTCTCCCATTATGATTGTGTGGGAGTCTAAGTCTCTTTGTAGGTCTCTAAGGACTTGCTTTATGAATGTGGGTGCTCCTGTATTGGGTGCATATATATTTAGGATAGTTAGCTCTTCTTGTTGAATTGATCCCTTTACCATTATATAATGGCTTTCTTTGTCTCTTTTGATCTTTGTTGGTTTAAAGTCTGTTTTATCGGAGACTAAGATTGCAACCCCTGCCATTTTTTGTTTTCCATTTGCTTGGTAGATCTTCCTCCATCCCTTTATTTTGAGCCTATGTGTGTCTCTGCACGTGAGATGGGTCTCCTGAATACAGCCAACTGATGGGTCTTTATCCAATTTTCCAGTCTGTGTCTTTTAATTGGGGCATTTAGCCCATTTACATTTAAGGTTAATATTGTTATGTGTGAAATTGATCCTGTCATTATGATGTTAGTTGCTTATTTTGCTCATTAGTTGATGCAGTTTCTTCCTAGCTTCGATGGTCTTTACAATTTGGCTTGTTTTTGCAGTGGCTGGTACCAGTTGTTCCTTTCCATGTTTAGTGCTTCCTTCAGGAGCTCTTGTAAGGCAGGACTCGTGTTGACAAATTCTCTCAGCATTTGCTTGTCTGTAAAAGATTTTATTTCTTCTTCACGTATGAAGCTTAGTTTGGCTGGATATGAAATTCTGGGTTAAAAATTCTTTTCTTTAAGAATGTTGAATATTGGCCCCTGCTCTCTTCTGGCTTATAGAGTTTCTGCTGAGAGATCTGCTGTTATAGAGTTTCTGCTGAGAGATCTGCTGTTAATCTGATGGGCTTCCCTTTGTAGGAAGGGGTGGCCTGCCCCTCCACACCTGTGGGTATTTCTAGTCGGGTGGGACAAGAGACTGAGAAAAGAAATAAGACACAGAGACAAAGTGTAGAGAAACAAGAGTGGGTCCAGGGGACCGGCGCTCAGCATACTAAGGACCTGCACCGGCACTGGTCTCTGAGTTCCCTCAGTTTTTATTGATAATTATTTTCATTATTTCAGCAAAAAGGAATGTAGTAGGAGAGCAGGGTGATATAAGGAGAAGGTCAGCAAAAAACATGTGAGCAAAAGAATCTATGTCATAATTAAGTTCAAGAGAAGGTACTATGACTGGACGTGCACGTAAGCCAGATTTATGTTTCTCTCCACCCAAACATCTCAGCGGAGTAAAGAATAACAAGGCAACATTGCTGCAAACATGTCTCACCTCCCACCATAGGGCGGTTTTTCTGCTATCTCAGAATTGAACAAATGTACAATCGGGTTTTATACCGAGACATTCAGTTCCCAGGCAGGCAGGAGACAGTGGCCTTCCTCTATCTCAACTGCAAGAGGCTTTCCTCTTTTACTAATCCACCTCAGCACAGACCTTTTATGGGTGTCGGGCTGGGGGACGGTCAGGTCTTTCTCATCCCACAAGGCCATATTTCAGACTATCACATGGGGAGAAACCTTGGACAATACCCCGCTTTCAAGGGCAGAAGTCCCTGTGGCTTTCCGCAGTGCATTGTGCCCTGGTTTATTGAGACTAGAGAATGGCGATGACTTTTACCAAGCATACTGCTTGTAAACATTTTGCTAACAAGGCATGTCCTGCATAGCCCTAGATCCCTTAAACCTTGATTTCATACAACACATGTTTTTGTGAGTTCCAGATTGGAACAAAGTGGTTGGGTCAAAGTGGCTGGGGCAAAGCTACAAATTAACAATATCTTAGCAAAGCAGTTGTTCAAAGTACAGGTCTTTTTCAAAATGGAGTCTCTTATGTCTTTCCTTTCTACATAGACACAGTAACAGTCTGATCTCTCTTTCTTTTCCCTACAGTGGGTAACCTGACCTTTCTCTCTGGCTGCCCTTAACATTTTTTCCTTCATTTCAACCTTGGAGAATCTGATAATTATGTGTCTTGGGGTTGCTCTTCTCAAGGAGTATCTTTGTGGTGGTCTCTGTATTTCCTGAATTTGAATGTTGGCCTGCCTTGCTAGGTTCGGGAAGTTCTACTGGATTATATCCTGAAGAGTGTTTTCCAACTTGGTTCCGTTCTCTCCATCACTTTCAGGTACACCCATCAAATGTAGATTTGGTCTTTTCACATAGTCCCATATTTCTTGGAGGCTTTGTTCATTTCTTTTTACTCTTTTTTCTCTAAACTTCTCTTCTCACTTTATTTCATTAATTTGATCTTCAATCATAGATACCCTTTCTTCCACTTGATTGAATCAGCTATTGAAGCTTGTGCATGCGTCATGTAGTTCTCATGCTATGGTTTTCAGCTCCATGAGGTCATTTAAAATCTTCTCTACACTGTTTATTCTAGTTAGCCATTCGTCTAATCTTTTTTCAAGGATTTAGCTTCCCTGCGATGGGTTTGAACATCCTCCTTTAGCTCAGAGAAGTTTGTTATTACCAACCTTCTGAAGCCTACTTCTGTCAGCTCATCAAAGTCATTCTCCATCCAGCTTTGTTCCATTGCTGGCGAGGAGCTGCAACCCTCTGGAGGAGAAGAGGTGCTATGGTTTTTAGAATTTTCAGCTTTTCTGCTCTGGTTTCTCCCCATCTTTGTGGTTTTATCTACCTTTGGTCTTTGATGTTGGTGACCTACAGATGGGGTTTTGGTGTGGATGTCCTTTTTGTTGATGTTGGTGCTTTTCCTTTCTGTTTGTTAGTTTTCCTTCTAACAGTCACGTCCCTCAGCTGCAGGTCTATTGGAGTTTGCTGGAGGTCCACTCCAGACCCTGTCTGCCTGGGTATCACCAGCAGAGGCTGCGGAACAGCAAATATTGCAGAACAGCAAATATTGCTGCCTGATCCTTCCTCTGGAAGCTTCATCACAGAAGGGCACCCACCTGTATGAGGTGTCAGTTGGCCCCTACTGGGAGGGGGTCAGGCTACACGGGGGTCAGGGGCCCACTTGATGAGGCAGTCTGTCCATTCTCCGAGCTCAACCGCTGTGCTGGAGAACCACTGCTCTCTTCAGAGCTCTCAGACAGAGACGTTTAAGTCTGCAGAAGTTTCTGCTGCCTTTTGTACAGCTATGCCCTGCCCTCAGAGGTGGAGTCTACAGAGACACAGGCCTTGCTGAACTGTGGTGGGCTCTGCCCAGTTCAAGCTTCCTGGCCACTTTGTTTACCTACTCAAGCCTCAGCAATGGCGGATGCCCCTCTCCCTGCTGGGCTGCTGCCTCGCAGGTGGATCTCAGACTGCTGCACTAGCAGTGAGCAAGGCTGTGTGGGTGTGGGACCACTGAGCCTGGGTAACCATAGTGAGACCTCATCTCTACAAAAAATAAATTTTAAAAAACTGGCCAGGTGTGGCACACACCTAAAGTCCTAGCTAATTGGGAGTCTGAGGCAGGAGGATTGCTTGAGCCCAGCAGTTCAAGGCTGCAGTGAGCCAAGATTGCACCACTGCACTCAAGCCTGGGTAACAGAGCAAGACCCTGTCTCTACAGAAATGGGTGGGTTCTGTATCTGTATCATGTTTTGGAGAGTACATGAGAAATCATATGTGAATCCTCTAGCACAGTGTGCCTGGCAAATGGGAGGCAATTTATAAATCTTAGTTCTTCTCCATCCCTCTTTCTTCCCTTCTCCTTTAACACAATATGGTGTTTATACTTAAAGACTTGTTAAATCTGGTGCAGTACTTATTTCACATATGATTTCTCTTTATAAAGAGACTATTGTCTTCAACTCTTTAAGCCTCTCCTCTCAAATTATAGATCATAGTGCTTTGGACATAGTAGGAATGCAGTACCTATGGGCTGAGTGATTCCAATTGGAATGTCATGAAAAGGAGGAGTAGAACAGGGTCCTCATGGCAGTCACTTAAAGTCGTGGCAGGACCCTGTTCCCAAGGGCCCCTCGTGCCATTCTCCAAAAGCTATTTCCCCTGTCAGAGTAGGACTGAGAGAGAGACAGAGAGAGTGAAGGTGACAGAAAGAGAGAGAGGGAGGGGAAGAGAGAAGCAAGGTAGTGGGTAGGAGGTAGGGGGAAGCTGGAACAGTCTTTTTTTTCTCCTCACTCAACTTCAGTAAATAACTCAAATATTTTAATAGCCTGATTTTCTCAGTTCTCTTATAATTTAATTTGAGGGCTTTGGTAATGCACAGTGTTAGTACAATAAGGATTTTTTCTTAAATAAAGAGAAGCTTTGTGTTTGAATGAAAATCACATACAGAAGGAATCTAATTTTTTAAGAAAATCTCTTTGTTGTAGTACATTTCTCAAACATTAGTCAAACACTCCCTCTGCCACTTTCTCCACCAACCTCCCCCAGTGCCACCTAAAGAGACTTGAAAATAACTCATGATGTTTAGGGAAAATCAGCAGGCTATTTAACTTTTCCTAGATGGGTCATAATAAAAAAAAAAAGAGAGAAATAGTCTCCCCTCAGTTTATGGAACAAAGGGGAGGTAGGGAGAGCCTAGGATGGAGGAGCTAAGTCAGCCTTCCTGTTTAGGGAGCTCAAGCATATCAAAGCATGTCGGAGTATGCAGGGTACCCCACCACTGGTTCTGTTTGAATAGGGGCCTTATAAGCCTCAAGGGAGACGAGACCAATTGGAGCTAATGACTGCCTGCTGTAATAATTGTAGATAGTAAGAGAGATGCCATTTTTTAAAATTATACTTTAAGTTCTAGGGTACATGTGCACAACGTGCAGGTTTGTTACATATGTATACATGTGCCATGTTATTGTGCTGCACCCATTAACTCATCATTTACATTAGGTATTTCTCCTAATGCTATCCCTCCCCCCTCCCCCCACCCCACAACAGGACCTGGTGTGTGATGTTCCCCACCCTGCATCCAAGTGTTCTCATTATTCAATTCCCACCTACGAGTGAGAACATGCAGTGTTTGGTTTTCTGTCCTTGTGGTCTTTTGCTAACCATCATTCTGAACCGTCGTTCTGAGAGATGCCTTTTAAAGTTCCACACTGAAACATTTTACCTGGAGGAAAGGGATAGACACATGTACCAATTCAATTTAGGGACACTGGGTATAAGTGGAGGAATGATTTTGAATATAACATTGAGTGATGATATACAATATAGTATGCCCTCCTGGAAAAACCTCAAGGGATTCTCTGTCTTTGCTGGTTCTGACCACTTTGGGCACCTTTGAACCACTTCAAAAGTTGTGTAAGGTCCATCCAATCCAGATCCCTCTCTATAAGAAAAGTATCTTTTTACCTTGGAACCTTATGAAGATGGCTGAATTAATTAAGAATAATTGAGCCCATATTCTGGAGTTAGAATTTTATATCTTTACCATATGGCTAAGTCACACATAAATGCATACACAAATTATAAAGGATATAAAGTAGACATGCTAAAGAACTGATAAAAATCCTTAGGTCTGGCAAGAGAATTACCAGTGTTCTGGTCAAATTCATAATTCTCTTATTCTAGTTCTATAGATTCCCTCCTGTGTGCCATGCCATTTTTTCTAAACAACAGGCTATGCTGAGGTACGTTTTTCCTCTCCTGGGACTTTTATTTTCTGTCTTTCTTATGTACTGGCTAGAGGTTCATTTTATGCACAGTTTCTATCAGTATATTGCCAGGAAAATCTTTGACTTCCTCCAATAAGCAAAGATAAATAATCAGACAAGAACTGCCATAGCCTCCTACCGCTACATCTACTCTCCTACAATATCTGTCCCATATACTCTTGCCTTTCTGCTTCTAACACAGATGAACCCTCTGTCTCCTCTTTAAGTCTGACTCTTCTGCCTCTGTCTTCAATCCCATCCCCTTTCACCTACTCAAGGATATTGCTTAGCAATTTTCCTTATCTTTGTCTCTTTATCATCTATCATCACTGCATCGTTCTCATTAGCTTGCCCACATGCTATTATTTCTCCCATCTGAAAAATAAATCTTTTCTTGACCCCACTTTCTTCTGTAGCTGCATCTGATTTCTCTTTTCTTTACAGCAAAACTCCTTGAAAGAGTGGCTGCCTTCAATTCCTTTTTTCCATTATGTTGTAAACCCACTCCAAGCAGGCGTTCATCTCCTTCATTTCACTGAAACTACTTTTGTCAAGGTCAACAGTGACTTCTATGGAGCTCAATCCAATAGCCATTTCTCATGATCGGCCACTGTCCTTCCCCTCTTGACCTTTTCAGACTCATCTCTGACTTTTCTCCCTCCTTTCTTCACTCCAGCACACTGTCCTTACTGTTCCTCAAATCTGGGCAGGCTGTCTCCTCAGGGCTTTGCACTGGCTTTTTCCTTTGCCTGGGATGCTTTCCCCCGGATATGGGCATGCCTAGCTCCCAGACCGCTATTAAATCTCTGCTCATGTCACCTTTTAAGTGAGGACCACTCTGATCATCCAATTTAAAATTTCACCCCCCACCTCACCTCGTTGTCACTCCTGGTCCCTTTTGTATTCATTAACTATTGCTGTATAACATATTACCCTCAAACTTAATAGCTTAAATAACAACAGACATTTATTATCTTGCACAGTTTCTGTGGGTTAGGAATTAGGGAGTGCTTTAGCTGAATGGTTCTGGCTCAGGATCTCCTATCAGGTTATAGTCACATGTCAGCCAGGATAGAGGATTGGCTTCCAAGATGGCTTATTCACATGGCTGTTGGCAGAAGGCCTCAGTTCTCCCCACACAGACCTCTCCCAAGAATGCTTGAGTGTGCCTCATGACATGGCAGCTGGCTTTCCCCAGAACAAACAATCTAAGACAGCTAGGCAGAAGCTGCAATATCTTTTATAATCTAGCCTTGGAAGTCATACACCATTACTTCTGCCAGATCCTATTGTTCTCACAGGCCAGCTCCATTAAATGTGGGAAGAAATACAAGGTGTGTTTCCAGGAGGTGAGGAACTGGGGGCCATCTTGGAGGTTGGCTACTACATCTTTGCTTGATTTTCTCCGTAGTACTTATCACCTTCTAATACATTATACAAGTTACTTATTTAAGATTGTAAACCAAAAATATCTGAGACAGGTCTCAATAAATTTAGAAAGTTTTCTTTGCCATGGTTAAGGATGTGTGCCTGGGAGGCAGCTCTGTGCCTTTCTCTGAAGATGACCTTGAGGGCTTCCATATTTAAAGGGGAAAGGGCAGCTATTGGGGAAAGAGGAAGAAAATTCTTAAAGGTGTGGATAAATAAGAGACAAACAGTTGTGTACTTTTGATTTTTGAGCAGCCTTTCACCGAATACAAAATTTACACATGATGAGGGTGGGGGTAGAAAAAGAGTCTAGCTCAGTAAATCTGCATTTTTACATCAGAGGAAGCAATCAGATATGCATTTGTCTCAGGTGAGCAGAGCGATGACTTAGAGTTCTGTCCTTCGTCCTACCTGTGAGGATAAGCTATCAATTTACATTGTCAGGGTAAAACTCAACAGAACCCTTTTAGGGTAAAGATCTTGAGGCTCACAAGGAATTTCGTAGTGGTCAAATCATGAAGGAGGTATGTGGCTTTTTTATCTTTGTAACTATCTTATTTAGGAATAAAATGGGAGGCAGGTTTGCCTGATGCAGTTCCCAGCTTGACTTTTCCCTTTGGCTTAGTGATCTTGGGATCCTGAGATTTATTTTTCCTTCACAAGATGTTTATTTTTAGTCTCCTTGTTCCTGGAAAGGGGTCCCAATCCAGACCCCAAGAGAGGGTTCTTGGATCTCACTCAAGAAAGAATTCGAGGCAAATCCATAGAGTAAGATGAAAGCAAGTTTATTAAGAAAGTAAAGAAATGAAGAATGGCTACTCCATAGGCAGAACAGCCCCAAGGGCTGCTGGTTGCCCATTTTTATGGTTATTTCTTGATTATATGCTAAACAAGGGATGGATTATTCATGAGTTTTCTGGGAAAGGGTTGGGCAATTCCGGTAGCTGAGGGTTCCTCCTCTTTTTAGACCATATAGGGTAACTTCTTGGTGTTGCCATGGCATCTGTAAACTGTCATGGCGCTGGTGGGAGTGTAGCAGTGGACTATCAGAAGTCACTCTTGTCACCCTTTTGATTTTGGTGGGTTTGGGCCGGCTTCTTTAATGCAGCCTGTTTTATCAGCAAGGTCTTTATGACCTGTATCTTGTGCCGACCTCCTGTCTCATCCTGTGACTTAGAATGTCTTAACCTCCTGGGAATGCATCCTAGTAGATCTCAGCCCTATTTTATCCAGGGCCTATTCAAGATGGAATTGCTCTGGTTTAAACACCTCTGACATCATCATGCTAGGTGGTTAAGCTCCTCGAGGGCAGTGATTTTGTCTATTTTATTGACTGTTCTATGTTTAGTGTCCAGCACAGTATTTGGCACATAGCAAGACTCAAATATTTGTTAAATAAATAATTGAATATAAAGCTCTGCAAAATTCTGTCTACCTTCCCTGATTATTAATCTGGAGCAGCTTCTATCTCTTAAATTGCAAAGAGCTGCAGCTCCAGTCAACTATTTTCACTGCTCTGAGCATTCAGTGACCCATATTTGTTTTCTGACTCAATATATATAGTGCATTTGCTGGAGTGAAGAACTTCCTGATTGAAATCTGATCTTGTAAGGTACCTGGATGTGCTCTGGTGAACAGTAGGCTGAGGCAGACATCCGGGCTAGAGTGACTCATAGAGTTTAGGGTGCAGGCGCTTACTCCACCTGTTATATAACCTGTTTGTGTAAGCTCATACCTGGCTTGGAGCCACTGTTGTTTGAAAAGGTATAATTGTCCTGCTGATGCTGTACACAGGGGACATGGCTTGGCTCAGCTCTTGGGCATGGCTCAACATGGCTCAGCACACTGGCACCCAGAGAAAGAGAGAGAGAGCCAAAGATGTCTGTCTTGCAGGCAGGCAGGTGGGAGCCAGGAACCAGCTTTTGCCCAGAGAAAGAGTTAAGCTGCTGACCCTGAAAGCAAGGGAGAGTCAGCCGTGCAGCTCTGCATGGAAGTGGCCGGCTCAAGCAGCTGAAACAGAGCATACAGTGTAAGAGAGCTGCTGATGAGAGAGCTACTGAATAAAGCCATATTTCACCTACACATGGCCGCCCGAAGTGTTCTTTCAGCTATCCACCCACTCCCCTCAGACCTAAGCATGGGCTGGACCCTGACCCTGGATCTAACAATTGGTGACATTGGCAGGATGAGGTGTGGTACCCAGTGGCAGTGGTGCTGCTTGGATGGGCCCTAGTGGAAATGTGAGAGGCAATGGACAGGGCCCCCATGAGTATGGGGAAGGCCCTGAAGTACCTGGAGGTGCACAACACCAAGGAGGAACATGCCTTTGCCAGCAGAGTCAGATGGGCGTTTGTGACTGTGCTGCAGGAAGTGCACGCCCAATCCCTGTGAGACACAGTGCAGGGAGGAGGAAGAACTTCTGTTGCAGGCTTGCCCAGTGATCCGTCTGAAAATAGAGCATGGACAGCTGTTGGGCCCCAAGGGTGAGCCCAGGGACCCTCCCCAGTTGTGATGGAACACATTTCCTATAGTCCCGGTGCCCCTACTGAGTTGTGGGAGTTAAGCAAGTAATGTCGGCAGTCATGTACAGACTTAGTGCAAGTCATTCAGGAGAAGGACGTTGCTGTGCAACCCAGTCCCACCCAAGTGCTCCGGTTCAAAAAATACCTGCTGCAGTCAGGCAAAAGTGTAAAGCCTTTTCTGTTTGATAAGAGAACTGACCAAAGTGCCAGGATGGGTACATTCATGGGTAACAACCCCCCGGACTGGGAAAGTGGTTAGCAACTGCATATGCTGCCCTTCGGGCTCATAAGAGTGTGGCAGGATGGGCTACAGTCATCGTCTGGATGACTTACCCAATAGTGGGATGGGTGCATTCATGGGTAACTACCCCTGCCAGACAGGAATGGCACAGACATCCACTTTAGTGAAGTGGGGTGTCTACTTGGAACAGTGGAGTACTCTGAGTACAAGTCCCTTAGCAGTAGAGGTTTTAGGGCCTGTAGTCCTAATGCAAGATGAGGCCATGGGGCCTGAGGCACCCCTAGACCCTGAGCCATCACTGTTTAAGGAAGGGTGCCCTCCCATTCCTGATAGGGCATGGTACATAGCTAGGTCTAGCCAGGGTGCTACTGCTGTCTGGACTGCTGGTGCAGTCCAGCCTAGTTCTGACACCACATGGTTTGAAATCAGGTGTAGACAGAGTAGCTAATGAGCTGAACTCAGGGCAATGTAAATGGTAATCACCAAGGAGGTGACACCTAAGGTAGTCTGCACCAATAGCTGGGCAGTTTATCAGGGCCTATGTATGTAATGGGCCTGTGTGCCCAGAAGCCTATGTTTATGTATCAGGCCTGTGTGTCAGGCCTGTGTTCCCAGGCTTATGTATCAAGTCTATGTGTGTATATTGGGCTTGCATGCCCAAAGCCTATGTGCCAGGCTTATGTGTCAAGCATATGTGTATGTATCGGGCCTGTGGGCCGAAAGCTTATGTGTCAGACGTGTGAATCAGGGGCTTATGTGCCAAACCCGTGTATTGGACCTATGTGTCTAAAATCTATGTCTCCCTCAGCTTAGGGGGTGGAGTGTAAAGTACATGGATGTGCTTTGGTCAACAATAGACTGAGGTGGACATCTGGACCAGAATGACTCAGCAAGTTTAGGGTGCAGGCGCATACTCCACTTTTTATACAACCTGTTTGTGTAAGTTCGTACTTGCCTTGGAGCCACTATTGTTTGAAAAGGTATAACTGCCCTGCTGATGCTGTGCATGGGGAACATGGATCCGCTCAGCTTCTGGACATAGCTCGACATACCTCAGCAAACTGGTGCCCAGAGAGAGAGAGAGAGCCAAAGCTGTCTGTCTTGCAAGCAGGCAGGGGACAGCCAGGAACCAGCTTGTGCCCAGAGGAAAAAAGAGTTAAGCTACTGACCCTGGAGGCAAAGAAGAGCCGGCTACACAGCTGTGCATGGGAGTGGCTGGCTCAAGCAGCTGAAACAAAGCAAACAATGTAAGAGAGCTGCTGATGAGAGAGCTACTGAATAAAGCTGTATTTCACCTACCTATGGCCCCCACAAGTGTTCTTCCAGCTATCCACCCAGTCCCCTTGCATGGGCTGGACCCTGACCCTGGACCTAACAGATCTAAAAACAAATTTCCCTCATTGGAACCACCACCACCAACACACACATAAAGTTAGAGTCATTTTTTGTTTGTGTTTTTTTGGATCATTTTATGCCCACTGCAGATACTCCAGTATATACAAAAATAATAGTGTCAGAGGCGTTTGAGCCAGAGCAACTCCATTTTGAATAGGGGCTGGGTAAAATAAGGCTGAGACCTACTGGGCTGCAGTCCCAGGAGGTTAAGGCATTCTTAGTTACACAATGAGATAGGAGGTTGGCACAAGATGTAGGTCACAAAGACCTTGCTGATAAAACAGTTTGCGGTAAAGAAGCCGGCCAAAATCCACCAAAACCAAGATGGTGATGAGCGTGACCTCTGGTCGTCCTCATTGCTCATTATATGCTAATTATAATGCATCAGCATGCTAAAAGACACTCCCACCAGCCCCGTGAGGGTTTACAAATACTGTGGCAATGTCAGGAAGTTACCCTCTATGGTCTAAAAAGGGGAGGAACCCTCAGTTCTGGGAATTGCCCACCCCTTTTCTAGAAAACTCACGAAAAATTTACTTTTTGTTTAGCATATAATCAAGAAGTAACAATAAGTATAAGCAGCTGAGTGGCCCATGCTTCTGCTCTGCCTATGGAGTATACATTTTTTATTCCTTTACTTTCTTAATAAACTTGCTATCACTTTACTCTATGGACTTGCCCTGAATTCTTTCTTGTGTGAGATCCAAGAACCCTCTCTTGGGGTCTGGATCGGGACCCATTTCTGGTAACAACAGGGTCTCACCCACAGTGTCTTCTGGCCCTGCCAGGCCCTCCAGCTAAGCAGGGAATTATACTAAGCAAGAGGAGCAAGTCAGCGAAGGAGCTCTGGGGCTAGGGCGGCTGTAAGGGCTCTAGGGGCACATGGCGGCTCTATGCTGTGGCCTAAGAGAGGCATTTTTAACATCTGGGTGGTGACCCTGCTGCCATCAGAGTTCAGGAATTGCTGAGAGGAGAAGCAGCACCTGTTCTCTGGGTCTCTGCAGTGGCAGCAGCTGAGATGGTAATAGGTGTGCTGATGCCTGAGGAAGTGGAATCCCAGCTGAGGGAGTGGTCAAGCGCTGGCAGCAGCTGCGAAGGGCAGGGGCCCAGCTGGTTAAGGAGAGAGCCCTGGCTTCTCCGCCTTCACAGTAATCCCTTCACCTGTGCTCTTGGGCCCATCCTGACTTTTCCTCACAGTCTCTTGCTTCAACCACTTCCCCTACTCATTTCAGGCTTCCTCCTATTCCATGGTCTTTCTCCCCTCAGCCTGCAAATATGCTTTGCTCTCCCCTTTTCTAAAAACCTCTTCTGTCTCCTGGGACCACTTCTCTTAGGTCTTAGCCATCCCTCAAAAAAACAAACACACAAAACCATACTCTTCTACCATTTAGTCCTGTTTCCAACCAACAGCTATAGTTGCATTTGTCTTTCCTTAGCAAACATGTTAAATGAGCTATCCATATACCTGGCCTTCCTCAGCAACTTACCCATTTATGAATTTATGCAATAGGCAATGTATTGAGGACCTACTATGAATAATAGACTGGGAATAGAGGATAGATTACGGTTTCTTCCCTCAGAGGAGTTCTCTGCCTAATAGAGGACATAAATGGGTTAAAAAATTTACAGTATAATGTGATAAGTACAACAAAGAAGGGAAGTACAGTGTTCAGAGGTATAATAACACAAAAGAGAGAGTCATCGACTAGAGAGAAGACAGGCAGAGATCGAAGATGGTTTCCTGAGGGATGTGGAGTCTGAACTAGATTTCGAAGGACAACAGGAAAATGTAGGGGAAAACACAGTTTCTTGGAAGCTGAATAAGAGATATCAGTCAACTTCATCTACTGCCACAGAGAGATGACATAAAATGAGGAAAACACACAGATAAATTAGCAGCATGGAGGTCATTATGGGACTTTGCCGATAAATCAAAATAGAGAGGATTGCAGTGGGATGAGAAGCAAACAAGGTGTGAGAAGGTAGAGGTTTTGGCAGAAGCCTAGCTGAGATGGGAGAGCATTGTAAGGCAGCAGCTAGAGAGAAGTGCAGGGTGGGAGGAGAACTGCCAAGGTTGAGAGAGAGACATACCAGTTGCCAGCTCCTTAGGGATGTCACAAGGAATCAGTGAGTTAATACACGTGGAGTGCTTACACAATGCCCAGCACACACTCCATAGGTGGTGTGGCCAGAATGCAAATTCTCATGCCTGGGTGCTAATCCCATGCTTATTTCATTGCATCAGGAAGGCCTGGGGGGAAATTTCCACATTCAGAGAGTTCTTGGGTAATGGGGAGAGATGAGAGAGATTGGGTAGTGCCATTTGAGGCCAGTCAGAGGTCTTATGGCTCATTCAGGAGACACAAGGCTCTGAGCTTCCTATGTTCTGACAGGGTCAAAGTTTCCCTCACCAATTCTCCCCACATGGCTTCTTAGCCAGACTTCTTCAAAGAGGCTGATCGCAAACCACCTTACCTCATGACAGCCCCCCAGACATCCCTGCATGCCTCCCAGCAGAATATTTCAGGTGGGCAGCTTAGCCATCAGGGGAGGGGACTGCAGCTGCTGAGGACAGCTGAGCTCCAGTCCTTGCTGTTCTATTGGCTGCCCAGTGAGTGGAGAAGGTGATGGGGGTGGGGCGATGTCCTTAGGGAGGAGGGTTAGAGGAAGCTCCCAGATGGGACACCACCACAGGAGGCTGTGATCACACTGACTGAAGGAAGTAGCAGGTCCCATTCAGTCCCTGACCTGGGGACAGTCTCAGAAGGGAACAGTCTCATGAGTCCAATTTTAAAGAATTGCTGAATTGTCTGAAATAATGGATTTGGAATTTTTTTCCACTTGGGATAGTAAATTCCACCAAGAGAGGAAATAACTTATAAATGATTAACATTGGCATAAGTTAATATTTCTGATTGCAGGACCTTGTCAAATGGAAGGCCGCGTAGGATTTGGAGAGGGGAGAAAGGGAAAAGAGAAAAAATACTCTGAGTAGGGGACCCTGCTAATGAGAGAGCAAGCCTGTTGGGTGGTAAGGATTGAAGTGGGGATGATGGGATGAAATCTATGAGGGTTCAGGGGGCTCCTAGAATCCTAGGAATATGGAGGATCTGAGGGGAAAGAGAATACATTGGTTGAGAACATACCATGTGCCAGGTACTCAGCTAAGCAGAGTAGATACAATGAGTAAATCTAAGTTTCTGACCTTTCAGAATCCACAGTCTGAGACTGAGGGGAAAAAGGTACATTTCAGTAGAAGGTGTGAACCACTATGGTGGTTACAAGCATGGCACTGAACCAGCCTGCTTGGATCTGAATCCCAGTTCTGCCACTTATTAGTTGTATGGCTTTGGGCGAGAGTCTTAACCTCTCTGTTTCCATTTCTCCATCTATAAAATAGGGATAATAGTAGTAGCTACTCATAGGGTTGTTGTGAGGAAAGAATGAGTTAATACACATACAAAGTGCCTCAACCAGTACCTGGAATAAAATAAACACTATTGTAGGGTCCTCCAACTTCCCCCACTTTTTCTCTGGTCCTGCCGGGAAACGTAGAACACTTGCACCACTCTCCCAGCCAGATATATGTTTTCTCCTGCAGGCTTGAACCCAAGTGGGGCCCTTGAACATTTCCAGGCACCGATAAAGGTGTTTGCATTTTTGCCCAAAACCCTGAAAGAGACTAGCCCCAGCCCCGAGTCAAACTCCTTAAACCCTCTTATAAGCTCCATACCCTGACTTTCTCATTGCAGACATACCTAGGTAGGACATCCCTTGTCTCATTGTCCTTCGGGAGGATGCTCTCCAGCCCCCCTCTGTAATACAGTTCACCTGATACAGTAAATGCTTTTAACTAATCACCTTGACATTTTAGTACTTCTTTCTTTGGAATCCCAACTGGCCCCATCCTGGAATCATTTGGGGCAGTCCCTTGCAGGAACTCCTCTGCCCCTGCTTTTGGGTGACTCCAGCTGTGGGTTCAGCCACAGAGGCTGACATCAGGTTTTGTCACAGAGGCAGGCATCAGGTACTATGGGAGAGGTGACCAGAGAAATCTCAAGAGGCAAGTTTGTCCCCTACACAACCGGGAATTTTTCTGTGCCTTTGCCTTTGTTTCCCTTTTTCTTTCCTAGGTCTCTACCGAATCACTTGCTTCCTCACCCCGCCCTGCAGGGCCAGTGATGTGCCATCACAAGCCAGTGCAGTAAGTGCCTGACACTCCCAATGCCCCTTTGATAAGGAAGGCTCTGCCTCCAGGAAACAGAAGCTGTCTTTATCTTTTATTCCTGTCCAGTGTGCTTTCCTTCAGCCATCTCCTTTAATCATCCACATTGTCCACCTGAGCCCCAGTTCTGAGGTCCTTTCCCTGGGACCCTTGAGGTTCTCACACAGTCTGGGCAGTGGGTGTCGCTGGTCTCCAGCTTTTCCTGCTCTTAGCGATCTGCAGTAGTCTCTTTCCTCCTAGGTGCAGTGTGCTCTGGTTCCCTGAGCCATCCAGGGATGTTAGGAAGATCAGGAACCAAAGACAAGTTCAGGGAAGGAAACAGAATGTCTTAGGGCTCTTCAGAAGCCCTAAGAGCACGAGCCTAGAGATATGGATATGGCTCACCCTGACTGCCTCTAGCTCGTCAGGTGACCCAGCACCTCACTCCACCTCAGTTTCCTTTCCTAGATGTAAAGTGAGAGGGTTGGATGAGGTCAGTAGTTTGCAAACTTTTCTCTACCATGGAACTCTTTTACTATTTCTCTTTGCATGGACTTTATGTTTGAAAAGATTTGATCAGCTCAAAACACCCTGCCATTTAATAAATTATTTTTCCATTTTTTAAAATTTATTTTTATTGTATATATTTAAGGTAAACAACATGATGTTTTGATGTACATATACATAGTAAAATAATTATTACAGTCAAACAAATTAATACATCCACCACTCTCCATAGTTACCCCCATCCTTTTTTTGTGGTAAGAGCCCCTAAAATCTACTCTCTCAGTGAATTTTCAGTACACAGTACAATAATGCATTATTACTATAGTCCTCATGCTGTACATTAGGTCTCTTAGTCATTCTACCTAACTGCAAATTCCTACCCTTTGACCTGCTTATCCCCATTTCCTCCCTCCCCACTCCTGGTAACCACTCATCTACTGTTTCTATTTTTTTAACTTAACATATTTTTTAGGTTCTGTATATAAGTAAGGTTATACAGTATTTTTCTATGTCTGTCCTATTTCACTTAGCATAATGCCCTCCGCATTTATCCGTATTGTCACAAATGGCAATACCTTCTTTTTAAAGACAGAATAATACTCCATTGTGCATGTGTGTGTGTGTGTGTCTGTGCATATATATATCCATATACATATATATATATCCATATACATATATACATATATATCCATATACATATATACATATATATCCATTTTAAAAATCCATTCATCCATCAATGAGCACTTAAGTTGTTTCCATATCTTGGCTCTTGTGAATTAATATGGGAGTGCAGCTATCCCTATGAGGTGCTGATTGCCTTTCCCTTGTATAGATACTCAACAGATAGATCATTTTCCATCCTTTATTACTCAAAGACTTAAATCAGCAAGAGAAAGGAATTTTGTAACACAGAATTGACAAAACCTTAACTAAAGCAAACGTGAATAAGCCTGCCTTTTCAAAAGCTTTTGTATAATTGCTAGTAAACGCACGATTTCCACTAGACTTTTTTGAAATATTGAAAATAGCACTGGCTCTGCCATTGGCCCTTTAGTGTAAACCTGAGCATCTAAGGTCTCTGGGCTGGAAGAATTTCACTAGATGATTTCTCAAGTCCCTTCCACTGCAAAAATGTTCTAAATCTATGATCTCCTTGTGTCAATAGTGAGTTGATGCGAGCTGGAGGTTGGAGGTCCATACAAAAGGGGCATGTTAGGGCTGGCTGCAGCTCTGTGTTTAGTACAGTCTTCCTCCATTTTGATGCTATCATTCAAAATTGGGGTTACTTTCACCGGGGTTGGGTTGAAGTCTATCTTTACTGAGTTTATGAAACAAGTTTACCACAGTAAATATGTCAAAACTCCCAGTAGGCTGGATGTGGTAGCTCATGCCTGTAATCCCAGCACTTTGAGAGGCCGAGGTGAAAGGATCGCTTGAGCTCAGGAGTTCAAGACCAGCCTGGGCAACATAGTAAGACCCCATCTCTACAAAACAAACAACAACAACAAAAAGCAAAACTCTCAGTAGCTTGTGAGGGTTGTTGGTAATGACATGGGAAGCACAGCATTTCCTAGCATTTAACCTCTCCAGTCCCATGTATGTACCCATGAAAATGATATCCCAATAATGTATCATTTTTGCCATCTGAAATATTTTAACTTCCTTGGAAATTTTATAGCACTGACAAAACCACGTATTAATTGATCCAATCTATTTTGAGCCAGGAGCTGTGCTAGGCATTGCTGGGAGGGCTACTGAAGTATATAATAAGGTAAGCTTAACTGAATTTTTACAAAAATGTTTTTTAGCAGATAAGTCTTTGCAAATCATATGCATTACAGAGGTTTTGTTCTCATTCTCACTCCTAGGGAAACACAAAAAGAGATGGAGCAGTAAACAGAGAATCAAAGGGATCTGGGGGAGGTAAAGTCTGCTTGCTGTTGCCACGGAAGCAGACCTAACAAAGAAGTTAGGACAAACGGCTTCTGCTGTGTGAGGTGGGGGTCCACTTCCTCTGTACTGGCTGGGCATCATTAGTTAGTAGAGATATAAAAAAATATGCTGAATGCAGACCAGAAATGATTCAATAAGTCCATGAAAGAAATATTTATTACACACCTACCATATGCCAAGCATGTGTAGGAATACAATGGCAAATATGTCATGGTCCTTGTCTTCAAGGAGTTCTGAAACCAAAGAAGTCACATAGGGAAATACGCACCCCTGGGTGAAAAGTGCCACAGGAGTACCAGGCAACACAGGGAAGGGAATGGCTAATTCCGTTGTGGGTTACTGGGGCCACCTCACAGAGGAAGTGACATTGAGGCTGGGCCTTGAAGTAAGTTTTAGCCTAATTACAAAGGGCTTCGAAGGCATAGAGAGCCATATGACAAACTTGTGAACACTCATTATCAGAGGTGGCTGGACTTGAGTGGGGGAAAGGTGAAAACGAAGAGAAACTAGTATTGGGCCAGAGTGAGAAAAATCTGGCACTGTTACAAGTCATCACTTTACTTAAAATAAAAATATTTATTTTCCCCAGGATTCAGGGGTGTGTGGTTCTCAGGAGACTATTTAGCCAATGATTGGACAGACATTCAGTAATCATGAAAAACAAGCTGTTATTTTAGATATTAATAGTTAACAGGTAAGAAGTTCTATTTACAAGCATTTTTAATTTGTCTTAAAAAATAATTTTAGAATTTCTATAAATCACCCATTTTTAGTTATGTAAGGCATAAAAGTATTTTTTAAAATTGAATATGCTTCCAATATGCCACAGGAATAGGTTTGATTTGACAAACAGATTTGTCAAGTAGACAAAGGACAAATATTTTCATTTTATACTAACAATTTATGCTGTAAATATATCCATTATTGTGTTCATAACTATGTGTTGCTCTCTCAAGGCACTGGTCTTGTTAAGCATAGGGAAAAAACAAGATTAATTGTGTTTACAATAAAATACATGAATAAATAAATAAAATATTTGAAAGTTTTATGGATAACTATTACATTCTGATTAAAAGGTATATGTTGAGCTGTCTATAGGAAGTTAAAGTAAAGGAGACTACACTGTGGTATGTGGGATGTGAGAGTGTGTGTATATAGAAAAGGGAGGAAGTTGGACAGAGATACATTAAGAAGAGAGGCTGGGAATAGTTTCTGGGACATTATTTTGTGCAAGCAAATGACAATTAAAAAGTTAAACAAAGAAAGATATCAAAGAGTGAAGATTTTATGAGTTACATAAATGAAGAAAGGAAAGAAAATTTTAGTACTTTAGGAAAGAATGCAATTAAATATACATGAAGCATGCATAAGTGTGTGTCTATAGTACATGCAGTACACAAAATATACATTACTGAATGTGTGTGCCTATGCAATAATTATTTATTAAGCACTTGCTATGTGCCAGGAACACACAAGGCTATTTCTTCCTTTCTTGGCATTTTTACTGGATTTCTATGCATTTGACAAAGAAAAGCTGTAGAATTTTCTACAATGATTTGAACTTTCTTCCACTATATAATAATTGCATGGGGGTATATTTTTAAATATATCAAGTCAGAGCCGAGGTGTAACTATGGGTGAGTTTTCCCAAAATAACCAATCGCTGTCAATTTTGTGAGTGCGTAGTGCCTTTTTCTTTTTTTTGTCTCAGTCCAGAGCACTCTCTCAGAATTTAATTCTGAATAATGCCGTGTTATTTATTTATTCATTTTTAAGTTTCTACTAGACCTCAGGTTTTGTGAATTGAGTTGAGTACACTCCTCAGTTCATGGCTCCCTATGATTGTTGTCTTATTCGGGGACCTTTTAAATTTTTATTCAGTTTTTCCCTTTATCCCCTCTCGATCCTTCTCCCTTGCCTGTAGGTTCCTACTCCTGTGTTTTTAATGTATGTCCTTTTCATTCACTTTCCATAAATTTATTACATAGAGGGGGTCTAGGTTGGAGGAGCTGAACTGTAACCTCAAAGGAGGTCAGAACTGTGGACTCGCTGCCTTTTATCCCTTTTGAGGCTGGAGGATCAAAGGTTAGAGATAAAATTGTTTAGAGGAGTATCAAATGTTAGAGATAAAGGTGCTTTAGACACTCTCAGCCCTATCTATATAGATTCCACCATCACCCAATAAGACAGCTGGGGTGGGATTGGGGTCAGGCCAGTGGAAAGGGGGTTGCAGTTTCACTTTGAAGCAAAAGGTTTGGTAATTGGCAATATTCTTATTTCTAGATATCTTCCCAGATTGTTATCATAATGGTCCCTGTTGGATGGGATGAAATAAACTTTTTTTTATTAATACATAATATTTACACATATTTATGGGGTACATGTGATATGTTCCAGCATGCATACAATGTGTAATGATCAAATTTGGGTATCTAGAACATCCATTACCTCCAACATTTGTCATTTCTTTGTGTTGGGAACATTTCAAGTCTTCTTTTCTAGCTACTATGAAATATACAATATACTATTTTCACCTATTGGCACTCCACTGTGCTATCAAACACTAGAACTTTCCTTCTATCTAACTGTATGTTTGTATCTCTTAACCAATCTTTCTTAATCTCCCTCCACCCCCCTACTCCCCAACCCCCGCCCTCATCCCCCCAACCCCTGCTCCGCTTCCTAGCCTCTAGTATCTATCATTTTACTCTGTACCTCCATGAGACCAAATCAACTCTTTTAGCTCTCATATATGAGCAAGAACATGCAATATTTGTCTTTCTGTGCCTGGTTTATTTTGTTTAACATACTAACATCCAGCTGTATCCATGATGCTGTAAATGACATGATTTCATTCTTTTTTGTGGCTAAATAGTATTCAATTGTGCATACATACCACTTTTTTTATCCATTCATTCACTGATGAACATTTAGGCTGATTTCATATTTTGGCTACTGGGAATAGTGCTGCAATAAACATCGGGGTGCAGATAATTTTTTAATATACTGATTTCCTTTCCTTTGGATAAATAACCAGTAGGAGTATTGCTGGATTGTATTGCAGTAGAGGATTGCTCTATTTTTAATATTTGAGAAATCTCCATACTGTTTTCCATAGTGGCTGTACTAATTTACATTCCCATCAACAGTGTATAAGGTTTCTCTTTTCTCCACATCCTTGCCAGCATCAGCTATTTCTTGTCTTTTTAATAATAGCTATTCTAACTGAGGTAAGATGATATGTCATTGTGGTTTGAATTTGCATTTCCCTGATGATTATTCATACTGAAAATTTTTCATATATCGGTTGACCATTTATTTTATTTCTTGGAGAAATATCTATTCATGTCCTTTACTGTTTAGTGGAACTATTTTTTTTAAACTGTTGAGTTGTTTCGGTTGCCAAATGAATAGTTTGTGAATATTTTTTCCCAATCAACAGATTGTCTCTTCACTCTGCTGGTTGTTTCCTTTGCTGTGCAGATGCTTTTTCAGTTAACATAGTCCCATTGTCTATTTTTGGTTTTGTTGCCTATGCTTTTGAGGTATTAGCCATAAAATCTTTGCCTAGACCAATGTCTTGAAGTGTTTCCCCTGTGTTTCTTCTTGTAGTTTTATAGTTTTGGATCTTAAGTGTAAGTCTTTAATTCACTTAATGTTGATTTTTTTAATATGGTGAGATATAGGGGTCTAGTTTCATTCTTCTGCATATAGATATCCAATTTTCCCAGCACCTTATTGAAGAGGGTCACATTTCCCCAATGTACATTCTTGTTGCCTTTGTAAAGAATCAGTTGGCTAAAAATATGTGGATTTACTTCTGGGATCTCTATTCTGTTTCACTGATCTATGTGTCTGTTTTCGTACTAATACCATGCTGTTTTGGTTGCTATGTCTTTGTAATACATTTTGAAGTCAGGTGGTGTGATGCCTTCAACTTTGTTCTTTATGTTCAGAATTGCTTTGGCTATTCAGGCTCTTTTTTTTGGTTCCATACACATTTTAAAATTATTTTTTCTATTTCTATGAAAAAATGGCATTGGTATTTTGATAGGGATTACATTGAATCTGTAGATTGCTTTGGGTAGTATGGACATTTTAACAATATTAATTATTCTGACCCATGAGCATAAGATGTTTTTTCATTTGTTTGTGTCCCCTTCAATTTATTTCATCAGTGTTTTGTAATTTTCCTCTTAGAAATCTTTCATCTCTTTGGTTAAATTTATTCCTTGGTATTTTAAAAAAGCTATTGTAAATGAGATTGCCTTTTTTATTTCTTTCTCAGCTAGTTCATTATTGGTGTATAGAAATGCTACTGATTTTTGTATGTTGATTTTGTACCCCGAAACTTTACAGAATTTATTTATCAGATCTAAAAGTCTTTAGGTTTTTCTGAATGTAAGATCACATTATCTGCAAACAGGGACAATTTGACTTCTCTTTTTCCAACCTACATGTCTTTTGCTTCTTTCTCTTGCCTTAACTGCTCTGGCTAGGACTTTCAGTACTATGTTGCATAGGAGTAGTGAAAGTAAGCATCCTTGTCTTGTTCCAGTTCTTAGAGGAAAGGTTTTCAGCTTTTCCTCATTTAGTATGATGTTACCTGTGGGATTGTCATATATGGCCTTTATTGTGTTGAGGTGTGCTTATTCTATGCCTAGTTTGTTGAGAGTTTTTATAATGCAGGGATCTTGGATTTTATCAAATGTTTTTCAACATCTACTGAGATGATCATATGGAGGCTTTTGTCCTTCATTCTGTTTATGTACTGTATCACATTAATCGATTTGCATATGTTGAACCATCCTTGCATCCATAGAATAAACCCCATTTGATCATGGTGTACTATCTTTTTCATATGCTGTTGGATTTGGTTTGCTGGGGATTTTCACCCGTATGTTTATCAGGGATATTGGCCTATAGTTTTCTTTTTGTTGTGCCCCTGGCTGGTTTTGGTGTCAGGATAATGCTGGCCTCATAGAATAAGTTAGGGAAAATTCCCTCCTTTTAAATTTGTTTTGAATACCTTGAAGAGAATTGGTATTAGTTCTTCCTTTAAAGTTTGGCAGAATTCAGTGGTGAAGGCATCCAGTCCTGGGCTTTTTCTTTTTGGGGAGACTTTTTATTACTGATTTCAATGCTTGTTATTGGTCTATTTAGGGTTTCTATTTCTTTCTGATTCAATCTTGGCAGGTTGTATCTGTCTAGGAATTTACGAATTTCCTCTAGGTTTTCCAGTTTTTTAGTGTATAGTTGTTTATAACAGTCTCTGATGATCTTTTGTAGTTCTGTGATATCATCAGTTGTAATGTCTCCTTTTTCATTTCTGATTTTGTTTGAGTCTTCTGTTTTCTTGGTTAGTCTAACTAGCAGTTTATTGATTTTGTTTATCTTTTCAAAAAACAGCTTTTTGTTTCATTAATTTTTGTATTTTTTTTTTTAGTCTCTATTTCATTTAGTTCTGCTCTTTATTCTTTCTTTCCATCTACTGATTTTGGGTTTGATTTGTTCTTGCTTTTCTAGTACCTTGAAGTGCATGGTTAGATTGTTTATTTGAACTCTTTCTACTTTTTTGATGTAGGCATTTATTACTATAAACTTCTCTCTTAGCATTGCTTTTGCTGTGTTCCATACGTTTTGGTATGTTGTGCTTAAATTTTCATATATTTCAAGAAATTTTGTGATTTCCTCCCCAGTTTCTTCCTTGAACCAATGGTCATTCAGGAGCATGTTGTTTTGTTTCCATTTGTTTGTACAGTTTCCAAAGTTCCTTTTGTTATTAATTTATAGTTTTACTCTACTGTGGTACAGGCTGGTCTCGAACTCCTGAGCTCATGTGATCTGCCCACCTTGGCCTCCCAAAGTGCTGAGATTATAGGCATGAACCACCACGCCCAGCCAGATTTGCATTTCTCTAATGATCAATGATGTTGAGCTTTCTTTCATATGCTCGTTGGATGCATGTCTGTCTTCTTTTGAAAAGTGTCTGTTCCTGTCCTTTGCCCACTTTTCAATGGGGTTTTTTGTTTTTTTCTTGTAAATTTGTTTAAGCTCCTTATAGATTCTGGATATTAGACCTTTGTCAGATGCATAGTTTGCAAAAATTTTCTCCCATTCTGTAGGTTGTCTGTTTATTGATAGTTTCTTTTGCTGTGCAGAATCTCTTTAGTTTAATTAGGCCCCATTTGTCAATTTTTTCTGCAGAGTAAACATTGCTCTTATCAGCACATGGAGCATTCTCCAGGATAAACCATAAGTCAGGACACAAAATGAGTTTCAACAAATTTTAAAATATTGAAATCACAGCCAGGCGTGGTGGCTCACGCCTGTAATCACAGCACTTTGGGAGGCTGAGGTGGGCAGATTACCTGAGGTCAGCAGTTTGAGAACAGCCTGGCCAACATGGTGAAACCCCGTCTCTACTAAAAATACAAAAATTAGCCGGGCATGGTGGTGGGTGCCTGTAATCCCAGCTACTCGAGAGGCTGAGGCAGGAGAATCACTTGAACTTGGGGCTTCATACATCATTGGTGGGAGTGTAAATTAGTTCAACCATTGTGGAAAGCATTGTGGCAATTCCTCAAAGAGCTAAAAACAGAACTACTATTAAATCCAGCAATCTCATTACTGGGTATAAAGCCAAAGGAATATAAATCATTCTATCATAAAGACATATGCATGCATAGGTTCACTGCAGCACTATTCACAATAGCAAAGACATGGAATCAACCTAATGCCTATCAAGAATACATTAGATAAAGAAAATGTGGTACATATGCACCTGGAATACTATGCAGCCATAAAAAAGAATGAGATTGTATCCTTTGCAGGAACATGGATGGAGCTGGAAGCTCCAGGAACTTCCAGCAAACTAACAGGAACAGAAAATCAAATACCACATATTCTAACTTATAAGTGGGAGCTAAATGATGAGAACACATGGAAACATAGAGGGGAACAACAGACACTGTGCCTACTGGAGGGTGGAGGATGGGAGTAGGGAGGGGATCAGGAAAAATAACTAATGGGTACTAGCCTTAATACCTGGGTGACAAAATAATCTGTATAACAAACCCCCATGACACAGTTTTACCTATGTAACAAACCTGCATATGTACCCCTGCCCTTAAAAGTTAAAAAAATGTGTAATTGTCTGTTAGGTCCATTTGGCTTAAAGTGCAGTTTAAATCCAGTGTTTCTTCACTGATTTTCTGTCCAGATGATCTGTCCAATACTGAGAGTAGACCGTTGAAATTGACAACTATTACCACATTAGAGTCTATCTCTCCCTTTAGATCTAATAATATTTGCTTTATATATCTGGGTGCTCTGGTGTCATATATATTTAGAATGGTCTTTTTTTTTTTTACTGTTTTTTTTTAACATGTTCTGTGGAATAGTCAATCTGTTTACTGTTTTGACTTAAAGTCTGTTTTATCTGATATAAGTATAGGTATTCTTGCTTGCTTTTGGTTTCTGAAGGGGTGGGTTGCCCCTCCACACCTGTGGGTGTTTCTCGTTAGGTGGAACGAGAGACTTGGAAAAGAAAAAGACACAGAGACAAAGTATAGAGAAAGAAATAAGGGGGCCCAGGGGACCAGCATTCAGCATACGGAGGATCCCGCCAGCCTCTGAGTTCCCTTAGTATTTATTGATCATTCTTGGGTGTTTCTCGGAGAGGGGGATGTGGCAGGGTCATAGGATAATAGTGGAGAGAAGGTCAGCAGATAAACACGTGAACAAAGGTCGCTGCATCATAGACAAGGTAAAGAATTAAGGGCTGTGCTTTAGATATGCATACACATAAACATCTCAATGCCTTACAGAGCAGTATTGTTGCCCACATGTCCCACCTCTAGCCCTAAGGCTGTTTTCCCCTATCTCAGTAGATGGAACATACAATCAGGTTTTATACCGAGACATTCCATTGCCCAGGGACGGGCAGGAGAAGATGCCTTCCTCTTGTCTCAGCTGCAAAGAGGCCTTCCTTCCTCTTATACTAATCCTCCTCAGCACAGTCCCTTTACGGGTGTCAGGCTGGGGGACGGTCAGTTCTTTCCCTTCCCACAAGGCCATATTTCAGACTATCACATGGGGAGAAACCTTGGACAATACCTGGCTTTCCTTGGCAGAGGTCCCTGCGGACTTCCACAGTGTTTGTGTCCCTGGGTACTTGAGATTAGGGAGTGGTGATGACTCTTAACAAGCATGCTGCCTTCAAGCATTTGTTTAACAAAGCACATTTTACACAGCCCTTAATCCATTTAACCTTGAGTGGACACAGCACATGTTTCAGGGAACACAGGGTTGGGGGTAAGGTTATAGATTAACAGCATCTCAAGGCAGAAGAATTTTTTTTAGTACAGAACAAAATGGAGTCTCCTATGTCTACTTCTTTCTACACACAGTAACAATCTGATCTCTCTTTTCCCCACAGGTTTCCATTTACTTGGGATATATTTTCCTATCCCTTTACTTTCAGTCAGTATATATCTTTACAGGTGACATGCGTTTCTTGTAGGCAACATATGATTGGGTCATGAATTTTTACTCATTCATGGCAAGTTTTATCTTTCAATTTGTTAATTTAATCCATTTACATTTATGGTTATTATTGGCAGATAATGACTATCTCTGTCATTTTAATGATTGTTTTCTTACTGATTTGTATATCCTTTGTTTCTTTTTTTCTCTTATTGTTTGTCACTGTGGCTTGGTGGTTTTCCTGAGTGGTAACATTTGAGTCCTTTTTCTCATTTATGTGTCTGCTTTACCAGTGAATTTTATAATTTTGTGTTTTCATGATGATAGATATTGTTCTTTCATTTCCAGATGTAGAGCTCCCTTAAGCAGAAGATGAACTTTTATAGATTAGTATTTAATAAGACTCAAAGCTTGACTAAAGGCATGTGATCACCCCATAATCTGTGTAACATGAGCCTATGATCTCCTGGGCTTACTTGTGTATCTGCAACACATGTCTACTGAGATCCTTTCTAGAGAAGTTCTAAAGGACTATCACATTATTACTTCACATGTGTGGTGTCCTTACACTGCATATAACAGCTAGAACATGCACTGGATGAGATGGAAACAGAAGCAGAATGGGGGTAGGGCTGAGCAAGGCATAGTCTTTAAGTTCTGACTCAGTCAATTTTTTATCGAGTCATTTTTTAATCTGAGTTTTCAGCTCTATCAACATTCCAGGGGGCTTTGGGGACAGCCACTTTGACTCTTGGAAACTAGGCTGAGAGTGTGGTTGCTGTGGCAGCTGCTGTTGGAGTGTGACTGGATGGAGCACAGTCTCAGCTGTACTTGTGGTGACAGGGAGACAATCATGGCTCCCACCCACCTCCCTATACTGACTGCTCCCTACTCACTGAGCATACTAACAAAAAACCTTACATCAAAGCCTCCTGGAATAGGTGAGGGAGATGGAAGAAGCCACAGGAGGAGAGGGTAAAGAAGGGAGTAAGGTGGGTTTACATCTTACCTGCAAAATGTTACATGTGCTGCAATATCCAGTGCTGTTTCTGGCACTGAACCTACAAGTAGCCCATGCCTACAGACTAAATAGGCATCTATGAGAATAAATACAGAAGTGACTTGGGCAGGATGGTGCTCTTTGGAACCTTTCCATATATATATATATATATATGTATATATATATATATATATATTTTTTTTTTTTTTTTTTTTTTTTTGAGACAGGGTCTCCCTGTGGTGTCCGGGCTGGTCTCGAACACCTGGGCTCAAAGGATCCTCCTGCCTCAGCCTCCAAAAGTGCTAGAATTACAGGTGTGAGCCACCACACCCATCCTTCCATAATTTCTTGTTGTTCAGAGTCATGTAATGCTGGGTAGGGGCCCAGCTTTGCCCTCTTGGGGTACCTCCGACTGTCCTACAGAACTTAGTAACCATCTATGGCCTGCTACATGCAAGGTCCTCTCTGTACCACAAGACTCATATCAGATCACAGTAAACGCCTTCCTGGCCTGAAACAACAGCTCAGAACATTTTTCCATTTTATTCACTGAGGAGCACTTTTTATCAACTATGCAATTAAGTGCACCTTTGTTTTTATTTTTATTTTTTTATTATACTTTAAATTCTGGGGTACATGTGCAGAACGTGCAGTTTTGTTACATAGGTATACACATGCCATGGTGGTTTGCTGCACCTATCAACCTGTCACCTACATTAGGCATTTCTCCTAATGCTATCCCTCCCCTAGGCCCCCACCCCCTGAAAGGCCCCAGAGTGTGATGTTCCCCTCCCTGTGTCCATGTGTTCTCGTTGTTCATCTCTCACTTATGAGTGAGAACATGCTGAAGTGCACCTTTATTTTTAAATCATTTTTAGAATTTCACATGCAAAATCCACTGACCTAGATTAATGTTACCAAATCCCACCTCTTCTGTTTACAAGCTATGGGACTGTGAGCAGGTCACTTAACTTAGCTAAGCCTCAGTTTCCTCATTTGTAAAATGCAAATATTTATAATATTAGTCAACCTACCTTAGAAGGTTGTTGTGAGGATTAAATGAAATTATTCAAGTGACATACTCAGTACTGGGCCTGATACATTCATTGCTTAATAAATGTTACCTCCCATTATGATTTTCACTCACAGCTGTTTGATGCTTTAAAACAGATGACACACTTGACACATGATTTTTCTGTCAGAGTGGTTGCTATTATGGGCAATCTTGTGAATGTCCTGTGCAGAAAGGTGTTGTAATCAGCTGGACCACAAGGAAAATCAACCAATCAGAACTCAGTAAGACCTTTCTTATAGGAAAGTGTGCCCAGATGTGTGGGCTCACACCAGCAATAGAATGCCATAGCTGAATAGTGGTAGTTGATAGGACATTTCTAAAAATGGCACCAAGTAATTGAAAAACAAATGACCCATCAATGGCAAACAATTGCAAAATATTTTTTAACTTATTGCAGAAATATCTGCAAGTGGGAGTAGGTGGAACATGTACATACAACCTAAACCAGCGTATTTGAAGGCACAAAGGTGGCACCCAGGGGAAAGCTCTTGTTTCAGGAGGGATTTCTGCTGAGAACCCCTGCTCTCTACAGCCTCATACTGGGTGAGACCAAAGGGCTGCCAGCATTGCTCTGACACGCACCTGGGGATGTTTCTCGTGCTGTCCCATGCAAGCACGTCTTCTTTGAAGCTTGTAAACATTTTCTAGGAGGCTGGCCCTCTCTTGCTTGAGTAAGAAGAGCAAGCATGTTTTCTGCTGCCTGTCCAAAGAGAAATATCAGCTTCAGGGGTAGAAAAAAAAAGGAAAAATGGGTCAAGTGTTAACAGGCCCCACAGCTTCTTAGGCTGGAGGGGCTAGTAGGATTTGGGCTATCTCGGGATCCTGCTATCACACATCCTGGCTCCTGTATTACTTCATTATACTACTAAGTTTGAAGACGGGAGTAAGAAGCAGTTGGGAACAGAAGAAGCAGAAGTAACTTCCATTTGCATGGCTTTTTGCAATTTATAAAGATTCCATAAGCATGTCCTCATTTGAACCTCCCAACAACCCTGGGAGCTGGGGAGACATGATCATTCCCACTAAACAAATGAAGAAACTGAACTCAGATGAAGTGACCTGCTCCATGGAAGATCTGGGTTCATAGCCTGGTCTTGCCACAATTTTTGTATAGCCAGAGGCAAGTCTTTAGTGTCTGTCTCCTCCTCTATAAAGTGTGCACCTTCGATTAGTTCACCTTAAATGATCTTTTCAGCTCTTATATTCTCCAATTCAACAAATTAAGTAAATAGACCCTTCCCAGCATACAAATCATGCTCAGTGAATGCCCATTCCACACAAATGACCATTCCAGCCAAGGACTCGCATCCCTGAAGCAAGGAAGCATTCAAACTCTCCTCTCCTCCTTGCTGCTGGGGACACTTAGGCACCCACTTCAAACACTAGACACTTCAGGAACTCTCCTTCCCTGCCATTTATACTGGCTGAGGGCACATTCTGCCACTACATGGGCCCTGTGCAGGGGAGAGGACCTTCAAGCGTGTGGCCAGGGCTGTACTTGGAGGAAATGGCATTCATACTGGAATGCAAAATGACTTTTTCTGTTGGAATCAGATTTTAAAAGCTTCTTGAGTTCTATAATGTTAAGATACTATAGTTAGTTACATTATGAATTAAATTGGCTCCTCTGGAATAGACTGGAAACCTCACTTTCCTATTCATAGGTTTCTCCAAAGTAAACATTTTAAGTTTCCTGTGGTTCAGGAGCACAATCTGTCTGTCTACTGCACATTATCCTGACTTCTACTTAACCATATTTCTTACCTTTCAGGGTTGTATCACCCAGAGTCTCTGGTCCAGAGCCTGGCACATAAGTATACTCAATAAATTATCTCAGATGGCTGCTTTTCCCCCTGTATAACCACTTGCCTCCCTTGCTAAGTTCCTGCGTTCCTCCATTCCTCACAGACTAAGCAGTCATGTGTTCACCTCAGATGATAGGTCCAGAGTCGAGTAAAGGGACTAAGGCAGTGTGGTGGATGATGTCCAAATGTTTTGATATCAACACCATGCTCTGCCCCAAATCGCCAGCCTGGCTCCACGGTTAGACACAACACTGGGCTGAGAGGGGCGGGGAGGATTCTTGGCCTGTCAGGGTGGCATTTCTTATCTAGTGATAACCTACCATAGAACAAGGAGTAGAAATTGTGTGGGTCTTGAAAGATCAGCATGTCCTAGGCTCAGGATGGTTGCTCTTAGTGTTTAGATATCTATAGAACTATTCCAAAAAGGTTTTTATAAACTCCAATACGAGAAACTCATCAAATATTTCTTTTGTCAATTCTATTTTTGCTTTCTAAGAGCATACAACATAATAGGAGAAACAGACATTTATAAATAACTCTGATACTGGGCAGACAGATAAGTGCTGGTGTAGATACATGATATACAAATACAGTGGCTTGAGAGACTATTTCAAACTAGAAGATCTTAAAAGGAGTTTTGAAGGACATGAGATTAGAACCAGGCCTTAAAGAATAACAGATCTTCAACAGAAGACCCTGGGAGAAGGCAAGGGAGGTTGCAGAGAGGAAGGAGAATGGGTAGAGGGCCCAACACGAGTCAGCCAGAGAGGTGGGGCCTGTAGAAGGACAGGTGCATGAAGGATCATGCTCAAAAGGAGGTTGTGGAGGACTTTGAAAGGCAGGCTTAGGAGTTTGGACTTTACTCCATAAGGATACATTGAAGGAGCTGAAGGAGGGAGTGCTGGGATAGGCCAAGTTGTGTTTCAGGAAGATCATGACAGCATCAGCGTGGAGGATGGACTCATATTGGGTGGTGGAAGGTGGGTGCCAGGAATAAGGCTGAGCGAAAGCCTAGGTGGAATGTTTGGGGCATCTAAACCTAGACAGGGTCAGTGACGTCCAAGCTTCCCATACTCACCTTCAAGGGCCCATTAACTGGATCCTTCATGGTTTCCTCTCCAATGTCATCTGCAAACGCTAATACTGTAACCATTTAGTTCCATTTTGGTCACATCAAACTGCTCATGGTCTCTGGCCCTTCCTGGGTTCCTAACACAGAGGGCCTCTCTCTTCTCAGCTGAGGCCAACTTGACCCCCCATCTCCACCTATACTCATACCTACAGGGCTTGTATGCTAAGTTTGGCCCAGCTCCCTTGGTGCAATACTGACATGAGCTAGGAAGACCTGCCCCATGTAGTTTATTTCCAGGTCCTGGCCCTCTTCAGTGTGTCCCAGCCTGCTGGGTCTCACACTGCTCTGCCCTTAGCTATGACAGAAGGGATTTTGATAGCTCATCCAGGCCCACAGAAAGGAGAGACAGAGATGAGACAAAGTGGGTAAGGCTCAGCTACCCACCTTTCCCTGCCTCACAATTCAATTAGGACTGTTCAATCAGCATTGGCCAGTTCTGTGCGTGAGCTTACAGGAGATCGTATTTGAAGAGCTTCCCTATTACAAAAAGGCTTTAAATGCACTGACCTAGACCAACTTCTTTTCGATGCAAAAATGGAAAACAGGGTTGGAAAGATTTGTTCTTTCTATTTGCTTCCCGGTCAGGCGCCTACAGGGGCCCAGGGGCAGGAGCTTAAGTGTGAGGGAATAGGAACCTTGTCCCAAGGCTTTGGAATTTCCATTCAGTCTGTTTCTGGGTACAGCAGTTGTTCAGTGCAACTTATTTTGAGAAACTCTATAATCCTTGACTCAGAAGGTGGTGGCTTTGTGAATCTATATTGAGCAGGAGGTGGTAAAGCAACCCGGTAGAGCCAAGACAGGGCTGTGGTATGTGGTGGTATTAGGGATGGGGGTGGGATGGAAGGCTTGGCCAGCCTTCCTTCAGGAGACCTGGGACAGGAAAACAACCTTCATTGCTGCCACCAGGTGCCCAGTCTCCCCTTACAAAAGTCCTGTGAGGTACTCTTTATTTTCAGAAGTCAAACTATACTTTCCTAAAACACCTGCTCCTGACAAACAATGTCTGTTTCAGCATTTATTTTTAGCCAATTTTAGCTGCCACCCAACCCTGCTCCATGCTTGGCAAAGATGTTTAAAAGCTACGGATTAAAGAGGGATCAGGCATCAGGCTCCAGGGTTTACCTTATCAGAGGGAAACACCTAGAACTGCCATATTCCCTTCTCTCCCACATCTCTATAGGGATAGCCAGCCTTTCCCTTGCTTGGCCAAAAGAAAGTGTGGCTACTTACACAGAAGAGTCGTAGCTGCTTACAGAGTTCCCTCTCCCTATTGATTATCAGTGGTGGCACTGCCTCAATCTGATTGCACTCAGTAAGCAAGCCCTCCTTTACCTCATTTCCCCCATTGTGTGTCTTCTGCTTCTCCTAGTCCTAGGCATGCACCACATTTATTCACTCAGTGAGAGTTGGGCATGAGCCAACCAGGCAGTTTTCCAAAGTGTCAACCTATGATAGTTGCTAAAGCATTACTGTGCTCTAAAACATCACTGGATGTAGTGAAATGAAGAATAGCTTTACCAGAACATCTGTCAAGGAGAACACTAAATTCATTTCATCTATTCATTAAATAAATGTCTATTTGTGCCTATTCCATTCATTCATTCATTCATTCATTCATTCAATAGATACTTGTTTAGCACCTTAAATGATTATGTGCTAGACACTGGTCTGGTCTAGGCATTGGGATATAGTAATAAGCAAGATAGACAAAGTCTTTGCCATGTTAGAACTTACATCCTAATAGGGAGATGGTCAATATACAAGGATCTTGGGTCAAGTTCTTCACAAATAGACACTGAGATGATTTGGGTTTAGTAATCTGTCATGAAATCCAAATTAAAGGTTATAAAGGCAGTATGGGACCTTGTGGGACTGGAAAAATTGAACTTTCTGGGCCTCAAACAATGGGAGTTAAGGTGCAAAGTATATTTGGGCAACAAAGGTTCATTAAGATTTCACAGTTATACAGAAGGACTCAGGCTATGAAAAAGATCAGCTTCAAGTTATTACCTCCATACTGAACCCTGTGGCCAGATGGTTATAGGGTAGCCTCAGATGAGTTGAGAGAGGCATGAGGGTGAGGAAACAAAGAAATAGGACAGTACTAAGACTTGTGTCTAGGAAAGACTTTTGGGCTACTGGCACATGCAATTGACTGGAAGCAAATAGATTAGAAGCCTACTGTCTTTGAGAGAATTGTGTTGGCAGATAAATCATAATCCTGGCTAAAATAAATAAAAAATACCCTGAAATATAAAACAGCTCTCAGGGCTCCAAATCTGCACTAGCAGGAAGCAGGCTGTGAATGTTGTGTAGTTCCAAGGAAGGCCAACTCAACGATGTTCATTTCAGATGAGACCATGGAGGAAAGTGTACACGGAAGAATCTGCCAAAGGTGGAGCCAGGTACCAGGGAGAACAATGGACAAGGAAATTCCACCAGAGATCAGAATTAAGATCTAATCCAGAAATTTCCCCTCATATTGGAGCAGGCAGTTTTTATCGTGCCTATTCAAGCAAGATTTCATCATTGTGATGGACAAGAGACTGCTCTGTAGCTCCCATTCTTCCCTTCCCGAAAGAGGACTTTAGAATGTCCTGTACTATTCCTGTGTTTCTACCTCCATGTTGTATTTTGGGTGGTGATTAGTGGAACACAGATAGTTGTTTTGAGTTTCTAAGTCTCCAGACCATAAGGAGGTAGATCCAGACTTGCCAAAAAGAACTGCACACCTCTCAGAGATCCTAGACTTTGAGCTGGATGTGGTGGCTGAATGAGATTTTTTATTTCGTGGTGTGTGTTTATGTTCTAAGTGTTTAAGTATGGGAAGAAAGGTATCCACTGATATTTGGTGATCAATTTTGTATTTTTTTTGTATAGATGGGGTTTTGCCATCTTGGCCAGGCTGATCTCTAACTCCTAGGCTCAAGCCATCCACCTGCCTTGGCCTCTCAAAGTGCTGGGATTACAGGTGTGAGCCACCATTGCCAGCTTGTCATGGAGTCTAACATGTAATTGTTTCAAGCATCACCATAATGCTAAACCAAATGCATAATTACCATAATGCATTTGCCTGGCACACAGATAACATTAGACCTAGATGACTAGCTGTTCACCAAATATTCATATAGAATTGACATTGGGATTGACTATTTCTGAGCATCCCTTCCATTTGTGTAACTAGCTATCCCCAATGGAATATGAGTAGAAGTGATGTGTATCACTTCCAGGCTTTGATTTTTAAGAAGTTGATGGGGATGATCCACATTCTCTTCTCCTGTCTGTCATCTGAATGCTGGGAATGTTCAGCTTCTAAGGAATACTAGAGCCAAAAGATGGCCCCTAAACACCACATGAAGGGATACTGCAAATCAGAAATATATACTTTGGACAAT
Source organism: Homo sapiens (assembly GCF_000001405.40). NCBI lineage: Eukaryota > Metazoa > Chordata > Mammalia > Primates > Hominidae > Homo > Homo sapiens. Next base: position 147,743,256 of record NC_000001.11, read on the forward strand.
TACATGAACAAGAAATAAATTTTCATTTTGTTAAACCACTGAATTTTGTTGTTGTCATTGCTGTTGTTACAGCATTATGGTAATTATGCAGTTGGTTTAGCATTATGGTGATGCTAGAAACAATTACATGTAAGACTCCATGACAGGCTGGGCATGGTGGCTCACGCCTGTAATCCCAGCACTTTGAGAGGCCAAGGCGGACTAATGGCTTGAGCCTAGAATTAGAAAAAAAAAAAAATTAGCTGGGTATGGTGGTGCTCACCTATAGTCCCAGCTACTAGGGAGGCTGAGGTGGGAAGACTGAGCCCAGGAGGTCAAGGCTGCAGTGAGCTGTGGTGGTGCCACTGTACTCTGGCCTGGGTGACAGAGTGAAACTCTGTCTCAAAAACAAAACAAAACAAAAGATTCCATGACGGTGAATCAAGCATCTGTTAAACCCGTAAGTGATGTTCCTGACAGAAGCATGGCGGACAGAGAAGGCAAATCCATATCCAGATAAATATCTGCTCCAATGAGAACCAAATTGTTGCCCCCTCCATGAAAAGGAATCCAATGTAATCAGCCTTCCAGGCAAGTGCTAGACTGAGACCTCTAGGCCATGGTACTAGATTAAAGGTTTCAAGGTTAGTCACTGCCTCTAAGAAATTGAATACTCAGCAGTGGTGTGGTCAGATCAGCCTCAGTAAAGGAAAGTACTTGTTGAGCTTATCTATGATCTTAATCCTACCACCATGGTGATGTTCATAAACTCACTGAGAAAAATACTGCGGTGAGTGGGAAAGAGGTTGACTGACATTCATATGGCATGAAATCTTGTACACTATTTGAGAGTCTCCTACACTGTGGACACCTTTGGGAGAACATTCTCATGGAATAAATATATTTTCACCCATTATGATTAGTTTGTTTATATGTATTTTCCCCAAAACTCCTTGTCACAAATCCATGAAGTTTATTCCTTCCAAGTTCCTGACTGCTTAACCAAACCATTAGCCCTTGTCCATGAATTGGCTTAGATCCAGATCTCAGGTCATTTGTCCTTCCACACAAAGTGCACCATGACAAATACCACTCAAAGCTCTGCATAGTGGAAGGATTTCCCTTCTCTACCGTCCTGCAGGGTCACCCCTGAAGTAGAGCTGTAAGAGCAGTCCGCTTACTGCTGGTGCCAGAATATTATACAAATCCATCTGTAAACTAGATTATTTTAGGCTGGCATTGCAGGTAGGAGATGATGCAATTGAAATGAGCTCCCTGATTTCACAGGAGATGTTTGGATCCTGGAGTGGAAGAGGCAACACTTAGCCATCAGAGGTAGGGCAGCCATGGTTACTACAAAGAACATCAGGGCCAGAGTGGAATCAGCAGGTTTGACCCACGGGAATCACTGGAAGTATTAACCTGATTATGGGTCCCTAAGAGCAACATAGAGGGGCAGCTCAGTAAATTACTTCTTTGACTGGATAATCAAATAAATTGGAGGTCTGACAAACATAAGCCTGACACAAATCACCACGGTAGAGAATCTAGACCAGAATCAGTTCAAAGACCCAGAGCTCCTTGAATAAAAGAAAGTCTGCGCCGAGATTGGTGGCTCATGCCTGTAATCTCAGCACTTTGGGAGGCCGAGGCAGGTGGATCACGAGGCTGGTTCAAGACCAGCCTGGCCAACATGGCAAAACCCCATCTCTAATCAAAATACAAAAATTAGCCGGGTGTGGGGGTGGGCACCTGTAATTCCAGCTACTTGGGAGGCTGAGGCAGGAGAATTGCTAGAACCCAGGAGGCGGAGGTTGCAGTGAGCCGAGATCATGCCATTGCACTCCAGCCTGGGTGACAAAAGCAAGACTCCATCTCAAAAAAAAAAAAAAAAGGCTGAAAACACTACAGAAAGAACTCTGAGATAGTGTCACAAGCATGTACTACAAATCTTTGTATCCTTCCCCATGGAGGCCCTCCTACAGCCATTTCCCAAATAACTGTGCACTGGGGGAGAGGAAATTCTCAGACCTTTTCAGAGTTTATTGAACACTAGCTCTAAGCTAAACCCTGACGACCCAGAACATCACTGTAACACACCAGTCAGGGTGGGGGGCTTTGGGGAATGGGTGTTGTGACTTAGAGACTTTTATTTTTTCACTCTCTCAAAGGTATCAGGGTAGGTGGCTTTAGCTCAGGCTTCCTGCCTGACCAAGATAGTGAGGAGGAAATACATGGAATTTACTCTAAGTCCTTATCACAGTAGTCCCAGTAGGTCCACAAACACATCCTGTAGTTTCACCCCAAGTTCCTGAGTGTATATTGGTAATAAAGATACCAAAACACTAATAGAATCTTCATGTTTCTCCCTGACCTGTAGAATGCGGGCTATCACAGTAGAAAGAAAGCGGAATCCTTGGAACTACCCAACCGAAATAGGGGACCAAAGCAATGCCCCATTTATGGTAGAATCACAGTAGAACCACCGTCAAAGCCTTGAAAGAGGCAAGAAGGGTGACCCCCACTATATTCCCATTTACTAGGACAAAGTTAAGGGGTAAATAAGTGGGGTTCCACATGATCAATACATTCCAACATCCCTGTCTCCCTAAATCATTGGATTCCTTCCTCTACATTATACCAAAGAATTACCATTGTTGCTGATGAGAAATCTGCTGTACTTTTTTGTCTATTCCATAACTTTTAGAAATTTTTATTATTTTTAATGTTTTATAGTTTATCTATAATGTGGAGTTTACAAATCTATCATTTAACACTTGATGAGCTTTATGAAACTAGATACTAATTTTTTTCTTCAGTTCTAGAAACATTTCCAACATTCTATCTTCAATTATTGACTCTTTCCCATTCCCTTCTCTCTTGAAACTCTTATTAGACTATATTAGAGTGTCTCTCTGTCTTACAATTTTTCTTTCAGGTTTTCTATCTTTTAATTCATTGTGCTGAAACTGTAAGAAAATTTCATCAGTTCTATTTCTCAGGTCACTCATTTTCTCTTCAGTTCTGTCAAATCTTAATTTTAACCATTTCTTATTTAAATGCTGTATTTTTCATTTTAAAGATATACTTCTGTTTTTATCTCCGTGTTCTTGCTTCATAAACCCTGTTTTTCTTCTGTGGGTGCTACTCCATCCTTTATTTCTGTAAGAATTTTCAACGTATTTTAAAGTCTTTTTTCAGATTATTCTGTTATTTGTATTTTCTCAGGTGTGATTTTCCAGTTGGTTGTGTATGGTGACTCATGGTGCTGACTTTCCTCAAATGCTTTATCAAGCTCAAATTCTGAGCTTGTCTTCCGTGGCACTTTTTAACAGTTTTATTAAGATATACTTCACATACCACACAAATCACCCATTTAAAGTATAACTCAATGGCTCTCAGAATATGTAAATATCTGTGAATCTACCACCACAATCAATTTTTCATGACCCCTTCCATGACATTTTATTCCATATGTACCCCTGGACTATGATGGCCTCACTGCACAGCACATTTGCAGTTTCAATGCACAGCACCAAAGTAGGGCTTATGTTTGAAGCTTGGCTCAAGACTCAGCCGCTGAGAAAATAGAATACTGAGCTCTGAACTCACCACAAAGGTCTATGCCTGAGTATTATGCAGGTGACTTTTCTTTCTTAGCCTCTGGTAGGCACCTTGTTTTTGTGTGCAATTCCAGAAAATAGGACAGAGCTATTCCAACTTCCTTCTTTAGGTATCCACTTATTCAGGGATTCTGGTTCAGGCCCTTTGCCAATAATAGGACTCCCAACTAGAACAGTGGCCTCTATCCTTGCTTGGGTGTTGAAACCATGGCCTTGATGATGCTTATGTGTTTCTTCTTCCCATGGATCATGAGGCTCCAGTCTTTCCCTGTGGCTGTAAGTTCCTTCCATATATTTTTTTTTCTCCTTTTCTTAAGGGTAGAAACTTTATTTTTGGTCCATGAAGACATCTCTTCCTAGCGTTTTATGTATGGATGGAGTTTTAAATACTCAATTTATCATATTGTATTAGTCCATTTTCACACTGCTATAAAGAAGTGCCTGAGACTGGGTAATTTATAAAGGAAAGGTTTAATTGACTCACAGTTTAGCATAGCTGGGGAGGCCTCGGGAAACTTACAATCATGGTGGAAGGGGAAGCAAGGCACCTTCTTCACAAGGTGGCAGGAAGGAGAAGTGCCGAGCAAAGGGGGAAGAGCGCCTTATAAAACTCTCAGATCTTGTGAGAACTCACTCACTGTCACAAGAACAGCATGAGGGAACTGCCCCCATGATTCAATTACCTCCACCTGGTCTCTCCTTTGACACATGGGGATTTATGGGGATTATTGGAATTACAATTCAAGATAAGATTTGAGTGGGGACACAAAGCCTAACCATATCATATATATAATGTGGAATGAAAGTGTGAGGTTCAGCCTGTGCTCAATCCACCCTTGTGCCATAGAATTGGTAAATGCCCTTTTAAACAATCTTCCAGCTGTCCCCTCAGGTGCTCAGGGTACTTATCTTGTCCTTGACTCCCCAGGATGCTTCCACTGGAGTACCCCATACTTTGAGCCATCATCCCTACAAGATAGGCTCTCTGGGAGCAAAATGTGTTTGCAGTTTTGATGCAAGTACACTTACAGGTCAGAACTATTCCTGTCCTTTAACCCTGGTCCTGTAGCATGGGAAAGTATGTGCAGGGGACCTCGTAGCAGGCTGCTGTCTATCTTCATCTACACATCCTTCTCTCTGGCCTGCTAAGATAGAAGGAGCACAGAGAATCTCATTAAAGCTGCACCTGTGATGGGACAGAACATCAAACTAGAAGGAAACATGGGATTGTAACTGATTCTATCACTAACTAGCTCTGAGGCCTTGGGAAAACCACTTTGTTGTCTCAGCTTCTAAAATGGGAATAATGATAACAGCTGTTTATTATGGCAAATTGTAGTCCATTTCATTCATGCAGCAAGTATTTCAGAGACAGCCTGCCTTGTGGAATGAACTGGGTTCTGGTCTCACCTCTGTCACCAACTCTAACTCACTGGGTGACTTTGGGCAACTCAAACAAGATGGAAATTCTAGGAGCAAAGATTTCAGCTAAAAGAAAACTAAAACATTTCTAACAGAGCTACCTAATGATAGGCTGGGCTGTATTGGGAAATGGCATAAGCATATCTAATATTTATTCAGCAATCACTTTATTAAGCTATTATACTAAGTGCTTTACATGCCTTGCTTCATTTAATCTTCACAGTAATCCTATGTGTTAGATGCTTTTACAGATGAGGAAACAAGCTCAAAGAGGTTAAGTAGCAAGGCTAAGATCTGACCCAAAGATCCATGAAACCAGGCCGAGTCCACTTAACCACTCTGCTGCTTTGCCAGTGGAAATGCTCAGAAGAAGGTGGAAGACCATTGGCAGGCAGTGGAGAGATCATAGCAGCAATTAGGTTAGGCTAGATGACTGCTCAGCCCTGAGGTTCTAGGACTCTTGCTCCTTCCAGGCTCAGTTTCCTGGAAAATAAGAGTTAAATGTGATTGCTAGGGGCTCCTCACCATTATAAAATCCTGTGACTCATGTGCTAGGGACAGAGGGCAACAGAAAAGTAACGTCAGATGTACTCTCTGATGTCCCAGAGTATAGTTGGGAGGGCGAGTCATATCTCACAACCTCCATGACCCAGTGCTCTGTTGTATGGGAAGGGAAAGTCAGTGGGGTGGATGGAAAGTGTTGGAAGGAATGAGCATGGGGGCTTAGAATGGCAGGGTCTAAGTAGGTGCCAGGGAAAGGAAGCAGAAAGTGCATGTTTGAAAAGCCAGAGGTGTTTCCCTTTGAAAGCTTAGCTGCTACACAGAGCAGCTCTATCCATGCCTTGACAGCTCCCAGACCCAGCTGTCAGAGGGCACCTTTCACTCTCTTTAACCAGCTGAAGTGCCCTGGCTGTCCTGAACTCAACACCTCCACACTCTCAGCTCTCCTGCCTGAGCCCGACATGGGAGGCAGAGCAAAAGGCCACCATCATTTTAGCTGCCCCCTCCCACTCCCACAGAACCCACTGGGTTAAAGGCTGCTATACATATTAAAATAGGGACCCCAACATGTGTGAGTATGTGTGTAGTAATTTTTTATTTTCCTAAAATCTTGAGACTATTTTAGGGGGCAGGGAAGAAGACAGACAAGTTAGTGACAGGGAAGTCCTTGATTAACTGTTTCTTTCCACATTTTAATTTCCTTTCTGATAGAAAATTCAAATAAAACTGGGGGGCTGTCACAGTTTGTCAGTGGTGGTGGGGGATGGGAGGCAGGATGTCTTGGAAACATAGGAGGACATAGGGACATGATAGTAGCAACAAGCTTGGATATTTCCCAAGCAGGGCCTTCAGAGCCACTGTCTGGAGAGGAGAGCTCTTTGGATAAACCGTTGTGTCTGTTGGAAAGTGGTCATGCTTTCATGCTCAGTGTAAGTTTCCATTGGTGCTGTATTTCACCATGCACAGGCAGCACAAGGAGAGGAAGAAAATGCCCTTTTGGAAACTAGTTTGTAGATAAAGTGAATCAGCAAAAGACAAGGTAGAATCCAGAAAAATAAGAAAGAACAACTTCAGTTCAACATGGCAGATGTTTTCCAGCATCTCTTGCCTGCCTAACGTTGTCCTAAATGTTGCAAGGCACAAGGTCTGGAGGGAAAGGTCTATCCAGGTAGACAAGACTCACACACAGGAAACCACAGGAATTTTTAAAAATCCCTATAAATGCTGGCAAGAATACTATCAAATGTCAGAATGTTTTTCCCTACACACATATACTTGTTCTAGCAGTGAAGGATACCTACTAACTTTGATGCTCCAGGCTTGGTCTGAATGTCATACTATTGTAGAATGAGGAAAGCTACATTTCAAACCGGAATCATTGGCTCAGTCTGGATTCTCCAGGAAGCAGGCCTGAGGCAAAGGCTGATGTGCTAACACATCAATAGAGTGTATAGTCTTAGGGGCAACAATAGGGAATGAGGTGAGAAAGACAGGTAAGGAGACAGACTCAATAGGAAGATGTGTCATCAAGCAGGACACTGCTAAGTGTCACTGGCTGCTCAATCCACAGGACCACACCCTTGAGTAGCCCTATCATCCAGATCTCAGAACCACCAGGGGAGTGGGACAGGGGTGGAGACAAACCCACTGAACAGAGGTTTGCCATGTGTTGCATTAGGCCCACACTTTAAGGTTGCCCATGTGTTGGGGAAAGTACTGAGCAGGGTTCTACCACTGCTTCCTTAGGGAAATCCTAGGGGAAGTCAGATGCAGTCAGCTGCACCCATGTGAAATTGATCCATATGGTTTCCAGACAGCTGGAAGAAGAGGCAGGTGAGGCGGAGAGGATCTGTAGTAAAGCAGAGAAGGGTCTAACACACCCATGATCCCTCTACTGCATAATAATTGTCTGACCGCAGTTTTCCTCTCTGAATCCCCAGGTCCTGGTGCTGCATGAGGCATACAGCAGGCCTGAATCTTACGTTTGTTAAATAAGTGAATGGAATAAATTTTGTTGAATGACTAAGACCTAAAGCCTCTTAGTCATTCCTGACTTCTTCCTACCACCATCCCCCACCCCATACCTGACCAGTCACCAAGTCCTACTGCCTGTGTTCCTAGCTCATGCTGACCCCTCTCCCAGCCCCACCAGTCTTCCCTGTCTCACCTGCTGCAACTCTGAAGTGTAACTCTGAAGTGTAGCCCTGATCATCCCACTCCCAACACACAAAGAAACTCAACAGGTCGTTACCACTTACAGAGTGAAAGTGTCCAGCATCCCCCACTGCGCATCCCACCTCTTGGCCTCACTCCCTCAGGGCTCCTCCCAGCTCCTGGAACACATCAGTTCCTTATCGGTTCTGTTGCTGGTGTTTGTTTGTTTGTTTTAATTTGTGTCATTTTCTCCCACCGGGAAGTCTTCTCCTCTGACATAGAAAATCTTATTCCTCTTTCAAAGGCAATTTCAAGTGCCACCAACTCTATGAAGCCCTTCCTGAGCTCTTCCTCCTCCCCAGGTTCTCCCGTTCCTCTGAAGACCTTCAGTGACATTTTTTCCTCTTACCACACTGAGCACTGCTCCCTGGTAATATGGCATTGTTCCCCTCCTCTACAAGGTCCCGAGTGGTTGAGGGCAGGATTCTCTCTTACAGATATCCTCCCAAACGGTGCCTGCCCGTGGCCCTGACATGGTGTGCAGTGGGCGGTCACCACACTGGGATGTGTAAGAAGGGTTCATGGGGGAAGCCTTGCCTCCCAATTCACTCTAGTGCTCTGCCATTCCCAGAGGCCACAGCTGGTGGGCCATCCGCTGTCACACAGTTGACTGCCAGAACCCTGGGGTGGGCACCTCCTGCTAACCATATCCCATTTAAGGGTGACAGTCTGAGCCCAAACAAAAAAATTTTCCCAGGCATGAGGATTGCAGAAACTGAAAGGCAGCTCCTGGCAGCCACCCCAGGGGAACACCAAATTTAGCCCAAAAGTTGAATATAAATATATTTTAAGTGTGTTAATTTCAAAAATAGCATCATTACATTAAAATAGTTTACAAAATTAAGAGAATTAAAGCACCCCCACCAATCCACCAAATTGCTTTCATTTTTGTTTGTTGCCCTCAAGTCTTTGCTCTTATAAATGCCTTTTTTTTTGAGATAGGGGTCTTGCTATGTTGTCCAGGCTGCCCTGGGACTCCTGGGCTCAAGTGATCCTCCCACCTCAGCTTCCCAAATAACTGGGACTATAGATGCGCAGTACCACGCCAAGCATAAATGCCTATTTTTGCACATCGTAATCATGCTACACATACAATTTTGTGTCTTGCCTTTTTACTTAAGAATATGTGATGAGCACTTAAGAGAAGTATAAGGCAGGTTTAAATCCCAATCCTACTGCCTAGTAGCTGTGCAAGTTACTGAATCTAAGTCTGTTTCCTTATCTGTAAAATGGGGTCAAATAACCTTGAAGGATTACTGTAAGGATGAAATAGCAATTCATAAAATCTCTTAGCACAATGCCTAGAAAACAGCAAGCACTTAATAATTGAAGGTGTATTTCATTATTACTATTAAAATATGTGAGGGTTTTTAAATTGACTTTTCCCCAGCCAACTACACCCTGCACAAGCTTTTACAATGGTTTCAAATGTGGAATTTTACCTCAAACCTTTGTAAATGTAATCCCCTCCAGGTTATATTTTATCACATTTAAAGACAAGTCCCAAGAAGGTATAAAATAACTTTCTATCCTGCCCCGTTAGCTGAACAGCAGCTGCTGCTGGAGGGGATTTAGCCTTGGCCAGGCTGCAGAGCCCAGGGCGATGAACACTCCTGAAAGGTTCCTGCTTAGTTCTCACTTTCTCTGAGAAACCCTTTGTTAGCAAGTACATGCACGCAGTCCCATAAGGGCCTTGAATCAGGGTAATGGAAAATTCTGTCAGGTTGAAGGGACTGAGGGGGCTTGAGTCTTGCTGCCAAGCGATGGCCTCCCCCGGGGCTGTGCTGCCCTTAGCTGAAGGTGGAGATAGATAAAGAAAAGCATTAGCCTCCAACCCCCAAATCATCTCCCCACCCGCCGGCTTGATGAGGTGCTTAGAAGTCTCATGGTTGTCATTCCTTTGGTTTAAGGCTTTGAAGGTACTGTATCTATAAACATCATATATATTGCCATGAAGAGCTTGACTCAGTTTATTCATCTGCAGCTCTGTAATTCTGATAATGGGCCCCACAAGAGTACAAGAGCCTGCTTGTACTCTATCCAAGACTCTGTCCTAGTGCCTTGCTTAGTAACCCAGCTACTAGGGTGAAGTTCCGCTCTGCCCATGTCAGACTCCCTTCCCTGAGTCTGGAAGTCCAGCTCCAAATCCAGATCAGGGTCTGGGGCCCTACTGCCAGCTGAGACATGTCCCCAGCAGTGCCTGCCTGCCTGTCTGGTGTCTTACACAACTTCCACGGCTTGGCTTCCCTGCTATGTGCTCCTCCACCCTCCCCATTCCCCACCTCTCTGTGTACTTGATGTTTTGCTGCTTTGACTTCCCTGATGCTAAGGCTACTCTGGGCCATGCCCTGCTGGCTCTTTCCCAGCCCCTTTGGATATAGTCTTCTTCCAACAAGCCTGGACTGTACTCCTTTCTGTCCCCGAGCACCCCTGCCTCCCCTCTCCAGCCCTACCCCACAGAATAGGCCTAGTTTAGAAGGCCCAAAGTGTGTTATCAGAATTGATACTGGTGGATTCTGACAGTCTTCCTGATCATGAAAAAAAAATAGGGCTTTTAGAACTTAACATATATTTTCTTGTTTTAATTCAGATCTTTTACATATGCCCCTTCTGCTTCCTTGAGTAAAAAGATTACTGTCCTTTGAATTTTTTGCAGAAAGAGGTATGTGTGTTTTGCTACAGTTGGCGCCAAACCATGCTGTTTTAGTTACTGCTTGAATTCTGTCTTTCAAAAATGTTGGACTAAACTGAGATAAGGGACAGCTGTATTCTGGAATTTTCTGGAAGGAATTTAGATTCACCCACCTGGGTTCCTCCCCTGCGCATCAGTGCCTGGCTTCTAAACTTTCACATCTCAGCTTCAATGTTACCTCCTCAGAAAAGACTTTCCGCTACCCTATCTGAATACTAGAATCTCTCAGCCCACCTTTGCTAACCCCTTGTTCCCTTCATGACACTTGTCACAATTTATTTTCTTTAGCCCTGGGTGTGGTGAATCACACCTGTAATCCTAGCACTTTGGGAGGCTGAGGCAAGTGTATCACCTGAGGCCAGGAGTTCGAGACCGGCCTTGCCAACATGGCAAAACTCCATCTCTACTAAAAATGGTGTTGCATGCCTGTAATCCCAGCTACTCAGGAGGCTAAGGCACAAGAATCACTCGAACCAAGGAGGCGGCGTTTGCAGTGAGCCAAGATCGCGCCGCTGCACTCCAGCCTGGGCAACACAGTGAGGCCCTGTCACACATACACACAAAAAAATTATTTTATTTGTTTATTTGTGTTAGAGTGCCTTCCCCACCAAACTCTAAGATCCAAAAGGCAGAAATCATGTCTGGTCTCTAAAATTATACTCCTAAAGCCTAACATAATGCCTACCTGAAAATAGCTGGTCAATAATTCTTTGTTGAGTGACAATATTTTCCACTTGAAACAGTAAAAAACTATAGACTCTACCTATCTCTGATGATCATCAAGTGACCAGTGAAAGGGAAAATCCTTAATCATATTCTACTTAAAAATCTAGGATTTTAAAAAATCTGTTTATTATCAAGGACCAACTGCAGGGGCTTCCAGAACTTCCTGAGGATTGGGACGTGGGCAGCTCCCTCCAGCCTCGCTGTTTTCCTGATTTCCACATCATGACAGCAATCCTTCAAGATGCCTGCAAGGTGCCTACCGTCCTTGTTCTTTTGTTTTTCTCTCTGGTATCGCAATTTGCTATTAGGAAAAAATCTGAAACCCATTCATACTATGATTTTACATAGGAGTATTATTAGCATTTAACCACTTAAACACTTGAGCCATTGGAATGAAACATTCTGGTCTTATCTGGCACTGGAGGAAGCAATTTAAGGAAATGGGCCTAAAGAGGCCTGCAACTTGAGTGTGTTCACTCTATTACCAACCAGCTTATGCTCTTTAGTGATGAAGCTTTAGAAGGGAGGGAGAAAGAAAGAAAATGAGAGTAGACATACATGAGGTTGAAATCTTACTATAAGTTACTTTTTGTAGTCCAGCATATAATGAACTGTTAAATGTTAATGACTATGTTTATAAACATGTGAGATGGACTGTTTTTTTTTTTTTCTAGGAGAAAAAAATGGGTTCCAAGTGCTTTCTCTGGTTAGACTACTGCGGTATCTCTGGGTGGAGCACCTTATCCTCAGACAGAGGCCAGGTGTACTCCTAAGTCTCCATATTGGTGTCATAATATGCGTTCTATGATCTCTTTGCAAGACCTTTTTTAAAAAGCTTTCCTGCCCTGATAAACAAGACTGATTGGTAGTTAAGATTACACTTCTGTTTGTCTTTCCTAATCTTCTCTCAGAAATGACACCCATTTGTTGGTGAAAGGCTAAGTGGCCGGTCCCTTGACCCTTTGTTTGGAGCAACAGTTATTTCTCTTCTTCCAAATAGATGAAATATCAATAGCGAGCCAGTGAGAAGCAGCCCCACTCTCAGGGAGCTCTCCTGGGCGTCAGTTTACGTATCTGTAAAATGGTGATACAAACACCTATTTCACAGACTCATCCTTGGGGTCTATACTTCTTTAAAGCCTTCTCATTTTTAGGTCCAGGTCAGGTCTCCCCTCTTCTCTGTGTAGTTTGTTAGTTTTTTGTTTTGTTCTGTTTTGTTTTATTTTTTATGTATCACCTCCTGGAGCCTATGGTTCCTAGAATTGATGATAAATGAATTCGTGTTTAATTCTGTTCTAATTGTTAGAATAGAATAATGTGAGTTACTCTGATCACATTAGGCAGATTGTGGGCTTGATAAAGGGAAGTTCTGGAATCATCCCTCAACATCCCATTTTCAAATACTGTGTATTCAAAACAATAACAAAAATAATCAGATAATAACAACAATTACCATGTAATGACTGTTATTTCCCAAGCACTCTGCTAAACTCTTTACAGTCAACTCAGTTAACAGCCCTATGAGGTACTTAACAGCTCAGTTAACAGCCCCATGAGGTAGATATTAATGGGGCCCAGTTTACAGATGAAGAAACCAAGGCTCAGAGATTGTCTTGCTGGAGTCCAGATGTAAGTTAACAACTGGAATTTTAACCATTGCATGCCTGACTTCAAAGCTCTTTGCATTACTGGCTTACTGATGGGTATAGTCCAAGCGCTCCCCTCCCCACCAAGTCTGCCATCCTTCTCTTGTAGTCACAGTATGAAGTGGACAACAAAAGAGAGATAGATGTAGAGATAGATTTTATTAAGACAAATTACACATTTTACTATATTTTTCCTTTCTAAAACCCTCACCATCAAAGATTGATCCCACAGAATTTCTAATTCAAGAACACTCATTTCATAAAACATTTCAGAGATAGAAGGAGAGAAAATATTAATGCTAGGCAATAGATTAAAAGGTGTCCCCTCCAGGGACCCGGGATGATCAGACATTCCTTCCTAAATGGCATCCTAGTCACTTTCCTCCACCTCTCCACTCTCATTTATCTTTCCACCCAACAATAGCATCCAAGTGTCAGCAGAGGGCCCAGAGATGGGCAGGTGAGTCAGAGGTTGAACCTCCTTCTGAGCCTTTACCCTCCTCTGTCCCAACCTCTTGTGGCTATCTGTTTAGGTTAATAACTGCCAGGCAGCCGGAGAGGAGAGCAGGAAGACACAAGTTTCTCTGTGGTTTCCTTTCCTTATTTCAGGACTCCCCAAGCCTTTACCCATCCCATCAGCACCCACACACACACACACGTGCATTTTAATAATGTAATAATCCCTCTATAAGTCTCAGTTTCCAATTCCAAGCATCGTTTACCTTCATCCAAAACAACAGCAACCCATTATGGATCCAGTGAATACAGAGACCAGGCCAATCCCTGGGGAAGGCAAGGCTTTTCTACAGCCCCCACTTGGCAGTCTCATTAGGGGCACTAGGGAGACATAGGAATCTCTGCGCTCTTTAAATAAAGGCCCTGCCAAGAGAGCTGGAGATTCCCCTACTATTTCCTTGCCCCTGCTAAAGCCTCCAGGAGAGAGAGATCTGGGGGCCTCCATAGCTGTCATCACACCTCCTCTTGGCACTAAGTTGGCAGTCAGCAAAGGAAGTAAATAGGAGGGGAAAATAGTTTTCCAGTGTTTTCTCTCCATTTTTATTTTCATCTTCACAGCAGAATTTTTTTTTCCACAAGGGGAATCTGAGAAGTACAATGCTTTCTTTGTTTTAACAAGGCCTGGGGAAATTCCACTGGCCTCAGTGGCTGATGATCTGGTCAGGGTTCGAGAGAGGACAACAGCTTCTTGGATATTCCTGTTGGTAAGGCCTTCAGGGAATGGCTGGGTGAACAGCCAAGGGAGAAAGGGAAGGGATGGTTTCTATCATTGGATTGAACTGTAAAGGAGCTGCAGGGTGACAGATGTTGGCAGGAATTCCAGTAGAGTTTGTGTGTACAGTGACTCCCTAGCAGGGCTGACACCTGCACAGGCTAGGTGTACACCCTAGCAGAAGGAAAGGTTGCAACATCACCAAGGTGGGGCATTTGCCAGAGGTACATACCAGGGCATTTGCCAGAGGTACATACCAAGGCATTTGTAAAGCTGAGGCTGCTGGTAAAGTTCCAAGAAGCCCTTTTTAAGGCTGAGTAGAGGGAGGAGAAGCCAAGGGCAACCCAAGGCCATCTCACCACTACTCCGAGGAATGGTCCATGGAGACAACAGATTCAAGAGCACATATAATGCAAGTTCCTTGATTCATGCTGTCTATTGGCTGGGAACTTTGAGCTCTTCCTTGGAGGAGGGAGGGTGATCAGGTCAAGGAGGTAGGAACTTAGAGAACGCATTTGGTATGCTGCTGGTATGTAGAGAGAGAGTCATTCTATCCCTCTGGCTATCCCTTCCAGGCCAGCTTTTGCCATGCTTCCCTTCTTTCCCTCTACCCTGTTTCATGAGTAATCTGAAAGGCTTCGTATACTGGGTAGAGGGTGGGGAGGGAACTGCAGTCTGGGTGGGTTGTCACCTCTCTTACTATCCCAGAGCCCTGGTTATAGTTTCTAGAATTAATGAGCAACGTCATTGAGACCCGGGGCTCAAAGGAGCCAAGCAGTGATGACAGTGAGAAAGCATCAGTTCAGAAGGGACACGTCTTTCCTCTCTGAGCCTCCTTTGTTCCCACCTGGTCCTGATCCTCCCATAAAGGAGGGTCACACTGATAGGTCATCTGACCTTGCCTTGCTGCTGGCCTTACTAAGACGTCGCTTGTCACTATGATAGCCATGGGGAAGGCGGTGACCTGGTGAGACTCCATTGGGCACCTCAGGCTTCTGGCCATAACGAACCTGGATGAAACCTTCCCCAGGAGTCTGCTCCTGACCTCGTACTTGCTCGGTGACCAGGTTGTCTGTGTTTTGTTGGGAGGCCATATTATTGCTGAAGGGATTGAAGAATTTTCCCCCAGGGCCATTCTCCAGGCACTGATTAAAGTCGGGGGGTGGTGTGCAGCTCTGGACTATGCCCACAGAGGGGCCAGAAAGCTGGCACTTAGCCATGTGCTGCCGCGGTTTGACAAATCGCTGTCTGATCTTCTTCCAGCCCAGGTGGTAGAGTTCAGCCAGGCTAAGGAGGAGGGACAGTGCAGCCACAGCCAGCATAAAGACAATGAAGACATTCTTCTCTGTGGGCCGGGATACGTAACAGTTGACCGGGTGGGGACAGGGACTCCTGCGGCAGACATGCAGGGTGGTCAGGAAGATTCCGTAGATGAAGTACTGGCCCACAATGAAGCCCACCTCCATGGTGGTGCGGATCAGGATGCTGCACACATAGGTGTTGAGCAGAGTGCCCTGGAGGGCAATCCTTCCATTCCCTTCCTCCCAGCAGGACAGTTCTGCCTTCTCTGCCACCGGGTACTCGTAAGAGCCAGAGCCCCGGACCTCTTTGGCCCTCTCGGCCTCCCGTAGCTTGCGCTTCTCCTGCATGCGCACAGTGTGCATGGCGTGGCCCATGTACACCAGAGAGGGCGTGGAGACGAAGATGATCTGCAGCACCCAGTAGCGAATGTGGGAGATGGGGAAAGCCTGGTCGTAGCAGACATTCTGGCAGCCAGGCTGAATCGTATCACACCGGAAATCAGCCTGCTCATCCCCCCAGGAAGACTCAGCAGCTGTGCCCAGCACGAGCATACGGAATATGAAGAGGACAGTGAGCCAGACCTTGCCTACCACGGTCGAGTGCTTGTGTACTTCCTCCAGGAAATTTCCCAGGAAGCTCCAATCGCCCATCTTGGCACAGCCAGGGAACAGATGCCAAAACTTCTGCAAATGGGAGAGAGAGAAAGAGAGAAAAGAAGAAGGATGTTCTGTGAAGGTCTGGAATGTCTATCATGTTCTGGGATTCCACTGATCCATCCATCCAATGGGTTCTTTAAGAAAATGCAACTTAGAAGTCAAAGCAACCAACGAAAAGCTCGCTCTCCTTTCCCAGCAAAAATAAAAAGAAAGAGAAGATTCAAAGTAGCCATATTAGCAAAATTAGAGCATGGCTCCCACACTTTAACGGATCTAGAAATCGTGGTGTGTGTTACAATATGGATTCTGCTCTTGCCCCAGTAATTCTACTTCAGGAGGTCTGGGATGGCCCCCAGGAATCTGGATTTACAACAAGCAGCCCAAGTAATTCTGATGCAGGCGGTGAGGGACCGCACCTGGAGAAACACGAGTATTAAAAAGAACACAAGACTGGGGTCTGCAAATGTGACTCTGGGCATTTACCTCACTGAGTCTGTTTCTTCATTTATCGAATGGGGATGGGAATAGCTACACCAGAGAATTCTGAGGATTAAATGATATGAGGTGTGTGATATTCTGAAAATCATTCCACAACTGTTCCAAATGTTTAAATGGCTGTTGGATGGAAAAGGAATTTTTTTATGGCTCCAGAGGGCAGAACTAGGTGGAGGAGGAAAGAGTGAGGATGGGATTGGCAAATTTGGCCCCTCAGGAAGCACTCTGCAAAAATCAGAACCATCCAGCATGGACCAGCTGTGTTGGGAGGTGGCAAACAAAAAGTGTGCTTTGGTCACACCAGCTAACAGTATCACAGATGAGTGCTCACTTCCCCTGGCTGGTAAGGCAATGTTGATCTCCCATGCCTCGGTGCAACACAGCCATTCCAGCCACACAGCTCAGCTCGCCCTGCTGCTAAGTTTCTGTGTCTCATTTAAATAAGGTTCCCACACACAGATCTGCCCACCCTTATGTCCAGAATAAATGTCCCAAAACTTTATGTCCCTTACAAAATCCTCCCTCATCTGGCCTTTGTCTGCTTTTCCAGCCTGTTCCTGCCTGTCCACATGAGTTCCTTTTGTCCAGCCATGCCAAGTCTTCCCAAATGCCCTCCTTCTGTACCCCTACATGTCCCCTCACCCCTAGCTGAATCCCATTTACCTTTCAAAACTTAACCCAGTCATTGCCTCCTCCAGCCCTCCCTCCTCCCTCAAGCTGAGCCTCTTCAGCTCCTGTGATGGCCCCCGGGACACTTACTCGTCTCCCAGTGCTTGCTGCCTTGTGTTGTAATCCTCTGCCTGTCTGTGTTCTCCCAGGAGGGACTGTTTGAAAATGGAGACTGTCTTTTCTTCTGTATCACCAGAGCCTGGCCCAGAGTAGGTGTTTAATATATCTTAGTTGAGTGAATGAAGGAGGGGCTGACAGGCACTGTTGTTTCCTACCCAATAGAAAACCAATTCCCTGTTTCTTGCCTGCCTCCCATTGGCAGGGTGAAAAAGCCAGGTATCACTTTCTTAATCTCCTCTGCAGTTAGTTCTGGTAGGTGAGGTATGGGGAGAATCTAAAGTAGAGGGAATGCTCCAGAAAAGGTTTTTCTACCCCCCAGTAAATGGAGAGAGCCTCACTCACAGTGCTCCCATCCCCCTGTGAACAAGAGGGAACCTCACTCACAGTGCTCCCATCCCCTGGTGAACAGGAGGGAGACTACTCACAGTGCTCCCATCCCCCGGTGAATAGGAGTGAGCCTCACTTAGCCCCACCGCTTCCTGCCTGTGGACAGAGTTGTATGAACCAAGATGTCTAAAGCTGTCCAGAGAATCTCAGAAATGTCAACCAGTGCCCTGAGGCCTCTGAAGCAACTCTTGAGGCTCCCTACCTCCAGAATTCTTACTTAGTGAATAACGAATGTTCTTACAGTTTAAGCCTCTAACCATTCCTAACCAACAGGATGACAAACGTCTCGGAGGGAATGGAGCATAAATATTCCTTTCTTAGAATCATAAACCTCAGATTTGGGTGGGTCCTTAGAGGTTTGTCAAATTCAAACTTTGACCGTCATATCTTTGCTGCCAACGTGCTCCTGGTTTCTGTCTGAACATTCTTCATGCTTATGGGGAAAGATGGGGTCAGGGTGGTGCATTTCATAGTCCAGGCTTCCTCAGCTCTTGAGTTGATTGTTGCCTTGACAGGGACCAACCTCCTGGCCCTGTATTCTCTCAGACCCCAGGTCCCCAAACTTGAGAGTATACAGTGTCCCTGGGAATGAGGGAGTTCCTGAGTGAGCGGAAAGCATCTTATCTCTGCTCCTCTCTATATCAAAGACCCATGCAGGTCTTGAGGCCTTTCCTGTCATTTGTGATCAGACATCTGCCCCATTTCCTTAGGTGGCGAAGCGCCCCCTCTTTCAGCCTCCAAATGTGGAAAATTGTGGAGCATGTGCTCAAAAGGAAAATGGCTGATTAGATAAGAGTTTGAATTGTCTGTCCTCTCTTCTGGGCACATGTACAGTGTTCAGCACCTTCAGGGTCAGCCACACACGTGCAGTGACTGAACTATGGTAAATGTCTGAGAAAAAGAGGGAGGGAGAGAAGGGGAGGAATAAAAAGAAGAGAAGAAAAGGGAAGGACAAGGGAGAGTTGGAAATGGAGAAAAAGACCATGTAGGGTTAAGAAAAGACAGATGCAGGAGTTAGCTTACTGAGGTTTGACAAATTTCTATTACCATCTGCTGGGCTTAGATAAATGATTCAATCTGTGTTCCACTTTCCTCACCTGCAAAATGGACATACTATTAACTCATAGAGTGCTATGAGATGATGCGTGCAAAGCACTTAACACAGTGTTCAGCAAATAAGAACTGAATAAAAGGTAGCCATTACTAGCAACAAGAGCAGTGGGGAAGGATGAGAGTAGAAGAAGGAGGGAAAAAGAGAAAGCAGAAAGTAGAGAAAGGTGCATTACAAAGGAGAAAAGAAATGGGAGCAAGAGTAGAAGGGGAGGAAATGAGAGGAAAATGGAAATAGAAAAAAAAAGAAACAAATGTCATATTCTTCCAGGATTTGGGGCAAGTTTTCCACACTCAGTCCCTGAAGACTTCTCCCTTGATCTTCTCACTCTGTCACTCATTCCTTGCAAGTCCCCAAGGAAGTATAAAAATAGTTCCAGGCAAAGAATGTGACCCTTTGGTCTAGTCTGCCAAGAGGCTTGACTGCTGACTCCTTCACTGCTGTCCAAGGAATTCCACCTGGAAGAGGTAAAGCACAGATACAAGAAAGGAACACCTTGGAAAACCAGAAAGGCAGTATTAGGAAGGATATCTTATTGGGAGGGAAAAAGAGAAACTATCTGAGGAGGTATAGGGGTGAGGCAGACCTCCTGGGCCCAGGCAGAGGAAATAGGGTGAAGGGTTTTTCATGTATGACTTCCTGCTGACGCTCAGGCAAGGTCAGAGAAACTTAAAATAGCTACCATGTACCAGATGCTCAGTTTATAATGTGAAAGGTCTCTGGCTGTAGTTACTTTTCCAGCTACGTTGGCTCCCTTTGGATACCCCATCTCAGCCAAAGAAATTTGTAGATTAGATACTCAGTGAGTTTACTGGGCGTATAGCATATAAAATACTTTGTAGATTATTATCTGCTTCTTGGCAGGAAGTGTATTAGGAGGGGCAAAGGAAGCTGCCCATGCCATGAATAAATGCTATCAAACACAATGGCAATTTACCTCACTGCTTTAGCAGTTATCCTCACTGGCTTCCTACCACTTAGAAAGTCCAAACTGCTTAACTTGCCATGTGAAACCCTGTACAGTCTTATGCTATCATTTTTCCACTTTTCCACTCACACACTCAATACTTAAGCTACACAATTTCACATGTACTTATGTGCATCTCACCATTTCTCACCCATTTATCTTGGCTTCTTATGTTCCCTCTGCCTAGAATGTCCTTTTTAAAATTCATTTAATACGTTTATTGAGTGGCTACAGGGTGCCAGCCATCATTCTGGACAATGAGGATACAGCAGGAAGGAGGGGAAACAAACAAGGGATTCCCTGACTTCACTGAGTGTAACTGCCTTTATACCCCTTTATTAACAGCAGACATTAAATACATGATTTCAGTAAAACACAATGTGTGTTAACATAAAGGAAGTATAAGGTGTCATGGGAATGTGGGGCAGGAGCCTGAATCTGGTTTTTGGGTTTTGGGGAGAGTCCTAGGGAATTGCGTTCTAAAGCCCTCTGCCACTGATACAAGTTCTGAAATCAGCAAGGCAAAAAGAGATGGTCCCTAGAACCTGGAAGAGAACCATCCCAACTCTAAAGGTTCTTCACTCCCAAACCTTCAACATCCTCTTTCAACTTGTCCTATCCTGAGATAAAGCAAATTTTGGAGGGGCCACTAGGAAACTTGTTTGGCAATAGCAACATGGTGCTTAGATAAGAGGAAGAGGGCCAGAGGAAGGATTTTGTGTATAGTGAGCATGAATCATTTTATGATTTTATTTCATGTACTGTATGGCCAATGACCAGAAATAAAGCTCAGGCACCTACATTCTGAATCCAGTGCTTCTTTTTTTCTTTTTTGAGATGAAGTCTCGCTTTGTCACCCAGGCTGGAGTGCAGTGGCACCATCTCAGCTCACTGCAACCTCTGCCTCCCAGTTTCAAGCAATTCTCCCTGCCTTAGCCTCTGGAGTAGCTGGGATTACAGGTGTGTGCCACCACACCTGGTTAGTTTTTGTATTTTTAGTAGAGAAGGGGTTTCACCATGTTGGCCAGGCTGGTCTCAAATTCCTGACCTCAGTTGATCCTCCCGCCTTGGCCTCCCAAAGTGCTGGGATTACAGGCATGACCCACCATGCCCGGCCCAGTGCTCCTTCTCGTGGTCCCCCTACACGGCCAGTGTTTTTCAAAGAAAATCATTTCAGAGCAACCCAGATTAATCATAAACTCATAGCCAGAACCTCTTCCTCTGACTCCGCAAATCTACAGCAAAATGGATAAGTCTTCTAAAATTGACCTCAGCCCTCTTTGGTGTCCCCTGAACTCCAGAAGACTGAGCATCTGGTACATGGTAGCAATTTTAATTACCATCCAGCATGGAGGATACATCCTCACACTTGGTTATATATTTCCTTAGACTTGTTTTCCAAACATTTGTCTATCAGCCAACCTGCAGATACTTTGCTGAGTCCCCTTTATGTGCCTACCACTGTTCTGAGTAATGAGAACAGTACCAAAGAGGTGCAAGGCCTGACACACACTGGGCACTCAATGGTGTCTATTAAATTAATAAAATCGGCCGGGTGTGGTAGCTCATGCCTGTAATTCCAGCACTTTGGAAGGCCGAGGCGGGCAGATCATCTGAGGTCAGGAGTTTAAGACCAGCCTGGCCAACATGGTGAAACCCCATCTCTAATAAAATTCAAAAATTAGCCCAGTGTGGTGGTGGGCACCTGTAATCCCAGCTACTCAGGAGGCTGAGGCAGGAGAGTTGCTTGAATCCGGGCGGTGGAGGTTGCAATGAGCTGAGATCACGTCAGTGCACTCCAGCCTAGGCAACAGAGTGAGACTCCGTCTCAAAAAAAAAAAAAAAAAAAATTAATAAAGTCAGGCATGATTCCTTCTGTCAAGTATTTAACAGCTTTTTCTCTCAAATGGGTAGTATGCTTCTCAAAGTTAAAAGCCCTGTCTTCTACTTTGCATTCTTATTGCATTAGGTTCTCTCATTTGGTACACAATAAATGCTTTCTTAATGATTGAAGAAAATGTTTGGCTAGCAGTAAGATTGCAAAGAGGTCCTAAGGAGGCTCAAGTCTTTCTTCTTAAGGTCAGCAGTAAAAATAAAACCTCACAATAAATAAATAAAAATAAAAGCTTACATACTGTTCAAAATGTGCTTCTACATTCTCTTGTTGGTTCCAAGAGAGCAGGATCATATTTGTTCTGTTCAAGACCGAATACCTTCAGAATGTTATAGACATTCAATTTTTATTGTTGAATGAATGAATCCTCATAACCACTCTGTGGGGTGATTGTTATTGCCTGTGTTTTGCAGAGGAGGAAACATATAAAAGTGATTCGTTCAAATAAACAATTAATGGGGGAAGAACCAGGGCTTCATTCCAGAGTTTCTGTTCAAGTCTGGTGCATGCCAGAAAGTTTCATTCCATCTCCCCTCCAAGAGTGGAGCTCATCAATTCTTAGACCTTCGAGAGGACTTCCCAGTGGAGATAACTCTGGTGTAGGAGTTAGGGGTATGTGATGTCTGTAGGGGTGTGGAGTGGATGGAGGAGTTGCAGAAGAGATGAGGGGATTTCAGACAAAGGCAAGACTGCATGAACAAATTCATTGAAATGAAAACCAGCATGGTTTTAGAGTACAATGAGCAGAGCATGGAAGGAGAGTCTGCATAGCAGGCAGGAGCAGATTGTGGAGGGCTTTAACAGCCATGCCTAGGAGTTTGGAGTCATTCTCAACCCACATGATAGGCCATGCTTAGTCCATTATTTGCTCCTGAGGGCCTAATCTGAAGCCTCCAAATGGGGTTGGGGATGTAAAGGACTGCACAATTAGTAATGTCCATGCTTGTAGCAGTCTTTTAGTAGTGGCTGCAGCATCAACTAGGTAGGCTGCAGATGACAGGTACCTCCCAGCACACTTGCTGTGACTGCACCCTCGTCTCTCCTGCTTAAGAAGGTATATTGCTAGTGAGTGAGGCCCTACCATAGGGATGCCTTGAAAATTCTCTTCTTTCTCTTGATTCCAGTTCTGTCCTGTGGAGTCACACATAATAGCCTTTCTAATATAGTATTTTACAATAATTTCTGTGTCCCCCAAGTCAGCAGCTGGGCCTTGGGCTGAACTGTAAAGCCTTGGAGGTCTCACACACCTGAGAATTAGTTGCTCTACAGGCCATGTATTCTCTCTCCCACTCAACCCTGAGCTCTTTGAAGACAAACTGCTTTTCTGTTCATCATTGTATTATCCTCCTGAAATTCCCTCCACCCCAAACCCCTTAGTGCTCAATACCACACCCTGCACAGTGTGGTATGTACTTTATAAAAACAACGATGGATGAATTGATAGCATTTAGGTCTCTCAAAACACCTAATGCCAAATTGATCAAGGCAATTATTTACCGGTTGCTGAAGAAAAGGATGAGAATGCACACAGAGGCCAAGCAACACGTTGGGGCCATGCTGCATGTCAGTGGAGGGGCCTGCCTGGGAAGCTGGCATAGGGACACCTGCCCAATGACGATGGTGACCAGAACACCAGGGAGATGGAAGCCACTGAGTGTTTCTTCTACCTGTGACAGAGCCGTTCTCTCAGCAGGAATGAATGTGTCTCAAGCAGAAATTCCATCACTGTGGACTACTCTCTCACTGCCTCCTCCCCTCATAGTACTGGGGAACTTATCCAAGCTTGTCAAAATTAGATGACAAGACCACTCCACAGAGTCTGAGTCTAATTCTGGACAACGACACATGTTCTGGACAGTATCTAACAGATCTCTGGTTCTCCATAAAGGTTGTTATTCATAGTAATAATAACAACCCCCTGGGCCCATGCTATAATTCCACTCACCATACAGTGGAATGTGGTGCAGGGCAGAGTTCATTTGCTTCCCAATTAAGAAAATTCTGTTGTGAAAGGACCCAAAGGGCCTCACTGAAAGGCTGCCTGAGAAATAGTATCATATCAGTGCAGTTTAGTTCAGAAAGTGCTTATCGAGCTCCTCTGCCATGTCAGACATCAAGGTAGCTTTATAAAGCAAAGCACCAAGCATAACCTTTATGTCAGAAGTCTTTTGTACCTTATTAATTTGTGTACATGTTTTCTGATTTCCTCTCACCCCAATAATTTCTCCTTAAAATGGGTATGTAGGGAGAATTGCATGAGAAAGTGGTCTTGATCCTCAGCTACTTCAGTAATCTTTGTTATCCTTTGATATTCCCAACTACGTCTTCTAGTTTACCCAGTTACACACACAAAAAAAGAATTTGGATCTAGGTGATAATAATAATAATGGAAATAAAATAACACTCACTGACACCTTTCTATGTGCCAGACACTCTATAAGTGTCTTTCCATATCTGTTTTCATTTGATTCTCACAACAGCCTGAGGAAGTGGGGACTATTCTTTTTTTTTTTTTCTTGAGACAGGGTCTCACTTTGTCACCCAGGCTGGAGTGCAGTGACACAATCACAGCTCACTGGAACCTTGACCTCCTGAACTCAGGTGATCCTCCCACCTCAGCCTCCCAAGTAGCCAGGACCACAGGCATGCACCACCATACCCAGCTAATTTTTGTTATTTTTTTTTTTTTTTTTAGAGATGGGGTTTTGTCCTGTTGCCCAGGCTGGTCTCAAACTCTTGGGCTCAGACGATCTACCCACTTCGGCCTCCCAAAGTGCTGGGATTACAGGCATGAGCCACCATGGCTGGCCTCTCATCTTTTGTTACAGGGCTCAGAGAGGGTAACTTGAGCAAGATCACACTGCTAGTAAGAGCTCCCAGCTCATCTGACAGCAGTGTCCCTGCCTTGACAACTGTGCTAAACTCTATCTAAATCACTTGAAGTTCCTTCTTTGGAAAATCCTAACCAGTCAAAGGCTGGCCACTTTTATATAAGATGATTGAAGCAGGAATGTTCATTGAGATCATTGTTCGGATAGGGAGTTGATTGTAGGTGACTGGTGCTAATTCTTACATTTAGGATTTTCATTCTTTTCCTGATTTACATTTGGGGTAACTACTTCAGCCTCAGGAGAAATGATCAGGCATGTGATGTAACTGTAGCTACTGAGCTGGGCAGTGTGGGCACCTTCCTCAGAATTAGAAGTCCACTGAGGGCCAGCATCCCTGAACCTTGTTCATTGTAGAGGGGAAAGGAAGATAGAGATAAGAGAGGAGAAGAGATGAGTGAGATGAAGTACTCACTTCAGTCTTCCTCTTACTCTGGCCAGTGGCACCAATGGCAGATAATTAATTCCTTTTTAAATTTAATTATTTTATTCTGGCAAGAACAGATGGGTCCACTCAGAGACACCCTGCTGGCAGACAGTTGTTTCAAAGCCAAGGAAGTAGAAGGGAGTAAAGTGCAGAAAGAGATTCGTGCTAGGATAAATAATTTTCTTAAACTGTTGGAAGAAAAAATATGAAAAGTGAAAGAAAGGGAGTAGTAAATGGAGATATTAAATGTCAACAAAATATTGGTAGGTCCTTATTAATTGCTCCAAGGGGGTAACTTAGTACCCATGCAATTAATTACTAATGAAAATTATAATACCCACATTTCTTTATTATTTTCCCCATTTGTCATAGATTTATAGTGCAGTAGAGCTGAACGGAATGTAGAGATCAATCAAACTCAACTCCTTATTTTTAAACAAGATGACAAGGGTCCAAGGAAGTAAAGTAAGAGTGATAACAACACTAACTTGAGTATTTCCCATGTGTGAAGCCCTTTATAACTATACTTTCTAACCCTCCCATTAACACTGCAAGGAAAGTAGTATTGCCCCATTTCACTGATGAAAAAACTGAGGCTCAGAGGCTAAGTACTTGTACTAAGTGCCACAACTGGCAAATGCTGCATAAAGGGTTTGAATCCAGCTAGCCTAACTCTAAAGCCCACATCCTCTCTACATCTCTGACAAGAGAAAGAAAACCAAGGACTAGGACTGATAGATGATGATAAGCCCGTGCCCAGAACTCCAGTCTCTTAACTCTCAGAGTTATCATCATCTATTTTTCCCACTTTACCTTGCCTCAGAAGAGACCCAGCGTTTTTCCTTTTAGCTTCTGCCTTACTGGCTGGCCATCCCTTACATATGCTGTTCCTAGAATTAATTATTACATTGGGGCCCTCAGCCCACAGTGGTCAGGATTCCCAGACTCTTCGGCCTCTGCCATCATTTGGCCAGAATTCACATATAGAAAGTTATTTCCTTTTTTAGCCAGCAAGTGTTCTTGGCTGCAGCAGTGTCTACTGCCCGGTTCTTGGCTGGCCAAACAGCAGGCTCTGGTGTTCCATTGATGTGAAATCATAACAAGAACAACAGAAACAGCAATTATTAGGCGGAGGAACTTCCGGTCTCTAAGGACTAGTAGGGCTAGGACCCTGCTTGCATCACTCTCTAGTAGTGTAACCCTAGGCAAGTCACTTATCCTCCCAATTTCTAACTCATCTAACAAATAGGAATGTTTATTCATGGGGATAACGTAATGTGTGGACATGTGGAGTCACCTAGAACAGTATCTGGCATATAGGCACTCAATGATATTAGTTCCTTGTTTTCTTTTCTGACATTTCCAGTAAAAACTCCTCTCAGACATGATCCAACTAGCCAACTTGATGCAGAATCTGATAGTGCTTCAGGCTGGTTAGTGACACAGCAAGGACCCTCATGTGGCACAGGTAAAAGAGGGTAACTGTCAGAGATGGGAAAAACACAGACAATGGAAAGTATAGGAATTTGTCTACAAATTAGTTATCTCACAAGGCATCCAGACCTCCTGGGTCAAGTCTGGAGAATCAGGGAGGTGTAGGGCCCAATCAAATTAAGCCACTCTCATTCCTGTTTCAAGTCCAGCATGCCTCCTAATGTGTCCTTAACTCAAGATTTTGGGCCTGGAGTTGGACTCCACATGGCTCCATATTATAAAATGTATGCCTCATGGGATGCCTCTCTTCTGAGAAGCTGCAGCACTTTTGAATCTGATCACCAAGCAGAAGGCACACTCACAATGAGAGGTTTGAAGCAGGCTCAGTTCTACTTGGAAGAGAAAGAGGGGGTTGTCTACTCTGTGATCTGAGGGTAAGGGACATCTTGATCCCTAGCCACCTCTGTCCTCTCCTGAGGTTCTGAATCATGGAGTTGCCAGGTTGGAGTAAGATTCGGGAAATCCCCTGTGAAAATGCAATGTTATCATTTCATGAAGAGAGGCTCTTTTCTGGTTCCAGCTGTTTCTTTGTGATCCTAGACAAGATATTTCCCCTCCCTGAGCCTCACTTTGCTCACATGTGAAACAAAAGTGTAGAGGCTCTTCCATCTCTAAGTTAGAACATCTGGGGAGTCTGTGACTTGCCCAGTTGTGATAGCATGGCAAGTTAGTGGCAAAGCCAAGAAACAAGTCCAGAGTTTCTGACTTCTAGCTTAGAGGACAGCAGAAGGAGTCCTAGAAAAAAAAAATCTGTGGTCATAAAAAACCAGCAATACCTCCTTGGAATTATATGTCGTAGGAAGCCTTTCTATTTGATAGCCATTTAAAATATTTAATCCTCATAAAACCTTATGAGGAAGATATTTATTAGCATCTTTGGCAGATGAAGAAACTGAGTGTAAGAGACATTAAATAATTTCCCCAAGATCACACAGCTAAAATCCTAGCCAAATGTGACTCCAAATGCCCAGGTTCTTCCTTCGGCCCTACCCCTCAATTAGATAAACTCTAAGGTCCCTCTGTGATTTTTTCAATACCTCTCATTCTGCGACCTCCTGACTCTCAGTGGACTGTTGAATACTAAATTTTACTTGCCCATTATTTACTAATATATCAGAAACAATTTATTCTCAAAGTGCATCAAGCTGGCATCACCAGGAGCCAGCAGCTTCCAACAATAGTAAGGAAGTCAGCTTCCTTTCCAGGAACCCTGAAGCTTTCCAGGAAAATGGTCATCTCTCCCCTTTGTCCAGCTCAACCCTTGAGCCCAGGTTGGTGCTTATGGGAGTTCATTCACACAGAGAGCTACTGGAATCCCCAGTAAGTGAGTCCTTCCCTAGGACGGGGGCAGAGCTTTGGCCTTGGGTCTCCCTGTCCCTGAAAACGGCAGGTCATCCAGTTCCTGTCCTGATTGATCCACATAGACAGGTCCCCTGTCCTAAGAGGTGGGGTCAGCCAGTACCTGAGAGACCAGGCGGCACTGTGGCAGTGCCCTCCACTGCCTGTGCCCCACGAACAGCCAGTGTAGACGATGAAGAGCAGGTGGGCAGGTGGGAGTCAATACCAAAAAATGGAATTGTAGAGACACTCAAGTGGAAGAATCAGGGAGACTCAGGGAGAGATGGAGGCTAGGAAAATCCAGCCGGGGGATGGACATTAGAAGAGCCCTCGGTATGAGTGAGCAGGGCAGGGTGCTCTCCCAACTCAATCAGCCCTGACTCACTGTGTCGTCTCCTACGAGTCATGCCCTTCTCTAGTCCTTGTTCTCCTTATTTGCCAAAGAAGGAGGCTGGTAATGGAAGAGACCTCTTTCAGTTCTAATGTTCTCAGACCTTAGGCAGTACTAGGAGAGGGGACAGGAGTGAGGCAGTTAAGATGTAAGAACAGTGACCAGCTTCAGGAGCCCAGCAAGCACACCTCTGGGGTTCCAAGGCAGAGACAAAGCAGGGCAGCCTGATTCTGTGACTGCTGTGGCTCTGTGAACGTCACATGTGTGGGTGAAGGATGCTCAGAGAGTGTTGGGTTGGAAGCCACAGAATCCCCTCCTGGTACTCTCTGCTCTGCAGACTGTGGTCATTGGGACTCCTCACTGGCAGGTGCTGAGTGAGGAAAAGGCTTGGAGGGACAGCCAGGGGAGCAGGCTCCAAACAGCTCTGCCGCCGGGCAACTTGGCAGGAAGGTGGAAAGTTCAGAGCTGTCCCTAGAGAGCAGTGAATCAAGGACTGGGCTGGGCTTGGCTGTGACTCTGGGGACAGTGGGTGGAGGGGATGGAGGCTGCTTGGCCTGCTGATGTAAAAGTCAGGTTAGAAGGCCTCTAAATACCAGCTGGTGTCCCCAGCCATGAGCCACAGCACCAGGCAGTCAGAGGCGCTGCACCTCCACACGCTCCCCTTGGTCTCTTCTCTCCTTCAGTTTTGCTGGTTCCAGGTCTTCTGACTCCCTGTTCGGTGCTCTTTGCACTGCCCTGCCTCCCCACGCAGCCAGCTGGACCTCTTTGCACCAGAGCCTTTTTCCAGAAACAGCAGCCCCAGTGATTTGCTGGGGAGTGAGAACAAGGAATCCCTCTATTATAATGGAATACTGCGAGGGAGAATAAGGAAAAAACTGAGCAACAGAGCAGGATGAGAAATTCTTGTGTTGCGCCTCCCTTTTTCAGTGGTTCTGAGTTGCCTTTGAGCCTATGGAATCACAGCCTTACACACCGTTACTGCTGAATGGAACCAGAGGGAACCTTCTACTTCAAATTCCCCATTTTATAGATGAGGAAACCGAGGCCCAGCATGGGGATGTGTCTGCTACAAGGCCTCCCAGCCCCTGAGTTTGGGCTCTTTCACTGCATGCTCAGAAGAAAGGTCCAGGAAGAAACTAACAGAATCTTTCTACCCCATGGCCTCCTACTTCACACCACAAGTGGAAAGGAGACCTTCAGTGGGTGCTTTCCTGGCCTTCCTCGCTGGTTTCACATGCCTCTTTCCTCCGGCTGCAAGTGGCAGCCTGGATCTCTCACATGTGGCCACTGCACAGCGGGGACATGATACTCTGCAGGAAACTAAGCAGGGAATATTTTTAAACCATCCAACATGCCTTAGGGAGAAAAAAAAAAAAAAAAGCAAAACACTCCCCTAGATGCTGCTAAAGGCATTTTGAAAAAGATTCCATGCCTAGCAGAAGCATCGTAAAACAGTGTTGGTTTTATTTTTAAAGGGCCAATTCCCTCTAAGAAAAGTTCTTGGGAATGGACTGGTGACCCACTTCTAAGATGCCCCCAGAGGACTGAACTCCACAAAAGTAGGCTGGAACCCCAAGGGCCCTCCACTCGCAATTCTTCATCTCCCTCTAAATCAAGGAAGTAATTTATCTGCTGCTTCGCTAAACCTTCCTTTTTAATATATCCATACCTCACTATCACAGGAAATAGCGGGAGGGGTAAGGAATAAACTCACAGGTAGAAAGAAAGAGCTTTGTTTTTATCCAGCCTAGAATCCAAGCTCCCTTCCTCTGGCTACTTCATATCCACTTGTAGCTTTAGCTGTTCAAATTCAAGTCTACTCTTACCTGCTTCTTTTCCTCCTCCCTGGACTTTCCTTCCGTGGGCTTCTTCACACTCTGGCTGCTTCTTCTCCAACTGCCCACGCTTTTTGCTCTTGAGCCTGTCAGTTGTTCCTCTTCCACCCTCTTTTTAATCGTATCTGTCGCCTTCCCTCCTCCCACTTCTTCCTACTCTTTCTCTCTCCACCCCTTTTCCCCTCTGAATCCCTCCCTCCCCTCTCTCTCTTTTGTGCTCTTAGAGTCTTTGCTCTAAAAGTCTTCTTCCCTCCACCTCCTCGTAGCCTCAGCTCACTGTGCTCCCCTTCTCTGGCCCCCAAGGAGGCAGAGCCCCCTCCTCCCTGCAGCCCTCCCCCTGTCTGTCTGCCTGTTGTCCTTGTCCTCACAGCAGTCCTCCACATTGCCTCTCCCCCGGGCCGCTGGTGCACCACCTCCCTAAGTCTCTTCCTGCCCACCCCTCTGCTGCGTCGCCTCAGACTTCCCAGGCCATGGCTTTCCTGGAGCATCAGCAGGAAAATTGGCACTGCCCAAGAGATCCCTCTTCCCATCCTTTTCCCGTCATCAGAAAAAAGAGGGTGTTCACTCACATAACAAGCCTTTTTTGGGATTTCCACTATGCCCACACCAATGAACTAAGCATAAGCCAGCACAGGAAAACACGGTCTCACAAGTCACAACCATCCAGCGCCCAGAATAGGCACCAGGACTAACCTGAAAGGAAAGAAATGCTAACCTCCCAGCTCCAAAAGTGTAGGGCATTCCTCACTCCCAGAATCATACTCTCTCCCCTTCTCCTCTAAAGAGAGGCGAGCACCTTCTACGCATCAGGCACTGGGCTAGAGACTTCATATATATATATATATTGCCTATTTTTATCTTAATCATTCTATTTTCCAATTCTATAAGGTAGACCTTTTCTGCATTTTACATTTGAGGAAATTGAGGTTCACAGAAATTAAGTAACATGATTATGGCGACCCAGTTTGTAAAGTAAGTGGTAGAATCAGGATTAGAAGTTTTCACCAATGCCAACATTTATCTTATTGCTCCTTCCGTGAAAGCAAACAGGTCTCCCAACTGGAATTGAACTGATGAAAGTAAGGTTGGCTCTTGTTAGATCACATGCCACAGGTGACCAAATTCAGAAACTGTGGGGGTATCTCTTCCCTCAAACCCTCCCATTCTCCAACTTCTCCCCCAGACTCCTCAACTTAAACACTTAGCCGTGGACCCAGTTGGAATGAGGTAAGTGTCAACAACAGAGGTTACTATGAGTGGACTGAAATCAGACAAAACAATGACTAAGAGCCCACAGATTATGAGAACTAAAGAAAATTTCAGTGATCATCTGGAACAGCCAGGGAAACTGAGGCCCAGAGAAAAGGCCACTTGTCAATGTCATATACAGTAGTATGTGGCAGAGGCAGGGCAGGAAGCCGGAATGGTCCCTTTGCTCCACATCATCACCTGAAACATGCCTTTCCCGCAAAGCACCGGTCACAAGCATTCCAAGATTCTGCAAAGATGTTTCCTTAATGGGCTATATTTTTCATGGGTGAATGAGCTTAGGATCAGCAAGAGGGAAAAGAGCAAGGGGCTGAATTTCCAGTTTCAAGGGAGGCAACAGCCCTGGTGAAAGGAAATGCAGGATTCTTGATTCCTTGGCCAGAGTTTACCCCACTTTTATGCAGCATCAGAGCAGATTCTGGGGCCAGCCTGACTGGGTTTGAATCCCGGCTCCGCCACTTACTAGCTGTGTGACATTGGGCAAGTTAACCTCTATGCATCTCAGTTTCCTCAACTCTAAATTGGGAATATTATCTACTTCACAGGGCTGTCATGAGGACTAACGAGTATGTGAAAAGCACATAGAATGGTTGGGAACATGGAGGTACTGTAGATGTGGCTGCAAAATAATAATACAATATACAATACAATGCAATGCAATACAATACAATACAATGCAATGCAATGCAATGCAATGCAATGCAATGCAATGCAATGCAATGCAATGCAATGCAATGCAATGCAATACAATACACAACCTCCTCCCTGCCTGTACTTGCCATGGCTGTACCAAAGTCCTGTGATGGAATTTAGCATGTGAAACCAATAGCAAGCCCTGCTTCTCCAAAACAGAGATGAGTTTCACACTGTGACTTTGCCCCTACATCCCAGCCTCTCTACAAGAGCAGGGGACACCTAGGAACACCTTATTATCTCCATCCAGGAGGTAGCCAGTTAAAGAACCCATAAAGTCTCAGCTGGGAGATAGTCTGAAAGTGGGAAAGGTTTAGTGGAATGTACACTCCTAGATCACTGGGCTGCCAGAGGAGAGATGATCTCGGGCAGGCCTGGAGATTACAGGAAAATGCCGTTTTCCTCTGAATGTGCAGAAGGGAAGAGCTGCCCAGATACAGACACACTCATGACCCTGGAGGGAGAGCAGGGTATACAAGGTAAATTTTCCCTTCGTGCTTGGCTGACAGAGAACTAAAGCAGTGAAGAAACTGGATGGCTTGCTAGAAAAGTCCAGGAAGTTCGCCTCAGGGCTGGGAGAAGGCTGAGGTCTCTGACTGTGATCATCCCAAGTCAATGAGGTCAAACAACTCTCCACCCGGGGACCATTCATCATGGCATCCAGGACAGCTACGTTGCTTCAGCAAGGGCTTCACAAATGTGGTTTATTCCGCACCTGGCTCAGGCAATGACTAACAAAAGTTGAAAGAAAAAAAAAAAGTCATTTGGGCTGTGGATGTGAGGTGATTCTCTAAAGGGGCTTAACCTGGCAATCACCACATAGCTAAGAAGGACCCCGTAAGCAGATATTCAATGCACCAGAGAAAAGGACAGGACGAGGGCCAAGGGTGGGAACTGAGGTTCTCCCATGCCCTCCCCTTCTTCCTCATATTTCACACAAGAAACGGTCTTAGAAAGAAGTATCAAAGTCTGTGTTCCACGCATTACAAAATATGGAGGACTCGGGATTTAGAGAGGAAGCCCAAATCCAGTCAAAGAATTAGTAAATCATACCTGTAAGGAAAAGCTGTAGAGGTGGGATTGCAAAATAAACTTTATTCAACATTTATTACATGCCAGGCATTGTACTAGGCACATTTCACATTCTTTTACTTTGAGATAAAAAGACAGAAAAATGACGTTATAAAGCCTTTCTCACTATAATCAGTGTCTTATCTCAACAGGAATCATTGGCTACTCCTATGGGCCCAGCCTATTCTATGTGAGAAACAAGGGCTCTCCCTGTCCACAAGGAGCTGACATTCTAGTTGTAGAAAAGAGCTATTGAGACAAAACAATTAGTATAAAGGGTAGTATCCTATATGTATGTGTGTCAGTGATGGTATAATGAAGTGCTAAATTATGTGAGAAAAAATCATTTGGGAAACAGCTTCGTACAGAGTGATCTCTTTGTTGTGCTATAATGAAGGGGAAGAAAAAGCAACATTTTTTATATTTAAATTAAATTTATTTATTTTAATTTCAGCTTTTATTTTTGATTCAGGGGGTACCTGTGCAGGTTTGTTACCTGGGCATATTGCAGGATGCTAAGGTTTGGAATACAATTGATCCTGTCACCCAGGTAGTGGGCGGGTAGTACCTGATGGTTTTTCAACTTTTGCCTCTCTCCTTCCCTCCTCCTTCTATACAATAGACACTACTACTCCCTAGTGTCTATTGTTGCCATCTTTATGTCCATGAGTACCCAGTGTTTAACTCCCACTTAGAAGTCAGAACACGGGGTATTTTGTTTTCTGTTCCCGTATTAATTTGCTTAGGACGATGGCCTCCAGCTGCATCCATGTTGCTGCAATAGCCATGATTTTGTTCTTTTTAATGGCTGTGAGGAACATTTATTGAAGGCCTTCAGTGTACCAGGTATTTTCACCTCACAACACTGTGAGATAGATAGTATGTTATTATTTCCATTTCATGGAAAAGAAAATTCAGGCTCAGAGAAGTGAAGTAACTTTCCCAAGATCACTCAATAAGTACAGAAAAGGTTCACCTGGTGCGAAAGATTAGGCACTTTCTCCCCATGGCTGTAGAAGAAATTCTCATGAAACCTATTGGCCTGGTAAGACAGGCGGGCACAGGGCCCTCCAGGTAGGAGCAAACAGACCTGCAGATAGCACAAGAAGAATGGACTCCAACCCTAGGAGAAGAGATTGTATTCAGCCCTGATTATGAAGGTGGTTCAGCACTGTCACTGATTTCCAGGAAGAAGCACCATCACCTTCTTCACAAGTCTTTTAAAACTGGCATACTGAAAATTGCTTCTTTTTTTTCTTCTCTCTAGTGGCAAGGGGGGGAAATGAGGAGACCTTCCAATGTCTTCTCTACCAAGTGAATCTCTGACTCTACAAGTTTCCTTCCCAAGACACTGTGGTCCAGGGCTACCTCCCTTACAGCCTACATGACAACATGTGCAAATTATTTGTCAGCATCTAATTGCAAGAACGGTGAGTCCTCCGTGCCTCATTGGAGGCCATAAATGGGTAATTGGAGCCACGGTTAGTGGGCTGAGGTCACACTTTTCTGCTGGTTAAGATGCAGACACCACAGGCATAAGCCGTCCCCTTTAAGACTTTTACTGGCTAAAAAGGGCAAGAACACTCTGTTCCAAGAAGCAGAAAGCAAAAGAAACACAGACTTCCTTGCTCCTGGTGTTTAGATCTATGAGCCTACTCTTATCATATCTCAAGTTTTAATCCCAAAGACAAGATCAAGATCATGTCCATACTTCTTAGGCTTAAGGCAAATGGAATCTTCTGGGATCCCAGGCTTAAGAACTCTTGTGGTGGGCTTGGAACAATAGCCTCCACGGACAGGAGAAAAGGAGAGGGAATCCACTACCAACCATGCCTAATTCTCTCCCACTGAAGTCAGGGCATGAAGGCAACAGCTGAGTGCAGCTTCACTTGAGCTCTGAGAGTCCCAGGACTGGGGATTTTAATCTTTCTTTCTTTCTTTTTTTTTTTGAGACAGAGTCTTGCTTTCTTGCCCAGGCAGGAGTGCAATGGCACGATTTTGGCTCACTGCGACCTCTGCCTCCCAGGTTCAAGCAATTCTCCTGCCTCAGCCTCCCGAGTAGCTGGGATTACAGGTGCCTGCCACCACGCCCAGCTAAATTTTGTATTTTTAGTAGAGATAGGGTTTCACCATGTTGGCCAGGCTGGTCTCAAACTCCTGACCTCATGATCCACAGGTGTGAGCCACCACACCCAGCCTGGGGATTTTATTCTACAGCAAAAAATTAGACCTTGGCCTGGGAGATCTTGGAATGGCATTTGCTCTCTACATCCAGAGGGAAATCTCTGAAAGCAAGAAGACTGAGAGCCTCATATTTTGGTCTGATTATAAGCAAGGTCTAGAGTTTGTAGTGCACCCCAGGTATACATTCCTTCCTCTTCTAACAACTTATGCATCCTTGATCCACACTCCCTACCTACCTCACAAGACCAAAAAGGTCTTGCTTTTCTTTTATTTTGAAAGGTGTTTCAGTCATGTCCAAGATATAGTATTAGGTGGTCTATTGAAAAAAAAAAAGTCGTAAGACACAAGATCAAGAAACTTTCTGCCAAATATGCTGTTAACTCAGACACCCTCAGACATGTCACTCTGAAATAGAGGTATTTCCTTGTGTGTAAAAGTGAGGTACAATACCCTGTACCTGTCCTGATAATTTAGCCATTGATGTTCAAAGCCTAATTCAATAATGATATGGTTAGGCTTTGTGTCCCTACCCAAATCTCATCTTGAATTATAATCCCCATAATCCCCATGTGTCAAGGGAGAGACCAGGTAGAGGTAATTGAATCATCAGGGCAGTTTTCCCCATGCTGTTCTCGTGATAGTGAGTGAGTTCTCATGAGACCTGATGGTTTTATAAGGGGCTCTTCCCCCTTTGCTCAGCACTTCTCCTTCTTGCCACCGTGCAAAGAAGGTGCTTTGCTTCCCTTCACCTTCCGCCATGATTGTAAGTTCCTGAGGCCTCCCTAGCCAGGTTGAACTGTGAGTCAATTAAAACTCTTTCCTTTATAAATTACTCAGTCTCAGGCAGTTCTCTATGGCAGTATGAAAACGTACTAATACAAATAACAAAGGTTTTATGTTTCCTCCCAAATTAGTGTCTAGAGTCAACGTTAGCTCCTAGGGTCAAGCTATTATACAGGATTAGAGGCATTTAGGAGATTACAACTTTTCCCTGGTTTTTCAAAGATTAGTCACATGTTCACTTGGCTGAATACACAAGGTAGAATGGACAGGACTTGAGGCAAATAACCTTGTGGTTAAGAGTACTCAGGTTCAGATTTTGGCTCCACCACTTGGCAGCAATGTGACCCTCTATTTCTATATCCTTCTTGCTTTTAAAATGAGTATAACAATGGTAGTTTTTGGTTGGCTATGAAGATTGAGTGAGATATATGTCATATTTGGCATGTAGTGAGTGCTAAATATTCTCTATCATATATATTGTATATAATATACAATATATACCTCTCTATATATACATACATAGCTAAATATACAGAGAGATAGATATATAGATACAACGAATCATGCCATTTATGCTGAAGATAAAAATTAAATTATAAATGGGAGAGTACTCTGAAAGGAGATAAGATTTCACAATGGAAACATGGGTTCTGATGATTATAGCTCTAACTATTGTGCCCACCTTCATTGCCTCCTTTGAGCAAGGCCACCAGATACAGCCAAGCAGTTTGGGCACTGCACACATCCAAAGGCACCATTCACATATAACCTTCCCTTTGTACCTGAGAGCACATGGCAACTACTCTTCAGGTAAGCCTGTGCTTCCCTCACAGTTGTTCCTCCCAGAGTCTGAGGAACAGCACCTGCTCTATAGAGCCATTCACTCATTAGTCCTTAATTCAGTGAAGGTATACTGAGAACATACTCTGTGCAAGGACTGGGCATACAAAGATAAATGAAACACAAACTCTGCCCTGAAGCTCCTGGTGGCTAGGGAGAGAGTCCTGTGCACCAAGAAGTAGAATGCAATGTAAAGAGTGCTAAAGTGCATCTATGTACAAGAGATTAGAGGATTGCCAGCTTTCTTTCTACATGGCAGTGGTCATGGACAGGGGTAGTGTGGGGATTCACAGAAGCAAAAATGAGACAAGTCTAACTCTCTTAAAAAAAAGTTCTCATAAACACCATTTTTAAAAGTCAAGAAAAAGTCAATGGGGTACAGTTTCTTCAGAGAAATCCAGTGGGGATCTTTTGTTGTGGCAGGAAGGGACTCTACTAAGAACCTCTAGCAGAGGCACCTCTGGTAGAAGGAAGGTGCAAAAATAGCTCCCCTAATACCAGCCCAGACCAGAAGAAAGGACAGGGATTTATCACTCATACAGTAAATTTGAAATGTAGATTCTTACCTAACATGAAGATTCCCTTCTCAGGGGATAGACCAAATTCCCTTCTCGGGGGATAGACCAAAGCCCGCCAGCTTTAGACAGATGCCTTCTCTTTGCATCTTCATAGCCTCTTTGAGAGAGGTGAACTTGGAGTCAGGAGATCTGAGATGGAATTTTAACCTTGTCCATTTGTTGTTTTGTGATCTCAGGCAAGTCAATAAGCCTCAACTTTGTTGTCATAATAAGAATTAAGAATGGTCATAATAAGATGGTCTTCACAAATTTGTTCTTTGGACACCAAACACCTTAGTTATTGTCATATGCTCTGGGATAGAGGTGAGATCTTAGGAAGGAGGCAGAGACAGCACAGAAGTCCCTCCATTCACAAACAGGGTCTGCCCACCATCCTTTAAGGAGCCTCTGCAGCTTGTTTATAAAGGAGATCTTGTCCTGAGAGCATTATGCTCCTGAGCTGGCCAGCTCAGCCCTTCCCTGGCTCCAGCGCCTTCATTTGTAAAGAAGGAATTCCAAGGCTATCAAAAAGGAAGTCAGATTGTTTTCGGAAAACAATAGCAAAGTAACTACAAGTCATTAGCTTCCTCTTTGGGGCCTGAAGTCAAGCTTGTCTGGGTAGCTGAAAGGACCGGTAGCACTGTTTACTTAAAGACCTCTGGACAGTACCTATAAATTAATTCCTGTGCATGACTTTCTGGAATGAGAGGAGGTGAGTCATGGAAGTGGGAGGATGCCTAAGAGTAGAGATTTCTGTTTCTTAGGACACAGCTAAATCTCTGATGCTGGCCTTGCCTTTTCTGGTCCTCTGGGTGAAAGTTTCATTTGGATATGTACGTGCACCTAACAGACATCTGCTGTCTGAGATGGCTCTTAATGAGTTTTTTTCCTAGAGCAAAAAGAAAAACAACAAAATATCTGTTTCCTGTGGGTCTCCTGAACGCCTCGAGGAAGCCAAATGCTTCTGAGACAGGTGCTGTAGAAATTGCCTTTTGAACAGGAATTTCCTCAGTGACAGGAGCAGACCAAAGCTGGGAATTGTGAAATTCATCACTCCTTAGAGGACTGTCTCAGTGTCATACAGATATCAAGGAATCACAGATACCAGAACACTGGAGCTTGAAGAGAAACTGAAGATCAAGTGGGCCAGATGAGAACATTGAAGCCCAGAGAAGGCAAGCAATTTATCTAAGGTCAGGAGCAGAAGCCAGATCTCCCAAAGAATCAGGAAACCTGGGGACTTCCCTGAGGGTAGAATGGGCCAGTTATTGATCATAGATATTCCTATGATGCTGTTAGAGCACTTAGCTGAAAGTCCCTGGAGCTTAAATTACTAAAATCTAGAGAAAAGGCATGGTTTCTTGACCTCTCTAGATCCTGGAACAGCTTGTATCCAAGAGCTACACATGATTCTAGACCCTAAAGTTTTCTGAGAAGAGATGCAAAACTTCTACTTGAGCTGTTTTTAAACATCTTTGGTAAAATCACGAGGATCTGTTGAGCTTAATGATTTGAAATTTAGTCCAAAGATTATCAGTATTACCTGCCTGGACCCCTAGAAGATTTTTGGTGGGCTTCATGGAGCATAGAAACCCCTGTGTTCATTTCAAAGCTTTAGGGGAAGAGGGACCACAGTCTTGATCTATTCATAAAGCACTCTTGACCCAAAAAAGATTAAAAGTCACTGTTCTAGGTATAGGAGGTCAAAAAAGATTATTTCACATCAACCTCCAAAGTAATTGAAACAACCACCAAAATGCCAATATGTTCTATCCCTTCCCCAACCTAGAAGCCTCTTATTGAACAGGTTGAAATCTGTTCCATAGGCATAAGGCCACTTCTCAGTTCAGAGTCTTCACCTGTCAAATATAAAAAGGTTTTCTGAGATAAGCATGCTTATTCCTTCCTTTCGTAACTTTCCCAAACTCAAACAGCTAGCCAAGACTGGCACCTCTCATCATGCCTAGTCCAGTATTCTTTCTGCCACCTCAGAAGGTTTTTAAGGATTTATTAAGCACCATTTCTAGATGGTCCTGAAATGGTCCCAAATACTACAGGAGCTATAGGATTACAGGAACTGTCCCTGAATGCAATACGTTTGTAAATGTGGTAGGTAAATGAGTGCATGCCCCTGAAATGAATTATTTCCTTAATGCCTTTCCCAACAGTGTGGACAAGGGAAGTGAGACTGGAGGAGTGCTGGGGGAGACATGAACCCTGGCATAACTGCCCCATCCCTGGACAACTCCAGCCAGCTTGACAATCAATGAGCAGTAATATTCAGTAACTAGGTGCCAATTTCTAAGACCCCTCCGATCTTGAAACCCCTTTGACTGTGTGCTGGGTTAACAAATAAAGCATAAGCCAAAAGACTTGTTCACCAGTTTGTAATCTACTACAAAATAATAGAGATTTTTCAAATAATTAGTGAATAAAGGGGAGGGGGCAAGTAAGCAGGTCTCCAAACTGAAAATAGTTGCATCCTAAAAGCTTCAATGTAAATTGGTGGTGTGGAATTTGGAGCATGTTTTCCCATAGAAATAATGTTATAAAGAGTAGTTAGCTTCCCAGGCTAGCCCATAAAAGCTTATTTCAGGCATAATGTTGCTCAACTACAGTGTTGAGAGTACTAGAGAAGCTAACAACCTAGTTAACATGGTCTCTGGATGGGAGAGAATGATGCCAAGTTCTGGCTGGGGACTCCAGGAATATATCTCCCTCTGAAGAGTTTCAGATTCAAGCGTCTCCACTCCATCCCTGCAATGAGGATGGCGTCTTCCTGTCTCCCTGTCTTCATGGGGAAGGGAAATAATATTTATTGATCACCTAACTTTATTAATGCAAGGACTGACCCACTCAGCATTGTCCCTTTCATAAACTAATATCCGAGACCAACCACAGAAAGAAAGCTTTATATTTTTCAAACTGTTCCAGTCTTTTCCTAATTAGAAAAAGTAATAGCGTATTATTGTAAAAATGTAGGTAATATAGAAGAGTCTAAACATGAGATAAAATCACATATAAGTACTATTAAAATACTGATAGCTTTCTACCACATTTTTGTACTTATAAATGTTTTTAAAAAATTGGAATTGTATTATGAACACTTTTTGGTAATCTGCTTTTTTTCACTTAACGATGTGTCAGAGACGTTTTCTATGTCAATAGAAATACATCTTCTTCACCTTTTTAATGATTATCAGGAGTGTAGTCAAAGAGAATGGCACCCAAAGGCAATGTAATGTGTTTGTATCTTTTCTTTCCATAAGGATGTTACCACTGCACTAGAATTATCAAGGACTAGTATCTGTGCAGTACTCTTTAGACTAATGTCAGGGTATATATATCACCTCCACCCTTTGCTAAGTACCTGGGTTACACAGTTTCCTGCTCTTGGATTTACCAAAATTCATTTAATGCCCTATTATTGAGCACTTCAATTTTGGGTGAATATAAATATCACCATATTGAATGTAAGTGGTGCCCTTTTAATTTCTAAGACAAAGCAACTTGCTGTTAACCCATTTCTTTCTCTGCCCCAAATAAGTTACTCCATGTAATTCTGAGCTGTCCTTTCAAAGCCTTGCAAACAGCTCATGGGAAAAAGCAGAATTTCTGAACAAAACAATTCAAAACAAAACAAAAAATACTAGCTTCCTCCATTCAACCAACCCCTTCTCTACCATACACATAAGACGCAAAAGGAAGTGTGCTGAGCGAGTGGTGAAACACTAGGGCAGATAAGAATAATCTTGACAGGTTCGGAGAAAACCCCTCATGAATCTTGGGAGAAGATTTCTATGGGTAAATGGGGTAAAGGTTCAAATCCTGAAGGGCTAAACCAAACTTTGCAAAAGCTCACCACCACCACAAGCCTGTTACCCCAGAACAGCCAGCTGTGCCTCATGCCTCCAATCCTGCTCTGGTTTCTGTGAATTCACACACAACCCTGGGATTGAAGTACCAGCTCTGCCTGTGGTGGGAAGGACGTGTGTAACTGACAAAAGCTGATGAGGCAGAGAGGGACCAGGGAAATGCAGGAATCAGGTCTCAGGTCCTATCTCTAACACTTAAAGAATTGAGTGCCCTTGGGTTAAGCTACATCAACTGTGCCTTCTACTTTTAAATTTTAATATCTCTATGATTCTAAGTAATTGGTTATCTCCATACCAAGCCAAAGCTTGGAAGAAGTTGAAATTTGTCTTAAGTGCCCAACTGTATTTACACTTGTAGCTCCTCCCTTTCTTTACCTATACAGCACTCTGGGGAGCATGAGAGATATTCTTAGGCCATTTTTTATTCCAGATGGTGCTGCGGTATTGAAAACTTAAGGGTATTCCAAATAAGGAAAATACAAATGAGCAACACTTGGAGGTGTGTTTCAATTAGGATGCTACCAGCCATCAGTAACAGAAACCCCAGCTGGAGTCAAACACACTGACCACTACACTGTGGGAATGCACAGAGGGTGTCAAAGTTAATGGATGGCCCACTTACAGCTGATCCATTTATTTATTCATTTATTCATGTATCCACTGATTTTAAAAACCCACTGAGTTTGGGACTGTGCTAGGAACTAGATATACTAGTGATTCAGACATGGCATCTGAATTAAGAAATCAAAACCTAGGGGTTTTATAAATATCAATGCTCCCTGACCCCTCTGAGAGCTGAGTGATGTCACCAACTTAGAATCCCACAAGACTAGCTGGAGACCTAGTTGGAATAAAAATGCTGCCTTGTTTTAGACCATCAAGTCTATGATAATACTGCGATTTCCAGGAATCTATCTGGATTGAGGGAGCTAGGCAATGCATGCTGACATGGCCTGTAAAAGGGATTGAGGTGGAGCTCTGATCGCAGGAGAGTATAGAATGGAAACCAGAAACTAGGAACCATGGACATCTGCATCTATTCACCCTCCATACAAGGGGGTGTAGGGAGTTCCCATTTACCTCCAGGTCTGGTTTATGAACTGTGGGCCTGCAAGCAGCCTAAACATGATTGTTGATGCTCCAGTGGACCTGAATAGGCAGGGACCATGACAGGTGGCTGCAAACAGATAATAGAGAGCTAACAGAGAATGCCAGGCAGTGGTCTAAGTGCTTAGCAGAGTTTGCTCATTTAACCCTTACAAAACTCTTGGAGATAAGAATTAGTATCCATATTTAACATAGGTAAAAAATCAAGAACAGAAACCTTATCCAAGCTGGTCAGTGGTAGATCTGGGATTTGAATCCAGGCAGTCTAGTTTCAACATCTGTGCACTTAACCACAAAATAAATTATATGACTATGTGAGAAGTGCTACAATAGAGCTACGATCAGAATGCTGTGGGAACTGAGAAAGGAATGAAAGTGCCAGGAAAGGCTCCGCATAGGAGACGACATTTGTGATATGTCTTGCAAAATAAGTAGAAGTTTCAGACAGAGAACTGGAAGTGGGAGAAGTACATCCCAGGCACCATGGGACAGATGGGCAATGGCATTTTGGAAGACTACAGAGTAGTTCTTTTGCAGGAGAGGTGAGCCCCAAATCTGGGGCCTTAGCTCAGGAAGGTTTTTGGTTTTGCTCCAGAAAGAATTCAAGAGTGAGCCAGTGGTAGAAGAAAATAGCTTTATGGAGGTGGCAGTGTTACAGCTCTGTGACGGCTCCTGCAGAACGGGGCTACCCCACAGGCAGTGCGCTGACAGCAGGAGCTCAGGGCAGTTCTACAGTCATATTTACACTCACTTTTAATTACATACAAATTAAGGGGCAGGTTATTTAAGAGATTTTTAGAAAGGGGGTGAAACTTCTGGGTCATTGCCATGGAAAGAGGCAGTAACTTCTGGGTATCGCCATGGCAATGGTAAACTATTAAGGCACTGGTGGACATGTCTTATGGAGCAGTGCTTCCCGTGCCTCTTCCCTGTTTTAGCCAGTCTTTGATCTGGTCCAGAGTCAAGTTCTGCCTAACTCAATTCTACACAGCTGGACCAAAAAGGATGGGGGAGTTTGGTTTCCAAAGAATCCTGAGTTTGGGGCCAGATTGTTAAGAACTTTGTAAACCACATTAATTTGTTCTGCAGGCAGCAGGGAGCCAAGTAAGGGGATGAGTCTGAATCCTCCTACGGTTTTCAGGGATTTCCAGGATGGTTCCTCAGTATGCGTGTCCTGGATCACACCCAGTGCTAAGTAAAATCATTTCTCTGGCCACTTGTTTCTTGCTTTTAGTCTCTTCAGCATTGCAGGTAGAGCCCAGGGCTGGGTAACTTTACTCCTACTGACTTGGAAAGTGAAGGATGCATAGTTGCTCAAAGGCAGAGCATGGCAGGGCACTCTACCAGTGTTCCACCTCAGAATCTTGGACCATTCTTTCACCTGGGAGCCCTGAATTCAAGAAAATCCAAATGGAGACCAGCAAAAAAAGGGAATGCTGTTTTATGGAGATTTTTAAACCAAGGCTGAGGGGCCATTTTCAAGGGATGCTGACTCAGTAAACGTTCTTTGGCAGCAAGCATCAGAAAACAACTGTAACTACTTTAAGCTGAAAAAGAAAAGGAAGAGAAAGAAGTGAAGAGAGGGATGAGGAGGACAGGAACAAAAAGGGGAAGAAAGGTGAAGAGATTTCCTTAAAGTCTCTGCAAGAATCTGTTAAGAATAAGCCCCCAGTTAGAAGCTCCC
Organism: Homo sapiens; assembly: GCF_000001405.40. Lineage (NCBI taxonomy): Eukaryota > Metazoa > Chordata > Mammalia > Primates > Hominidae > Homo > Homo sapiens. The sequence goes on from NC_000001.11 coordinate 147,787,324, forward strand.
TTGGGCTTCAAAAACATTAGAATGAATAGATATAACTTGACTCTCCCTAAGACATGATTCTTCCGATTTATCAGTCTATTATCTTTCTCTCCAGGACACACCTGCAGCCTTACAAAACAATGAGTCTTTCATTAAGCTGTGGCTCTTCATCCAAAAGTTCCCCTACTTATAAGCAGAAAGTCTATAAGTCCAAGGGCTCTCAGGGCACCTGCTTTTAAGTGTCTGTGGTGACCATTGAGAAGGGGGCCACTGGAGGCCCTGCGGCCTCAAGGGCAAACCGATATAGTCACAGGAATAATCAAACAGCAGCAGAAGGCTTCAGAACAAGCACATCACAAAAAACACTGAACTCAACTCCAATGGAAGTTGCGTCACTTGGTGGCTGTGTGATTCTGGGCAAGTCCCTTAATGTCTCCAAGCCTTAATGTTCTCATGTATAAAAAGGGTGCCCCTTTTTGTAAAAAGGCTTTCTGACTGTGACAAATTCATTAAAATATTGTGATGAACAAATGTGTTCCAAGCTGCAATGTGCCAGGCAAGTGATGTTATTATCAACTAGACTCTTGCTCTCCATGCAGTGAAGCCTCTTCCTATGAGTGGAAATTATTCAGCCTTGTCACTGGCATGTCAACAACCAGACACAGCTTAGCACAGAGTCATGCCATAGGTCTGGGGCAGGACAAGCCAAGTGCAGGAAATGTGTCTGGTCAGCTTCTGCACAACCCTGGATGGAACGGGCCAGGGGAAGGGGAAATGGTTTGCCCCCTGCATTCTGCCCGTATGCCTTCCTGTGCCATCCTCCAGACCCCAGGCTCTACCCTCAGGCCTGGGCAGTGGGATAGGCTCCAAGAGTCTGGAGTGTCTAGGGCTGGGTGAGTTGGGTAAACTTTAACACAAAGCCTTATAAAATGCTTGTTTGTATTTCACTTTTAGTAAACTAAAGAGGCAGGAAAGTTGAAGACAGGTTTGGATCTTTCCAAGAAGGGCTTGGCCTCACAGGGAAGAGGTCTCCAGATGGGTCAGGGGGAAGCAGGGCATATCGAGCCTGGGGGAAAGAGGGATATGAATATGGCATCTCGGTTTTCAAAAAGTTGGCATGAAAAGGAAGATTTGACTTATTCTGGGCAGCTCAGAAGGATGGAACTGGGATCTGAGTGAGGACGGGGAGGAAGAGGGCTCACATTAACTTACTCTTATCAGGCACTGTTCTTTACAAATGTTATGACATGTAATCCTCACAACAATACCATGAAGTGGTTACTATTATTATCCTCTGTTTTACAGATGAGGAAACCAAGGCACAGAGGTTAAACAACGTGTCCAAGCCACGTAGCAAGTAAACAATTGAGCCAGGCTCCAAATCCAAACGTTCTGGCGTCAGAGTCCTATAAAGATTTTTTTGGCCTAATGTGAGGAAGTACTTTCTAAGAATAAGAGTTTACCAATTAAAAGGGGGTTGCTGTTTTATGAAGATATTTAAACCAAGGCTGAGGGGCCATTTTCAAGGGATGCTGACTCGGTAAAAGTTCTTTGGCAGCAAGCATCAGAAACCAAATGTAACAACTTTAAGCTAAAAAATAAAAAGAAGGAAGAGGAAGAAGAGAAGATGGGGTTGAGGGAGGAGGACAGGAAAAAAAAGGAGAAGAAAGGTGAAGAGGAAAGTGAGGAGGAGGAAGAGGCAAAAAAAGGGGCATTTGTTGGAAGTGGGGTGCAGAAAAAATAAACAGCTGAAGATTCAAATTCAAGAAGGACCAGAAACAAGGACTGCCCTAGGATCCAGGGAGCAGGAACTGATTAACCGTTTCTTTAGGGCACAATTACCCAAATAAATCAGCTCTAATGGATTTCTGTCTTTTTGCCATTCTGCTTAAGATTCAAGTTCCAGGGAAAGAACATTCCCTTGGCCTAGCCTTGGGAAAGATCGACAATAAAAATCGCTAATATTTATGGTGTTTATTCTCTACCAGCCACTGTTCTAAGCACCACATCTGCATGTATTTTCTTCTCACAGACACCCTATGAGATAGCTACTATTATAGCTAAGAAACTGAGACAGAGAATGTTAGCTGTCATTCAACGTGAGGCAGTGTGGTTGCCACCATGTTTGCTCTAATATCAAAATGGAAAGGATAGGCTCCCTAAGACAAAATGTTGATGTTGATGAAGAAGGGGAATGGATGCTAAGAGATAAAACCCACAGATGCTCTCTCAGGGCTTGGTCTTGCTAGAAGGGAAAGAGAGGACTCCCGAGGTGTCTTCTGACCCAGGAATTCTACATTCTAGTTTCCATCCTAACCCTCTTGGTTATTGCAAGGAGAAGATGAAACAAAGCAAGGAGGCCGGGTGTGGTGGCTCACACCTATAATCCCAGTACTTTGGGAGGCTGAGGCAGGCAGATTGCTTGAGTCCAGGAGTTCGAGATTAGCCTGGGCAACATGGTGAAACCCCACCTCTACCAAAAGTAAAATTAAAAAAAAATAGCTGAGCATGGTGGCATGTGCCTGTGGTCCCAGCTACTCAGGAGGCTAAGGTGAGAGGATTGCTTGAGCCCCGGAGGTGGAGGTTGCAGTGAACCGAGATTGCACTAATGCACTCCAGCCTGGGCAAGAGTGAGACCCTGTCTCAAAAAGAAAAAAAGCAAGGAGCAAAAAGACAACAGAAAAGATATAACAAAGGACTGAGTGCAACAGAAACATAGGAGAACAAATAGTTCCTGAACAGGATACAACCAAATGACAAAATTCTGAGAGAAAAAAAAATGCCTATCAAAGTATAACTTGAAAGACAACAAAGAAAAGATTCCAAGTCCTATAAAAGTTTGAGAATGAAATAAAATGAAGAAAAGCAGAGAGGCCAATTTCTCACAAATAGTGAAAACCTGATGTGAAACTCTACTACAAGAGGTTGCACTCCATCATGATTCACAATGAAAGTTTGGAGTCAGGCTGCCAGAATTAAATCCTGCCTCCAGCACCTCCAGCTGTGTCACTTTGAAAGCATTACATGACCTGTCTGTGCCTCGGTCTCGTCTGTAAGATTTTAATAATGCCTAATTATTAAATTAACAATTTAATAGTTATTAATAATTGTTAGTAGTGTCAGAGGAGTGTTGAAAGGGTAAAGTCTTAAGCACAGTGCCTGGCACATAGCAAGTGCTTACTAAACGTTAGCCACGCGGCCACTGTATGTGAGCTCCTACAAGCCCAACATGGTCTTGGGACAGGCCGACAGGTTGAGTGCCTGGAAGAAACCCCTCTTGGGGAATCATAAGCAGAGACCCCCGAAAAGCAGAGACCTGGTTTCTGCATGGGAGGTCAGGAAAGCGGCACCACCAACAGATGCGGGTCCTTAGCAGAGAGATGAGCAGGTGAGGAGAGGAAAAGCCTCCCAGGAGTTGAGAGTCTGGATAGTGGAATGCCAGAAATGAAGCTCTGGAAAAACATTCTACTTAAAATATAATTGTAAGAACTCCTCTTTGTAGGGCTCTCGGAGAAACCCTCTGAAATCTCCAAGGAGTTGGAGAACCGGACCCTGGGTTTGCAATCAAGAGCTCTGTGTTCTGGCTTCTGCTGATGCTAGTAGGCTCTGGGTCCTTTCAGGGTCTCAACTTCCTTGTCTGAAAAAGTGGGCATAATGGTATCTACCTCAAATGATTGAAGTGAAGATTAAATGAGGAATGTCTGTAAAACACCTGGAACATAGGGGCTACTGAATAAATGATAACTTTCCTTACACTCTCACTCACTGTTACAAAACAACAATGCATAGAACAGGGTGTCCCTGGAGCCAGAAGAATAAAGTAAGTGCATGCTTGTTGAATTCATCAACTTCCAGAATGCCCCATGTGTTCTAGTGAATCCATATCTGATATAGTTTGGATGTTTGGCCCCTCTAAATCTCATGTTGAAATGTAATTCCTAATGTCAGAGGTGGGGCCTGGTTGGGAGGTGTTTAAATCATGGGGTTGAATCCCTCATGAATGGCTTGGTGCCATCCTTGTGGTATTGAGTGAGTTCTCACTTTATGAGTTCAAATGAGATCCGGCTCTTTAAAAGAGCCTGGAATGGGCCAGACACAGTGGCTCACACCTGTAATCCCAGCATTTTGGGAGGCCGAGGTGGGTGGGTCACGAGGTCAGGAGTTCGAGACTAGCTGGACCAACATGGTGAAACCCCGGTCCTACTAAAAATACAAAAATTAGCCAGGCATGGTGGCACATGCCTGTAATCTCAGCTACTCAGGAGGCTGAGGCAGGAAAATTGCTTGAACCCAGGAGGCAGAGGTTGCAGTAAGCTGAGATCATGCCATTGCACTCCAGCCTAGGGGACAGAGTGAGACTCCATCTGAGAAAAGAAAAAGAGCCTGGAACTTCCTCCTCTCTCTTTTGCTCTTTCTCTCTTGCCATGTAACACACAGGTTCCACTTTGCCTTCCACCATGGTTGTCAGTTGCCTGAGGCTCTCACCAGAAGTAGATGCCAGCACTATGCTTCATGTCCAACCTGCAGAACTGTGAGCCAAACAAACCTCTTTTCTTTATAAATTACCCAGCATCACATATTCCTTTAGAGCAATGCAAACAGACTAACAGTGTCCTTAGCCATTCTCACAATCTGGAATGATCTCTCCACTCCATTCCATCCTACCTTGATCTATTCCCTATCTAGCAAACATCTTTTATCTTTCAAGGCCAAGCTCAAATATCATGTCCTCAAGGAACTGAGGAACTTCCTCAGCATGTGACTTGTTCTTCAGTTTTGCACTGATTCCCCTGTACTTTGTGTTGTAATTAGTTCTTGTAGACAGAGAGAATGTCTGACTCAACTTGGTGTTAGTCTAGGCTGCATTGCACATTCTTTTGCGGCATTTTACTTGTATGGGGTTATGGGCAGCAGCATATCCCTGAATTCACATCTCCATCTGAATTAACACTTAGTCCCTCCATTTAGGCCTCAATCAATACTCCCCAAGAAAGAAGGAGGGGATTATCTAGTTTGGAAACCTGGGTACAAGGACTAAGCATGCAGGGCCGACTTACCCATGAAGAACAGTAGCTAGAGTCCACAATACTTTTAAAGGCCCGCACACACACAAAAGCATTCAATTTCTTTTGAAATCAGTAGAAAAAATAAAATTTTAGGTCAAGCAAAATGTTTTAACATATAATATTAATATATTTATCTTTATGCCAATGCACATATAATTTTTAATATTTTTCATGGAAGAATGAGCCCATGAAACCAACAGTGCCTATGACCCACCAAAGTCACACAGCTCTGTGGGCATAAGTAGCTCATCCTTTTCTCCCCTTCCTCCTAGGGAGCTGCCTGCCTAGAGGAAACAGGGAGCCTTTAGCCTGCTCCTCCAGGCTCAACATTTGACAGGGGCATGACCATGTCCAGCATTGCTGAGTAACTGGGAAGAGAAGCCCACTGTTGCTGCACACCCTACGCCAAGCCTTCAAACAGTCCCAGCAGTAATCAAGGTGATATACTGACTTTTTTCTGACTGGCTCCTGTGTCTATCTCTCTCATTTTTTCTAACTTAGGCAAAGAATGGGAAAGTCATTTATCAGGCCCCCCGAAATCATATTGTTGATCCTCTAAATGACCTTATCAAGTACGTACAATCTTTATTTGACAGATGAAGACACTGATGAACAGAAAGGTTAAAGAATTTACTCAAGGTCAGTCATCCAACAAATGAGTTTAGAACCCAAACTTTTGGACCCCAAGTTAAAGCTCTTTCTCCGACTGCACTATAAAGTAGGGGCTCAATAAACGTGTGTTGAAATGAATCAAAACGGTGAGAGAATATTGCCAGGCAGCACAAAGCTTGGATGAAATTTTTCAAAATTTTTGCTGGTGATTTTAAGCTTCAGATGAAGTCTTTGACATTTACGATTCTCTTAATAAACACTTTATAAAACTCCAAATCCACGTTTCTGCCTTGAAGGATCACCATCAGTTGGAATATATTTTTACGCTATCCTCTGCCATCTTTGAAGGAGGAACAGATTAGGGAAAAAATGCTTTATTTACCAGTGTAATTAGAATGAAAATATAATGTTTAACTTTCATGGAGACAGACTGAAATATGAATAGTCATGTAGTTTTTTGAAATTAAATTTCTATTCTAGGAGGCCAACACTCTACTCTCTCTGGCTTTCAAACTTCCACATTAAGACTTGGGAAGTAAAAATGCTTTGGGAATGAAACTGGATGAATGGACATGTTTGTGCCAGTATTCTGGGGGGACTCTTTTTCCTCTCAAAATCCCAGTAGATCACTGGTCACGTTTAGAATCTTCAAATATGTGCTAAAAAAATGTTTTGGGGAGAAAACAATCTCCCACTCTCCTTGCCGAGATGGAATTCCAAGATTGTTGGGCAAGATGAAGTAAACGATTTTCAGGAGAATCGCTGTTTTCCACACTGAATTGACATGCATTTCTGCCTCACCTGGTTCCTACACACACCAGCCCCAACTAATGTTAGGCTTTGAATCACTGAAATGCCTGCCACACCTTAACAGCAAAGATTCAGACAAGATATTGAGTAAGCAAGTTTATGAATTTTTTTAAAGAGAATGATTTCTTAGTTAGACTTGTGTTCAACAAAATATTCTAGCATGTGGTTTCACAAATACAGGTGAACCATCTGGCCAGCCTAGGTTAGCTCTCTGCTGTCAGTGCTGTAAATCTTGCATTCTCTTTCACTCATGTTTCACACATGGAATTAACTCTTCTTTGTCCTCCTGTCCTGTTATACAATAGAAGCTCCAAGTCTTATTCACAACTTTGAGTCTAGTGTGTGGCTGTATAGAACAGAGATTAAGAGCATGGGTTCAAGGGTACGATGGACCTGGATTTGAATTCAACCGAGCAACTTTTTGTGTGACTTAGAGGTAGTCACACCACATTACTCAGTTTTCTCATCTGTAAATTGATAATAGTTCTTACCTCATAGAACTATTGTGAAAATTAAATTCACTCACATATGTAAAGCATTTAGCTTGCCCCGGCAGTAAATATTCACTACTATTATTGCATTAAGTGCTAAAAGAGTATTTCAAGTAGAATTTTTAAAATAAGAGTGAGCCTAGGCACAGGGAATGCATCAAACTGGCCTCATTAGGGAGAATTCTCCAGCCAACTGGGATATTGCCTGACTGGGTTCTGGGAGGTCCTCAACTGAGACCACAAGGGGCAAATGAGCAGATCATAAGCAGCCCTGGAGGCACCAGCTCTTAAGGTGTTAGCCCTCATCTCCCCAGAGCAGTGGGAACTGAGTTACTCTGAGACTCTGTTCCCAAGAAGAAAGTGATTCAGAGCAAAGGAGACAAGTTCCACTGTGGAGGAAGTGTGCCCAGGTCCCTCACCGGCCCCGGACATGCCGTCTGGGAGGCTATCAGCTCAGAGCCCACACCAGCTTCCTCTGCTATTGTTCAGCACTCACCATTCTTCTGATAACCCGGCTGTGGGAACCACTGCCCAGACGCCGGGCCAACACAGAGGCACGACTACAGCTGGGAAGAGTCTCTCCTTCACATGACGACTGAGCTCTGTAGGGGGTTGTGATGGAGAAGACTGAGACGGGGCAATCTAAGGCCCAAACGTGGCCCAGTGTTAAGCATATTGAGAAACCCAATACCAATCTGGTGAATTGAATAGTTTTGCAAAACTAAGGAAAATTAACAGTCTCCACAAAAAAGTGTTTATCCAAGTGTTAAAGTACTTAATTGTTCTCAAAAAACCAAATTGTCCCCATTCTGAACATTTTTTTGAACTTTCTCAATTGCAGTTAGTCTTCTGGGACATTGAAGAAGGCCTAGAACTCAATCAAGGAACAAAAATATCTAAGCATTGTATTTAAAAAACATGTGTTAGAGGTTTATTACCTTAGGAGATTTTTAAATATCATTTATCTGTTAAATTTAGTTGTTGCATCAGACATTTTGCTCATTTTTCCCTTTAATAATTATATCTTTATACCACTATCTGAATTTGTGTCTTTACTCTTTTTCACCTTGAAAAGGGCTTTTTCTTTTGATTATATAAATAATAGATACTCAGTGTAAAAAAAGTTCAACCATAACAAAAACATGAAGAAAGTTAAAAAATCACCTAAAATGCCACTACCCTGATATAATCACCATTTGCTTTCAGCGACTGTATCTATGTAATCCACATATCTAGATCTATGTTCATACAGACATATACACACGTGTGACTTTTTATAGAAGCTGTGCATTTTAAAAATTATGAACGCTTTTTTCAGTGCAGTGTTCTAGATATTTCTGACACAAGGATCCAGGAAATAGGTTGGTATCTGATCTGTATCTTAGATTTATCTACCTATATATAACTAGATATACAGTATAATAAAATATCTATAAGTAGATAGATATTTATATGGCCAGCTATATACAACTACCTAAATAGAGATCAGCTTATACAATGTGTGTATTTTTATTTGACATTCTAGTATGAATTCTTAAATTATCAACCAATCATTATGTGCATATGATAAATATGACACATTTGTTCCTTCAAAAGTTTAACATATTATTTGTGATTTGTTATTTTGAAGGTTAACCTGGCATATGTCACAAGGCATGTGGTGGCTATGGCATCTGTCAGAACCTAAGATCAGGAGACCTTAACGATGATCAGGTTCTAAACCTATGAGGGTGTTTGAAATTCAAAATCCTGAGACTGCCCACAGCTAAAAGTAAATCAGAACCCAAGACACACTCAAAAAAATGTCAACTCTGAAAGGAACTTGGTGACCACCTGCTCCAAATCACTCATTTTAGAGATGATGACAGTGGAATCCAGTGAGGCGGATGATGTGTCTAGAGTCCCAGAGCAATCGGTGGCTGAATGTATACTAAAATCTGCTTTCCCAAATCATCATGCCACCTCTTTCCATCAGATTTTGTTTCCTATTACATGTCACCTAAGCCAGAGCCATTTTCCCTTTTTCCAAATCACAATTGATCAGAGACAGCTGGCATCTGTCTAATTCGGACATTTTCAGAAATTGAGTTAAACGGGCCAGGTGCGGTGGCTCATGCCTGTAATCCCAGCACTTTGGAAGGCCGAGGTGGGCAGAGCACAAGGTCAGGAGATTGAGACCATCCTGGCTAACACGGTGAAACCCCGTCTCTACTAAAAAAAAAAAAATACAAAAAATTAGCTGGGCATGGTGGCGGGCTCCTGTAGTCCCAGCTACTTGGGAGGCTGAGGCAGGAGAATGGTGTGAACCCAGGAAGCAGAGCTTTTAGTGAGCCAAGATTGCACCATTGCCCTCCAGCCTGGGTGACAGAACGACACTCTGTCGCAAAAAAAAAAAAAAAGAAAAAAGAAAAAAGAAATTGAGTCAAACATAGAAATAGGGAAAGCAGAGTCCCTGAGAATTCAGACTGCATTATATCTAGGAAGATAGAGCAGAAGGAATAGTAATAATAATTATTATTATAGCAAGTGCGTTTAGCACTTACTACATTTCAAACAGTATTCTACTACTTTATGTATATATGCTACTTTACACGTATATATAAATTTATGTAAGTGATATGTATGTATATGTCATTTGACCCTCACAGCAGCTCAATGAAATAACTACCATTATTATCCCCTCTTTCCAGGGGAGGAAACTGAGGCACACAGAAGTTACGTGACTTCCCAGGATTATATAACTAGTGAGTAACAGAGCCAGCATTATAGAGTCAGCACTCCAGCCCCAGAGTCCAGCCTCTGGACCAATATACCACATACTGTCTCACAGAAGGAGGAACTCGGACAAATTATAGTAATGCTGCTGAAACCTCAGAAGCAACATCAACATCATTGAGATAATTAACCGAACCTTGTCTTTGTCACCTCACACACCCTGGTGGGAGTGCCACATAGAAGTCAGGCAATTCTAGGGCAATTCCTGGAAGCTTTCTGTGTTTACCTTGCTTAGTTCTGCAACTCCTGGCTAAAGTTTCCATAACTGGTTTTTGTCCTTTGTTCTTTGTTTAACATTTTATTATAAAAAATCCCAAACATATGAAAAAGTAGTCAGAATAATAAAATACTCCCCACGTACCCAGCTATCTATCTTTAACAGTTATCAACAAATGTTAGCCCATGTTTTTTTAAAATTCACTTATTCAATTTCTTCAGCCTTCTAAAATATGGTTTAATATATTGTGTAATATACGTAATGTATTAACATCACACATTTTATAATTTTTAGGTAAGTAAACGTACATATATTAGAGGGCACGCTCAAACATATGACACTTTAAAAAGCATGGCTATTCGTGGGTTTTGGGTGTAGCCAACGTGTCACTACAGAAATACAGTCAGAATGCCTGGGTTCAGGCCCAGGCTCCACTGCTTACTAGCTCAGTGACCTGCAGGAGTCACTTCACTTCCCAGAGACTTGCTCGTCTCATCTGTGCAGTGGGGATAGTAATGCTACCCACTCAGGGTTGTTGAGTGGATCAAATGAGATCAGGGATGTGAGACTTTACAAACAGCAAAGAGACACATAAAGGTGAGCAAGAAATCAGACTAACACAGGTGGGGTGGCTACGGCACTGGTGTTGAAAGCTGAAATCCAAAGTCAGGAAGGCCAATCAGAGGATCACACCAAGAGTGACAGGAGAGGCACCAGGTGGAGAACCAATTGCTAACTGAAGTAACCTAGGTAGGCTTTTGTGTCCTCTTTGTCCCTCCTGGGCACTTGAGGTGGCTGCAGTCACAGCTGGGCTCAGGACCCCATCAGACTGAGAACTGAAGGTTGAGCCTTATTTTATCTTCTTAGCCTCCCCTACTTTTTGTTTTCTTTTCTCTTTTTTTCTTTCTTGCAGCTTATTTGGATGTCTTCTCTGGCTGACATTACCCAGAAATCTTAGGTGAGGAATTCCCTCCTCCAGCCCTGGCCTACTAGCTGGGCCATCCCCAGGTCCTCTTGCCAGCCAAAGGGAATTGAGAGATAGGCCTTCTGTTCTAGACACTGTGGGTTCTAGTGTTTAAATCATATTTATAATGTTTGCCAACTATCCTCTGAGCACTGTGCCTTATTAGACTAGTCACTCCCTGGCTAAGGACATGGCAAAGGTATGACTGCCACCTATAGTAAGTGGAATCAAGATGGCACCAGGGCTGGTTTCTGTGGCCAGTGGGAAGAACACTAGCACATTGCCCTCCCTTGGTGCCCACACTGCCACCCAGATGACACCCAGCCCTGCCACTGCTGCCCATGCCCTCCCCCAGCTTCCTCAGGAGGATCAGTACTGCCTGATCTCTACCCCCAGAGTACAAGAGTCCCCAGCCAAGCCCACCATTAACTTGGGGTTGCTGATCTCTGTTTTAAGGGGTCCTTGTCCCTCATGGAGGAGACAGGATTAGACAAATGCAGTCTCTCTGAATAATCACAAGTAAGAGGAACAAATAAATACAGACAGGCCAGCTGCCACAGCACATGGAAACTAAGAGTAACTGAACTTGTACACATTTTATAAACCACTTGGAGAATATTTTTAAATTGGGATATTTCTGCCCCATAGTCACCCTCGGGACTTTGCTCATCAACATGCCTGACGCCTGAGAATGGCAACTTTCCAAGTAGACTTATGCATTGGGGTCACAAAGGCCACATACTCTGTATGTTTCCCCTGTGATCAAGGCCTGCAGAAACTAAAACGGCTGCAACAAGACCCCAGGGTGCTGCCCTGTTATATGGGCTCAGGGCTTTAGGTGGCCCATTCTTGCCATATTGGGGTATGTGATTTCTCTGCAACCTCAAATTGGGATGAGCGTATATCCTTCAAGTATGAGGATGATAGCCAGGGCTATTTGATTCATGTCCCTGTAATTGCAGGTATTATTCTTATCTGCATGTGTACTCATTTGATGCATATTTATATCTCAGTTCCTGAGAAATTATCAGGCTCAGTGCAGACATGACAGATGGAAAAAACAGTCTTTAGGACTTAAAGGATTAGAAGCTGCTCATAGCATGTGTCACAGTTTAAAACTGTATAATTTTAAAGTGCCATTTTCTTTATTCTCACCAGAAAATAGTAATTATACTTGAGAAGCAATGCTCGACAGTACATTTATTGAGCAACTATGGCGTTAGAGAGTGTTTAGCAGGGTTAACAAGACACAGTCCAGCCTTCGAGGAGTTCATAGTCTAGTGGTATAAACAGGTGAACCTGTCATTTCAATACAGAAAGGAAAAAAATACTTAAAATACTATTATAAAGTGTCGTGAGCACCAGGATAGAGTGACCAAGAGTGTGTGAAGCAGGATTTGGCCATGGGGGAAGACTTTGCAAAGCAACTGATGATTAAGGGCAGACACGGTGGGGCAGGAGGGGGAGTGGGCATGAGGACACTCCCGGCAACAGGAACATCTTGGGCAAATGCATCCTGGTGATCTGGCATCTCAAGTAGCTGGGTCGCCGATTCAGTATAGGGGTGACAAGAAATGAAGTGAGGGGTGCTGGCAGAGACCGGATTGACAAGGAACGATCTGCAGTGATGGGGCCAAGGGCTAGTATGTGGTACTTTACTGCTTCCCATCTCTAGCAACTACCTCCCAAACCAAATAAATGGTGCATGCTTGCCCTGCCAACGTGGCCTCATGGTATTTCTCCTTGGTTCCCTCATCCTTCCTATCAGATTGCCACCCTTAAACCTCTTCAACATAGAAATTCTGGAATTCCCTCTGCTTCTATGCCTCACTGGGGAGTTTTCTCTAGTATGTGATGGTAGCCACAACATTTTCAGCAAAGGAGGGATATGATAATAACCAATAAATCTATCCCCAACAAACCACTTGTGGAAGATTTTGGAAATCTGGAACTTCAGGGCAGCTATTGGTTCCCAGGTACCTTAATGAAAGTTTTAAAAAAAATGTGCCCCTCCTTCAAGATGCTTTATTCCTGGATGTCAGAAAACTCATAATATACTACTACTTTAATTCAAAGACACTTTTCTGCCACCTACCAGAAAATCATCCTAAATATACAAATCTGGCATATCTAAAATGTGAATAGAACCCCCTTACATGTGGCATTCTGTGCAGTGTACAACCTGCACAACCATACACAACAATTCTACTTCAGAGAAAAGCTTCTCTGCTTTCCTAAAAATGAGGCTCTGGGAGCTGGCTGAGATGCAGTGGGGTGGAGGCCTGGAGAAAGGGACCCTGCCAACTGGTCCTATAAAAACAAAATGAACGCAAACTACCCTTTGTTCTCTCCGACATCACCAGGTACTGAGTAGAGCTGAGGCTGGGACCTGGTAACAAGTCTTCCCTAGGGGCTTCTACTCCCTGTCTGCCCTCATCTCCGCCCCCTACCCAGGCTGCCTATGACCTCTGGAAGACAACTTCTTCTCCTGTGGTTTTTGCTCAAATGTCACCATCTTAGGGAGGCATTCTTGACCACCTTGCTTAAAATTTCAAACCCCAGCAACCCACCTCCCAACTTCCCCTGCTTTATACACTTTTTGACACACCCTATATTTAGTTTGTTTATTATTACCTGTCTGTCTCCACTAGAATGTAAGCTCCATGAAGGTAAGGGTTTGTTTCAATTCGCTGCTGGACCTGCAGCCCTAAGAACAGTGCCTGGCACATATGAGACACTCAAATATTAGCTGAATGAATTAATCATCTTCCTTTTGGCCACTTCCTTCCCTGTTTCTGAGGTCCACCCTCTTAGTTCTGTTGATTATGGAAGTTCTGTTCTTCTGACTCACACAGTGTGACTTTCCCAAGATCCTGAACCATCCTGTGCCTCCGTAAGAGTTTTGTTCTCTGGAGTAAGGTGTTGGGCCTTATTAAAATGTTTCTGGAAGGAGACAGTGCATTAATTTAAGGTCCATTATCAATTTGTGTGAATTGATTGATGAGATTCCTTCTCATCATCATATGACTTCATAATAGCTATTTAGCGAGTAGGAATTATAATTCCCTATTTATAGATAAGGAAATGTTCAGAAACATTAAGGAACATGCCCAAAGTCCCATGAATGGAAAGTACTGAAGTTGAGACTCAAATGCAGAACCATCTAAGCCCAAGGCCTAGAGTCAGGTGGCTGTGTTGCCATTCTCAACAGTGGTGCGGCCAAGTGAATATTTACTGTGGTTGGCTCACAGCAGAAATTTATAGTCAACATTAACCAAGTGGACTCCGTTTCCCTCTTGCTATTAGACACAATTACAGTGAAAAATCCTTTTCTTCAAGGCAGATGGTTTCCTACCTGGGAAACTGCAAGCAGGGAAACCAAAACAGAGTCTGCCACTGTTTAACTTGGACATAAGAAAAAGATGGGACAGAATAAATTTCAGCCATTGAGATACTCCTTTGAGTAGATTTGTTTTTCTCTCTTCCATGAAGTGACAAAGTAAACAGTTGTACTATGAATTGTACCTGATTCCCTAATACTTAACCATTTGTTAAATGTTTTAAAAAATTAGAGACAGGTAGGTTCAGAATAGGGCACACTAGCCTTGAAGAAATGGTCCTGAGTGGGGCACTGTGGATGGCTGTGTAAGGGATAGCGCCAGGCGCCTGAGCCAAGTTCATTTATTCATCTAACAACAGTAGAGGACCTACTATGTTCTAGTTTAACCAGAGCATACATATACAAGAAAATGCGTTGTTAAAAACCAAGTTATGTTCAAACTGAACTACAGAATCAGGACTGAAATAGTTGCAGGGTCCACGGGGCCAGATCCAAACCCTAGAAAGTTAAGCAACATGGAAAGAATGTATTTTATCCTTGCTAGAGGATGAGAACTGTATATGGTTTACTGTGTGGTAAATGGCAAACACATACAGATGCAAACATCTCACAGTAGTCCCCTCATGGTGACTCACAGCACCTCCTTAGTAAGAAACTGATGACAACTTTTAACTTGCAGTGCGCCAATGACCATCTTTGGTTTGGTGCATCCAGATTTTTTTTCCCTTTTGCTTCCCCAGATTCTGCTGATCCTTTTCTATGTCCTACACTATCTTTGTCTCAAGCACTACCCAGGGGAGAGGTCACTTCCTTGTGTCATGGATTCATTACTATTTTCAGCAAAGTCCGGCATCTTCACCTACTGTTTGGTCTGACAGCACCATAACCTCACCACGAATAAGGTTTTCATCTCTTCCAATACATGTGGTGAACCATTTGCCAGCATCCCTTAATCATCTTGGTGTCTCTTCGTCAGCTGCCTGCCTTCTGCCCACGTGTTCTGCGTCATCCTACCTGTAATGTGGCAGTGGGGACAAGGATTGTAGGGTTGTTCCTTTTGGCAAAAAGAGTAACCGGTAGGTTTATTGGTGCTGAAAATGGATCCCATAAATGAAACATAAACTCTCTGTGATCACCATCCCCCTTTGGCTGAGGCCACATGAGGTTTTATTTGTTTTACCATTTCATGCCCAATACTGTGTGGCCCAAGCAGGCTGTGCACTGAGCCCTGGAAATGCAAAGACAAATAAGACTCATCCCAGCCAGGCACAGTGGCTCACGTCTGTAATCCCAGCACTTTGGGAGGTTGAGGCGGGTGGATCATGGGAGGCCTAGGTCGGGAGTTCGAGACCAGCCTGACAAACATGGAGAAACCCTGTCTCTACTAAAAATACAAAATTAGCTGGGCGTGGTGGCGCATGCCTGTAATCCCAGCTACTCGGGAGGCTGAGGCAGGAGAATCGCTCGAAACCGGGAGGCAGAGATTGCAGTGAGCCGGGATGGCACCATTGCACTCCAGCCTAGGCAACAAGAGCAAAACTCCATCTCAAAAAAACAAAAACAAAAACAAAAAGACAAATAAGACTCATCCCTACCCTCAAGGAGCCCAGCATTTAGTTGGGGAGACACAGAGTGAATGGGTGACAATTGAACATGATGAGGGCTATCACAGAGCCAGGAAGAGAGGATTCATTGCTTGAAGGAGTTTAAGGAAAGGCCTGAACAAGGGATAACAATGAAAAAGCTTAGAGGCCAGTTGCGGTGGCTCACACCTGTAATCCCAGCACTTTGGGAGGCCGAGATGGGCGGATCACCAGAGGTTGGGAGTTCAAGACCAGCCTGACCAACATTGAGAAACCCCCATCTCTACTAAAAATACAAAATTAGCCGGGAGTCATGGTACATGCCTATAATCCCAGCTACTCGGGAGGCTGAGGCAGGAGAATCACTTGAACCTGGGACGCAGAGGTTGCGGTGAGCTGAGGTCATGCCATTGCACTCCAGCCTGAGCAACAAGACTGGAACTCCATCTCAAAAAAAAAGAAAAGAAAAACTTTGAAATGGAAGGGCTTTTAAGACTAGCTTCTCTCAACAGCACAGTTCTGCCTAAGACATCCAAGCCGGTTGCTGTTTTAGCAAGGAGTTTTAGCTTCTGCCCTCTCTACGCTCCCTGTGCTCTCAGCATTCAGAGGCAACACAAACTCTTCTAGGGCTCCATTCCCTAATATCCCTGACATATATATGCCTTTAGTGATTCTTAGGTGATTGGATGGCAAAGTCAGGAATGCAGACATGAAAATACATTAAATGAGTTTCCCAATGTGGGAATATCTCCATGAGATGGCGAGCTGGCTGAGCAAGCATCAGGACAACGTGGTTCTCAATACACACTTGGAAAGCTGACAAAAATTACCTCGAGCCACAGAGTGATTCTCAAACCAGGATTAAAAGCAGCAGTGACCATGTATGGCCAGTCTCCATCCAAATCTGGTTTCAACAAATGACACAGGTCTAAATTCCAGTATTCTTAAGACAAAAGAGCTAAGTGAATGGGAGTAACTCTTCATTTCCTCTGCTTCCCTGTAGATAACTGGGAAATTGGAATTCGTCTGGGAAACTAGCTCTGCTCCAGAGCTATGTTGTCTTTTTGAGAAAGTCAATTCACCTATATGAGATTAGCTTTCATGTTATATGTTGGAGACTGGTGCTCTCTCTTACCTACTTTATGGTATTTAATGAGAATTCCTAGACAGTAGGTTAAGCAAAAGTTTATATGAAGCATTTACAATGAGAAATTATGAAAATCAATGTTTATCAGCAGTTTATCTCCATCCTCTATCCGTGGTGTGAATGCTGGAAATGGAAGCAGCCCTCTGGGTTCAGGTCCCAGCTCTGCCGCTACCTACTTGTGAAAGCAAGTTACTTAACATCTTCGTTTCTCAGTTCCTTCATCATTAAGGTAGCAATAACATTACCAAATACCTAGTATTTGGTATTTTAGGAATTCATTCATGTATTCATTTTGCAAACATTTACTGAGCACCTACTAAGTGCTATGCAATGAGAAGCAGTATACTTTTCAGGTTAAAAGGATGAACTCTGGAACCAGAATACCTGGGTTCCAGATTCACCACTTACTAGCTGTGTGACTTTAGGCAAGTCATTTAACCCCTCCATGCCTCAGTTTTCTCATTCATAACACAAAGGTAACAATAGTACCTGCTTCGTGGAGTTGGTATAAAAAAATTAAAGTTTTTAACATAAGCTTAGAATAGGGCCTGGAACACAACACTACATAAATATTAGATATTTTTCCAGGTACTATACTCCTGGTTGGAACTTACATTCTAAGTGGGGAGCAAAAAAAATCATAAATAGACAAATTATTTAATATGTTAGAAGCTGGTAACTACTAGATTGGGGAAATAGAGCAAAAACAAGATTGAGTGTACCAGGGGTAGACTGCCGTCTTTTAAATAATGGTCATGGTAAGTCTCACTGAGGAGACATTGGAGCAAAAACTGGAGGGAGGCAAGGAAGTGAGTCAGGCCTGTATCTGGAGGAAGAGTGTTGGAGCAGACAGACCAACCAGTACAAGAGCCCTAAGATTGGTGTGGGCCTGACATGTTTGAGAAGTAGTAAGGAAAGCAGTGTAGCCGGAGTCCAGCAATGGAGTAGGAGGAAAAGAGAAGGAAATGAAGTCAGAAAGGTAACAGCACCAGATGACATCAGTCATTGTGAGGACTTTGGTTTTTACACTCTGAGAAGTAGAGAGCCATTGCGGGACTTTGAGCAGAGGAGACACATGGTCTGACTTATACTTTCTAAAAAGACCTATTTGGCTGCTATGTTGATAATAGACTGTAGAGAGAAGAGTGGAAGCAGAAAGAACAGATAGGAAGCTGTTGCAATAATCCAGGGAAGCAATAGCAAACGTGGTAGCGGTGGGGTGGTGAGAAGTGGTCAGATTCCAGACATGTTTTGAAGGCAGTGCAAACAGAATTTGCTGAAGGACCAGATATGGAGTATAAGGGAAAGAAGGCGGGGAGAAAAAGATGACTCCACAGAAAAATACAGTTGCCATCAATTAAAATGGGGAACTCTGAGGGTGGATCAGAGGGATGAGCTGAGATATTTATTAGATGTGGATATGTTAAGTAGACTGCTGGATATGTAAGTTCAGGAGAAAGGTTTTAAAGTCATGACAGTAGGCTAGGCTCAGTGACCCACGTCTGTAATCCCAACACTTTGGGAGGCCGAGGCTGGCAGATCACCTGAAGTCAGGAGTTCAAGACCAGCCTGACCAACATGGCAAAACCCCGTCTCTACTAAAAAAAAAAAAAAAAAAAAAATAGGTGGGTGTGGTGGCGGGTGCCCATAATCCCAGCTACTTGGTAGGCTGAGGCAGGAGAATCACTTGAACCCGGGAGGCAGGGGTTGCAGTGAGCCAAGATCGCACCACTGCACTCCAGCCTGGGCAACAGAGTGAGACTCTGCCTCAAAATAAATAAATAAATAAATAAATAAATAAAAAATCATGACAGTGAATGAGGTCACCAAAGATGCAAATATAAATGGAAAAGAGGGGAAAGGACCAAGCCCTAGTTCACACTAATATTAAGAGATGAGGAGGAAGCAGAGGAACTCTCACAGGAGACTAAAAGGAGGGAATCCCAAAGAGGCCAGACCAGCGTAGAAAGTCGAGTGTAGCTCTATAGGTCATTTTAAGTAAGAAGACAACTGAGAACTAACCATGTGATCTAGCGATGTGGAAACCTTGGGGATTAACTGATGTAACACATGAGGCTTGGTGAAAGGTGTGCTCCGGAATAGTGATTACCATTACCCTCATCAATAGGCTTTATTAAACACCCAATTGTATCAGCATCCCTGCTCCCATCTGCCTGACACCGAGGGATAAGAAGCCTGGGTTTTCATGAGTGCAGCTAGATTTATTTAGCACTGGACAGAGAGGAAAATCAAGCTGGAGTCTCTCAGGGAAAGTGGGGAAGACTGAACCCAAAGAACCGGAAGGAGGAATCTGAGTAAAGTCAAGTTAAGGGTCAGGGGAGACTGTGTCAGATCAAGGACAAATTGGGTATGAGCTAAGAAGGCCGTGGGTGATCTCAGCAAATACCTAGTTTGGCCTCTGTGGTCTTTCTGGATGGGTGGGGACAAGGTTCCTACAGGACTGGGTAGTTTTAAAGGTCCAGAGGCAGGCAGATAGTGTAGACACAGTCCTCTCCAGTTCTCCCTCTCTTAAGACTAAAAAAAAAAAAAAAATTAAATGTATAGAGTCCCATTATATGGCTCATTATACATGACTTGTCATTGGCCAAGTCATATGTGTGCCGGAAAATAACAATTACTAACCCAAAGGCACCCTGCACCATGAAGCTCGTCCTGGTCTCTTTTCTGATACTGAGTACTAAGTTATGAAGGACTCATAGCCTCAGGAATATATATCAATGGTCAGCCTGCACGGTGGAATGTTGGCACTGGAAGCTGTTCCCTACCCTCTAAATCCTGCTCACAGTCCCCACCTCACCTCCAAAATCTTTTCCCACATCTTGGCTTTCATCTGCCTTGATTTTGCTAAGACTTGGCCTTCTCTTTGTCCAAACAATTACAATTATAGTACCTTTCTTACAAGGTGGTTATAAGGATCAAGTGACATAATGCATGTGTATATGGTGCCTAGCACAGTGCTGGGCAAAGAAAAGTGTCAGAAAATGCTTGTTGGTGTTGTGAGTTAATCCCTTGTTAGGATGCAGATGTGCCTGAAAAGAGTAATGCTTTAAACCTGCCCCCGAGGGTAAAGGAAGTTCATTAGAAAAGGTTTTGATAAGGGTCAGGGTGGGAGCACACATGAAGAAATGGGGAAAAGGATATAAGGGGGCTTCAAAAACAAACTAGTCGTGTGGCCTGCCCCAGCATGTGGGCCTGACCAAAACAATCCTATATATAGGCACTCTCTTACCTTCCTTAGCATTGCAACCTATTGCGTTAATACCAGGCCCTCAGGCATCACAGCGCCTCTGTCTCTCTAGACCATCTCCAGCCACTACCTTCACCCGACTTACAATTCAGCTAAACTCAACTACTGTGTCTTTGCTTGTGCTGTTTCTTTCCTGCCTCTTCCTCAAGTGGCTCCCACTTTGCATTCAAGACTCAGCTCTTGTGTCTGGAAACCTTTTAAATCATTTCTCCCAAGCTGAGCATTGAGCCCTCCTCTGTGTGACTACAAGCCTATACTTACTTATTGTATACAGCTTAGCACTTTTAATATTAGTTGGTACAAAATTAATTGTGGTTTTGGACCGTGAATTTTAAACATTGTAACTAGGCTCAAACACTTCTTTATTAATTAAAATAAGAACCATTACAATCAACATATTTTTGCCAATGAGAAGCAAATTTGTTTATTCCTGTAGCATAAAAAATCTGTGCTTTGGGATTCAACAACTCTTGGAAAGTACTTTCTGCATCCTGCTGATTGTGGAAGCATTTCCCCTGCAAAAAGTTGTCAAAATGCTTGAAGAAGTGGTAGTCAGTTGGCAAGAGGTCAGGTGAATATGGTGGATGAGGCAATACTTCAAAGCCCAATTCGTTTATCTTTTGAAGCACTGGTTGTGCAACCTGCAGTCGGGGGTTGTCATGGAGAGGAATTTGGCCCTTTCTGTTAACTGATGCCAGCTGCAGGCTTTGCAGTTTTCAGTGCATTTCATCGATTTCCTGAGAATAGTTCTCAGATGTAATGGTTTCTGGGATTCAGAAAGCTGTAGTGGGTCAGACTGGCAGACCACCAAACAGTGACCACGACTTTTTTTGGTGCAAGTTTGGCTTTGGGAGGTGCTTTGGACCTTCTTCCCCATCCAACCACTGAGTTGTCATCACCGATTGTCATATAAAATCCACTTTTCGAAGTATGTCACAATCTGATCGAGAAATGGTTCGTTGTTGTTGCATAGAATAAAATGATGGTTCACAATGATGATTTTTAAAATTTTCACTGAACTCATGAGACACCCACTTTTCCAGCTTTTTCACCTTTCCAATTTGCTTCAAAGGCTGAACGACCATAGAATGGTCAACATGGAGTTCTTCAGCAACTTCTTGTGTAATTGTAAGAGGATCGGCTTTGACGATTGCTCTCAATTGGTCGTTGTCAACTTCCAATGCCAAGACACTATGCACCTCATCTTCAAGGCTCTCATCTCCTTTGCAAAATTTCTTGAACCAACACTGCACTGCATGTTCATTAGCAGTTCCTAGCCAAATGTGTTGTTGATGTTGTGAGTTGTCTGCACTGCTTTACGACCTATTTTGAACTCAAATAAGAAAGTCACTTGAATTTGCTTTTTGTCTAACATCATTTCCACAGTCTAAAATAAACATAAAATAAAAAGCAAGTAATAAGTCATTAGCAAAAAAAAAAAAAGCAAGAAGTGCACGTTAAAATGATGTATAACATAACCACATTAGTTAAGAATGTGTTCCAATATCAAATGGCCAATTTCAACAATGCAAAAACCACAGTTAAGTTTGCACCAAGCTAATAACATGCCATCTCCCACTAGGTTTTATGGTCTTCCAGCAATGCATCTGACACCTCTCACTCTGTACAGTGTACAGTCCCTGTACAGTGGCTGGCACACAGTAGGTGCTTACTAAGTGTGGCAGTATACACATGTACAGAGTCAGGCAAAAATTGGTGTATTTTGGAATGAATAATGCAGAGGAAATAGCCAAGCAATTTTCATGTATGTTTAGAAATAATCAGATAAGAGAGACCAAACTTTCTCTTTTATCATTCCAGAAACATTTCACAGAAAAGGTCACTTTTAATAGCTATTTGGAAGAAAATGAGAGATGAAAAGAGCACTTTCAGCAGTGGAATGGAATGGAGCAGAGTAGGGTTTGAAGGAGGGAGTAGAGAGGAATGGAGTCTCCTGGGCTTGTGGGGCCACAGCAGGAAAGAGAAGTCCAATTACACACAGGGTGTTTGAAGTTAGCATAAGGACTTCGTTTTCTATTCCTCTTCTGTTGGATCACATCAAAAAAAAGAAAGTGGTACATGGCATAACAGTTGGGGAGTCAGATAGACTCCCCAACATTTGAATTTTGTCTGTTTTCATTTTTTTATAATCCTATGCGAGTTGCTTGACTTTGGTGGACCTCAGCTTCCTCATCCACGAAAATGGAATGATCCACTGCACAGGTAATGAGGTAACATTTGAAAGTTCTTAGCACAGAATCTGACTGGATTAGTCAGATTTTGCTGCAGCAACATATAACTCCCAAATCTGAGTGGCTTACAAACACAAACATTTATTTCTTGAGGGCTGTGAATTGGCTTTGGCTCTGGTGGTCTCCACAGATCTCCATTTATCTTTTCATTCAGTGACCCATAGCAACGGGATGGCCATCGTCTAAGATAACCTGTTTTCACTGTGGAGCACAGGCTCTGAAGGGGACACAGCCAAACCACACCAGCTCATTAGCATCTTCAGCTCTGCCATGGCATAGGGCATGTCTGCTCATACTCCACTTGACAAGGTAAGTCCCATGGCCCAGCCCAAGGCCAATAGGGATGTCTTCTCCACCTCCAGAGGAGTGCAGCCATCGGGGAGTGCACACATCATTGTCAACAAGTAAAGCTGCCTACCACATGTGGCGTTTCATTGGCTACTGCTCCTGAGTCAGTAAATATGTTCATAGATATCTAGAGATGCAAGCGGCCTAGGAGAAGGATGGGACAGTTATGTCCAAGGAGGTAAAAAGAAATGTACACTTGTGTCAAAACCTATTCCCGCCACCACAAACCTCTTCTATTGCTCCAAATTCCCAGCTTTGGGAAAAAATGGGTGAAAAAGAATTAATTTTTTTATAGGGGTTCATGGTAACAGTTCCTTTATCTCTTACTTTCTTCTTCCTGCTCACTTCTCACCAACCAATCTGGCCTCCTTGGCATTTTTTGAAACATTAAACATGCTGCCAGCTCAGGGCCTTTGCACATACTCTTCCATCTGCTTGAATAAGCTGCCCCAACATCTGCATGACCCCATCTCTTACTTCATCAGGTCTCTGCTCAAATGTCACCTTGTCCAAAAGGCCTCCTCTGACCAATCTATATAAAATAACCAACCCCTGCCCCAACCATCCCTTATTACCCTTAACCTGATTTACTGTTCTCCATAGGACTTATAGTCTGGGATATTATATATGTACTTATTTTTGTTGTTATTTATTATCTATCTCCATCATTTAGAATATAAGCTCTGCGAGAGCAAGGAATTACTCACTGCTGTATCACCAGCACCTAGAATGGTGAATGATACATAACAGGTAGTCATTAAATATTTGTGGAATTAATTAATTGAGCAAATATGCACCATGACTTTACAGAAATGAATCTCATTTTAATCTTCACAGGAACTATACAAATATACACGCATGTGGTATTGCCAAGCCCCATTGAATGGGTATGAATACTTAAGTGAAAGATTTAAAATAACTCACCCAAGATCAAACAGCACAGGGCTGCCCACACTGCCAACACTATAAGGAGGGGTAGGCAGGGCAAAGGCTCTCCCTCCAGGTTGTAGCTGAGACACAGCATTGCTGCTTCTCCTTCCCAAGACGGAGGAAGTATGGAAGATCCCTTGTACCCTGCAGGACCAGCAGAGCCCTGTGCCCTGGCCACCCTGCCTCCCAGGAAGGTGCCAGGCAGAGAACAGAATATCCTCCACCTGGAGGTAGGGAGGTTAGGACTGGGGAGAGGGAGTAAAGGAGACACTGGTCTGCTTTTTGTGACCATGACCAGCAGAAAGAGGGCTAGCCCGGAGCACATCAATAGCACCTTGTTGACTTTTAACGCTTCCTCACCACCTCTTCTTCTGTGTGCGCCATCTCTGATAACATGCCACAGCCAGCGTAATCTCTTCAGGGTGTCTCTCAGCCCTCCTGCCCTGCTACAGCCTTTCCTCTGCCCAGCTCCAAGCATGCCGTCTGCAGACAAAGGCCTTGAAGAGGCTGCATGTGTCCTTGACCCTCACTGACAGCACTTGCTTCTGGACTCAGAGGGAGCCCCAGGGAATGCCCCGGCCACCTTCCGCCTGTTTCAAGGCTTTACCATCCAAGATCACTGGCAGTAAGAATTCGTTCATCCCTTTTACTGTCCCATCATTCCCACTGCCCCCTAACCCTGCAGTGCCTTTCCCTTGTCAGTAGCCACCAACAGAAAATTACAGAAACAAAAGATCATCACTCTTCAATTATTTATTCAATGCCTGTGTATAAAACACCACCATAATACTGTCCTACGTGTCTGCAGAGCTGACAGTGTCCAGCCCCCACTAGACAACCTCATGCCCTTCCTCAGATGTCACTCTACAGGAAGCTGCTCACCCAGCCCATACACAGAGACTAGCGAGATGACCCAGAGGTAAACTCCAGATCAGTGTGTCTCTCATGCTGATTTTTAACTTCAGATGAACTTGCAGGACCAAGGGAGCCTGCAGGAGGAATGATCTCCAGGAACCACCACCCCTTCCAGGAGCCACCGTTTAAGGGCTTGAGAATGGCCCTCTCTTCCCCTGCCAACTGTTCTTTGATCCTCTAGAAGAGTGTTTTTTAAACACAGCAAATCACAGCTCATTAGTGAGACATGAAATCAATTTAGTGAGCTGAAATCACCATATTTTATCTTAAAAGAGAAAAGAAAATAGTTTGCGTTGCACAAAGTAAAGGTGAGTATTGTTTTATAAAACTTCTCTTTCGGTTGTGTGTGTGTGTGTGTGTGTGTGTGTGTGTATTCTGGGTGGAGTATTGAGTGTATTTTTTGCTGTTATGACACAGAATTTACCCATCAAAGAAAAGCACCTATTATAAGCTGTGGCAGAGGGTCTTCCAAAGGCGGTTGTCCTACCCACTCAACAAGGACAAGCTTGGGGTTCATGAATCATGGGATGTGAACTGTGAGGACCTGACAGTCACCTTAGCTCGTGGGTATCAGGGCATCCAGAGGAGTTTGATTTGAGAGTGGGACTGATCAGAGGATTCAACAGTCCTAAAAGAAAAGGATTCTTGCTGCTAACAGTAAGGACAAAACTGAGAGACTAAAGGTAGCAGAACAAACAAAGGGTCTGGTGCATGGATTGCTCCAAAGAGGAAGGTTAAAGTAGGCTGTCAGTATTTAATGTTAATACAAAGCACCTAGCTAGGTGCTGTGGAGTTCAAAGGAACAAGATAGATCCTGGCCTTAATGAGCCCACATCACAGTAAGGTTGAAAACCAAGCAGATCTGAACCAGTAATGGGCCCACATGTGCAAAACAGCATGTTAATCAAGAGTAGACCTCATGGGTATCAACTATAAGAGTAGTAAGCAGCCAGAAGCAGAGAGAGTGTGAGCAAACTCACAGGGGAACTTGAGCAAGGCGCTAAGGGATGAGTCAGAATAGTGGGGTGGGAAAGGCATTTAAGATCCAATATCCAGAGAAATTGAGTCAAGGTGGGAGCTCCGAGCCAATGTGATGTGTTCTTGAGCCTACACCAATATTAGCCTAGCTGGAGCAGAGGGATTCTGTCTGGAGACTTGCTTTGTAGGGTGAGGCAAGGTTATGAAGGGTCAAGGAAATGGATGTGATATTATAAATAAAATAAAAATCTAACATAACCCAAATGTCAGTTTCAGGCACCCTGCCACTTGAGATTCAGATAAGATTGGCTCGAATCTCCATTCCACATCCTGTGGAAAGTTTAATGCCCTCCCCAAGATGTCTGCATTCTCTCAGAGCAGTTACTTTTTTGTGGCCTCCTCTGGTTCTGGAATTAGTTCTGTTGTTAGTGATCTCACCTTCCAGTGCGTGTAGCCCTCTTACCCAGTCCCTTGAGTGACAGTCCCTTGAAACCCAGTCCCTTTCCTTGATTTACTTATACACACATACATAGACACACACACACTACAATTTTACAAGGCCTTTGCTGACATTTTGAGAAAAATGAAGAAGGGAGGATTTACCCAGAAGCAATGGAAACAAATCAAAATTTAATATTAAAAAGTCTGTGTTCTTAACAGATTATTTCTTCCCTAACAGGAATTCTGATGCCAGCTACTAAGATAATAGTTGAGTTTTTATTTTTAATTATTATTCTGCTTCACCAAGAAATGTTACAGAAGAAGAGTGGCAGCTATAAATGACAGAGTAGGAGGTGGAGGACTAAGTGCAGAGGAGGAATGAAAGAAAGGAAACAAAAAAGAGGGTGTGGAGATGATTTTGAGGTTTAAAACATTGTCAAAGGAATGAAGAAAAACAGAAGTTAAGGAAATTCAACCAAGTCACATTGCACTGACTTGTATTTACTAAACTGATGTTTTGAAATTCAGGTCTGAGGCTGGTAGGAGGAAGGAGTTTGGAGAAAGGAGCCATGTAGAATGACACATGGAGGTTAGACCTCCAGCCAGAGAGGAACATGAAGCATCTGAATTCTAGCCTGAATATGCTCCTAACTTGCAGTATAATCTTATTTAACTCACTTCCTTTTCTGGAACACTCAGTTTCTTATCCGTACAGCAAGAAAGTCAGATTAGTGACCCTTTGCCATAAATTCCATCATCATCTGTTTATTTTTATTGTCTTTCTAAACTTATTATTAATAGCTGAAGGAGCCACAGGAAAGAGTTCAATAATTGTGAGTGGAGGGCAAGAGGGATATCAAAACTTCTGAAAATGAGTGGGATTGGAGATGTTAGACTAGTTGACTAGGACATTAGCTAAAATGTTGTACAGTTATTCTAATAGAGTTGTATTTTAATAGAGAAAGAAGATCTTTAGCAGAAACACATACTAACTGTTCTGAGACTCAGCTCTCCAAGAAGGCCTGGTAGGTGGGCCCACACCAACATGAACATTCCTCTCTGTTATTCTGGTGTCTCCTATCCCAACTTTGGACATAGTATCTAGAAAAGAAAAATACGCCCACTAAATTCTGTCTTGATAAACCTACCTTCCAAAGAAGAAGTGTTTCTCAAAGTGTGCGCAGTTGGTCCTAAAGATGCTCTGAAAATAAATGAAAAACAAAGGGGAACCCTTGTGGGAAACCAGCATATGCACCCCCCAACATGTGACTGTAGGAGACCAGAATATGTTACCCCAAAATATGACTATGGGGAACATAATATGCACCCCAAAGTATGACTATGGCAGAAAAGAATATCTACCCCCAAATATGCCTTTTTGGCATAAGGATTATTTTGAGCTGATTATTTTGAGAAACTTCAGACACAGGAGAAATTCTGAAAACAGAGTAGAAGTTACCCTTTTGTAAGGGAAATTTATACCCATAAGCCTCCATTTGTAAGGGCATCTTTCTCTCAGTATAAGGAAGAGAAGGCTGACTAAATAACAAGAGACTTATCAATGGAGAAGACACTGACTTTAATCTGCATAACCAATCTTACCCTTGTTTCCCATGCTTCTCCTGGGCATCTCCTCATAACCAGCCTTTCCCACACCTTTCTTTCTTTGTCTTAACAGATAATGGTATTTAAGTCTGTTCTGAGATTAACTCATTTCTCTGGGTATCTCCCAGAGATATACATGAGGTATACATGTTACTAAACTTCTGTTTCTTTTTCTTTTATTATTCTGTCTTTTTTTTTTTTTACAGGAGTCTTTCTTATCTAAAAACTATGAAGGATAGAGAGAAAAACATTTCCCCCCCACAACATGTACTTGCTTTGAGTCTTGCTGAACTTCCCACACATTCTGTGCTCATGGGACATTGTAGATGTTATATGTAAATAGGGTAACAGAAGGGCAGAGACACATATTCTCTCTGTTCGTGGACCTGCTCCGTTTTCCCATCAGATTCCACTTATCAAACAAAAGTTCAAAGATAAGATTAGGAATAATTTCAAGATGGTGAGAGCAGTGTACTAAGCCAAGTAAAGGGGTCTTCTGAGCACAGGGTCCTATGTGACTGCACATGTCTCTGCCCATGGAGCCAGCCCTGGAAAAGGGTTCATCAATCACATAAATGTCTCTCCCTCTGCTGGCCATTATTGTGCTGTATTTGGGAGATATGGCAGCCATCTTCCGACCACGAGGGGAACTAGCCTGAGGACACATCTGACATAAGGGAAGAAAGAAAGAATGGTGTCTCAGTTCATTTTGTGCTGCTGTAACAGAATATCAATTTGTGGGTAATTTATAAGGAACAGAAACTTCTTTCTCACAATTCTGAGGCTGAGAAGTCCAAGAGCAAGAGGGTAGCATCAGGCATGGACCTTCTTGCAGAGTTATCCCATGGCAGAAGGCAGAAGGGCAAGAGAGGGTGAGAGAGGGCAAAAGAGGGTGAGAGAGGGCAAGAGAGGGCTAAACCACTTTTATTATAACAACGCACACTCTCCATAACGAACCCACTCCCACAATAATGACATAAATCCGTGTGTAAGGGCAGAGCCCTCACGACCTAATCACCTTTTAAAAGTCTCACCTCTCAAAAGTCCCACCTCCCAACACTATTGCATTGGGGATTAAGTTTCTAACACATGAACTTTGGGGGACACATTTGAACCATAGCATTCTTCCCCTAACCCCCAAAATTCATGTCCTTCTCACATGCAAAATACATTTATTTCATCCCAATATCCCCAAAGTCTTAACTCATTCCAGCATCACCTCAAAAGTCTGAAGTCCAGAGTTTCATCTAAACTGATTATCAGTGAGACTGAAGGCAGAATTCATCCCAAAGCAAATTCTTCCAGCTGTGAGCCTGTGAAATTAAACATATTGTCTACTTCCGATATACAATGGTGGGACAAGCATATAATAAACATTCCCATTCCAAAAGGGAGAAATAGGCAAGAAGAAAGGAGTAACTGGTCCTAACTAACTATAAAACCCAACAGGGAAAGCAACAGTATGTCTTAAAGCTGGAGAATAATCTCCTTTGACTCCAAATCCTGAATCCTGGGCACACCTGGGTGGAGGTTAAGCCCCCATGGCCCAGGCAGCCCTACCCCCACAACTTTGCTGGGCTCAGCCAAGCTTCATCTCTCTCAAGCTGGAGTCTGGTATCTGCGGCAATCCCAGCCTAGATTACACTAAAGCACCCAGGCAGTGATATTCTGTTATGGCAGCACAAAATGAACTGAGACACCAATTTTGGAGTCTTGGTGGTGGTCTTGTTCCCTCAGCTCCAGTAGATATTTCCATAGTGGGAGTTTTCTGCGGTGGCCTCATTCCCATGGCTTCACTAGTCATTGCCTAGGTAGGGATTCTCTGTGGCAGCTTCACTCCTGCAGCAAGTTTCTGCCTGAGCCCCCAGGCTGTCCACAACACCCTTTGAAATCTCAGTGGAGGCCGCCATGGCCCCACAGCTCATGCACTCTTTGTGTCTGCAGAGTTAGCACCACATGGACAACACCAAGGCTTACAGCTTGCACTCTCTGGAGCTGGGGCACGAACCACATCTGGGCCTACATTCACCAAGGCTAGAGTGACCAAGGAGCACTGTGCCAGAATGTGGGGAGCAGAATCCCAAGGCAACCCTGAGCAGAGAGCTCATGGAGGGCACTCAAGGCTCATCCCCCCAAATCATTCTGCCCTCTTAGAGTTTTGGGCCTGTGATGGAAGAGGCAGCCTTGAAGATCTCTGAAATACCTTTGGGGTCATTCTCCCATTGTCTCAATGAATAGCATCTGGATTCCTTCCATCTGTAATCATCTCCTTATTAAATAGTTGCTTGTCTGCATCCTTGGTGTCCTCTCATAAACATGCTTCTTTGCCAGGCACGGTGGCTCACGCCTGTAATCCCAGCACTTTGGGAGGCCGAGCCGGGCGGATCACAAGGTCAGGAGATCGAGACCATCCTGGCTAACACAGTGAAACCCCATCTGTACTAAAAATACAAAAAATTAGCCAGGTGTGGTGGTGGGCGCCTGTAGTCCCAGCTACTCAGGAGGCTGAGCCAGGAGAATGGTGTGAACCCAGGAGGCAGAGGTTGCAGTGAGTTGAGATCGTGCCACTGCACTCCAGCCTGGGTGACAGAGTGAGACTCTGTCTCAAAAAAAAAAAAAAAAAAAAAAAAGGCTTCTTTATTCTTTACATGGACAGAAAACATTTTTCTAAATTTTTATATTCTGCTTCCTTTCTGATCATAAATTCAATCTTTAAACTATTTGTCTCATTTTTCATTTTACTGCAAGGGGCCAAAAGAAGCTATGCAGCACCTTTGGTGCTTTGGTGCTTAGAGATTTCTTCTGTAAGATATCCTAGTTTATTGCTCTTAAATTCTGCCTTCCATAAAGCCCTTGGGCATGGATAAATTCAGCCAAATTGTTTGTCATTCTGTAACAAGGATGACCTCTACTCCAGTTTCCAATAACTTGTCTCTCATTTCTGTCTGAGACCTCATCAAAATGGCCTTTACTGTCCATATTTCTACCAACATTCAGATCATGACCACTTAAGTAATCCCTAAGAAGACAGGCTCTCCCTACAGCTCTTGTCTTCTTCATAGCTCCCACCAGAATCACCCTTAACGCTCAAGTTATGACAATATCGGCTTTTTCTAGCCTGTTCCTCCAAATTCTTCCAGCCTCTACCCATTACTCAGTTCCAAAGTCACTTTGACATTTTTAGGTATTTGTTATAGCAACAGCCCCACTGCTTGGTACCAATTTTGTGTCTTATTTCATTTTGTGCTGCTATAACAGAATCCTACAGTCTGAGTAATTTATAATGAACAGAAATTTATTTCTCACAGTTCTGAAGACTGAGAAGTCTGAGATCAAGGGGCCGCGTCTGGCAAGGCAAGAGAGAACAAGAGAGGGCTGAACTTGCTTTTATAACAACCCACTCTGTCAATAACAAACCTACTCCTACAATAATGACAAAAATCCATTCATGAGGGCAGAGGCCTCTTGACCTAGTCACCTCTTAAAGGTTCCACCTCTAAACATTATTGCATTGGGGATTAAGTTTCCAACACATGAACTTTGGGGATACCTTGAAATCATAGCAGAAGTGTCTTTGGAGAGGTTATTGAGTCTCTAAATTAATCAGTTCCCCTAGCCACTTTGAGTTGAGTTTTCTCTTATTTGTAGCTGAAAGCATCCAAATTTGGCCCCAACCCAGAAATCTATATTTTTAACTAGCTCCCTGGGTGACTCTGATGCAGGTAGTCTAGAAACCATATTTTGAGAAACTCAGCTCTAAAATGATGGCAAACATCTCAGCTGTATCAGAAAAACCATGTTTCCACGAGATGGATCACCTCGATTGATTCAAGTGGGTGCCTCAAATGCACAGTTCTTACTTGCTTTGACCATCAATACTGCCTTTGTACAAAGTTCCACGTACCCTCTACACTTAAGAATTTCTTTTTTAAAAGTTATCTGTGATTGCTTAACATCCTGGGAACTAAATAGCTGAAAATCTTGGTTTTATATCTATTTTCTTCATGTTATCCCTCCAGGGTGATATGGGAAGATTTATTGACTTCCTTAGTACCTCATGGAGAAACTGCATGGTGTAAAATGTTTTTAGAGTCTCAGGATTCTCCAGGGGCTCACCCAATCACTCAATACCCATGCATTGATCTAAATAAAGAATAGCGGCGGCGGCTGCTATTCTTGCAAAGTAGGGTCACAGTGCCTAACTTCCCCTCCTGAGAAAACAGGGGCCCAGTTCTGACCTGCACTGTCCTCATAGAGCTTAGATCGGGCAAGGGAACAGAAGCAGCTGCAGCAGGGAGTATGGAGTAACTGGGGAAGAGAAATCATTCAGGGCTAAAATAGCGCCTGAAACTCAAAGACAGTCCAATTCAAGTGCCCAATTCACAGTGATCCGAAAAGAAAGACCAGGCCAAGGAAAAGAACAGGTCGTAACCTGGGTCAGTAAGACAGAGAGAGAGAGAGAAAGAGAGAAAGACAAAGAGAGAGAACTGGAAGTTGAGAGGGATACAACCAGTTTCCCTTTAGGGGTGCCTGTGGCTTTCCATGGAAGAGAAAGAACTATTGACGACATTAAGTTGGTTTGTTGTGGAGAAAAACACCACAAACTTCTTAGTACAGATTGAGTAATCCTAATCCAAAACTGAAATTCGAAATGTTCCAAAATCTAAAACTTTTTGATTGTCAACATGGTGCTTCAAGAAAATGCTCATTGGAGCATTTCAGACTTTTAATTTTCAGATTAGGGATGCTCAACTGGTAAGTATAATGCGAACATTCCAAAATTCAAAGAGACCTGAAATCCAAAGCACTTTTGGTCACAAGCACTTCGAATAAGGGATACTTAACCTGTATATGCATTTGTCTCTCAGCAAATTGGTAACAAGTAGAGGCTCAAATCTCCGACACAGTATATTATAGATGGCACTTTTGCTGCAAGGGGCAGAAAGAAGGGATAAAAAATTATTTTAAAGCTGTACATAGTCCTCCATAATGCACTGTCTTACATTATTTTCTTACTGCATCATGGAGAAGAATCGTCTGCATCTCTCAAGGGGATTATAGCTCCCTGAAGGCAAGGACCATGTTTTATACTTGTATCACCACTTTATGGTGAATTTACATCTCCACAAGTTGAACTGAATTGATTTGAGCTATACCATTTCCCAAAGGAGTCATTTGATTTAGAAAGCAATAAATGAAACAAGGGCCGTCCCTCTGTAGAGGAAAGCCAACAGGCACTTCCATAGACATTGTATCAGGAAGTGGGAGAACTGATTTCATCCCACCCAAATGCCATATTTTAGGCCATTATCCTTTTGTAATGAAAATGGGTGGGAATATATTAATATTTCTCCTCTTCCTCCTCTATCTTCTTAGTCTTGTCTCAAAAAGTCTCTCTTGAAACTCCTCCTTCCATAAGGCCTGCATTTCCGCCACTGGAGACTTGTTCCTTTGAATTAAGTATAGCCCTCTTGAGCCCAAAGTTTTAAAATGTAAATACCTCTGGGAAAAGAAACACATTACATCTCTATTACTTTTATATAAATGCATTTAACCCAGGCTCTTCTCCTCGTAGAAAGGACTAGGCTCCTCCGGGGGCTAAGAATGATGAAAAGGGAGGAAAGCAATGATGCCCAGAGAAGAACAGATGTATGGGGCAGGGAAAAATGGTGCTCAGGTAAAAGTCAGCCTCTGTCCCAATCTCACTGAGGTCTGGCCCTGAATAAAACCAATAATAATAATCACAGTAGCTTTTATAGCTCATTATGTGAGACTCATTTCTTCGTGGTAAAACTCCTTTACAAAGCTCATTACAAATAACTCCTTACACAGGGCTATTATCCCTTTGTAATTAAAACAATATATTGCATCCTCCACTTGGGATTCCTGTGAAACAGCATGGATAATACACAATGGCACTCTGAAAGCTTTTATTTAGTTCCTCTTGAGTCAAAGCAGAAGCTTCCAGGAAAGATTTATCAGCTAATTCCAGAGAGTTATCTCAAATAACTCACATGCAAGATATGGGAACCGTGGGGGAGATTCAAAGCTCCCTTTAGGGTGTGAAGAAGGTGCAAATGTAAGATCATCTCCAAAGCTCTCATGAAGCCAATGACGTATCACCTGTGGATTTACTGGGGAAAGAGTGAGAATTGTGGCGTGAGCAGAGAATGAGGGCTTATCTCTTCTAAGCAAGCTAATCTTTCCCTGACATCTTTCTTTTTGCACTAGAAAAATGTATTTTTTAATAGGTATGCTTTGTATAAAAGAAATTTTGAACTTTTGAAATCCACTGTTTGTTCTTTTCAAAGGGTACTAATAGTGGGCCTCAGTGACTTTATCTATAACTTGGATTAATAATGCCCACCTCAGAGGGCAGAAGTGAGGATCAAATGAAGTTGCATGTGAAGCACCTGGTCAGAGCCAGGCACAAGGGAGAGGCTCCATGGATATTTGTTAGGTCCCTTTCCAACTTCTCTCAACCTGACTGTAATCCCAGAACTTGCTCTGGGAAGCCACTGTGTCAAAACTCCTAGATCCCATTTCTAACTTCTACTCTCCCCTAAACTACATTGCTGACAAGGAGCTGCCTCTTCTAGGTACAACAAGAAAGGATTTTGATTTCCTAACTCTCCCATAACCAAATTTTCCAAAACCAAAGACTGGAATGCATGGCCTCACCATACGGATGGGTTTTTTTCTTTTCAGATATGTTAATTTATTTATGTGACAAGTCCTTCAAAGGCAAAATAATTAAGATACATTCAGTTATGTATGTAAAGAACTATCTTTTTAAAGAATGAAATTACATCAAAAGAAAGAAAACTCAGCAAAAAGTCCTGGATAATTTGACATTGGGACTGTTGGAAACAGCATAGTCATCACAGACACCTTCTTCATTCGCTGATCACTAAGGGTTTTTAGAGTTGTTGCCAACAATGTTAAGTCCCATTCGGTCATGGGCTGACCTTTCTTTGCCAAGTAGCCTGGAACATTTTAGTCCTTTGTTGCATGTGTTGCCATTTCCTCAGACCCACAGATCTTATGACACACACTCTGGGTGTTGCTGAGCTGAGATGCCTGGAAAGTGGTCAGTATGTCCAAGTGATGTGAATGGAGGGAGAATCCTCCAAAAATAGAAACATAAACAGATGCAAGGTTGAGAAATAAGTCAAATTGCCATATCATTATTTTGTTTGGGGTAGTTTAATGCTGTGGCTCATTTTTATCTCATTTCTTACATCCTTTAGCCAAAGCAGAAAGACTGGTTATCCCCATTCCCCTCTGCCCTACCTTCCTACCATCTCAGAGACAGGCTGCTTGAGGGCAAGGACTGTGCCTTCCAATAAACAATTCAACTAGCAGATGTTCATTGAGTGAGTCACAGTTAATTACTTAATAAATCTGACATTGAAGTCCAGACTGTGTGACCTGAACAATTGTTTCCCTTTAGTTAACACCATTCTTCATAGAGCTAATAAATCCACTGAGAATTCTCTAGAGCTTCCCCTTCTTCCACAAATGGAATGGCTCCAGCTTGACCAGGCTAAGAAGCACAGTGACACCCATCTTAGCTGGCTTAATTCTCAAATTCTCAATTGCTGGATAAGTCTTATCTATAGCCACGGCCAGCCCTTGACAAACTGTAAGTCTAGCAAAATTGCGTGTCTCAAACACATGTGTGTTTTTTTTTTTTTTCCTCCTACATCTCCTCCCCATCACTGGCTTCCCTCTTCCCCTACTTCCATTTTCATCACTGCAGGGCCCAAGCTCTTACCTGTCTTTATCAGAATTAACTCTTAGGGGGATAAGAATGGTATGGAAAATATACATCAGTTAGCATCAGTTAAAGAGGCCAGTCAATTCCTGCCTCTGAATACTATATTCCAGCCCTTCAATTAACCATTTCCCTCTTTTTAGCCCTGCTCCATTTCTCAGATCCATCCTGAGAGGCTGAAAGTATGTTTGCACAAGCACGAGCTTTGGAGTCTAGCTATGTGACGTTGAACAAGTCATATCATCTTGCAGTAAAATGGGAACAATAAATACCTACCTCTTGGGGTTATTGTGAGGAGTGAGATAATATGTATAAAGAGCTTAGTACCAGACCTGAAACATAGTAAGTACTCAATAAATGGTTGCTGTTATTATTACACTTCCCACCCCAATCTGGTACTTAATTTTGATCACTCTCTCCATATACCTGCATGTCTTTGAGGTCAGGATCTTAACTAATCTATCTTTGACCCCCTGTACAGTGCCCCATGTCTAGCAAAAGGTAGATGCTTAGTAAATGCTGAGTGAAGGAACAGGACCAACACTGCCTTAGATAGAGTGGGGCTGACTCCTGGGCTCCTGAATTGTTCCCTGAGTTGTAGCTCCTCTTGAATTGGGCTTCTGATTAAGCTTTATTCTAGTTTCCCAGTTCTCCAGAGAGGACTAAACATTTTCTGCACCTGGGACACTGGATTCCTGTCCCTGAGTCACATTTCAGGCTGGGGCTAAAGCCCAGGAATAATCCCAGGCATCGATTCTCTGCCCCAGGTTCTACATGGTCCAACTGCTGAGGAATAGCTTGAAGTTCAATACTCTTCATCTCCATCAGCGCTTCTCCCACCTATGTGGACAACTGCCATTTTCTAAACCTTACATAAAACATGAATAGAAGTTTTTTGTTGTTGTTTTGTTTTTTGACATGGAGTCTTGCTCTGTCACCCAGGCTGGAGTGCAGTGGTACAATCTCAGCTCTCTGCAACCTCTGCCCACCGGGTTCAAGCGATTCTCCTGCCTCAGTCTCCCTCTAGGACTACAGGTGTGCACCACCATACCCGGCTAATTTTTATATTTTTTAGTAGAGACAAGGTTTCACTATGTTGGCCAGGCTGGTCTCGAACTCCTGACCTCAGGTGATCCACCTGCCTCGGCCTCCCAGAGTGATGGGATTACCAGGCATGAGCCACCACGCCTGGCCTAAAAGTTTATTTTTAAAGTACTGCTTTGTTGATTGATCTATGCTGTACAATCTAAGTAAAAACAGAGTGCTTGCTATGCAAAAGCAGCTTCAAGACAAGAATCCTAACACCCACTCTGTCTTTGTCTTTTTGGGCTGCTATAACAAAATGCCATTGATTGCATGGCTTATACACAATAAAAATTTATTTCTTACAGTTCTGGAGGCTGAGGTCCAACATCAAGGCACCAGCAGAGTCAGTGTCTAGTGAGAGCTTCTTTCTGTTTCCTTCTAACTGTATTCTCACATGGCAGGCAGTCCAAGGCAACTCTCTAGGGCCTCTTTCATAAGAATATTAATGCAATTCATGAGGGCTCCATCTTCATGACCTAATCACCTCCCAAAGCCCCAACTCCTCATACCGGCACATTGGTGATTAGATTTCAACATGAGTTTAGGGAGTATATAAACATTCAGACCACAGCACCCGCCAATCTGATTCTTGTCCCTAAGTGCTACCCCAGTATGGAAATTCTAGAGCCACCACTAACCCTGTCCCCTGGTCACTGATAGATGACTTCTGCTAAACTTGGAAACTTGGGCTAAACTTGGGCTGGGGCAGCTGCCCAAGCACTGCCCTGCTCTAAGGCTGGAAAGATGGAGGGGATGTTCTTTTTTTTCATCCACCCATGGGAAAACCACCCTAGCCTTGGATCTTGCTTCCCTAGACCTGCTATTGAACCCTGGTCACTCTCATCTTCCCAGGCCTTGTCCAGTGTATAAAGGAGTGAGTGAAAACAACTGTGAAGGGTCTCCCAGCCTGATTGATGTATTCCTATACCAATGGCCCCTTCCAGGTAGTGGATTTAACTCAGCCAGAAATGGCCTTCTCAAAGCCAAAAAAGCCTCTTCCAGGCAGATGGAGGTCTACCTCAGCGTGACATCTGACACTCCCTTTCCTGCAGTGCAGCTCTCATTGCCTGAAACGCCCTCCCTGAGTCAGTCACCCTGCATCACTTGCCTCAGCACTCAGGGCTCTGCACACGTGCTGTAGGCATTTCATCTATTTTAATAATAAAACAAAAATGACCTCAGCATAGGGACAACAGCAACCAGTCAATGGCTGCAAAATCATTCCTACAATTTCATATTAACATTCTGTCATCAGTGACGGGAATGATGAAGACATTCATTAAAAAAAAAAAAAAAAAGGACAGACTTAGCCCTGGGAAGATGGATAATTATCTCTGCTAATTACTATTGCCCAGCCCAGAAGGCCTTGCCCCCACCTGCATGCCCATCAATTAAAGTCTTACTCATCCTTGAAGGCCCAACTCAAATGCCACTTTCTCCAAGAAGCCTTTCCTAGTCCTCCAGTTAGAATTAATTGTCCCCTGCTCAATGTTCCTGTGATGTTTATTGTATAATATTCCCATGTCATTATATTAAAATGTTATCTATTTATTACATAATATATATTATGCAGTATTCCTATATCATTATTATAAAAATGGTACCATAAAGGTATATGGAAGATGATTAGCACTCTGAGCAGCCTATAACTCAGCCTCAATAAAAAAGAACTATTTTAAGATTATGAATAACTTCATATCTGCCCCACAGGTCAGGCTCTAAAGGTACATAGTTAGAAAGAAACTAACTTCTTTGACATTGTGAATCACAAAATCTAGCTGTTCTAAAAACAAACCTGAAAGAAAATGTAGGTATGAGCCATACCCCACGTTCCTTCATCTGCTGGGATAAACACTTCACTTTGTCCAAAAGATGTCAAGTCTCAGAATGAAACAGGCCCTACTAACCTAACCAGCACATCACACCACATAAGACACACAAAATCCCCTTTCCATCATTCCAGCTATGCTCAAACTCACTTCCACCTGAGGCTACTCACTAAACTTTTAAGCAACTATAGCAACAAGCATCATAAAAATAGCTATCCCATATTGAGTCTCTACAAGTAGTAGACCATATGCTAGATTATTTAATATCTCAGTTAATCCTCATGAAAACAAAAGGGTCAGTTTCTCAGAGTCACAGCTCCTAAGTAGCATATTGGAGATTCAAATAAAGATCTAGCTCCAAAGCCTATGCTCTTACCATTAGGTATTCCTGCTTCCTTAGTCACCGGAAAAGTTTCCTAAATTTTGTAATTTAGGTGGAAGCTGCAAATTTCACCCATGGTTGTGAGTTTTCCTCTTGGAGACCATCAAAACATATCTAATTCCCCTTCTACTTTACCAGCCTGCAAATAATTAAAAAGAGGTGGTGTGACTCCAAGACCTCTTATCTCTGGGCTAGACATCCTTCAGCTGTTGTCCCTCTTATAAAATGGCTTCAGATCACATCATGGTCTGGCCCCCATCTCTTTTTTTATTATTGTTATTTTTCCATAAATTATTTTTAATTTATGGAATTACAATTCTATAATTTATAATATTCCATAAATTATAATTCCAAATTTAATTTATGGAATTTTAATTCTTAAAAAATAAATTATATTTATTTTTCCATAAATTATTGGGGTACAGGTGGTATTTGGTTACATGAGTAAGTTCTTTAGTGGTGATTTGGTGCACCCATCACCCAAGCAGCATACACTGCACCTTATTTGTAGTCTTATCCCTCACCCTCTTCCCACGCTTCCCCCAAGTCCCCAAAGTCCATTGTATCATTCTTATGCCTTTGCATCCTCATAGCTTAGCTTCTACATATCAGTGAGAACATATGATGTTCGGTTTTCCATTCCTGAGTTACTTCTATTAGAATAATAATCTCCGATCTCATCCAGGTCGCTGCAAATGCTAATTCATTCCTTTTTATGGCTGAGTAGTATTCCATCGTATAAATATACCATGGTTTATTCATCCACTCATTCATTGATGGGCATTTGGGTTGCTTCCACGATTTTGCAGTTGTGAATTGTGCTGCTATAAACATGTGTGTGCAAATATCTTTTTCATATCATGACTTCTTAACCTCTGGGTAGATACTCAGTAGTGGGATTGCTGGATCAAATGGTAGTTCTACTTTTAGTTTTTTAAGGAACCTCCACACTGTTTTCCATCACACTGTTTTCCATGGCGGCTGTACTAGTTTACATTCCCACCAGCAGCGTAGAAGAGTTCCCTGATCACCGCATCCATGCTAACATCTACTGTTTTATTATTTTTTTATTATGGTCATTCTTGCAGGAGTAAGGTGGGATCGCATTGTGGTTTTAATTTGTATTTCCCTGATCATTAGTGATGTTGAGCATTTCTTCATATGTCTGTTGGCCATTTGTATATCTTCATTTGAGAATTGTCTATTCATGTCCTTAGCCCACTTTTTGATGGGATTGTTTGTTTTTTTTTCTCGCTGATTTGTTTTTGTTGTATATTCTGGATATTAGTCCTTTGTCAGATTTATAGATTATGAAGATTTTCTCCTACTCTGTGGGTTGTCCGTTTACTCTGCTGACTGTTCCTTTTGCCATGCAAAAGCTCTTTAGTTTAATTAGGTCCCCACTATTTAAATTTGTTTTTGTTGCATTTGCTTTTGAGTTCTTGGTCATGAAATCCTTGCTTAAGCCAGTGTCTAGAAGGGTTTTTCCAATGTTATCTTCTAGAATTTTTATAGTTTCAGGTCTTTGATTTAAGTCCTTAATCCACCTTGAGTTGATATTTGTATGGGGTGAGAGATGAGGATCCAGTTTCATTCTCCTACATGTGGCTAGCCAATTATCCCAGCACCATTTGGTGAAAACGGTGTCCTTTCCTTAACTTTATGCTTTAAGATCAGTTGGATGTAAGTATTTGGGTTTATTTCTGGGTTCTCTATTCTGTTCCACTGGTCTATGTGCCTATTTTTATACCACCACCACGCTGTTTTGGTGACTAGGTGACTATGGCCTTATAGTATAGTTTGAAATCAGGTAGTGTGATGCCTCCAGATTTGTTCTTTTTGCTTTGACCATGAGGGCTCTTTTTTGGCTCCATATGAATTTTAAAATTTTTTTTCTAATTCTGAAAAGAATGATGGTGGTATTTTATGGGGATTGCATTGAATTTGTAGATTGCTTTTGGCAGTATGGTCATTTTCACAATATTGATTCTACCCATCCATGAACAGGGGATGTGTTTCCATTTGTTTGTGTCGTTTATGATTTCTTTCAACAGTGTTTTGTAGTTTTCCTTGTAGAGGGTTTTTGACCCCTTGGTTGGGTATATTCCTAAGGTGTTTGTTTGTTTGTTTGTTTGTTTTGCAGCTATTGTAAAAGGGGTTGAGTTCTTTATTTGATTCTCTGCTGGGTCACTGTTAGTGTATAGAAGAGCTACTGATTTGTGTACATTAATCTTGTATCCAGAAACTTTGCTGAATTCTTTTATCAGTTCAGGAGCTTTCTGGAGGAGTCTTTAGGATTTTCAAGGTAAACTATCATATCATCAGAAAACAATAAACGTTTGACTTCCTCTTTACCTATTTGGATGCCCTTTGTTTCTTTTTCTTGTCTGATCGCTCTGGCTAGGACTTCCAGTACTATGTTGAAGAGGAGTGATGACAGTGGGCATCCTTGTATTGTTCCCATTCTAAGAAGAAATGCTTTCAACTTTTCCCCATTCAGTATGATGTTGGCTGTGGGTTTGTCATAGATGGCTTTTATTACATTAAGGTATGTCCCTTGTTTTCCAATTTTGCTTAGGGTTTTAATCATACAGGGATGCTGGATTTTGTCAAATGCTTTTTCTGCATCTATTGAGATGATCATATGATTTTGTTTTTTAATTCTGTTTATGTGGTGTATCACATTTATTGACTTGCATATGTTAAACCATCCCTGCATCCCTGGTATAAAACCCACTTGATCATGGTGGATTATCTTTTGATATATTGTTGGATTTGGTTAGCTAGTATTTTGTTAAGAATTTTAGCATCAGTCGGGCGTGGTGGCTCATGCCTGTAATCCCAGCACTTTGGGAGGCTGAGGTGGGCAGATCATGAGGTCAGCAGATCAAGACCATCCTGGTTAACACGGTGAAACCCTGTCTCTACAAAAAATACAAAAAATTAGCCGGGCTTGGCGAGCGCTTGTAGTCCCAGCTACTCAGGAGGCAGAGGCAGGAGAATGGCGTGAACCCGGGAGGCAGAGCTTGCAATGAGCCGAGACCGCACCACTGCACTCCATCCAGCCTGGGCGACAGAGTGAGACTCCGTTTCAAAAAAAAAAAAAAAAAGAATTTTAGCATCTATGTTCCTCAGGGATATCAGTCTGTAGTTTTCTTTTTTGGTTATGTCCTTTCCTGGTTTTGGTATTAGGGTGATGCTGGCTTCACAAAATGAATTCGGGAGGGTTCCTTCTTTCTCTATCTTGTGGAATAGTGTCAAAAGGATTGGTACCAATTCTTCTTTGAATGTCTGGTATAATTCTGCTGTGAATCCAGCTAGTCCTGGACTTTTTTTGCTTGGTAATTTTTTAATTACCATTTCAATCTTGCTGCTTATTATTGGTCTGTTCAGGGTATCTAATTCTTCCTGATTTAAGCTAGGAAGGTTGCATTTTTCCAGGAATTTATCCATCTCTTCTAGGTTTTCTAGTTTATGTGCATAAAGGTGTTCATAGTAGCCTTGAATAATCTTTTGTATTTCAGTTGTAATATCTCCTGTTTTGTTTCTCAGTGAGGTTATTTGGATTTTCTCTCTTCTTTTCTTGGTTAGTCTTGCTAATGGTCTATCAATTTTATCTATCTTTTCAAAGAACTAGCTTTTTGTTTCATTTATTTTTTGTATTGTTTTTGTTGTTCTTTCAATTTCATGTAGTTCTACTCTGATCTTGGTTGTTTCCTTTCTTCTCCTGGGTTTGGGTTTGGTTTGTTCTTGTTTCTGTAGTTCCTTAAAGTGTGACTTTAGAATGTCAGTTTGTGCTCTTTCAGTCTTTTTTTTTTTTTTACTATAGAATGCCAGTTTGTGCTCTTTCAGTCTTATTATTATTATTTTTTTTTGAAATGGAGTCTCACTCTGTCGCCCAGGCTGGAGTATAGTGGTGCAATCTCAGCTCACTGCAAGCTCCGCCTCCTGGGTTCACGCCATTCTCCTGCCTCAGCCTCCCAAGTAGCTGGGACTACAGGGGCCCACCACCACACCCGGCTAATTTTTTTGTATTTTTAGTAGAGACGGGGTTTCACTGTGTTAGCCAGGATGGTCTTGATCTCCTGACCTTGTGATCCACCCACCTCGGCCTCCCAAAGTGCTGGGATTACAGGCATGAGACATTGTGCCTAGCCTCTTTCAGTCTTTTTGATGTAAGCGTTTAGGGCTATGAACTTTCCTCTTAGCACTACCTTTGCTGTATCCCAGAGGTTTTGATAGATTGTGTCATTATTGTTATTTAGTTCAAAGAATTTTTTAATTTCCATCTTGATTTTGTTTTTGATCCAATGCTCATTCAGGAGCAGATTATTTAATTTCCATGTATTTGCATGGTTTTGAAGGTTCCTTTTGGAGTTGATTTCCAGTCTTACTCCACTGTGGTCTGAGAGAGTGTTTGATATAATTTCAATTTTCTTAAATTTATTGAGGCTCATTTTATGGCCTATCAGATTGCCTATCTTGGAGAAAGTTTCATGTGCTGTTGAATAGAATGTGTATTCTGCTGTTGTTGGATGAAATGTTCTGTATATAGCTATTAAGTCCATTTGTTCCAAGGTATAGTTTAAGTCCATTGTTTCTTTGGTGACTTTCTGTCTTGACGACCTGTCTAGTGCTGTCAGTGGAGTATTGAAGTCCCCCACTGTTATTGTGTTGCTGTCTATCTCATCTCTTAGGCCTATTAACAACTGTTTTATAAATTTGGGAGCTCCAGCGTTAGGTGCATATATGTTTAGGATTGAGATATTCTCCTGTTGGACAAAGCATTTTACCATTATATAATGTCCCTCTTTGTCTCTTTTAACTGCTGTTACTTTAAAGTTTGTTTTGTCTAATATAAGAATAGCTACCCCTGCTCACTTTTGGTGTCCATTTGCAAGAGATGCCTTTTTCCACCCCTTTGCTTTAAGTTTATGTGAGTCCTTATGTATTAGGTGAGTCTCCTAAAGGCAGCAGATAGTTCATTGGTGAGTTCTTATCCATTCTGCGGTTCTGTATCTTTCAAGTGAAGCATTTAGGCCATTTACATTCAATGTTAGTATTGAGATGTGAGGCACCATTCCATTCATCATGCTATTTGTTGCCTGTGTACTTTGTTTTGTTTTTTGTTTTTACTTTTTAACTTGTATTTTTGTCTTATAGGTCCTGTGTGGTTTATGCTTTATAGAGTTTCTGTTTTGACGTGTCTCCAGGATTTATTTGTTTCAAGATTTACAGCTCCTTTTAGCAGTTCTTTTTTTTTTTCTTTTGAGACGGAGTCTCACTCTTGCCCAGGCTGGAGTGCAGGAGCACGATCTTAGCTCACTGCATGCTCCGCCTCCCAGGTTCACGCCATTCTCCTGCCTCAGCCTCCTGAGTAGCTGGGACTACAGGCACCCACCACCAAGCTGGCTAAGTTTTTGTATTTTTAGTAGAGACGGGGTTTCACCATGTTAGCCAGGATGGTCTCAATTTCCTGACCTCGTGATCTGCCTGCCTCAGCCTCCCAAAGTGCTGGGATTACAGGCGTGAGCCACCGCGCCCGGGCAGCTGCTCTTATAATGGTGGCTTGGTAGTGGCGAATTCTCTCAGCATTTCTTTGTCTGAAAAAGACTGTATCTTTCCTTTATATATGATGCTTAGTTTCACTGGATACAAAATTCTTGGCTGATAATTGTTTTGTTTGAGGAGGCTGAAGATAAGGCCCCGATCCCTTCTAGCTTGTAGGGTTTCTGCTGAGAAATTTGCTGTTAATCTAATAGGTTTTCCTTTATAGGTTATCTGGTGCTTCCATGTCACAGCTTTTAAGATTCTTTTCTTCATCTTAACTTTGGATAACCT
This sequence comes from Homo sapiens, assembly GCF_000001405.40. Classification (NCBI taxonomy): domain Eukaryota; kingdom Metazoa; phylum Chordata; class Mammalia; order Primates; family Hominidae; genus Homo; species Homo sapiens. The sequence continues at coordinate 147,831,960 of NC_000001.11, forward strand.
GACAAAAATGTGCCTAGGTGATGATCTTTTTGCAATGAACTTCCCAGGTGTACTTTGTGCTTCTTGTATTTGGATGTCTAGGTCTGTAGCAAGGCAGGGGAAGTTTTCCTCCATTATCCCCCCAAATATGTTTTCCAAACTTTTAGAATTCTCTTCTTTCTCAGGTACACCAATTATTCTTAGCTTTGGTCATTTAACATAATCCCAGACTTCTTGGAGGCTTTATTCATATTTTCTTACTCTTTTTTCTTTGTCTTCGTTGGATTGTGTTGATTTGAAGACCTTGTCTTCAAGCTCTGAATTTCTTTCTTCTACTTGTTCAATTCTATTGCTGAGACTTTCCAGAGCATTTTGCATTTCTATAAGTGTGTCCAATGTTTCCTCATGTTTTGATTGTTTTTTCTTTTTTTTCTTTTTTTTTTTTTTTCTGAGACAGAGTCTCGCTCTGTCACCCAGGCTGGAGTGCAGTGGCGCAATCTCGGCTCACTGCAAGCTCCGCCTCCTGGGTTCACGCCATTCTCCTGCCTCAGCCTCCCCAGTAGGTTGTTTTCTCTTTAAGCTATCTATTTTCTTGAATATTTCTCCCTTCACTTCTTGCATCGTTTTTTGGATTTCCTTGCATTGAACTTTGCCTTTCTCTGGTGACTCCCTGATTAGCTTAATAACTAACCTCCTGATTTCTTTTTCAGGGAAATCAGGGATTTCTTCTTGGTTTAGATCCATTGCCAGTGAACTAGTGTGATTTTTTGGGGGGTGTTAAAGAGCCTTGTTTTTTCATATTACCAGAGTTGGTTTTCTGGTTCCTTCTCATGTGGGTAGCTTCTGTCAGAGTGAAGGTCTAGGGCTGAAGGCTGTTGTTCAGATTCTTTTTGTCCCACGGCGTATTCCCTTGATGTAGTACTCTCCCCGTTTTCCTATGGATGTGGCTTCCTGTGAGCTGAACTGCAGTGATGGTTGTCTCTCTTCTGGGTCTAGCCACCCAGTAAGTCTATCCAGCTCTGGGCTGGTACTGGGGGTTGTCTGCACAGAGTTCTGTGATGTGAACCGTCAATGGGTCTCTCAACCGTGGATACCAGTGCCTGTTCCAGTGGAGGTGGCAATAGGAGGTGCAATGGACTCTGTGAGGGTTATTAGCTTTATGGTTTAATGCTCTATTATTGTGCTGGCTGGCCTTCTGCAGGGAGGTGGCACTTTCCAGAGAGCATCAACTGTGATAGTATGGAGAGGAACAAGCAATGGACAGGTCCCTTTAACATCCAAGATTATATGCCTTTGTCTCCTGCTACCAGGGTGGGTAGGGAAGGACCATCAGGTAGGGGCAGGGCTAGGTGTGTCTGAGCTCAGACTCTCCTTGGGCCAGTCTTGCTGCGGCCGCTGTGGGGGATGGGGGTGAGGCTCCCAGGTCAATGGAGTTGTGTACCTAGGAGGATTATGCCTCTGCTGACTCACGCAGGTTGTCAGGGAAGTGGGGAAAGCTGGCAGTCACAGGCCTCACCCAGATTCCCCACAAACTGAGGGGCCAGTCTCACTCCCACCATGCCCCCACTAACAGCACTGAGTCTGTTTCCAGCTAGTGGGTGAGCCAGGCTTGACAACTTGCCCCAGGCTACCCACCTCCCAGCTGCAAAAGAAAAGGGCTTGGTTCTTCCCCCACCTGTGGAGTCTGCACACCAGATTCCCACCCTCCCCTGAGTTCTGGCCAGGAGGCTTCTTGACCTATTCACACTGTTACAAAGTTCAGCTGGAGACCTCCTTCTCCCTGTGGAGAAGGAAATGTTGTATCTGGGATATCACTTCAGTCTGCTGAAATCTTTCTAAATCCTGATCTTGTCATCCAACATAGTCACTAACCCTCTCAGCAAATTTGATCAGTATATTCTGTGAATCCATCCATGTCATTAATAAAAACGTTGACTGGGACCCTGTGTCAGGCCTCTGAGCCCAAGCTAAGCCATCATATCCCCTGTGACCTGCACATACACATCCAGATGGCCAGTTCCTGCCTTAACTGATGACATTCCACCACAAAAGAAGTGAAAATGGCCTGTTCCTGCCTTAACTGATGACATTGTCTTGTGAAATTCCTTCTCCCGGCTCATCCTAGCTCAAAAGCTCCCCTACTGAGCACCTTGTGACCCCCACTCTGCCCGCCAGAGAACAACCCCCTTTGACTGTAATTTTCCTTTATCTACCCAAATCCTATAAAACGGCCCCACCCTTATCTCCCTTTGCTGACTCTCTTTTCAGACTCAGCCCGCTTGCACCCAGGTGATTAAAAGCTTTATTGCTCACACAAAGCCTGTTTAGTGGTCTCTTCACACGGACACACATGAAACCCTGCAGCAAATGACTACAGACCTCCTGTAAAGTTGACGCAGATTCATTAATCACCAGTCTTCACATGTGATTGTTCAACCAGTTACATATCTGCTTAACTGTTCTGAGCTCACAGGTCTATATCCTGCTGAAACTCACTAGCTCAGTAACCCCATCAACAAAGGAAATGGGTTTAGTCTGGCATAATTTGTTTCAAGTGAGTTCCTGTTATTTTATGAAGGTTCATCTGGCAGGATGGATCCTAAACCCACACTGCTTCTGCTGACGGTGTCTGTACCTAAGGTGGGAGTTGTGATAACATAATAAATAATCTATAATCACTTGCATAACCCTAAGAAGCCAGGATTACCAATTACCTACCCAATACAAAACAAAAAATGAATATATGCAAAAGACCAGCCTAAAGTAAGATGGCAAAATTTTTCTTTGGCTCTCTGACACGTTGCTCTCAGCCTTCCTCTATTGCACGGTATCCTCTCTTTCCTACCCCATATGAATCCTGTGACCTCATGAGACCCTCTGACTTCCCAAGGCTCCCCACCTTGGTATTTTATTTCATTCCTGCCCTCCCTTAAATGCTCCAAGCTCCAAAATGAACCCTTCCTGAACTCCTCCCTCCATTCTATTTTCTCAGAGAGATAAGACAAAAAACAACTGGACTGTAAGAATTCACACTAAAGTATGAATGATGAATTACCCTGCAAGAATGCAGGTATTTGTAAAATAGGAACATAGTCAACCCCAAATAAGCTCTACTTAGTGGAATTACAAGCCCTGTGATAAAATCTGGGTGGAAAATTGCAAACAGAATTTGACATATCTTTTGCTGGGGGGGCTTTTGTAGTAGTCAAGGTTCTTGGATATAAGTAACAGAAACCTTCCCTAATTATCTTAATCAGAAATGAGATTGGAAAAGGTATCAGGTATGTATACTCAGAACTGATGAGGAGGCTTGGAAGTCAGACAGAACCCAAGAAAGACTGGGCAGCCGAAACCTCATTTGGATCACACAACAAAAACATGCTGTCTAGAAAGCCATGGCAGGCTCCACTGCTAATGGACCTTGACTCGTACTGGACTCTAAATACTGAATCCCTAGGCACCTGAATCCCTCCTGCTTTAAACATTTTCAACCCTTCCTAAAATTCAAAGACCAGGCCCAAAGTGTCCATTGGTCAAGGCTGGGCTGCATAGCCACTCCTCAGTGCCAGGGAACAAGAGAAGAGTATTTTCCGTTCTTTAGCTTTCTTAATGGGAGAGTAGTCCTCCTCACTCTTCCTCCTTCTTTTAGGATTCAGAAGTAGATTATCCAAGAGCATGAGAAATGTCTAGTATAACTCCTAGAACTCCTTAAGTTTTACATATACTTTTAATTACAGTCTGATCCTGTATCTGCCCCTTCTACAGCCATTTGTTGGGGTTGGGGTGAGCTTGCCACCTTCAAGAGTCATTGTGGTAGACAACTGAGTACTGTATCTGTTTCTTGGTGGGCAGGCCTACACAAACCTGTCCCCAGAGTCTGAGGAAGCCTCTCAGCTGCTAAAGAAAGAGGCTAACAAATCCAGTTTCTTAGAAAGAACATTTATTTAATAGGAACTTAACAAACAGAAGCCATGTCTGTGTCTCAGGCAGTGGCACGACAAGATGGATGATCCTGCACCATTACCCCCCAGACTGGGTGTTTATATACTGTAGAAGAGGAGCACAAGTGCTTCAGAGAGAACAGGTAGGAATGTGCCATAAGGGCAGAATTTACAGTAAGTAGGAACTCACCCATAAGGAACAAACCAAAAATCTTAGAGGCCTTCCCAGAAGAGGGGTCAATCAGAAGCCAAATGGCGAGTTAGCATCTAAGATAGAATTGCTTTGGCCTCTATAGTATCACCCCACATGTATCCCAAGCTCAGCAGTCAGAATCTTGACAAACTTTTTTTAAAAAAACTGTTGGAATATTCCACACATACAGAAAAGTGCACAGATCATAAGTGCACTTTCATAAAGCAAAGTGAAATTTCACAAAGCAAACATATCTTCTGAAGAAATATTACCAGCACCCCAGGTGCCCCCGATCTGTGTCAGTTACTACCTTCCCAAGGTGACCACTACCCTGGCACCTGGCACAACTGATTTTTTTCTTTGCCTTCAAATTTTGAAAAATTGAATTGTATGGTATTTTCTCTTTTAGGGCTGGATTCTTTCACTCGACATTTTGTTTGTGACAGTCATCCATATTGTATGTGGTTGTATTTGACCAACCACTTTAGAAAGATTGCTGTTGCACTAGCCGGCTGTCCCAAGGGGGCCTGGGATTTACTGACAATCATATACTGAGGTCAGCTCAGAAACAAAACTCTAGACATTTGTTACATTCACAAGAAATCTGGGCAACCATGATTAGTTCTAGTGAACTTGAATATCACCCTTTTGTTATCCTGTGCTAAAACCAGGGAGATCTGAGTAATAATAGTAGTGATACAGATATAAGGAATCCCTTAGATTTACAAAAGTGTTTTACATGAGCTTAAAATGCTCTAACGAGTGTCCTCTTGGTTCCTAAAAATGCTTGCACCAGAAACAGAATTCAACTTCCCAATAATTAAAGGACTTCATATTTGGAGTTCAGGGAGTTCTGGCCTTGTGACAGACAAGAACTCACCATTCACCTGGACATGCCCAAGTGAGTCATCTCTGTGTCCAGCGCAGTGGTCTCTAAACACATAGGTCATTTGGGATAAACTGGTAGTGGAGAAATCATGGTAATGAGGGGAAAGTTACTGGTACAGCTAGAGATAATGAAACTGGTTTACAAAGAGGCTGCAGATGGAGACAAGGGAATGCATTAAGGGATGGGCAGGCAGGACGAGGAATGCTAGATGATCAGACTAATACATTTAAGCTCTTCCAAAAATGTGCTCCGGAAAAGCAATCTCCGTGGAGAAACAGGTTGAAGATTAAATTGCCCCTCCCTGGGGGCACCCGCAGTCATACGATAGTGCGCTTGTGGGGTAGAGTGATCTGGAGGTGAGAAGCCAGAGGGAGGGCTAGCAGGGCTCTATGAGGAGGCAGCATTCCTGGTTCTCAGCTGTTTGTTTTGTAAATGGAAGAAGAAAGTACTTTGCATTCCACAGGTGTCTGTGGATAAAGCCATCACTTTGCAAACCTCTGTTCTTAACTCAAACCAACAGGACAAAGAGTGGTTGCTGCATGTCTGCAAGCTGAGTAGTTTGAAGTTAGCGAGGAAGGCAGTGAGATGGCAGTAGTCAGAGGGGAGTCAGAAGTCTGGTGCTACTGGGGACCAAAGAAGCCATGAGGGGTCACACCTTGGCTCGGTGGGCTAGCCTTTCTCCATGCGAATGTATCTGTTTGTCTCTGCTTCTCATCTTCAACCCAGCCCCAGACTCAATGTCCTTTATGGCTCTAGATGGTGATAGAGAAGGTGAGGCAAACAGGAAAAGCAGAAGGAGAAGAAGCAGAGAGAAGAAAGTGTCTGAGTCAAGAAGTTGAAAGACGGCCAAGATGAGGGAGAGAAAGGATTGTGGGAAGAGAGCAGGGAGGGGCATCTTAGTCCTGTGTTGACACTTCCCCCAAAATCCATTAATTCCCCCACGGTGTGAGTGGCAGATGAGGTGAAACCATGAAAAGACATGGAGGGGTAAGCAGGGAGAGGCTGTAGTGGGCTGGGAGCTAAAGCCCTGCTTCACACTTCACTGCAGTGTTCACTCACATTTGCCTTGTCACTCACTCTTAGCCTATTGAGAATTTTTGAAAACGAAACTTGATATTCAAAGTTAAGCACTCTTCAAGTCAGGTCAAGAGTCTCAACAATTATGTGCATCTGCATATATGAGGCACTGTTAGAAGTTGTGGAGATATGAAAACGAGACCAAAGAATGTCTTACCAAGGAGTGTAAGACAGATGATGTTAAGGGCCACAGGAGGGTAGATATTACTAAGATGCTGAGAGTCAGCAAGGGGAGAGAACTCACCCAGTTGGAGTCAGAGAAGCCTACCAAGAGGAAGGCATACTTAAGAAGAGCACTGAAAGATAAGGAATGCAATAAGGAATTCCAAGTAGAAGGAAACACCTCAGCTGGGCAAGGGGGCTCATGCCTGTAATCCCAGTGCTTTGGGAGGCTGAGGCCGGAGGACTGATTGAGCCTGGGAGTTTGAGGCTGCAATGATCACACCACTGTGCTCCAGCCTGTGTGACAGAGCAAAACCCTGTCTCTAAAAAATGAAAATAAAGAAGGAAACACCTTAAACCAAGACCCACAAATGAAAAAGTACTGGGCATGTTTTAAATATGACTGATGCTTCTGTGTAGTCAAAGGTATAAGGAGATGAGGCTAGAAGGAAGAGAAGCCATGTTATAAAGGCATCTGAATGTCAGAGTTTGGATTTTACTTTGCAGGTAAACAGGAGCCATTGAAAATTTTTCTGCAGGGAAGTTCTATGACCAAGTAGCATTTTAAGAAGAATAATCTGGCAGCAATATATGTAAGTAATCATCATGACAAGGACTGAAGTCAAGGAATCCCGTTAGAAGGCTACTAGAATAGTCTAGGGGGAGTAATAGCCTAAACTAGGCTTGTGTGTGTGTGCGTGTGTATATGTGTATATATATATATATGACATATATAGAGAGACATATATATGAGACATATATATAGAGACATATATATGAGACATATATATGAGATATATATAGAGACATATATATGTGACATATATATAGAGACATATATATGAGACATATATATAGAGACATATATGAGACATATATAGAGACATATATATGAGATATACATAGAGACATATATATGAGACATATATAGAGAGACATATATATGTGAGACATATATATGTAGACATATATATGTGAGACATATATATGTAGACATATATATGTGAGACATATATAGAGACATATATATGTGAGACATATATATGAGACATATATATGTGAGACATATATATGAGACATATATATGTGAGACATAGATATGTGAGACATAGATATGTGAGACATAGATATGTGAGACATAGATATGTGAGACATATATATGTGAGACATAGATATGTGAGACATATATATGTGAGACATAGATATGTGAGACATAGATATGAGACATAGATATGAGACATATATATATATACATATGAGACATATATATGTATATATATGAGACAGGGTCTTGCTCTATTGCTCAGGCTGGAGCACAGTGGCATGATCATAGCTCCATAATCTTAGATTCATAAGCTCAAACAATTCTCCCACCTCAGCCTCCCAAAGTGCTAGGAGTACAAGCATGAGCCATTGTGGCCAACCCAGATACATATATTTTTAAATGTTTCATTGATAAAACCTACAGAACTTAGTTATTGATTGGATGTAGTTGATACAGGAAAGGAAGTCTTGACTCCAAGGTGTGTGTCCAGAGCTGATAGAAGTGTAATGGTGCCATTAACATAAATTTAAAAATCAGAAAGAAGCTCAGAAGTGTAGGGGGAGGGGAGGTCTTTGTTTTGGGATGTATTGAAATGTCAGTAGAATATTTAGATAAAATGTCTAGCCAGTATTTAAAATACAGAAAGTAAATGATTTGTGGCTGAATATATAGACATAATGACTAGCTTCATAGTAATAGGAGTAGTAAAAATCACACACACAAAAAATTGTAATGCTGAGTGTTCAGTTCCTGAGCAAGGAGTGTGGTAGTTTAAGGGAGGGGCTGTCATCATCCTTGCTTTCAAGTTAAACTGTTAATTAAATTCCCCCCAATGCTAGCTTGGCTTATGCCCAGGAATGATCAAAGATAGCTTGGAGATCAGAAGCAAGAAGAGTCAACTATGTCAGGTTTCTGTTAATGTCATAGTTATGAAAAGGTGGTCTCATACGGATTTTGGATGAGAGAGTTTCTTTTCTTTTCTTTTTTGTTTGTTTGTTTGTTTTGTTTTGTTTTTTTGAAATGGAGTCTCACTCTGTTGCTCAGGCTGGAGTACAGTGGTGCGGTCTCGGCTCACTGCAACATCTGCCTCCCAGGTTCGGCGATTCTCCTGCCTCAGCCTCCCAAGCAGCTGGGATTACAGGAGAGCACCACCATGTCCGACTAATTTTTGTATTTTTCATAGAGACAGGGTTTCATCATGCTGGCAGGCTGGTCTCAAACTCTTGACCTCAAGTGATCTGCCTGCCTCGACCTCCCGAAGTGCTGGGATTAAAGGCACGAGCCACCGCGCCCGGTCATGACGAGAGAGTTTCTAGTTGAGGGGTGTTTACTGCCTGTATATGGAATGTTAACTGAAAACTACACCTATCACTGAAGGACATAAAATGATCCTGATACCTGAAATACCCATACTGTCTGGGATGATGTCAGATAAATATGTTAATGAGGATGGCAGTTCCCAGAGTTCCATACTTAAATAGCAATGGTTTGTATAGGATCATGCCACCTGGGGAATGCCAGAAGGAGATACTCACAGGCACAGATCTTCTTTTTCCCTAAAACTGACTCTGGAACTACGTGAGGAGCTGCCAGTTTCCATGGTTCCTGATAAGCAGTTCCCTCACTGACAAAAAGCTATTGGATTTGTGGATGGCAGTTTCAAAGTGAAAGGACCACCTCTTGTTTGGAAGGCTGCTCCTCTGATTATTTATCAAAATGAGCCTCCAGGCCACACCCAGACTCCTGGAGCTGGTGGGGCAGAGCCTGCTGAGGAACCAGTTCTTGGCCATCTTCACCCTGGAGGAGCTGCCCAAGGAGGTCTTCTGTCTGCTGTTCACTGAGGCCTCCACCAGGAGATGCTGTGAGATTCTAAAGGCCATGGTGCAGGCCTGGCCCTTCCCCCGCCTCCCTCTGGGTTCCCTGATGAAGACACCTCATCTGGAGACCTTGCGAGCTATGCTGAAGAGACTTGATACACTACTGGCCAGAAGGTTCGCCACAGGAGGTAGAAACTTCAAGTGCTGGATTTGCGGGATGTTGATGAGAATTTCTGGACCATATGGTCTGGAGCCAGGGCCCTGTCCTGCTCCCCAGAGGCCATGAGTATGAGGCAGACAGTGGTGGACTGTCCAAGGACAGGAGAGCACCAGCCCTTGAAGGTGTTCATAGACCTCTACCTAAAGGAAAACACCCTGGATGAATGTCTGCGCTACCTCTGTGGGTGGATCCACTACAGAAGAGGTTTAGTACACCTGTGTTGTAGTAAGGTACAGAATTACTCAATGCCCACTTCAAATTTCGGAAATTTATTGGAAAAGGTATACCCAGACAGCAGTATCCATGATTTGGAAGTCTGGAAAAAGTGCTCGCTGAATAGAACAGGAAAGTTTGCCCCTTACCTGGGCCAGATGAGCAATCTTCACAAACTCTTTTTAGCCTTCAGTTATGGGTGTGAGTTATACATGTGCGGCCAACAGCAGTTCATTCCTGACTTGGACTCTCCATTCCTCTGCCTGGAACCCCCAGATGCTTTGAATAAGAAAGGTCAATAATATCAAAGAGCACCTGCTCAGGTGCCTCAAGAACCCCTTGGAGGCCTTTACATTCTGTCATGCTTACCTAGCTGATCGGGACATGGGGTGTCAGTACCCAAGCCTCAGTCAGCTAAAGCAGCTGCATCTGATTCATATCCTAATGTGGACCACCAATCTTGAGCCCCTTGGAGCTCTGCTAGAGAAAGCTGCTGCTACTATCGAGACCCTCGTCTTAGAGGACTGTCGGATCCAGGACTCCCAACTCATGGTCATCCTACCTGCCCTGAGCCGCTGCTCCCAGCTCACCACCTTCTACTTTCATGGAAATGAGACCTCCATGAATGCTCTGAAAGTTCTGTTGCATCACACAGGTGAACTGAGCAAGTTAGGCCTGGAGACATATCCTGCCCCTCTGGAGAGTCTTAACAACAGGGGTCATGTCAGTTGGGAGATCCTCGCCCCAATTCAGGCTGAGCTGATGCGTACACTCAGGGAAGTAAGGCAGCCCAAGAGGATCTTCTTGGTCCTGCCCCCTGCCCTTCCTGTGGCTCATGGCCATCTGAGAAACTGGAGCTGCATCTTCGCTTCTAGGGAAGGCCTGGTTAGTGGGGTGGATAGGCTTTCTCCCGGACACTTGGGCACTAAAATCTAGGACGTAGGTACATTTTGTTGTTGTTGTTGTTGTTTTGAGACAGAGTCTCACTCTGTCACTCAGGCTGAAGTGCAGTGGCACAATCTCAGCTCACTGCAACCTCCGCCTCCCAGATTCAAGTGATTCTCCTGCCTCAGCCTCCTGAGTAGCTGGTGTTACGGGCGTGCGCCAACATGCCCAACTAATTTTTGTATTTTTAGTAGAGACAGGGTTTCACAAGTTGGTGAGGCTGGCCTCGAACTCCTGACCTCAAGTGATCTGCCCACCTCTGCCTTCCACAGTGCCAGGTTTACAGGCATGAGCAGCCGGGCCCGGTCAGGTGCATCTTAAAGGAAGCACAGAGCCAGTGTGTTTCAGGCACGTGCTCACTGTGATTAGAAAAACAAAGGTGACTAAGCAGGGGACAGTACTGGGTGAAAATGCTAACTTGGCGTCCATGAGGCCTTCAGGGACCTGTGTCCTAGAGTCAGAACCTGAAGTTCTAGAGTGATGCAGGAGTTACTCCCACAAGGATGGTTATTTAAAAATGTCAAAAATAAATGGAACCTGAATGGAAAAAAAAAAATCGTAATTCTAACACATAGCTGAGACCAGGAATTAGGCTAAGATAATTAAGCTAAAATATATACATATATAAAATTTTTTTAAAAAGCCCTATAAATTATATGTTGTTTGTCTTTATCTGTTTTGCATTGCTAGAACAGAATACCTGAGGCTGGATATAAAGAAAAGAGCCTTATTTGGCTCACAATTCTGGGGACTGGGAGGTCCGAGATTGGGCAGCTGCATCTGTTGAGGGCCTAAGGCTGCTTCCACTCATGGCTATCAGTGGAAGGGGAGCAGACATGTGCAAAGAGGTCACATGGCAAGAGGGGAAGCAAGAGAGAGAAACTGAGGAAGCCAGATTCTAAAAGCCCACTCTCACCAGAACTAATCCATCCCCACAAGAGGAAGAACTGACTCACCCCCACAGAGGGCATTAATCTATTTATGAGAGAGCTGCCCCTGTGAACCCAAACCTCCCAGCAGATCCCACCTCCCAACACTGCGACATTGGGAATCAAATTCCAACACGAGTTTGGGCAGGGACAAACCACATCCAAACTATAGTACTGTTACTATCCATGCTTAGAGATGAACAGAACTAGGTTAGAGAGATTAGGTAAACGAGGATTTGAAGCCAGGTATTCTGACTTCCAAAGACTGCACTCTTGGCCACCATGCTTTACTGCATCTGTAAGGGCTATTTTGACAGCTAGTGTGCAGAGAACACGTGAGTGGTGGGGAAGTGGATGCAGTAGGCAGTGGAATGAAAAAGAACAAAAGAACAGAAGGCAGCAATGGCAGGACCCAGGGGAACAGATAGAAGCCTAAGCAAATGTATAAGTCTGGGGAGATCCTGAAGAGAAGCCTAAGAAAGGCTAATTGGCACAGAAGGACCCAGGAGGAAGTTGGAAGGGATGGAATTAGAAGGCCTAGGAAGGAGTTAGCCTGGTCAAAGAAAAGAGAGACTTTTCTGGAACAAAGAAGGAGGAAGGTGAAAGTACCAAGGAATTCTGAGGAGAAGCTGAGAGATCTTAGCTGTCATGGTCAAATTTTATCCCCCAAAAAATGTTGAAGTCCTAACCTCCAATATCTGCGAATGTGACCTTATTTGGTGTCTGCTGTTGATCAAGTCAACATGAGGCCAGTGGGTTGGGCCCTAATCCAATATGACTGTATCCTTATAAAAAGGGGAAAAATGGACACTAAGACAGAGACATGGGGAGAATGCCATGTGAACCTGAAGGCAGAGATCAAGATGATATGCCTACAAGTCAAGGAATACCAAATATTGAAATTGTTCTTTTTTTTTTTTTTTTTGAGATAGTCTTGCTCTGTTGCCCAGGCTGTAGCATGATCTTGGTTCACTGCAACCTCCATCTCCCAGGTTCAAGCAATTTTCCTGCCTCAGCCTCTCGGGTAGCTGGAATTACAGGCACCTGCCAAATCACCCAGCTAATTTTTGTATTTTTTTAGTAGAGACAGGGATTCACCATGTTAGTCAGGCTGGTCTCGAACTCCTGAACTCAAGTGATCCACCTGCCTCGGCCTCCCAAAGTGCTGGGATTACAGGCATGAGCCACTGTGCCTGGCCCAGATATTGCATTTGAAATGCAATATTGAGAAGACATCCAGAAGCTAGAAGTGAGGCATGGAACAGATTCTCCCTCACAGCCCACAGAAGGAACACTTGTATCTTGGGCTTCTGGCCTCCAGAACTGTGATAAAAAATTTCTGTTGCTTAAGTTACTCACTTTGTGGCACTTTTTATTATGGCAGCCCTAGCAAACTAATACAGTGACCTTGACTTTCTCAAGAAATAGGCAACTTGTTCCCCATATCACATAGCTTCTGTAAAGAAAGACTTCTGGCTCGGTCCAGGGCCAACCCAGGTGTGGTTGGTGGAGATAATATTATAAGTGTAGCACTTGGGCCACAGCTTAGGAGAAATCAAATGGGAAAAGTCTTTTTCCCTTCTCCCTCCAGGGACTCGAACAGCAACTGATTTCCTCATCCAACTTGACCCTCCAAGGTGTCCTGGGAACAGGGTGCAGGAGTGCAAGGTAGGCATGCTCCCTGAACTGAGCTGTAAGGAACCTGGCTTGCTTTGGTCAAGGATAGGCCGAGGTAAACGTTCAGAGTGACTCAGTGAGTTTAGAGCGCAGGCGTATAACTCCACTTGTTGTCATGCCATGTAGACATAACATAGAGAAGCTCACCACCATAGTCATAATATAGGGAAGGCTCATCACTTGGCTCTAAGCCGCTATTGTCTATAAAAGGTATAATTGCTTTGCCGACACTGTACAGGCACACTGGTGTCCAGAGAAAGAGCCAAAGCTGTCCATCTTTGCAGATGGACAGAGGGGAGCCAGGATGCAGCTTGGCTCACTCATGTCCAGAGAGAGAAAGAGTTAAGCTGCTGACCCTGAAGGCAAAGGAGAGCCAACCATGCAGCTGTGTGTGGGAGCCACTGAACTAACCAGCTGAGACAGGGTGGACAGTGTGAGAAAGCTGTTGATGAGAGCTGATGCTGAATAAAATCATCTTTCACCTGCCTACAGCCCCCCAAGTGTTCTTTCTTCTCATCCACCCACTCCCTTCGGACTGCAACATGACATTTGGCATAATCGTGAACCTGACATAAGCATAACTGAGGCAGGCAGATGTAAGACCTGAGTGTGCAAAGGGCCCTTCTAGGGTGGAATTTATACCTATGGCCAGGGCACTGAGACATCCAGCTCACCCTGGATGTCGCCATTAGCATAGCTCACTTGGCATTTGAGGTTACATTAGATCCCTTGAGGTATTGTTGTGAGGCTGGCTTTTTTTTTTTCTTTGAGGAGAAAAAGGAGGAATTCATTTTTATTTTCACAAGGTCTCCAGAAGCCTGGGTTGGTGCAGGTGGGAATGTGCAGCTGACATTGAAGCCTGTGGGAGGGTGGGAAGGAGCCCCACTGGGGATAACACACCCCTGGCCCCCACTTAGCTTTTACTCCTATCTCGGTGGTCTATGAGTCTTTGGTCCCCAGTAGCCCTACTGGTCAGGGACTGTGTCTCATTCTTTTTGATGGCCCCACAGTGCCTAACCTAGCGCCTGACACAGTCAGTCCCCAGTGAATATAGAGTAGTGGCTCAATAGCTTCTTCAATATTAGAACAATGATGAATGTTTCCATGTTTCCCATTCCAAAAGCAGATTTAGAACACTGACACCCATTTAGAAGCAGGATCAAAGCCCACAGCATAAGGGCTATTCTGACACTGTTGATACCACCTATTCCAGCACACCACCTTCCAAGGTCAAAAGCAACTGCTCCCCTCCATTTCCCAGCTGTCCTGCCTGGGAAAAACAGGATTGTAACAGAACAGGAAGTATTAAGTAGGAAAACACTAGAAGTTAGAATTGTAAAATGTAGTAACACACTAGATGCCTGAAGACTCCTTAAGCAGGCCTGATGGAAAGCTGGGAAGGAGGAGGGACAATTGTGAAAGAGACCAAAAGACCAGGTGCTTGAAAAACTTTGGTTCCCTGACTAATTAGTGGAGTCAAATGGAAAGACAGCCCAAGAGAGGACATTGCGGGTAAGGTGGAAATGGAAACCAGGCCATTAAAAATATATAAAGAAGAGCCTTGCAAGGAACTCCATAATCAATAACAAAGACACATACCCCTGAACATAAAATAAAAGTTTGAAAAAAAAAAAAAGACGTGAAAGAGAGAAAGCCAGCTAAGGACTCACCAACAGCAATGACACCTCCGGTGCAGATAGCACTTTATAAGGTGCTTTCATGTATAACAACATAGAGAGTAAGATAGGACTTTGTATTCCCACTTTATAGAGTGGGCAGCTGAAGTTCAGAGAGGGCATATAATTTATCTACAGTCACACAGCTGGTAAGTGGCAGAGCCTGTTCTCTAGCACTCAGAATGGAAAAGGATTCAGTGAATAGGCTGAAAGAATTCTTTATCTTTGTCTCACCAAAGGAGGTGGTAAATTTGCCACTAAAATAGACAAATAAATATGTTCTCCCTACCATGCAGCAGCAGCACAGCATAGCTAAGGCATGGTTTCTGGAGTCCAACAGACCTAGGCTCCAGCCGTAGCTCTTCTACCTACTAATGAGAGACCAGGAACAAGCTGTTTAATCTCTCAGAACTTAATTTCCACAACTGAAAGATAGGAATAATACTAGAGTTATTTTGAGGGGGGAAAACATGGTTGTGTATGTAATAAAATTGCTAATATTTATAAAGTGCTTAGTGTTTTCTTTTTCTTTCTTTTTTTTTTTTTGAGATGAAGTCTCGCTCTGTCACCCAGGCTGGAGTGCAGTGGCACTATCTCGGCTCACTGCAAGCTCCGCCTCCCGGGTTCATGCCATTCTCCTGCCTCAGCCTCCCAAGTAGCTGGGACTACAGGCGCCCGCCACCATGCCTGGCTAATTTTTTATTTCTAGTAGAGACGGGGTTTCACCATGTTAGCCAGGATGGTCTCAATCTCCTGACCTCGTGATCCACCTGCCTCAGCCTCCCAAAGTGCTGGGATTACAGGCGTGAGCCACCACACCCAGCCAGGTTTTTTTAACAATAACATGTTTTCTATTGAAAACTTAAAGTAAATTTTAACACCAAGTCTCCCAATTTTGGGTGAAACAAGCACACCCTCCTTTCCCCTCCCACCCTCACCGTTCTTTTCACCATCTCCTGGAAAGATCAAGAAGGAAGGGTTTGAGGGGGCTGGTTAGGTGCCCAGGCCAGGTGGGCCTGTGGGAGCTCTGACCACTCATCTAGCAGCAGTTAAGCATTTATCTGAAATGGATGCTGCAGATGGATGGAGAATCCTTCTGCAAAGACTAGCACAGTCTGAGGTGATGCCAGGGAGCTCTGCCCCACATTTCAGTCCCCCAAAGCCATCCCACCATGCTACCACTTTCTTTGAGGCCCAAAGAGCTTCTGTCTTCTCAAAAGGCCCCCTAGTAAAAATGGAAGTATTTCTGTAGGTGTTAAGCATATCAGCTAACACTTTTCTTATCAGCCACAGCACCTTTGTTATCAGCGAACACCTTGGCTCAAATTACTTGACAACTTTCAGAGTGTGTGTGCACAGAAGAAACCCCTGTTTTGTCCCTGGTAGAGGAAGGTGAAGGGTGGCAATAAGGGTTTAGGGAATGCAAAGTGAACAGGGAGAATTTTTAGAGGAGACCCAAGATAATGCTTTGCTTGCCCTGCACTCATGAGAGAGGGGACAGGGGGAGATGCAAGAGGTGCGTGTGTTCGTGTGTGTATGTGTTTGTGTGTGTTATATAATCTGTGTAAGGACTCCTGGGAAGCAGACATCAAGTTCTGAGAAGAGGATTGCAGAGAAGTTTGCATGGCCTGAATGGGGAGTGTAGACCCTCAAGGGATGCCTGAATCTGTTGTTGTAAAATGTTTTAAATCAATCATTTAAAAAATTTATTTAATAACTAGCCTCTCTCCTAATACCCAATTTGTACTTGCTTCACTTATGAAAAGCCATTTGAATATTTACCTTCCAAATCAGATCATTCTGAGCATCCAGTCAGTAGTTACACTATGAAAAACTTGTTAACAGGCAAGAGAGGCTATAGTTTATAGCCAGCACCTGGTAGCTGGGAACAGTGAGCTATGACAGATGCAGGGGGAGGGGATGTGTCCTGTTTCAGGGGCTGATCGTTGATACCAGATCCTGCTCCCCAAATCACACCTCTCAAATATTAGCTCAGCGTAGATGGCATCCACACCTCCTCTCTCTCATAGTAAGGGAATCAGGGGCATCTCCAGGTGTATACTCCACCTAGCTCTCAGCATCATTCACTCCATTTTGTTCTCCTAAGTTCTCCTAGGAATCTTCCACTAATATATTTTAGTGTGGCTCCAGGGAATAAAAGAGACAAAACCAATGGCTTACTGAGAATAATATTTTAAGTGATATTTAATGCTTCAGATAATTGGTCATAACAAGATAAAAGGTCAGTTTACCAAATTATAGATACAATGTTATCCCAACACTATAAAAATATACTGTTACGTATATATGTATATGCAAAAGAAAATACATGAAAATATTAACCTGGTTAATATTAACATTAACAATGGATATCTCTGCGCACTGAGACTGAGGGTGACTTCTGTTAGCTTTCCTCAAGTCCATTCACTTCTCTCCAGGTCTTTGGCATCACCTAGTCATGTCACTATCATCTCCCTCCTGATCTTCTACAGTAACCTCCTAAATGATCAGCCTGCAGCTGGTCTTACCAATTCACTCCCCACACAGAATCAAGACTGAACTTCTTCAAATGCAAATCTGGTGACCATGGAGACAGGATGACAAACTGGCACCAGCTGCTTGCTCCTTCCATGAAACCCAACCCTAGAGATGTCCAAGAAGCAAACGTGAGCTTATTAGATTCAATGCTTATTGCAAAAACTATTTTTTTGGTTTGTATGCTTGTTTGTTGATTGGTAGGGAGTTAAAGGTTGGTTAGGTTTTGGAGTTGTCACAAGGACAGAAAATGGCAGCCTACAGCAGACAAGGGCTAGAAACTTTGGACAGTATATTAGCTTCCTATTGCTGTGTAACAAATTATTGCAAATTTAGCACCTTAAAACAACATACTTTTAGCGTCTCTCAGTTCCTGTGAGTCAGGCATCCAGACATGGCTCAGCTGGGCCCTTTGCTCAGGGTTTCACAAGTCTGTGATCAGTGTCTGGACTGCATTTCTTTCTGGAGCTCCAAGTTCTCCTTCTCAGCTCATATAATTGTCAGCAGAGTTAGTTCCTTGCGTTTGTAGGACAGAGGTCCCTGCTCTCTTGCTGGCTGTCAGTAAGGGCCACTGTCAGCTCCTAGAGGCCCCCACAGTTCCCTGTCATATGGCTTTCTGACAACCTGGCCACTTACTTCTTCAAAGCCAGCAGGGAAGCTCACTCTATCTCCATCTTACTAAGATGGAATCTTATATAATGTAATATAATCACAGTGTGACTATTCCACCATATTCACAGGTCCTACCCACATTCAAGGGGAGGAGACTATAAAGGGTGTGTATACCAGGAGACAGGAATCCTGGGGATCATCTCAGAATTCCACCTACCACAATTTGACCTCTGGCCTCCAGTAATTCATATTCCTCCCACATGAAAAATACATTCACCTTATCTGTTACAGGCTAAATTGTGTCGCGCAAAATTCATACATGAAAGTCCTAACTCCCAGTATGTGACTGTATTTGGAAATAGAGTCTTTAAAGAAGTAATTAAAGGTCGGGCGCAGTGGCTCACACCTGTAATCCCAGCACTTTGGGAGGCTGAGGCAGGCAGATCACGAGATCAGGAGATCAAGACCATCCTGTCTAACATGGTGAAAGCCTGTCTCTACCAAAAATACAAAAAACTAGCCGGGTGTGGTGGCACACATCTGTAGTCCCAGCTACTCAGGAGGCTAAGGCAGGAGAATCGCTTGAACCCAGGAGGCGTTGATTGCGGTGAGCCGAGATCACGCCACTGCACTCCAGCCTGGACAACCGGGTGAGACTCCGTCTCAGAAAAACAAAAATAAATAAATGAATAAATGAATAAATAAATAAATAAATTTAAACACAGAATGACTCAAAATATACGTTTGCTTGTTTTTGAAAAAAAAAAGAAGTAATTAAATTGAGATCCTTAGGATGGGCCCTAATGTAACATGACTGGTGTCCTTATACAAAGTAGAAATTTGGGCATAGATGTATACAAAAGGAAGACCGTGTGAAGACACAGAGAGAGACAGGCATCTATAAGCCAAAGATATGGGCCCTCAGGAAAAAAAAAAAACCCTGCCAATACTTTCATTTCAGACTTCTAACATCCAGAATTGTGAGAAAAATCATTTCTGTCATCCAGGTCACCCAGTTTGTGGTACTTTGATTTGGCAGCCCTAGCTGACTAATACACCATCCCAGCATCTTCATCCCATTACATCATCAGCAAAATCTCTTCATCAAATCTCATCTCATCAGCTCAAAATCCAAAATCTCATTATCTAAATCATATAACTCAGGTACAGACAGGGATCCTGGGTACAGTCTATTAAGTACAATTCCTGGGGCACAATTTCTCTCCATTTAAGAACCTGTAAAACTTAAGAGACAAATTATCTACCCACAAGGTACCCAACATACAATGTTCAGATAGACATAGGATAATTGCTATAGACATCCTGGTTCAAAAATGGGAGAGATGAGAGATAAATAAAGGAGTCACCTGTCCATCACAGTATTGAAATTCAGCCAAGCAAATATTACATTTCCTTGATTAAGTTTCAAGGAATGGGAATAGAGACTGTTTAGCTCTCTAACCTCTGAACTCTGCACTCTGGTCTCTGAGTCATCTTTCCTTTTTGACAAAAGGTAGCTCATGTTTGCAGCTGAGTCATTTTAATCAGTCCACTTTCTGCCAGTAGCTCAGAGTCCTCTTTCAAGCCTGGTGTAGAAAGCTAGAACTAGCATATAGAGTGAGGAGGGCATATTTGCAGGTGAGGGGCTAGCAACGAAAATAGGAGATTGGTCTCGTACAGGAACACTGGTCACATAATTAAATATATTAAAGATATTGAGAGCCAGGTTTCTTACCATCAGAAAATGGATTAACAAATATGAAAAATGAGAAATATAGAATGAACTCTGTGGTTTTGGATTGGAATTGGAAGTATCCGTTTGCAATATATAGAGAGAAATATAAAAATATAGATATAAACGTGTGTGTATATCTATATATATTTCTTAGCTATGTCCACTGAGAAGTCCTGGGAAGTGAAACACCCCAAAAGCAAGAACCAAACCTGTTGCCCAGATGCGGGCTTCTCAACATCATTCTCTACTTGAAGGAACCAGGCCTCTTCAGAGAAATGTCTTGAGTTTAAGGCTTGGGCAGGGAAAGTATGAGGTGAGCTCATAACATTTTTTCCCCTCAGAAGGCAAGAAAGTACTCAAAGAATGATAGGACTATATCAAAAGCACACAAACACCAGCTTGAAGAGGCTTCCAATGGCCAAACTGGAGACAATTTGAGTATCAAAGAATGATAGTAACAGATCATAATTCATTGAATAAAATAGGAAACCATGAGCCCATACAGGTATAAAACAATAAATAAATTAATTAAAAGTTTGTTCAGGAATAGAATAGTTACAAAGCTTCAACATTTTTCACACAAAATATTCATTAATTACAAAAAGAAGTAACTTGAAACCGGAGACTAGTAGACATCATCTTAATAAAGCAACTCTTGGCTGGGAGCGGTGGCTCATGCCTCTAATCCCAGCACTTTGGGAGGCTGAGATGGGTGGATCACCTGAGGTCAGGAGTTTGAGACCAGCCTGGACAACATGGTGAAACTGCATCTCTACTAAAAATACAAAAATTAGCCAGGTGTGATGGTGCGTGCCTGTAATCCCAGCTACTCAGGAGGCTGAGGTAAGAGAATCACTTGAACCCTGGAGGCAGAGGTTGCAGTGAGTCAAGATCACGCCACTGCACTCCAGCCTGGGCAACAAGAGCAAAACTCCGTGCCAAAATAAATAAATAAATAAATAAATAAATAAAGCAACCAAAATTGACATCATCAATAATGGGAAAAATTGAAGTTTTGCACTACCTGGCATGATGCACTGAGAAGAACACAGTATCACTTCTATGTTATTCTTTCCAAAGATGCATAACCCAAGTCTATTCTGAGGAAACAGCAGATGGCTCTGAATTGAGAGACATTCTACAAAATAACTGGCCTACAATCTTCGAAAGTGGCAAGGATATGACAGTCAAGGAAAGATGAGGAACCATTTCAAATTGAAGTTAGCCAAAGATGTGATACATGCAGCATTTTGAACTGGATCCTCTTGCTATAAAGAGTATTATTGCAACACTTGGCAAAACTTGGAATGGGATCTGATAAAAATGATTCATCAAGGTTAATTTTCTTTTTTCTTTTTTTTTTCTTTTTTATTTAAGTCACAGGATTTCACTCTGTCACCCAGGCTGAAGTGCAGTGGCACAATCACAGCTCACTGCAGCCTCAACCTCCCAGGCTATAGTGATCCTCCTGCCTCAGCCCCCTGAGTAACTGGGAATTGTATTGTATATACTATATATAGTCTATATAAGCATATGGAAGAATGTCTTTGTAGGAAATAAACACTGAAGTTTTTGGGATAATAGGGAATCAGGTTAGCAGCTTATTCTCAAAGGGTTAAGGAAAAACAGTTACTTCTACCATACTTGTACGTTTTTAGTGTGACTGTAATCCTTTAAAAATATTTAATTTAAAAGTATACTAATAAATAAACGGGCCATGGTTTGACTACTTTTGGGCAGGCTGTCCTCTCACTCCAGCTTGTAGGCCATTTCAGGGCCTGTTGGGTTGGAGACCAATAGTTCGTTGCCAGTCTCAGGCAGGAAAATTGAACTGATTTTGTCCATGCATCAGCAGCTGCCTGAACGTGGCTCAAGATTTCCTGCCTGGCCACATTTCTGGTTAAACTTCACTGACAAATCATTCTCACTGCTCTCAAAATATTTCCCCATGTGTAACGGAGTCACCAAATCAAAGACTTAGGTCTGGCTCTAAAATCTCTCACATTCTTTAGACTACAGCTCTCTGTCTGTCCCTGAATCTTCCTAAACCAGCCAGGCACCCAGGGCTCCTCAGGAATGATTTACTTGCTATTATATTGTGGGGAATGTGGCTGACTTTTGCAAGAGATTTCCTGTCTTCTCTCAACAAGTGACTAAACTGGTTACAGCTAATTCTGCTGGGAAGTAACCAGCTGTTTTTCCACAATGCTGCAGCCATTTCCATGAATTAATTTGGGAGTATTGTAGACCCTTGAAGCAGCATAAGGCTCTGGTGCCTATAGCTTTAGTAGGATTTAGCATCCTCAGCAATGGGCTGAATATAAAGAAACATAAAATCTATTAACGGCTGCTCCTGAAAATGCCTGTGCAGTCTTGGGTGAGGTAAAGAATCTCCCTATTCTTATGAGTGATGAAATGATAGCACCACTAACCCATACCTATTGTCAAGGTGTGTGTGAGGATAAACAGAGTGTATTTGGAGAGTATTGAATTCTATATTAAGAGAATGTAGTATAGCCATATTGCCATATTTATTCAGTGTTAATAGCAGGAAGCAATTTAAAATCCTAGCCCTGCTAAATAAAGGAAGAATTATTATTACTAACAATTACATTTAGATAATAGTTTGTGTTCAGCCACTTATTTATATACTCAGCACACATTCACTGAACACATACTCTGTGCTGGTCACTGTATAGGCACAAAGGATGTAACTGTGAACAGGACAGCACAGTCCTTGCCCTCATGGTGCATAGAGCCAAATGAGGAACTGTGCAACTAGCCACTTCTTGCAAGTTTGAGGAGTAATAAAAAGAAAAAAAAAGAACTTAATTTTCAATGAAAATGACTATTATTATTAGGCAAGTGAAAAAAAAATCATAGGCTTGGAAGTCAGAAGAGGATTTGAGACCTGGATCTCCTGCTTACTGCTATGTCAGCCTCAAAAAGTTACTTAAATTCTGGTCGCCTGGGCAAGATGGCCAACTAGTGACAGCTCCAGGCTGCAGCTCCCAGCGAGATCAACACAGAAGGTGGATGATATCTGCATTTCCAACTGAGGTACCCAGCTCATCTTATTAAGACTGGTTAGACAGTGGGTGCAGCCCACAGAGGGCAAGCAGAAGCAGGGAGGGGTGCCACCTCACCAGGGAAACACAAGGGGTCAGGGAAGTCCCTCCCCTTGCCAAGGGAAGTCGTAAGGGACTGTACCACGAGGAATGGCGCATTCTGGCCCAGAAACCATGCTTTTCCCACAGTCTTTGTAACCCGCAGACCAGGAGATTCCCTCAGGTGCCTACACCTGGGTTTCAAGCACAAAATTTGGTGGCCGTTTGGGCAGACACAGAGCTAGCTCCAGGAGTTTTTTTCATACTCCAGTGGTGCCTGGAACGCTAGCAAAACAGACTGTTCACTCCCCTGGAAAGGGGGTTGAAGCTGGGGAGCCAAGTGGTCTAACTCAATGGATCCCACCCCCATGGCTAAGACCCACTGGTTTGAAATTCTTGCTGCCAGCACAGCACTCTGAAATTGACCTGGGATGCTAGAGCTTGGTGGGGGGAGGGGCATCTGCCATTACTGAGGCTTGAGTAGGCGGTTTTTCCCTCACAGTGTAAACAAAGCCGCTGGGAAGTTCAAAATGGGCAGAACCCACCACAGCTCAGCAAAGCTGCTGTAGCCAGACTGCCTCTCTAGATTCCTCCTCTCCGGGCAGGGCATCTCTGAAAGAGAGGCAGCAGCCCCAGTCAGGAGCTTATAGATAAAACTCCCATCTCCCTGGGACAGAGCACCTGGGAGAAGGGGCGGCTGTAAGCGCAGCTTCAGCAGACTTAAACGTTCCTGCCTGCCAGCTCTGAAGAGAGCAGCGGATCTCACAGCACAGCGCTCAAGCTCTGCTAAGGGAGAGACTGCCTCCTCAAGGCACCTCCTCCAGTGCCTCCTGACTGGGAGACACCTCCCAGCAGGGGTCGACAGAAACCTCATACAGGAGAGTGACAGCTGGCATCTGGTGGGTGCCCCTCTGGGATGAAGCTTCTGGAGGGAGGAAGAGGTAGCAATATTTGATGTTCTGCAGCCTCCGCTGGTGATAGCCAGGCAAAGAGGGTCTGGAGTGGACTTCCAGCAAACTCCAGCAGACCTGCAGCAGATGGTCCTGACTGTTAGAAGGAAAACTAACAAACAGAAAGGAATAGCATCAACATCAACAAAAAGGATGTCCACACAAAAACCCAACAGAAGGCCATCAACATCAAAGACCAAAGGTAGATAAATCCATGAAGATGAGGAAAAACCAGTGCAAAAAGGCTGAAAATTCCAAAAGCCAGAATACCTCTTCTCCTCCAAAGGATCACAACTGCTCACTAGCAAGGGAACAAAACTGGACAGAGAATGAGTTTGATGAATTGACAGAAGTAGGCTTCAGAGGTGGGTAATAACAAACTCCTCTGAGTGAAAGGAGCATGTTCTAACCCAATGCAAGGAAGTTAAGAACCTTGAAAAAAGGTTAGAGGAATTGCTAACTAGAATAACCAGCTTAGAAAAGAAGATAAATGACCGGATGGAGCTGAAAAACACAGCACGAGAACTTCGTGAAGCATACATAAGTATTAACAGCCAAATCAATCAAGCAGAAGAAAGGATAAAAGAGATTAAAGATCAACTTAATGAAATCAAGCATGAAGACAAGACTCAAGAAAAAAGAATGAAAAAGAATGAACAAAGCCTCCAAGAAATATGGGACTATGTGAAAAGACCAAACCTATGTTTGATTGGTATACCTGAAAGTGATGGGGAGAATGGAACCAAGTTGGAAAACACTCTTCAGGATATTATCCAGGAGAACTTCCCCAACCTAGCAAGGCAGGCCAACATTCAAATTTAGGAAATACAGAGAACACCACAAAGATACTCCTCGAGAAAAGCAACCCCAAGACAAATAATTGTCAGATTCACCAAGGTTGAAATGAAGGAAAAAATGTTAAAAGGAGCAAGAGAGAAAGGTGAGGTTACCCACAAAGGGAAGCCCATCAGATTAACAGTGGGTCTCTGCAGAAACCCTACAGCCAGAAGAGAGTGGAGGCCAATATTCAACATTCTTAAAGAAAAGAATTTTCAACCCAGAATTTCATATCCAGCCAAATTAAGCTTCATGAGTGAAGGAGAAATAAAGTCCTTTACAGACAAGCAAATGCTGAGAGATTTTGTCACCACCAGGCCTGCCTTACAAGAGTTCCTGAAGGAAGCACTAAACATGGAAAGGAAAAGCCAGTACCAGCCACTGCAAAAACATACCAAATTGTAAAGACCATCAATGCTATGAAGAAACTACATCAACTAATGGGCAAAATAACCAGCTAGCATCATAATGATAGGATCAAATTCACACATAACAATATTAACCTTAAATGTAAATGGGCTAAATGCCCCCAATTAAAAGACACAGACTGGAAAATTGGATAGAGTCAAGACCCATTGGTGTGCTGTATTCAGGAGACCCATCTCACATGCAAAGACACACTTAGGCTCAAAATAAAGGGATGGAGGAAGATTTACCAAGCAAATGGAAAGTAAAATAAAAGCATGGGTTGCAATCCTAGTCACAGATAAAACAGACTTTAAACCAACAAAGATCAAAAAGACAAAGAAGGGCATTACATAATGGTAAAGGGATCAATGCAACAAGAGAGCTAACTATCCTAAATACATATGCACCCAATACAGGAGCACCCAGATTCATAAAGAAAGTTCTTAGAGACCTAAAAAGAGACTTAGACTCCCACACAATAATAGTGGGAGACTTTAACACCCTACTGTCAGTATTAGACAGATGAACAAGACAGAAAATTAACAAGGATATTCAGGACTTGAACTCAGCTCTGGACCAAGCAGACCTAATAGACCTCTACAGAACTCTCCACCCCAAATTAACAGAATATACATTCTTCTCAGCACCACATCATACTTACTCTAAGATTGACCACATAATTGGAAGTAAACACTCCTCAACAAATGCAAAAGAACGGAAATCATAACAAACAGTCTGTCAGACCACAGTGCAATCAAATCAGAACTCAGGAATAAGAAACTCACTAAAAACCGCACAACTACGTGGAAACTGAACAACCTGCTCCTGAATGACTACTGGGTAAATAACAAAATTAAGGCAGAAATAAATGAGTTCTTTGAAACCAATGAGAATGAAGACACAATGTACCAGGATCTCTGGGACATATTTAAAGCAGTGTGTACAGGGAAATTTATAGCACTAAATGCCCACAAGAGAATGCAGGAAAGATCTAAAATTGACACCCTAACATCACAATTAAAAGAACTAAAGAAGCAAGAGCAAACAAATTCAAAAGCTAGCAGAAGGCAAGAAATAACTAAGATCAGAGCAGAACTGAAGGAGATAGAGTCACGAAAAACCCTTCAAAACATCAATGAACCCAGGAGCTCATTTTTTGAAAAGATGAACAAAATAGATAGATGGCTAGCCAGACTAATAAAGAAGAAAAGAGAGAAGAATCAAATAGATACAATAAAAAAATGATGAAGGAGACATCACCACTGATCCCATAGGAATACAAACAACCATCAGAGAATACTATAAACACCTCTATGCAAATAAACTAGAAAATCTAGAAGAAATGGATAAATTCCTGGACACATACACCCTCCCAAGACTAAACCAGGAAGTCAAATCCCTGAATAGACCAATAACAAGTTCTGAAATTGAGGCAGTAATTAATACCCTAACAACAAAAAAAAGCCCAAGACCAGGTGGATTCAGAGCCAAATTCTACAAGAGCTACCAAGAGGAGTTGGTACCATTCCTTCTGAAACTATTCCAAACAATAGAAAAAGAGGGACTCCTCTCTAACTCATTTTATGAGGTCAGCATCATCCTGATAACAAAACCTGGCAGAGGCACAACAAAAAAAGAAAATTTCAGGACAATATCACTGATGAACATCAATGTGAAAACCCCCAATAAAATACTGGCAAACTGAATCCAGCACCATATCAAAAGCTTATCCACCATGATCACGTCAGCTTCATCCCTGGGATCCAAGGTTCAACATATGCAAATCAATAAACAGAACCAATGACAAAAACCACATGATTATCTCAATATACGCAGAGAAGGCCTTCGACAAAATTCAACACTCCTTTATGCTAAAAACTCTCAATAAACTAGGTATTGACGTAACGTATCTCAAAATAATAAGAGCTATTTATGACAAACCCACAGCCAATATCATACTGCATGGGCAAATGCTGGAAGCATTCCTTTTGAAAACCAGCACAAGACAAGGATGCCCTCTCTCACCACTCCTATTCAACATTCTGGCCAGGGCAATCAGGCAAGAGAAAGAAATAAAGGGTATTAAAATAGGAAGAGAGAAAGACAAATGGTCTCTGTTTGCAGATGACATGATTATATATTCAGAAAACTCCATCATCTCAGCCCAAAATCTCCTTAAGCTGGTAAACAAATTCAGCAAACTCTCAGGATACAAAATCAATGTGCAAAAATCACAAGCATTCCTGTACACCAATAACAGACAAGCAGAGAGCCAAATCATGAATGAACTCCCATTTACAATTGCTACAAAGAGAATACAATACCTAGGAATACAGCTAACAAGGGGAGTGAAGGACCTCTTTAAGGAGAACTACAAACCACTGCTCAAGGAAATCAGAGAGGATGCAAACAAATGGAAAAACACTCCATGCTCCCAGACAGGAAGAATCAATATCATGAAAATGGCCACACTGCCCAAAGTAATTTATAAATTCAATGCTACACCCATTAAACTAACATTGACATTCTTCACAGAATTAGAAAAAACTATTTTAAAATTCATATGGAAGCAAAAAAGAGCCTGTACAGTCAAGACAATTGTAAGCAAAAAGAACAAAGCTGGAGGCATTACACTACCTGACTTCAAACTATACTACAAGTTTACAGTAACCAAAACAGCATGGTACTGGTACTAAAACAGACACATAGACCAGTGGAACAGAATAGAGACTCAGAAATAAGACCGCACATCTACAGCCATCTGATCTTTGACAAAGCTGACAAAAACAAGCAATGGGGAAAGGATTCCCTATTTAATAAATGGTGCTGGAACACTGGCTGGCCATGTGCAGAAAATCAAAACTGGTACCCTTCTTTGCACCTTATACAAAATTTAACTCAAGATGGATTAAAGACTTAAATGTAAGACCTAAAACCATAAAAACCCTAGAAGAAAACCTAGGCAATACCATTCAGGACATAGGCATGGGCAAAGACTTCATGTCTAAAACACCAAAAAAAAAATGGTAACAAAAGCCAAAATTGACAAATGAGATTTAGTTAAACTAAAGAGCTTCTGCACAGCAAAAGAAACTCTCATCAGAGTGAACAGGCAACCTATAGAATGGGAGAAAATTTTTGCAAACTATCCCTCTGACAAAGGGCTAATATCCAGAATCTACAAGGAACTTAGACAAATTTACAAGAAAAAAACAAACAACCTCATCAAAAAGTGGGCAAAGGATATGAACAGACACTTCTCAAAAGAAGACATTTATGCAGCCAACAAACATATGAAAAAAAAAGCTCACCATCATTGGTCATTATAGAAATGCAAAACAAAACCACAATGAGACACTCATCTGACAAAGGGCTAATATCCAGAATCTACAAAGAACTCAAACAAATTTACAAGAAAAAACAAACAACCCCATCAACAAGTGGGTGAAGGATATGAACAGACACTTCTCAAAAGAAGACATTTATGCAGCCAACAGACACATGACAAAATGCTCATCATCACTGGCCATCAGAGAAATGCAAATCAAAACCACAATGAGATACCATCTCACACCAGTTAGAATGGTGATCATTAAAAAGTCAGGAAACAACAGATGCTGGAGAGGATGTGGAGAAATAGGAACACTTTTACACTGTTGGTGGGCGTGTAAATTAGTTCAACCATTGTGGAAGGCAGTGTGGTGATTCCTCAAGGATCTAGAACCAGAAATATCATCTGACCCAGCCATCCCATTACTGGGTATATGACTCACTACACTCCACGGAAGCAACATGAAGTGATCTGCTGCAGTACTCTGAGCCCTGGGATTCATTTTTCTCTTCACTGTGGGTGGCCTAACCGGCATTGTACTAGCAATTACTAGGATTATAAATCATGCTACTATAAAGACACATGCACACATATGTTTATTGCAGCACTATTCACAATAGCAAAGACTTGCAACCAACCCAAATCCCCATCAATGATAGACTGGATAAAGAAAAAGTGGCACATATACACCATGAAATACTATGCAGCCATAAAAAAGGATGAGTTCATGTCCTTTGCAGGGACATGGATGAAGCTGGAAACCATCATTCTCAGCAAACGAATATAGGAACAGAAAATGAAACATTGCATGTTCTCACTTATAACTGGGAGTTGAACAATGAGAACACATGGATACAGGGCGGGGAATATCACACACCAGAGCCTGTTGTGGGGTGAGGGCCTAGGGGAGGGATAGCATTAGGAGAAATACCTAATGTAGATGATGGGTTGTTGGGTGCAGCAAACCACCATGGCATGTGTATACCTACGTAACAAACCTGCACGCTCTGCACATGTATCCCAGAACTTAAAGCATAATAATAAAAAAAAAGTTACTTAACTTCGAATAGCCTTGATTTCATCAGCATTCTCTGAGAATCCATATAGCAACATCTGTACAGCCTCTCTCATGAGGTTGTTGTGAAGCTCAAATGAGATAACCAATGTGAAAGCACTTGCAAAACTCATAGATGAGAGTTTTTAAGCCCTGCCAGGTGCCAGAAGATGTGACTGTCCCCAGACATTACTGATCCACCACCACCCACCACTGCCCACTGGCCTCATCTCTGTCCTGTTCAGTATGTTTAACAACATATTGGATGAAAACATAAGATGTTTATTAATATACAGCACAAATGAAGCTAAAAATAGAAAATACAAAGAATGATGGATTGATCTGTTCCAAGATGGCCAAATAAGGACAGCTTCAGTCTTCAGTTCCCAGCATGATTGACACAGAAGATGGATGATTCCTGCATTTCCAACTGAGGTGCCTGGTTCCTCTCACTGGGACTGGTTGGACAGTGGGTGCAGCCCACAGAGGGTGAGCCAAAGAAGAGTGGGCATCACCTCACTCGGGAAGTTCAAGGGGTTGGGGGATTTCCCTTTCCTAGCCAAGAGAAGTCAGAACCGACTGTACCTGGAAAAATGGGACACTCCCACCCAAATAGTGTGCTTTTCCCAAGGTCTTAGCAACCAGCAGACAAGGAGATTCTCTCCTGTGCCTGGCTCAGCGGGTTTCATGCCCATGGAACCTTGCTCACTGCTAGCGCAGCAGTCTGAGATCAAACTGCAAGGTGGCAGCCTGGCTTGGGGAGGAACGTTCACCATTGCTGAGGCTTGAGTAGATAAACAAAGTGGCTGGGAAGCTCGAACTGGGCGGAGCCCACCACAGCTCAGCACAGCCTACTGCCTCTATAGACTCCACCTCTGTGGGCAAGGCATAGCTGAACAAAAGGAAGCAGACAGCTTCTGCAGACTTAAATGTCCCTGTCTGACAGCTCTGAAGAGAGCAGTGGTTCTCCCAGCCTGGTGGTTGAGCTCCAAGAACAAACAGACTGCCTCCTCAAGTGGGTCCCTGATCCCCGTGTAGCCTAATGGGGAGACACCTCCCAATAGGGGCTGACAGACACTTCATGTACGCAGGTGCCCCTCTGGGACAAAGCTTCCAGAGGAAGGATCAGGCAGCAATATTTGCTGTTCTGCAATATTTGCTGTTCTGTAGCCTCCACTGGTGATACCCAGGCAAACAGGGTCTGAAGTGGACCTCCAGCAAACTCCAACAGACATGCAGCTGAGGGACCTGACTGTTAGAAGGAAAACTAACAAACAGAAAGCAATAGCACCAACATCAACAAAAAGGACATCTACACCAAAACCCCATCTGTAGGTCACCAACATCAAAGATCAAAGGTTGATAAAACCATAAAGATGGGGAGAAACCAGAGCAAAAAAGCTGAAAATTCTAAAAACCGGAGCACATCTTCTCTTCCAAAGGATCGCAGCTCCTTGCCAGCAATGGAACAAAGCTGGACGGAGAATGACTTTGATGAATTGACAGAAGTAGGCTTCAGAAGGTCATAATAACAAACTTCTCCAAGTTAAAGGAGCATGTTCAAACCCATCGCAAAAAAGCTAAAAACCTTGAAAAAAGGTTAGACAAAGGGTTAACTAGAATAAACAGTGTAGAGAAGACCTTAAATGACCTCATGGAGGTGAAAACCATGGCATGAGAACTTTGTGATGCATGCACAACCTTCAATACCCGATTCCATCAAGTGGAAGATAGGGTATCAGTGATTGAAGATCAAATTAATGAAATGAAGCAACAAAACAAGGTTAGAGAAAAAAGAGTAAAAAGAAACAAACAAAGCCTCCAAGAAATATGGAACTATGTAAAAAGATCAAATCTATGTTTGATAGGTGTACCTGAAAGTGATGGGGAGAATGGAACCAAGTTGGAAAACACTCTTCAGGATATCATCCAGGAGAACTTCCCCAACCTAGCAAGGCAGGCCAACATTCAAATTCAGGAAATACAGAGAACACCATAAAGATACTCCTCGAGAAGAGCAACCCCAAGACACATAATTGTCAGATTCACCAAGGTTGAAATGAAGGAAAAAATGTTAAGTTCAGTCAGAGAGAAAGGTTGGGTTACCCACAAAGGGAAGCCCATCAGACTAACAGTGGATCTCTCTGCAGAAACCCTACAAGCCAGAAGAGAGTGGAGGCCAATATTCAACATTCTTAAAGAAAAGAATTTTCAACTCAGAATTTCATATCCAGCCAAACTAAGCTTCAAAAGTGAAAGAGAAATAAAATCCTTTACAGACCAGCAATGCTGAGAGATTTTGTCACCACCAGGCCTGCCTTACAAGAGGTCCTGAAGGAAGCACTTAACATGGAAAGGAACAACCAGTACCAGCTACTACAAAAACATGCCAAATTGTAAAGACCATCTATGCTATGAAGAAACTGCATCAATTAACGGACAAAATAACCAGCTAACATCATAATGACAGGATCAAATTCACACATAACAATATTAACCTTAAATGTAAATGGGCTAAAAGACACAGACTGGAAAATTGGATAAAGAGTTAATACCCATTGGTGTGCTGTATTCAGGAGACCCATCTCATGTGCAGAGACACACATAGACTCAAAATAAAGGGACGGAGGAAGATATACCAAGCAAATGGAAAGTATAAAAAGAGCAGGGGTTACAATCCTAGTCTTTGATAAAATAGACTTTAAACCAACAAAGATCAAGAGACAAAGAAGGCCATTACATAATGGTAAAGAGATCAATGCAACAAGAAGAGCTAACTATCCTAAATGTATATGCACCCAATACAGGAGCACTCAGATTCATAAAGCAAGTCCTTAGAGATCTACAAAGAGACCTAGACTCCCACACAATCATAATGGGAGACTTTAACACCCCACTGTCAATATTAGACAGATCAACAAGACAGAAGGTTAACAAGGATATCCAGAAAAACAGACCTAATAGACATCTACAGAACTCTTCACCCCAAATCAACAGAATATACATTCTTCTAAGCACCACATCACACATATTCTAAAATTGACTGCATAGTTGGAAGTAAAGCACTCCTCAGCAAATGTAAAAGAACAGAAATCACCACAAACTGTCTCTCAGACCACAGTGCAATCAAATTAGAATTCAGGATTAAGAAACTCACTCAAAACTGCACAACTACATGGAAACTGAACAACCTGCTCCTGAGTGACTACTGGGTAAATAACAAAATTAAGGCAGAAATAAAGATGTTCTTTGGAACCAACAAGAACAAAGACACAACATACCAGAATCTCTGGGACATATTTAAAGCAGTGTGTAGAGGGAAATTTATAGCACTAAATGCCCACAAGAGAATGCAGGAAAGATCTAAAATTGACACCCTAACATCACAATTAAAAGAACTAGAGAAGCAAGAGCAAACAAATTCAAAAGCTAACAGAAGGCAAGAAATAACTAAGATCAGAGCAGATCTGAAAGAGATAGAGACACAAAAAACTCTTCAAAAAATCAATGAATCCAGGAGCTTGTTTTTTGAAAAGATCAACAAAATTGATAGACTGCTAGCAAGACTAATACAGAAGAAAAGAGAGAAAAATCAAATAGATGCAATAAAAAATAATAAAGGGGATATCACCACTGATCCCACAGAAATACAAACTATCATCAGAGAATACTATAAACACCTCTACGCAAATAAACTAGAAAATCTAGAAGAAATGGATAAACTCCTGGACACATACACCCTCCCAAGACTAAACAAGGAAGAATTTGAATCTCTGAATAGACCAATAACAGGCTCTGAAATTGAGGCAATAATTAATAACCTACCAATCAGAAAAGTCCAGGACCTGATGGATTCACAGCCGAATTCTACCAGAGGTATGAAAAGGAGCTGGTAACATTCCTTCTGAAACTATTCCAATCAATAGAAAAAGAGGGACTCCTCCCTAACTCAATTTATTAGGCCAGCATCATCCTGATTCCAAAGCCTGGCGAGACACACACAAAAAAAGAGAATTTTAGACCAAAATTCCTGATGAACATCGATGCAAAGATCCTCAATAAAATACTGGCAAATGAAATCCAGCAGCACACCAAAAACCTTATCCACCACAATCAAATTGGTTTCATCTCTGGCATGCAAGGCTAGTTAAACATATGCAAATCAATAAATGTAATCCATGACATAAACAGAACCAATGACAAAAACCACAGGATTATCTCAATAGATGCAGAAAAGGCCTTCGACAAAATTCAGCAGCCTTCATGCTAAAAACTCTGAATAAACTAGGCATTGATGGAACATATCTCAAAATAATAAGAGCTATTTATGACAAATCCACAGCTGATATCATATTGAATGGGCATAAACTGGAAGCATTCCCATTGAAAACCAGCACAAGACAAGGATGCCCTCTCTCACCACTCCTGTTCAACACAGTGTTGGAAGTTCTGGCCCAGAAAATCAGGCAAAAGAAAGAAATAAAGGGTATTCAATCAGGAAAAGAGGAAGTCAAATTGTCCCTGTTTGTAGATGACATGATTGTATATTTAGAAAACCCCATCGTCTCAGCCCAAAATCTCCTTAAGCTGATAAGCAACTTCAGCAAAGTCTCAGGATACAAAATCAGTGTGCAAAAATCACAATCATTCCTATACACCAATAACAAACAAACAGAGAGCCAAATCATGAGTGAACTCCCATTCACAATTGCTACAAAGATAATAAAACACCTAGCAATGCAACTTACAACGGATGTGAAAGACCTCTTCAAGGAGAAATACAAACCACTGCTCAATGAAATAAAAGAGGACACAAACAAATGGAAGAACATTCCATGCTCATGGATAGGAATCAATATCATGAAAATGGCCATACTGCCCAAGGTAATTTATAGATTCAATGCTATCCCATCAAGCCACCAATGACTTTCTTCACAGAATTGGAAGAAACTACTTTAAAGTTCATATGGAACCAAAAAGAGCCTGCATTGCCAAGACAATCCTAAGCAAAAAGAGCAAAGCTGGAGGCATCATGCTACCTGACTTTAAACTATACTACAAGGCTACAGTAACCAAAGCAGCATGGTACTGGTACCAAAACAGATATATAGATCAATGGAACAGAACAGAGGCCTCAGAAATAACACCACACATCTGCAACTGTCTGAACTTTGACAAATCTTACAAAAACAAGCAATGGGGAAAGGATTCCCTATTTAATAAATGGTGCTGGGAAAACTGGCTAGCCATATGTAGAAAGCTGAAACTGGATCCCTTCCTTACACCTTATACAAAAGTTAACTCAAGATGGATTAAAGACTTAAATGTTTGACCTAAAACCATAAAAACCCTGGAAGAAAACCTAGGCAATACCATTCAGGACATATGCATGGGCAAGGACTTCATGACTAAAACACCAAAAAAAAAAAAAAAATGGCAACAAAAGCTAAAATAGACAAATGGGATCCAGTTAAACTAAAGAGCTTCTGCACAGCAAAAGAAACTCTCATCAGAGTGAACAGGCAACCTACAGAATGGGAGAAAATTTTTGCAACATACCCATCTGACAAAGGGCTAATATCCAGAATCTACAAAGAACTCCAACAAATTTACAAGAAAAAAACAACCCCATCAAAAAGTGGGCAAAGGATATAACAGACACTTCTCAAAAGAAGACATTTATGCAGCCAACAGACACATGAAAAAATGCTCATTATCACTGGTCATCAGAGAAATGCAAATCAAAACCACAATGAGATACCATCTTACGCCAATTAGAATGGTGAACATTAAAAAGTCAGGAAACAGCAGATGTTGGAGAGGGTGTGGAAAAATAGGAATGCTTTTACGCTGTTGGTGGGAGTGTAAATTAGTTCAACCATTGTGGAAGACAGTGTGGCGATTCTTCAAGGATCTAGAACCAGAAATACCATTTGGCCCAGCAATCCCATTGCTGGGTATATACTCAAAGGATTATAAGTCATGCTACTATAAGGACACATGCACATGTATGTCTATTGTGGCAGTTTTCACGATAGCAAAGACTTGCAACCAACCCAAATCCCCATCAATGATAGACTGGATTAAGAAAATATAGCACATATACACCATGGAATACTATGCAGCCATAAAAAAGGATGAGTTCATGTCCTTTGCAGGGACACGGATGAAGCTAGAAACCATCATTCTAAGCAAACTATCACAAGGACAGAACACCAAACACCGCATGTTCTCACTCATAGGTGGGAACTGAACAATGAGAACACTTGGACACAGGACAGGGTACATCACACGCTGGGGCCTGTTGTGGAGTGGGGGCCTCGGGGAGGGATAGCATTAGGAGAAATATCTAATGTAAATGACGAGTTGATGGGTGCAGTAAACCAACATGGCACATGTATACCTATGTAACAAACCTGCACATTGTGCACTTGTACCCTAGAACTTAAAGTATATATAATAAAACAAAAAACAAAACACAAAAAAAGAATGATGGAGCCAGGATCCAATTATCTCCTCAGGATAACAAGATGAAATAGAATCACGATACATGTAAAGTCCTGCATTTAGGTTCACCAAATTGAACATTAACACAAAGAAAAGACCTAGGAGTATCTTGGTATTTCACATGTGAATAGTGTTCTGTTGTTCACAGAGCACTTGAATCTCATTTAATCATTTAGGAAGTTGGCTTCAGTGAATCCAATTTGTTAGATTAAAAATTTGCTCTGATTTATCCTTTTGGTTGCTAATCCACTATTGCTTGAATTAGGTTTAATTAAGTCTGGGTTTATGTTTATTACCACATATGGCTGTATTCTAATCCTTGTCACATCCAAGAGTGTTGGGAGTGTGTACCTTTCTCAGGATTACACAGTGATGCCTGGGTGGGACTGGGAAGAAGAGTAAGATTTCCTTCTTAAACTCAGAGTTCTACCTTTGCTTTAATCTCTACCTCCCCTATAAAAAACTTTCCTCTCTTCCCAGTTACAATTCATCCGTTTTGTTTTCACTATATTCCCCTATACAGAAAAGTGTGTGTGCATGTGTGTATGTTTGCATGGGAGTGTTTACTGGCTTAAACTCAGTTATCCTGCACCAACCAACTTCCCCGCCCATAACTCAACTCTAGATCATAACCCCTTACAAGATAAGATCCATGCCTTACACCTCTTAAAATCTTCAGTACTCTAGCAGAGATTTGCACATATTAGGTGCTCAATAAATATTGGCAGAATTGAGTGGTTTTAATGGAATACAGGCTTCACAGTCACACCTGAATTGAATCACTGTTAAGCTATTTACTAAGCTCCATCCATTACTTTTCCCTCTGATTTTGTTTTGTTTTTAATCTTTAAAATGGGCATAATAACCACTTCATAGGAATTTTCTGAGTATTAAATGCTATCATAAGTTAAATAAATATTAGTTCCCTTCCCTTTTGATTTCTAGCCTATTAACTCTACTGAGGTCATGAGGAGAGTTTCTTTACATGAAATAGTAAGGTTAAGGTACCTTAACTCTAGCCTTCCAAAGTTCCTATACAGAGATCAGATGTCCATGGCTTCTGGTCCCCATCAGCCCACAGTTCCTGCAGACTATCCCAGCCCCTGACTACTCCCTGGAGTCACAGCAAGGCAGCTCTTCTGATTTAAGTCCACCATGCAGGGCTATTTGGGAAGCATGAGGCCTCTTTTCTCCACCATGGCCCTTAACACATCTCATCTGCACAGAACCTGGGCTCTCAGACCTCACAATTATTTTCAATTCAAAAAATGTTTCACTATTTACTTTGTTCCAGGAACTGTGCTAGGGCCAAAAGGTCAAAAAGTTGACTAAGGCATAGCATAATTCTACCTTCAAGGAACTCAGTCTGCTGACAGTAAGTACACGTATACAAACTGATCTCCCACAGAGCAGAATGGAATAGCAGCCAATAAAGAGATAAGCCCCTGGGGAACTCCAAAGTGGGAGATCAACTCTAGATCTGATCAGAAAAGCCTCTGCAGGAATAGTGGTATTTGAGCTGTGCTTATGGATGTATACAGATAGCTGTGCAGGTGAAGAAGACTAAATGGTGGAAGGAATAGCCTAAGTAAAGGCATAGAGGTAGAAAAGAATCAGAGGTATTCAAGTCACAGCCAGCACAAAACTTTGGCCAGAACCTAGGGTATAAACAATGGAGTAGCAGACAAGAAGCCTAATACAGTAGGCAGCTTCTGAAATGTCTCCCACTGATTGCCTCCTGATACTCACACCCTGTTACCATACTCGCCTCCCAATCCAATTAAGTTCTAAAAGACTGGACTGACTTCCATCTTGGTCTCTCCCTCTCCTGTCATTAACTTTGATGGAGCCAGCTGCCGTGTTATGATCTACCCTATGGAGGTGCCCAATTGGCAAGAAACTGAGGGCACCCTCCAAACAAAAGCCAGTGAGGAACCAGGGCCCTCCATCCAATGACCCACAGGGAGCTGAATCCTGCCAGTAACCTCTGGCTGAGCTTGGAAACAGATCCCATCCCGGTCAAACCTTGCATTGACTGTGGCCCTAACTAACACCCTGATTGCAGTCTTTTGAGAACCCTAAGCTGGAGGACCCAGTCAAGCCATAACCAGATTCCTGTCACACAAAAACTGTTAGAGAGTAAATGTGTACTGTTTTAAGCCATTACATTTTGATTATGCTGCAATAGACAATTAGTTAATATATGTGGAAAGAATTAGAGGCAAATCTTGGAGAATCCTCAGTACCAGACTGATATATCTGACCCATGACTGATACATCTTGTCTGTACCTGAAGGCAATTGTGAGATATTAAATGTTGTGTGCAATGATGTGAGTGGAGACAGGTTTTTTGAACAGTCATCTGTCAGTGGTGCATAAGATGAGTTGGAGCAAAAAAGAGAGAGATTCCCAAGATAAGAAATTAAGCAAAACTCTTGAGAAGCTCATGATTCCCTGACAAGAAGCAAAGAATACTTGAGCAATAGTGACAATGGGATTGGAGGGAAGACAGGAGAGATATAAATTAGACTCACCTGGTCTTGGCTGTAGATGGAACATCAGGGGGAAGGAGAGACAGAAAATCAAAGGAAGATTCCAAAGAATAAGGCTTAGGAAGCTGGAAATAGGGAAACATCATTTACAGACTGAAGATCACAGAACTAAGGGCAGGTTTCGAGGGAAAGATGCTGAGCTCAGGTTAGCGCTGTTGAGTTTAAAGTGCCAATGAAACATCTAGATAAATTCAATATTCAAGACTGAAGCTTAAGCCAGAAGTGTGGGAGTCACCTACATAAACTTAGAATCTGAACCTAATGGGGACCAGGGTTACAAGTCACAGCTCGAGTGACGCAGCAACTACCTTAACACACAGCATGAGAAGGTGAGGCTGCAGCTCAGGGACCACAGTGCCACACTTTTCACCTTGAAATCATGGAGAACACAACCTGGAGAAATCACTGGCTTATTGCCAGTGATGCCAGGGATCATGCTGGGAGGACACAGGGCTCTACCTATTGATTCAGTTAGGCCCTGACAAAGGTGTATATATTTTCTTGCATTAATATACCAAATACTGCCCCAGGGAGTGATGTGAAGCCTTCAGGTCTCATTCCAGATGAATATTCATACTCATGTTTGAAAAAAGACATTATCTCATAATCTCCTACAAACATAAAGTAAAATTGTAGTTGCCAGGGACTTAGGGGAAGGAAAAAAAAGAGTCATTTAATGGGTATAGAGTTTCCATTTTGCAAGATTAAAAACTTCTAAAATTGGTTGTAGAACACTGTGAATCTACTTAATACTAAACCACATTTAAAAATTGTTAAGATGGTAAATTATAGGTTATGGACATTTTACCAAAATTTTTTCGATAAGAAATTATTTGTCTAAGAGTTCCTGGCACCTCATCAACAGAATTCTGGTATTGTCAGAGAAAATAATTTAAACAGCTACCATTTACTGACTACCTCCTACATGCCATGTGGCTATAAGTTAATCTTCATAAAAATCCAATGAAATAGGCTATTATCAACCTTATGGAGGCTAAGAAATGTGCACAAGATATACAGCCAGTGAGTAGCAAAGCCAAAATTTGGACCAAGATCTCTCTGATTCCAATAACGTGCTACTTCGTGTGCTACACTGCCACTGGTTGAAATGTAGAAAACAAGCTTAAGGTGTGGAAGACAACTTCGAGGTGGGGGTGGATGGAATTAGGAGAATATCATATAGTCTTAGGCCAAGAACCATGTCTTATTGTTCTTTCTAACTCCCACAAAGCCCAGCACAGTGCAATGTACAGTAAGACCTTCAAAAAATATTTTGGAGAAATAAATGAATAAGAAATCACTATTAAAAAAAACAAAATGACCCATTTCCTTCACTCCTAAAAGTTAAGGTAATTGCTTTCTCTGGCTTTCAAACCAGCCAATCAAAGGTAAGTTTATTCCAAATCAAAAGGCCCCTGGGTCTTCTGATCAACGATCCAACATGTACAGAGTTGGAAGTCAGCACTCCCATCCACTCAACAACAAAAAAGTTGAACAAACAACTCTTCTTAGATCCATCAGAGAACCAAAATCACAGGACAAACAGCCGTCCTGAAAACTGGAGAGACAATGAGGCAAATACAGAGAATTACAGTTTACTGGCGCAAAAGACCACAGCTGGAGCCAATTCCAGAAGAAACACTGACACTATAATGGATGAATTGCTGCAGGTTTAGTGTGGGCTAGCTTGAGAGTTAAACACTGAGGGGTAGCAGCTGTCTTCGAGGGTCCCCAACACTTTCCTGAGTTTTACCTTCAGGACCCCCACCAGGTTCTTATTGTGAAAATTGAAGAAAAATCCCCTGATGCTGCCAGCAAAGGGGTCGGAGATAGACAAAGTAACCATTTAAAAATATTCCCAGAGAGCCCTATTCTCCTTAAGAAAGCTGCCTTCAAGGAAAACTATTTTACCAGAACCTAACTGCCTTGGGGGAAGGAAATACCCAGTTCCAGCCCCTTCAAGCCTTCCATGACCCTATTTTAGAAAGAGTCTCTAGAGAAACCCAAAGACAACAGAGAAAACAAAAGCAAAGACATGAGAGGGAATTTTATCATCTGACACTACGGTTACAGCAAACAGTAAACACACCTAACTCCCAGCCAGAAAAACAAAACCTCACACCAAAGGCCAATATTCCTCTTTCTTTTAACCAGATGTGTAGCTTTGTATGGCAGATGCACCTGCTGGCAATAACTTAAGCATATCCCCAAGAATGCAGACTCACCTGATCTATATAACTGCATGCTTTCCACAAATGGTAGTGGTTTTCCTGTCCCAGCCCTCCACCACTGGTCCACCCTATATGTAAGTTCCCTCAGTAAACCCTATGTCTCGTTCTCTGACTCGGTCTCTTCTTCAGCCTCTCAAACCTAATATAGAACTCAATAGGAGTCTGGCTGACAAGCTCTCAACAAAAAAATACAAGATATGCCAAAAAGCAAAAAAACACAGTCTAGACAAAAAAAAAAAAAAAGCATCAGAACCAAAGGCTAATGTGGCAGAGGTTTTGGAAAAGACCCCTTGAAGGTTCCCAGTGGAGTCCATTTCTTTGAGAAGAGGGTTGTTTTTTCCCTTCTAACTCTATGATCCTGGACAAGCTTTCTAAAGCTGGTTCTGCTGATTCTTCTACCTCAAAGTCTGTCAAATCAATACTATACTTTCTTTTATTTTATTGTTATTATACTTTAAGTTTTAGGGTACATATGCACAATGTGCAGGTTAGTTACATATGTATACATGTGCCATGCTAGTGTGCTGCACCCATTAACTCGTCATTTACATTAGGTATATCTCCTAATGCTATCCCTCCCCTCTAACCTGACCCCACAACAGGCCCCGGTGTGTGATGTTCCCCTTCCTGTGTCCTTGTGTTCTCATTGTTCAATTCCCACCTATGAGTGAGAACATGCGGTGTTTGGTTTTTTGTCCTTGCGATAGTTTACTGAGAATGATGATTTCCAGTTTCATCCATGTCCCTACAAAGGACATGAACTCCTCGTTTTTTATGGCTGCATAGTATTCCATGGTGTATATGTGCCACATTTTCTTTATCCAGTCTATCATTGTTGGACATTTGGGTTGGTTCCAAGTCTTTGCTATTGTGAATAGTGCCACAATAAACATACGTGTGCATGTGTCTTCATAGCAGCATGATTTATAGTTCTTTTGGTAAATACCCAGTAATGGGATGGCTGGGTCAAATGGCATTTCTAGTTCTAGATCCCTGAGGAATCACCACACTGACTTCCACAATGGTTGAACTAGTTTACAGTCCCACCAACAGTGTAAAAGTGATCCTATTTCTCCACATCCTCTCCAGCACCTGTTGTTTCCTGACTTTTTAATGATTGCCATTCTAACTGGTGTGAGATGGTATCTCATTGTGGTTTTGATTTGCATTTCTCTGATGGCCAGTGATGATGAGCATTTTTTCATGTGTCTTTTGGCTGCATAAATGTCTTCTTTTGAGAAGTGTCTGTTCATATCCTTCACCCACTTTTTGATGGGGTTGTTTGTTTTTTTCTTTTAAATTTGTTTGAGTTCATTGTAGATTCTGGATATTAGCCCTTTGTCAGATGAGTAGGTTGCGAAAATTTTCTCCCATTTTGTAGGTTGCCTGTTCACTCTGATGGTAGTTTCTTTTGCTGTGCAGAAGCTCTTTAGTATAATTAGATCCCATTTGTCAATTTTGGCTTTTGTTGCCATTGCTTTTGGTGTTTTAGACATGAAGTCCTTGCCCATGCCTATGTCCTGAATGGTAACGCCTAGGTTTTCTTCTAGGGTTCTTATGGTTTTAGGTCTAACATGTAAGTCTTTAATCCATCTTGAATTAATTTTTGTATAAGGTGTAAGGAAGGGATCCATTTTCAGCTTTCTACATATGGCTAGCCAGTTTTCCCAGCACCATTTATTAAATAGGGAATCCTTTCCCCATTGCTTGTTTTTGTCAGGTTTGTCAAAGATCAGATAGTTGTAGATATGCGGCATTATTTCTGAGGACTCTGTTCTGTTCCATTGATCTATATCTCGGTTTTGGTACCAGTACCATGCTGTTTTGGTTACTGTAGCCTTGTTGTATAGTTTGAAGTCTGGTAGTGTGATGCCTCCAGCTTTGTTCTTTTGGCTTAGGATTGACTTGGCGATGTGAGCTCTTTTTTGGTTCCATATGAACTTTAAAGTAGTTTTTTCCAATTCTGTGAAGAAAGTCATTGGTAGCTTGATGGGGATGGCATTGAATCTATAAATTACCTTGGGCAGTATGGCCATTTTCATGATATTGATTCTTCCCACCCATGAGCATGAAATGTTCTTCCATTTCTTTGTATCCTCTTTTATTTCACTGAGCAGTGGTTTGTAGTTCTTCTTGAAGAGGTCCTTCACATCCCTTGTAAGTTGGATTCCTAGGTATTTTATTCTCTTTGAAGCAATTGTGAATGGGAGTTCACTCATGATTTGGCTCTCTGTTTGTTATTGGTGTATAAGAATGCTTGTGATTTTTGTACATTGATTTTTGTATCCTGAGACTTTGCTGAAGTTGCTTATCAGCTTAAGGAGATTTTGGGCTGAGACAATGGGGTTTTCTAGATATACAATCATGTCATCTGCAAACCGGGACAATTTGACTTCCTCTTTTCCTAATTGAATACCCTTTATTTCCTTCTCCTGCCTAATTGCCCTAGCCA
Source organism: Homo sapiens (assembly GCF_000001405.40). NCBI lineage: Eukaryota > Metazoa > Chordata > Mammalia > Primates > Hominidae > Homo > Homo sapiens. The sequence continues at coordinate 147,875,034 of NC_000001.11, forward strand.
GAACTTCCAACACTCTGTTGAATAGGAGTGGTGAGAGAGGGCATCCCTGTCTTGTGCCAGTTTTCAAAGGGAATGCTTCCAGTTTTTGCCCATTCAGTATGATATTGGCTGTGGGTTTGTCATAGATAGCTCTTATTATTTTGAGATACGTCCCATCAATACCTAATTTATTGAGAGTTTTTAGCATGAAGAGTTGTTGAATTTTGTCAAAGGCCTTTTCTCCATCTATTGAGATAATCATGTGGTTTTTGTCTTTGGTTCTGTTTATATGCTGGATTACATTTATTGATTTGTGTATATTGAACCAGACTTGCATCCCAGGAATGAAGCCCACTTGATCATGGTGGATAAGCTTTTAGATGTGCTGCTGGATTCCGTTTGCCAGTATTTTATTGAGGATTTTTGCATCAATGTTCATCAAGGATATTGGTCCAAAATTCTCTTTTTTGGTTGTGTCTCTGCCCGGCTTTGTTATCAGGATGATGCTGGCCTCATAAAATGAGTTAGAGAGGATTCCCTCTTTTTCTATTGATTGGAATAGGTTCAGAAGGAATGGTACCAGTTAAATATAGTGTGGAGGAACAAGGAGGAATCCATACTATATTTTCATCCTGCTGCTGTCCCCTGAATCTAGGTCCCTGGGCCACTTGGATTGTTATGTAATCTAACTATTCTCCCTGCCTCCCTGACCCTATAACTACCCCAGACTGATTATTCTAAAACATCACTTAGCACATCGCAGCTCCACCTGTGAGACTCAATGTCAAGGGAATCAAGGGCAAGCTCTTGAGCCTGGCTTCCTGAAGGAGCTTTCCACGCTGGTCCACCCATTCCACTGCCTCCCGGTTCCCTCCTCTGCCCTGTCCCAGAAGCCTGCCATTACCATGCCCAGTGCTGCCTTCTCCTTCTCTGTTTACCCAAGTGTGGGTTACCTTCCAAGTACAGTTCAGTCCAGCTCCATCTCAATAAGAGCCTCAGTGCTCTGTAGCCACGCCTTCCTCCATAATTCTGTAACTTTTTTCTGTACTATTCATTTAACCTTTATTTTTATTCATGTAGCCTTTATTATTAATAACACCAAAGAATGGTGTAAGCTAGTGTAAACTATTTATTGATCACTTATGTGCCAGATTTTTTTACATATTTATATACTTTACATAGTTATTAATCCTTAGTCATTAAATCTTACTAAATTCCCATGCAATAGGTATTATAATCCTCACTTTTCAAATGAGGAAACTGAGGCTCACAGAGGTTATCCTACTTCTCCAAAATCATACCAGCCAAGAAGGAGTACAGTTGGAAATCAAATTCAGGTCTGTGAAATTCCAGGGTCTCTATTCTTTTTGTATTATATTATGTGACTTCTCATTCACACCATCATTATTCATTCAACAAATAGTCCTGGTGTACCTATTATGTGCCATGTGTTGTAATATGTGTTATAACAGAGTTAAAGATGAATTACAGGCCAGGCGCAGTGGGTCACACCTGTAATCTCATCAACTTTGGGAGGCCAAGGTGGGCGGATCACAAGGTCAGGAGTTCAAGACCAATATGGTGAAACCCCATCTCCACTAAAAATACAAAAATTAGCCAGGCGTGATGGCAGCCACTTGTAATCCCAGCTACTTGGGAGGCTGAAGCAGAAGAATCATTTCAACCTGGGGAGTGGAGGTTGCAGTGAACTGAGATCGCACCACTGCACTCCAGCGTGGGTGACAGAGCGAGACCGTCTCAAAAAAAAAAACCAAAAACCAAAACAAAACAAAAAGGTGAATTAGACACAAATTCAGGTTACATAGAGCTCTGAGATATGCTTCTTTATGTTGCCATTTCTCTTTTTATGTACTTTCTGTCTTTCCATGCCTGGTATAACCATGTCTGAACATAATGGATCTTTTCCATCAGGCTATAAGTGACTGAGGTCAAGGATGGGAGGTTTTCCTTAAGCACTGCTATATTGTTAGTATTTAACACAATACCTGTCACAAAGTAGTCTGGGAAAACACACACACTGTTTCTCCACCATCTCACACACTTCTGGCCCAAGATGTATGAGTTTTTTCTACAATTCTCCAACTCTCTGAACACCAGATGGAAGCCCTACAATTTAATTCCATTCTGCCACTATCTACCTGGAGTTAATGTCAGATCCTACAAGTTAAGGACTCATTCCAACAAGACTATCTCCCCACTTCAGATGCCAATTGCAAGTTTGGGCCTCTGATACTTCTGACCAACCAGCTATAAATCAGAGGTTCCCACAACCTTCTTCTCAGTTTTAATAATTTGCTAGAATGGCTCACAGAACTTAGGGAAACACTTTACTTATGTTTACTGGTTTGTTATAAAGGATCTAACTCAGGAACAACCAGATGGTTGTTCCTCTCAGAGGCCACCACCCTCCTGGCACCTTCAGGTGTTGAGCAGCCTGGAAGCTCATCAAATCTTGTTCTTTAAGAGTTTTTATAGAGCTTCTTAATCTTCAGTCCCCTCCCCTCTGCCAAGAAGTCAGTGGGTGAGACTGAAAGTACCAACCTTCTAATCATTTTGTCCTTCTGGTAAGCAGCCCCATCCTGAGGCTATCTAGGGGTCCCTAACCCTAAATCACATCATCAGCATAAACTCCAGTGGGACTGAAAGGGCTCCATATGCATAACAAAGGACATTCCTATAATTCTGGAACTTCCAAGGGATTTAGGAGCTCTGTGCCAGGAATAAGGGACAAAAACCAAATGTATTTCTTATTATACCACAGGTAGGTACTCAAGAAATATTTGCTGAACAAGGGAATAAATGAGTGAATGAATGAAAGAATATTAAAAAGGGATGAGGATATGAAAAGTGAGGAAGGTGAGAAAGAGAACAAAGTTCTCCATTTCCATGTCCCAAGATTCCCAAGGGAGCAGTGCATAAATATATAGTAGCAGTTTGAGAACAGGAAGGAATTTAGTGCCAGTGTTACTGCTTAGGGGATGGGTGGGAGTCAAATCTTTCCCTTGTTGGAGATCTGGCCCACAGGGCTGATTGGCAGACCCTGTACAATGTCCCCACTTCCACACCAGGAAGAGAGGACTTCAGGTCCAGGGTTCCCAAGTTCAATAGCCTTTTCTTTTTTGCCTTAAAAAAAATTGCTAAGGCATGAGATACTTCCGTTCTCCATTGGCATCTTTGCACTGTGCCCAGAGAAACAATCATATCATGTTCAGGAAGGCCAGGGCCTGCAATGGTGGGGAAACAGGAACCGTCCCCACAGATGTCCTCCCCCCGGGGGGAAAAGAGCTAGGGGCTGGGGAAAAAAAATACTGTGTGAAAAGGAAAGCCAGACTTCCCCAGAGCCTCCAGGGTGAGGGCCTGGCACTTCCAGCATCCAGAACGACCCTCAGCCATAAAGTCCAGGAACAGCACATTATTCTTAAACATACACACTTTTCCTTCCATATCCCCATCCTCCTACACGCGTGTGCACACGTACACAAAACACACACAAACACACACCCACACACAATTCCTGGATGAAATTGGACCAGGAGGCTTTGTGCTGCTGAGCATATTCCAACTCCTTAGCCCAGAGGCCAGGCCCTCACCAGGAAAGTGTCCATCCCCCTCTGGAATACATCTCCATACCCCCAGATCCAGCCTGACCTTCCTGCCCACTGTCCCCAAACATATGTTAAGCCCAGTTTAGTCCAATCCATTCTTCTCTTCCCCTTCCACATACTCCCTTCCCTCTTCACTGATTAGCAAGGTTTTCCCCATAGGTTCTCAACCGAGAGCATCTCAGCCAGAGCTACCTCCTCTTCCTTTCAAATTTCAATAGCACTTCTTGTCCAAGTCAGTGCTTCCTCACCTTTTTCAGGGATTAGAAAATGATCATATTTGTACAGCACATAAAGCTGATGTCAGCCAGGTCCATAAGCCCAGAGACTCAAGATGCCTGGAGGACAGAGGGGATCAATATCCCTGACACACCCCACAATCCCTTCAAAGTCACCGCACACACAAGTGATGGACAAGCTCAGGTCTACAGACTTCCTGACTCTGCTACAGAGCATTCTGCAAGCCAGTTGGGGAACTAGAAAAGAGGTATATAGGAAAGTCCTTGCCTTTGAGGAGCTTCCATGCTAGTTTAAGAAATGAAATATACCTGCATGTATAAGTAATATACACCTGCACAATCATTTTTAAATTATTTGTATAACAGAATATGGCCTTTGGCATCAACAACATATGGAGGTTCAAATTCCGGCCTTGCCACTCACTTGATGTGTGAACTTAGGCAAGATAGTATCACCTCTGTGATCCTACTTTTCCCACCTTTGAAATAGGGTAATAAATATCTACCCTCATAAGGTCGTGTTTTTAAATAACCTTTATTGAGGTATAATTTCCACACAGTAAAGTTTACCCATTAAAAGGCCCCACACAGTGGCTCGTGCCTGTAATCCCAGCACTTTGGGAGGCCGAGGCAGGAGGATTGCTTGAGCCCAGGAGTTTGCAACCAGCCTGGGCGAGATGGCAAAACCTCATATCTAAAAAAAAAAAAAAAAAAAAAAATATATATATATATATATCTATATATACTAGCTGGGTGTGGTGGCACATGCCTGTAGTCCCAGCTACTCAGGAGGGTAAGGCTGGAGGATCCATTGAGCCTGGGAGGTCGAGGTTGCAGTGAGCTGTGATTGTGCCACTGCCCTCCAGCCTGGTGACAGAGCAAGACCCTGTCTCCAAAAAAAAAAAAAAAAAAAAAAAAAAGCCATACAATTTAATAAGTTTTCACAAAGGTATAGGATCATATAGTCATTACTATAACCAAGATAAGAACATTTCTATCACCTCAAAAAATTCCTTCTAGCCTCTTTACAGTCAATACCCACCCTTGATTCCTTGTCCCCTGGCAGCCATGGATCTGATTTCTATCACTATAATTTTGCCTTTTCTAATTTTTCATATAAATGGAGTCATAAAATCATAGTCCTTTGTGCCTGGCCTCTTTAACTTAGGATAATATGTTTGAAATTCATTTATGTTGTTGTGTGTACCAGTAGTTTGTTCCTTTTTGTTGCTGAATAGTATTCCATTGTATGGATATACCACAATTTGTTTACCCATTCTCTTGTTTGTGGACACTTGATGAGTAAAGCTGCTGTGAAGATTCTTGCACAACTCATTCTACAGACATGTTTTTATTTCTCTTGGGTAAATATATAATAGTTAAATTGCCTGGTTATATAATAGGTGTATGTGTGACATTTTAAAACTTTCAAAGACTATTGCCAAGTGGCTGTACCATTTGAAACTTCTAACACCAATGAATGTGAGTTCAAGTTGCTTCACATCCTTGCCAACATTTGGTGTTGTCTTGTTAATTTTACCCATTATGATGGGTATATAGTGAAATTTTATTGTAGTTTTAATCTTTATTTTCCTGGTGACTAGTGATGTTGAACACATTTTTATGTGCTTATTAGTCATTCATGTATCTTCTTTTGTGAAGTCTCTATTCAGATCTTTTGCCCATTATATTTGTTGGATTATCTTTCTATGATTGATATGTAAAAGTTCTTTATATATGTGAAAGGAATTCTGTGTCAAATCTATATTTTACAAATATTTTTTTCCTAGACTGTGGCTGGCTTTTTCATTTTAATGGTGACATCTTTTGATGAGCAGAAGTTTTGGACTTTGATAAATCTAGTTTATCAACTTTTTTTTATTATTGGTTAGTGTATTTTGTGACCTCTTTAAAAAATATTTTCCATCCCAAGATCACAAAAAAATATTCTCTGAAGGTTTCTTCTAGAAGTTTTATAGTTTTAAATTTTATGTTTAGGTCTATGAGCCATGTCAAATTAATTTTGTGTAGTAATATGGGGTAAGGGTAAAGTTTCATATTTTTCATACATTTATTCAGGTGTTTCAGCACCATATGGGGAAAGGTTTTCGTTTCCTCTACTGATTTGAGTTGTTGATTTGTCAAAAATCGATTGATCATATATGTATATCTCTTTCTGGACTCTATATTCTGTTCCATTCATCTATTTTTTTCTGTGTTTACATCAATACTACATTGTCTTAATTACTATAGTTTTAAAATATTTCTTTCTTTTTTTTTTTTTTTGAGACGGAGTCTGATGCCAGGCTTGAGTGCAGTGGCATGATCTCGGCTCACTGCAACCTCCGCCTCCCGAGTTCAAGCGATTCTCCTGCCTCAGCCTCCCGAGTAGCTGAGACTACAGGCGCATGCCACCACGCCTAACTAATTTTTGTATTTTTAGTAGAGATGGGGTTTCACCATGTTGGCCAGGATGGTCTCAATCTCTTGACCTCGTGATCTTCCCACCTCGGCCTCCCAAAGTGCTGGGATTACAGGCATGAGCCACCATGCCTGGCCTAAAGTATTTCTTTAATAGATAATGAAAATTCTCCAAATTTGTCCTTTTTCAAAATTGTTTTGACTATTAAAGTCCTTTGCATGTCCACATATATTTCAGAATCAAAATGTCAATTTACATTTAAAAAATCTTCTAGGATTCTGATTGGGATTGCACTGAATCTACAGATCAATTTGGAGAGAATGGGCATCTTAGCAATACTGATTCTTCCAATCCATGAACATGATATATCTCTTCATTTGTTTATATCTTCTTTAATTTCTCTCCACAATGCTTCTCAGCGCAAGCATTTTGCATTTTATTAAATTTATTTCTAAGTATTTGATGTTTTTGATGCTATTGTAATGATACTTTTTAATTTTATTGTTGAACTTTTTGCTGCTGGTATATAGAAATAAGATTGATTTTTGTATATTGACTTTATATCCCATGATTTTCCAAATGTATTTATTCTACTAGAGACTTCTTTTTAGATTCCTTAGAATTTTTAACATACACATCATGCCATCTGAAGATAGTTTTATTTCTTCTTTTTCAAACTTCATACTGCATTTCTTTGGCTTGCCATATTGTATTGGTTACAGCCTTCAATATAAGTGGTGAGAGAATTTTTTCTGATCTCAAGGAAAAAGCATTTGATATTTTACTATTAGGTATGATATTAGCTGCAGAATTTTTTCATAGATACCATTTTTCAGATTAAGGAAGTTATATCTGAAAGCATAAGCATTTTAATCATGAATGAGTATTAAATCATTTCAAATGTTTTCTGCATTTATCAAGTTGATCAAATGGCTTTGCATCTTTATGTTGCAGATATGGTAAATTGTACTAACTGATTTTCAGACACTAAACCATCCTTGCATTTTTTGGGGGAGAACCCCATTTGGTCTTATAATATCCTTTTTTATTTTTTAATTATCTCTTTTATATATTGCTCAATTCTGTGTGCCAATATTTTAGTAAGGCTTTTGCATCTATATCCTTGAAAGATCTTTAGTTTTATTTTATTGTGAAGTGTTTTTTCTGGTTTTGTTTCATTCAATTAAAAATATTTTTTAATCTCTCTTGTGATTTCTTCTTTGAAACATGGATTACTTATAAATGTTTAATTTCCAAATATCTGGAGATTTTTCTAGATATTTTATTATTATTAATTTCTAATTTAATTGATTTATAATTTAATTCTATTGTAGCTAGAGAATATATTATATATAATATTAACCTTTTAAAAGTATTAAGAGTTATTTTATGACTCAGCGTATGATTAATTTTGGTGACTGTTTCCTGGGCACTTAAAAAGAATGTTTATTCTGCTGTATAAGGTAGATTGTTCTATGAATGTCAATTAGGTCAAATTGTTGATTGTGCTGCTCAGGGCTTTTTATCCTTACTGATTTTTTATCTACTTGCTCTATAAATTACTTAAAGAAAGCTATGTTGTTAAAATCTCTCACTATAATTAGATATTTGTTTATTTTTCCTCTTAGTTATGTCACGTTTTGCTTCTGTTATTAGATACATTTATATTTAGGATTGTTATGTCATCCTGTTGCACTGATTTACACTTAGGAGTAAACAGGGACTAGAAATAGACTAGCCCTCAAAAAGAATAAATCTCAGCTTCTGATAAACTCAGTCATTGATTGGATTGAGATAATTTGTCAGCACCGATTATCTAAACCTGGATCACAACCACAGCTACCTTCAATATACACCTTCTTTTAGCCTAGAATTGGGCAGAGTTTTGACTATGAAGTTTAGGCTAATCTGGTGTGCAGATATGCCATGCAATTCCTTCAGTTTTCAAAATCTAGACTTGCTAGTATGTCATTAGTATTTTATTAGCTAGCCTGTATGCTAGACACCCAGGATTTAGTGGTGCCAAATGTTGATTCCTTGTATTGGTTTATTTATACATTTTGTTGTCTGACTCTTTAAGAAGTTCAGGTCATTGCTTGAGACAAATTGTATTTATTCATTAATTCAACAAATACTTTTTGAGTATCTAACAGAGTAAAACTCCTGCAATGACAATGCACTAGAATATAAGACCCTGATATTGGCTTCCTTCTTCCATTCAGCCACTATTCTCAAATTAGCAGACAGCTTTCTTATTATTTGAGGAAAAAGAGAAAATGTGGAAAGAAGAAGAGGGGCAGGATGGAAAAAATAGGGGAAATGGTGGTAAATTTGTCTTTGGAAGCAGCGAAGTGGAGGGTAAGTCCCAGCATCCCTAATGTTTTTCTGGACCTATCTACTTGAATTGGGCCAAGTGGGTACCACTAACCAGGAGATGTTTGGAATCACTGCTCTTTCCCTGGAAATCCCAACAACAGGACCCAGAAGCATCCCCATCAATATTTAGGCTAGAGCAGACAACTACTATCAGGAGTTGCCAAAACATAGCCAGGTGGTAATGAATTTAGATGGGAGTTCCCTGCTGGCTAGCTGTGCTGGCCAGCCCCAGTTATTTTATTAACCTAATTAATTTGACCCCTCATTCTTTATTTATTATGACTTTTGGATAATATTTAATCAAAGAACAGCAAAATTTTATTAATATGAATTTTAATTAATATGCCCTCAAGGAACTTGCATTTTATTGGAGAAGCCAGCCAGGTTAACCAATAACTACCATGCAATTTAATAAAGTCCATAATAGAGGTATGGACCAAATGGTACCATCCCAACCAAACAAGAGGATCATTAACTGTTTTTCTTTTTTCATGTTTTTCAAGAGACCATAGTGATCATCTTCATTGTAAACACGTTTGAGTGTTGAACAGGTCAAGAATGATGGGTTTTATATCTTTGTGGCAGCAACAAATGAATGTGTTAAAACAAATAATACAAATGAAACAACCACCATCCCCTCCTGCAGTATGATTTTCTTTCATTGATTCTATTCAGTGTTACTGTTATTGTGGTTATTATTTCAGTCATTCTTGAGTTAAAGCTAGAACCACATAAAGTCGATTCTTAAACTAAACTAATTAACTCTTAAGCAGGTATAAACGTGAACTCCATTTGACTATGCCAATAGAAAAATAGACCAGTTAGTTTAAGGACACTATGAAAATCATTAAACTTAAAACTAACATGGTGTGGGGCAGGGGAGAACAATCCCTCTGAGACCAGTGCTTTTTAAATTTCCAAGAATAGAAGAAGTGATAACAAGAAAAATCATACAGTTGGAAGCTTAGCATTTTACAAGGCAGCTAGAGAGGACCCAGAGGAGAAGCCTATCCAAGATTGATCTCTGTAATGGTTAATTTTATATGTCAACTTGATTGTGCTAAGGGATGCCCATTTAACTGATAAAACATTATTTTCAGGTGTGTCTATTAGGATGTTGTAGCAAAAGATTATAATTTAAATCAATATGCTGAGTAAAGAAGATTCATTTCCCCCAGTATGGGTGAGCATCTTCTAATCTATTAAAGGCCCAAATAGAACAAAAAGCAGGAGAAAGGGTAAATTCTCTCTCTCTTCTTGAGCTGGGATACCCATCTTCTCCTGCTCTCAGAAATTGGAGCTCCTAGTTCGCAGGCCTACAGACTTCAGGATTTACTCCAGTGCCTTCCCCACCAACTCCCCATCCCACCAGCTCTCAGCTTTGAACCAGGAGTTACACCATCGATTCCCCTGGTTCTCAGGCCTTCAGACTTGAACTGAATCGCATCACAAGCTTTCCTGGTTCTCCAGCTTGCAGATGGCATATTGTGGGACTTCTTGGCCTCCATAATCACGTGAGCCAAATCCCATAACAAATCTCTTATATGCCTATATATATATCAGATTGGTTCTGTTTCTCTGGAGAACCCTCACTAATACAATCTCATGTGGACAATACAAGTTAAAGGAAGACGGAAGACCAAAATCCCTGGGCATGCATCTTCTCAATGTCCTTACCTTGCTCTCACTGCCCAGTTCTTTCACTGCCTCTTCTTCCAATCTACTTGAACAGTTAACCAAACAGCAGCTAACTGGTCTGGTCAGCTGGTTGTGATCATTCCGACCCTGGGAATGATTGCAGTAGGGTCTCAAAAATACAATGTACAGGCAAAAGTTTACAGCAGGAAGCATGAAAGGAACTGGATTACGTATAAACCATGAAACATATCTGCCAGGTCCTCTTCCTTAAAAAGGATGGATCTAATTATACAGGGGATCACAAAGGGGGCAGAATTTGTAGGAATGACCCCCCCAGAGTTTCACATTACCAAGACTAAGGGAAAAGTTTTAGGGAGAACTTTGGTGTCTCTAAACAGAAATAACTCCAGCTTGGCAATGAGATATGCGTCTCTTTTCTCTACGATCTTCTGGGTCTTGGTCCCTTTCATGCACTTTCATATTTGCCAGTTATGTGTCTCAGTTTATTTTATCCAAGCCCTCCATCAACTGATTATATTTCATCTCTAATTTTAACAGGCATGTGAAAGTACAGGATCTTCCACCCCCATCTCAGAGCAGACATCTTATTTCCTAGACTTTCATTTCAAGGCCAACCCAATAAAAGACATTGAACTTAAAATGTTATAAAATATGCTTCCACTAATCCCCAATTTAAAGCTCAGTTGTAGACTCTTTCCTCCCCCCAACCCCATTTCTTTAGTAAGAGAAAGTAAGTAATGTTACCAAACTCTTGAAGTCCAGCTGCTGTCTCTAACTCTAACCAAAAGACACGTACCATGTAATGGAAAAAATGCAAGTTATAAACTTCAAATTTGGGCCTGGATATAAATCTTGATTCTACCACTTCTTAGCATTATGACCTTGAGCAAGTGAATAATATATTTAACTGCATTCCCAAATCTGTAAAACAGGAATAAAAGAGTTACTTTATAGGGCTTTAATAATGATGAAGTGAAATGATGTATATAAAGGTGCCAGCCTTATAATGTACATTTAATAAGTTATGACTATTTTAAAAGGGATCTTCAAGTTTTGTAATAATGTTGGTGTTCACATCTGCATATGCCTAACTGTTAGCATAGAACTGGTGAATGAGAAATGCATTGTGTCAATTCCTGAAAGTATGAGTGATGGACAGTAGCAGACCTTTCTGCTCATAATTTTGGTCAAGAAGTTGTGCTTTCTTATTTTTTTGTGAGATTTCCAACCAAAATAGATGATGAACTCATAAATATGAACTGGTCTCTGTGCTCCAGCAACTGATAGAAGCATTTCTCAACCTATTCCCACCCACTCCTGGGCCTTTCCCACTCACCAGGTAGAATTTTGAGAAAGAAATTGGCCTCCTTCAAGAGAGAAAGTTCAGGCAGAAACAGCACCCCAGGCATTACACAGGAGCAATCTTGTGCCCATTCAGAGACTAACCACAATCCAGATGAATCCAGACAAAGCCTTAGTTAGCACTTCACAGTTTTCAAAGGGCTTTCATATTTCTCACCTCCTGGGCAAGGCCAACTCTTCATTATACCCATATTTAGCACTCTGTATATGTCTTCATTGTGATGACGATGATGACTTTTTTTTTTTTTTTTTTTTTTGAGACAGAGTCTCACTCTGTTGCCCAGGCTGGAGTGCAATGGCACGATCTTGGCTCACTGCAACCTCTGCCTCCTGGGTTCAAGTGATTCTCCTGCCTCAGCCTCCCACGTAGCTGGGATTACATTCACTGGCCGTCATGCCTGGCTAATTTTTGTATTTTGTAGAGAAGGGGTTTCACCATGTCGGCCAAGGTGGTCTTGAACTCCTGACCTCAGGTGATCTGCCCACCTCAGCCTCCCAAAGTGCTGGGATTACAGGCATGAGCCACCACGCCTGGCCCATTGTGATGATTATTAATTAGATGATAATGATTGCTCACGTGTATTATTTCTTCAGTGTCTATCTCCAGGAGGACAAGGACCATGTCTAACTAGTTCAGCATTGTATTTCCAGCTCCTAGCCCAGTGCCTGGCACGTAGTAGGTACTCAATAAATATTTGTTGAATGAAAAGAAGCTGTAGCATTCATATGCCCATCACTCTCTAATGAAATATTTACAATTGAGCTAACAGGTCTAGTTCAAAAATTTATCTACTGCCAAAACAAATATCATGACATTTTTCAGAGTCAAAAGCAAATCTCTTTTTGGCTAATCCAGGTTACTACTTCATAGATAATCAGAAAAGGACTACAGACACCCCTAACCCTCACTGCTAATGAATCATCTTCCCATTTAAGAAGTTAGCGGACTATTTTCTTTCCAGTTTCATGTCATCAGTTTTACTTAAACAGTTGTCAACCCTAATGGGTTGTTTCTCCAAATTAATTCTTCTTGCTTTTTTAGGAAGATTTATAGCACATCACCCTCATTCTGATCTTTTTATTGTCCAAGATTCTCCTCCTATAAGATAACCATATGATTTAGAGACTGGCTTAAATGGCCCAGGACCTAGAATTCATAATATATATTTTTCAAATTTTAGGAAAATTTCAGATTTTTCCTGACTACTCTCTCCTGATTCCTACCCACAATGATTTCTTTTTTCTTTTCTTAAAATTTTCTTGTTGGAGACTCTAAAAATAAATAATCAGAGAGGTGCTGTATTCCTGGTGTTACCCCAGATTCACTGCAGCTGTGACGAAGGCTGCCAACACCGTCTAATGACACATTAAATACACTGTCTATGACTTGTCCTGTCAGGCAGAGCCAAAAGCTACTTTGATTAATTTTTATTTTTAAATGCAACTGCCATGTGGATATAGATCCTGCTTTTGTGACCTTTGGGCAGGGCACGTAATCTGTCTCTTTCACCTACTCTTCTACCTGCAAAATTGGTTTGACAATAAAATCTTTCTTTCTAAACTGATATGTAGTAAAAGATAAACTATACAGGAGCACTAGTGAAAAGATGCCATGCAAGTGCCTCAAAGTGATCTGTTTTCTGGACTCTCTGTGGCACATCTTGCATCTCTAACCAGTCTCCCTCAGCCATGTTCTAAGCCCCAGCCCCAGCATTAACCAGTTGTACAAGTAACAAATACAGATTCACCTTACTGCAAACTAAGTCAAATAAGAAAATAATTCTCCTGCTAACTAAAACACGCATCTTAGTATTCTAGAGCAAAATGCAGGTAACTTTTGGATAATCCAAACCACAGCTTTATAGGCAGTGATGACCAGCCTTCTTTGAGTACTCAGCATATGCCAAGAACTGTTTTCAGTGCACTGCATACATTATCTATTCAGTCCTAAGTACCCTGTGACATAGCTGTGATTATTAAACTTCATTTTTAGCCAGGCATGGTGGCTCATGCCTATAATCCCCGTGCTTTGGGAGGCTGGGGTGGGAGGATCACTTGAGGCCAGGAGCCTGAGACCAACCTGGGCAACACAGCCAGACCTTGTCTCTACAGATTTTTTTTTTCTAATTAGCTGGGCATGGTGGCACATGCCTGTAGTCCTAGCTACTCAGAAGGCTGAAGCAGGAGGATCACCTGAGCCCAGGACTTCAAGGTTACAGTGAGCTATGATTGTGCCACTGCACTCCAGCCTGGATAACAGGAGAGAGGCCCTGTCTCAAATAAATAAATTGCATTTTACATCTGAGAAGACTGAGGCATATAGAAATCAAATGGTTTTCCTGAGCTCACACTGACGGTAAGTGGTAGAGCTCAGATTTGAGTCAGCTGGCTTAGCCTTTATACTCCACTGCATTTCAAGATAATGATAACAACCATTTATGTGCCAGCAATTGGGCCGAGTACTTTAACATAGATTATCTCATTAAGTTCTCATAATAATCATCTCCATCTACAGATGATAAAAATGAGATTTAAAAGGGTTAATTTGCCACCTATCACAGAGCTAGTAAGTGATAGATTCTGAGCCAGAATTATAGAATTATAGCCAGATTATAGAGACTGACAACAAAAATACTAAACCATGTTGTGAAAGCCAGTGATGGCTCTACCTACAGTCTTCCATGGAAGACTCCCTCATCGTTTACAAGGACATGAAAATGTGTTTGCTGGACCTAGTGGGGAGAGAAATTCCTCTGCACTCTCCACTCTAATGGGTTTACAGGTAGGCCAAGGGCAAAATGAACTCCTGAGTAGGAGCCTGGAGTCTTTGTTGATGCAAGCTGTACCAGTGGATTTCAATTAGCCAGGAGGCTTTTGGAGTGCAAGCCCAGGCCATGGACAACTCACAAGAGAGAAGGTCCCAAAAGCTCCCCAATTCTGCCCCTAGCAACAGAGGCTTCCTGTAGCCAAGTCTGTCTCTGATTTGCAGGTGGGTGAGTTAAATTCACACAATCTCAGCCATAACTCTTAGAATGGGTTCTCCATTGCCCTAACCAGAAAGGCCCCAGAATGTTTGTCTCCAGTGATCAAGGCCTGCCATCTGCTGAAGTTTTGCCCTTTGCTTTGTCATCACATGAACCTAATGCTCTACAATTTACTCTGCCCTTTATCATCAAATATTGCCCCTGGTACAATCAGGGATACAGTAGAATTGTGCAGGACCAAAGGAAATAAGGACAGGTCTGAGAGAAGGGAGGGGATAGAGCAAAGAATCTTGAAACCCTCGGGTTGGTGATTCTGGATTTGTGGTGCTGTGGGAGACAGGGCAAATATTTCCGTGATAAAAGGGACTTCTGAATAGGAAGAAAAGTAAGAGGAGAAAAAGAGGGATACCCTCTGGGGCATCCAGTGCCACCAGTATAATGATCACTAAACAGGGTGAAAGGGAAGGCACCAGGAAACCGGCCCAGAGAGTGTGGTTATACAGTAAAATTAAAGCCAAGGTTGTCCCCCTTTGCATTTCCTGTCCTCCCAGCCCCTCCCATTTAGACCATATCCATCTTTTCCCGTGTGGAAAAAAAGAGTTCACTTGACTCTCCTTTGCAGACTTGGAGTAAGCCTCTTTTCTTTGCCCTCAGGCTCTGAAGGCGTCTACTACAGTGCGTGGAGCAAAAGAGAGACGGCATCGCCCCCTCGTGGCGCAGGGCCAAGCTCTGCGGTATTCCGGACGCTGTCCTGGGCTGCCCAGACAGGGGCACCCCGTGGGAGTGGAAATGCTGTCCTCAGAACCTCTGGCTGTTGAATGACTTGTGTCTTGTCAGAATGGTGAGATCCCCGAATGCCATCACCCTGTTCCTTCTACCCTCCCCATTGATGTTCACACAGGTCAGCTAAGCTAGACCTGTCTGCAGTGTGTTTTGAAAACAGGTTGCCCCTGCAAGAAAACTCCTGGTTTAGTAAATCAGCACATCAGGGCTAGAGAAGAAAAGAGTTGTGCTGTCTTTGTTTCCATTTCAGTCCATTCTGCCAAGTTGAAGCAGAATGATTTTCATTCATCTTAAATCCCCCCAAAATATTTTTTTTAAATAAACCTCTCAAACCAAACACCATCACATATGTACCCTAAGGAATACTAAGTCACCTCTTCAGGCAACGGAAAGAAAGGACCAGAGAATTGCTGTCAAGCCTAGGGTGGGTGGAGGAGGCAGGGAATTAATTTTGTTGAGTGGATAAAGGTCTGGGCCTCAATCCCAAAAGCCCAGATTGGGGCATCGAGCCTACAGCACCCCTGTCAGTCACTCCCTGCTGTCCCTGGAGCCTGGGCAGGCAAACAGTCATCCTTCTGCACTGTCTCTCTGGGACAGCCGGAACCTTTGCCCCCATCCCGAGGTCACCCTCTCCCAGAACCTCCTCTGCCTCTGGTAAGAGGAGGTAAAAGGAAGGGGGACACAGGAGGTCCATCAGAGCATGGATGAAGCTGCCCCTACATCAGAGTGCAGAGCTTGGAGTCTAGCCCCATCCTGGCCAACACAGAAGCAGGGAGTGAGAGAGGCAAAAACGAGGAGCCAGCCTGTTTCCATAGATACAGATTTCAGTTGCATTTTATGACAGCCGTGCCAGGCTGCCTGGAGAGGCATTGTTTGGATGTCTAGGGACCCGCTCAGAAGGAAAATGAAGTAAGAAGCGATTTTTTTAAGATTCAAGTGGTTTCCCCTCCCAGTTTCAGATTGAGATCCACCTCCGCCCTCTGGCCTTCTGGCAGAGGTCATCCCTGGTAGGACACTTGCCTTTAGTACAGCCTGGGCAGATTTAGGCCCTCCAACCCCAGGCCTCGAAGATCACAGTCAAAATGATTCTTAGAAGCAAGCCTGCTGTCCCTGGAGCCTGGGCAGTCAAACAGCCATCCTTCTGCACTGTCTCTCTGGGACAGCCGGAGCCTTTGCCCCCATCCCGAGGTCCTCCTCTCCCAACACTGCTAGTGCTTCTCTAACAGCTGCTCTGTGGCTGAAGGAGTTCCAATTTCCCAGCCCCTGGTGACCTCTTGTGAGGGCTGCCACTGAGGCTTTGAGAGAAGAAGGCTCACCTGGTCTCCTGCTGGGGGCTCAGCCTGCAGCTGGGGAAGGACTCCCCTTACTTCTAGATTCAAAACACTCATTTTCCTTTGCCACTCCTACATCTTCATCTCCTACATCTTCATCTCCTACCTCCTCATCTAGGTGGTGCCCTTCTCTCTACTCATCACTCATTCATTTCTCCAAACCCATTGAGTTCTTTCATTTGCCAGGCCTTTATAAAATAGACGTAAGAGACTTTCCCTGTACTCAGAAATCTCACAGACTAGTGGGGGATGCAGACACATAAGTGAACTACTAGAAAACAACTTAGATAGGGTCAAGTAAGAAGTCCTGGGGAAGTTAAAGCCCAAACTGAGCCCCAACGGATGAGTCAGTTAGGGGAGAGGAGATTCAAAATAGAGAGGGGACTGCGTAGGCAAAGGCATAGAGGCAAGAAACAGGATTATGTGCATAAGAAACTCGGTAGATCATAGGTGCTGAGAGCCAGTGCAAAGCTATGAGTGGCAAGAGATGGGCTGGAGTAAATTGGCAGTCATCAGACAGCAGAGGGCCCTATGTGCCATGCTAAAGGCCCCAAGCTTCCTCCTGCAGTGGTTCTTCAGCCATGGCTCACGGAGTTCCAGGGCTCCACTGTGGTGCCTCAGGGGCAGGACTAGGGGCCTCTCACTCTCAACCTGAGTGATTTTTTTTTTTCCAGACAGAGTTTCACTCTAACTCAAGTGATCCGCCCGCCTCAGCCAAAGTGCTAGGATTACAGGCATGAGCCACCGCACCCAGCCCTGAGTGACTTATTTTATATGTACTTGAATAGGTGACAGCAAACCACAGTGAGATTAAAGTCTGGGAAGGACACGATAAAAGAGGCATGTATGGGAAGGACATGATCAAACGACGTTTCAAAGAGACCACTCCAGTTTCTAGGCCTCACTTCCAACCATTCCTCAGGGAAGTCTACTGCCCAAGAAAATCTCTGATGGTAATACATGATTTACAGCAAAAATGAAGACTTCTTCAGTACATCTGTGATAATTATTTCCAAACTTCATCCTGAGAAAAGAAAACGAAGTGGGATCCCTTTCCCTTAGACTTCAGAGCTGTTTTCACCAGCTGGCTGTGCTGATCATGCCATCTAGTGGTAGGAGTGCAGCATGACTCCAAAAGGAAACAAGCTTGCATTTCTTTCTGAATATCTGTATTATCTTATTTAATCCTCAAAAAACCTTGGCAAAGTATGTCTCATTAATATACCCATGTTACAGGCCATAAAACTGAGAGATGGGAAGAAAACAATATTTGTTTTGAGTCTCCTGTGGGTTAGGAACTATGTCAGCTGATGTACATGAGATGCATTATCCCCACTTACAAGACAGACAAACTGAAGACCTTGGTGACTGAGAGACCAACTAGATTAAGCTACAGACACTGAGGTTTTCCTGCTTCCAGGTCTAGATTCATTCCAAAAAATCTGGTCAGATTCAAATCTCTAACTTGAGTTGAAAAGAAACCAAGTAGTAAAGAATGAGGAAAGAGGCAAGCCTTTGTGAAATTCAGAGTAACTGGCACAGACAGACCACAGCTATTTCTTTGTCATGAATGGCAACCAAAGCACAGTTGTATATTAGATTCTAGAATAATTATAGGAAGAATAATTACCACCGGAATATGCAAATTATAGGAATCTGTGAGCCTAAAGCCAATCAGATGCCCAGCAAGTACGTTTCTTAAGAGTGAGTGGCTGCTTTCTGTAGAACAGAGCATCGCTTGGAGCCAGGAAAAACTGAGAATTGTGGTTTGAATGGAACCTTAATTCCACATCTGAAACCTTAATTCCTCTTTGCCATGTAATATAGCATATTCCCAGGTTCCAGGGATTACGACGCTGACATCTTTGCGGGCCATTATTCTGTCTTTCACATACATTGAGACCAAAAAGACCAAGTACCTATAAGAGGACCAACCCAGACGGGCTGTGACAATTACGCTGTTGCTTCTGAGTGAGAAGTTACAGGCCCAAGAAAGGGTAATGACAGCCTTAGAGATACATAAAAGAGACAAGCAATTTCCAAAACAAAAAGCAAAGGCAAAAAGAAAAATAAAAAAGCTCTCTCTCCGTAAAAAGGTAGAAAATATGCCTATAAAGGAGAAAAACAGGGCTGGATGTGGTGGCTCACGACTGTAATCCCAGCACTTTGGGAGGCTGAGGTGGGCAGATGACCTGAGGTCACGAGTTTGAGACCAACCCAGCCAATATGGTAAAACCCCATCTCTACTAAAAATACAAAAATTAGCTGGGTATGGTGACACACACCTGTAATTCCAGCTACTCAGGAGACTGAGGAACAAGAATTGCTTGAATCCAGGAGGTTGCAGAGAGCCGAGATTGCATGACTGCACTCCAGCCTGGGTGACAAGTGAGACTCTGTCTCAAAAAAAAAAAAAGTTAAAATTAAAAAAATAAAATAAAAATAACATTCTTGCTCTTTCTCACCTATCTCATCCATCAGTGATATCTGAATATAGTACAAATCAGGCATCCAGAGCCATAAAATGCAAGACAAAAACACATTGGAAAAGCGAAATGTCACAGATAATCCCCAGGTTTGACTTTCTGATTTGCGAATCAGAAGAGGCCCTTGCAAATGATGATAAAATCTGTCTCCAGATGCACCAAGATGATGAATTATATATATGTATATATAGTTGACCCTTGCACAAAATGATTTAAACTGTGCGGGTCCACTTATACACAGGTGTTCTTCAATAAATGCAGTCTGCCTTCCGTATTGTCTCCATATTGGTGGGTTCTGCATCAGCAACCAAACATGGGTAGGAAGGCAAGATTTGGAAATCTGCATTATAGTAGGGCTCACTTTTCATATCCACGGGTTTCATAGGGCAGACTACAGGACTTGAGTTTGTATAGATTTTGGTATCTGCGGGTGGTCCTGGAGCCAATCCCCCACAGATACTTTGGGATGACTGTACTCCTTTATTATCATTATGTTTAATGCCAGCAGAGAAAGAGGACTAAAAACTAGGAGGAGAATCAGCAGTACTGACATTGCTATCATAATCCAGTTTTTTAAGCATCCAGGCTTAAATGCTGAACTGAAACAGAAGCTGATCTGGCAAAATTTTTTTCTAACTGGTTTCTTGAATTTAAGTGAAATGTAGAGGGCTTTCTAAGCCAGGCACAAAGTCAAGAAACAATACATTTTTAAATGACAGACTTGATTAGATAAAAATATAAATTCTCTGTACAGCAAAACACACTAAAAGTAAACTTGCAAGACAAGTGATGATTTGGAAAAAGTTTTACAACATAAGTGGCAGAGGAATAATAACCATAGTCTATAAGAAGAGCTTATACGTCTATAAGGAAAAGACAACTGCTCCCCCTACCCAAATGGACAAAGGATATGAGTAGGCAATTCAGAAAAAAGAAAGGCAAATAGCTAGTAAACATGAGGAGTCACGCCATCTCTCTAGTAACCAGAAAAACACAAACTAAAATAAGATACTTTCTGCCCATCCCATTGTAAAAAATGTGAAGCTGGACAATAGCCAGTGATTGTAAGAATACATAACGAAGTGCTCCCTTGACAGCTATATGAGTGTAGTATGGTACAGTGTGTTTGAGAGCGATTGGTAGTACCTATGAACTTTTAAATTTTACCTCTTTTGAACAATCATTTCTACCTCTACACACTCCTGAAATATTCCTACATGTGCTCAAAATATATTCATAAGGATGTTACTACTTAAAAATATTGTGACAGGAAAAAAAGCAATCTAAGTGTCTTTCAATAGAGAACAGACCAAATAAACGTACAGGATGTCCTTACTGTGGAATACTATTACAGACATTAAAAGGATGAGGTTGATCTGCATGCACTGCAAAGATCACCAAGATATATTAAGGGAAAAAGGCAAGTCACACAATAATATGCAATTCGTTGATCTCATTGACATGTACATACATATATGCATAGAAAAAGCATCTAGAAAGACACATATCAAACTGTTAAGCATGGTCACAGTGATGGTAGGATAGGAACAAGAGGGTAAGGAGAGGCCTCCACTCTTTTTATTTTTATGGTTTTTTTGGAGACGGAGTCTCTCTCTGTCACCCAGGCTGGAGTGCACTGGCACGAACTCGGCTCACTGCAACCTCCGCTTCCCAGGTTCAAGCAATTCTCCTGTGTCAGCCTCCCAAGTAGCTGAGATTACAGGTGGCTGCCACCATGCCCGGCTAGTTTTTGTATTTTTAGTAGAGATGGGGTTTCACTGTGTTGTCCAGGCTGGTCTCGAACTCCTGACCTCAGGTGATCTGCCTGCCTCGGCCTCCCAAAGTGCTGGGATTACAGGTGTGAGCCACCATGCCTGGCCGAGGCCTTTACTTTTTACCCTACATGCCCCTATATTGTTAGTTTTTTTTCAATGTGCAGATATTCATGCCATACATTTGTAGTTTTATTAAATATATAGATATGTGCAAAGTGAATTAGTCTATTTAGAAGATATTTGCAGCTATATTGGTTTTACAGAACAAAAAGCAGCTTTTTAAAACATGCTAAATGTTAACTAATTAGCACAAAGACCGGAGACCCGAGATGCTCTGAAAATTCAGCACTGTAGAACCAAACCTTATAATTAAAGGAGACAACATGGGTAGGCCAGAGCAAACATGGTCTCTGGAGTCAAGCAGATCTGGTCCTAGTCCTGGCCCTGCCCCTTTCTTTCTGCAACTGTGTGCTAATTACTTAAGCTCACTGCGTCTCCATAAAATAAAGATACAAGTGCCTACCCCTCAGTCTTGATGAAAACACCATGTGTATACAAAATATTTTTCTCCCTTTCTCATTTATGATATTGTATATGTAGGCTGGGCTCATATGGCAGCTGGGAGACTGTAGTGAACATTTTACAATGATTTTTTTTTTAGGTGGACCCAGAGAAATGTTTTTAGGGCCCTATCTTGGTGGTAGAGTGTCAAGAGGTGCAGTTTGTTGTTGGGGAGGGTTGTGATACAAAAGCTTTGAGCACCAGGGCCAGGATGAACAATTCTAGTAGCTGCAGCTTCCTAGATCAGTGGTTCTAAAATTTTAGCATGCATTAGAATCACCTGGGGGGGCTTGTTAACCCAGCTTGCTGGTCTTGCCCTCAGAGTTTCTGATTCAGCAGATCTGGGGTAGGGCTTGGGAGTACACACTGTCCTAACAGGTTCCCAGGTGATGCCGATCCTGCTGGTGTGGGGAGCACGCTTTGAGACCCTCAGACTTAAAGCATCAACAACTGCCCCTAGCCAGTGAATTTTAGGCTGCAGCAGACTCTTTCCCTACCCCTAGTTCTGGAGATGCTTCCTCTGGCGTTCTCTCTGAACCTTCCCAGGCATCAAGAATTCCAGGACACTCCCTGGTTTTACCCATGGCCAGTGGCCAATTTCTGCAGCCTGTGCTAATTCTGTCCAAGGTGATGCGGCAGCTGAAAGAACCCAAGACTTTTAGTTAAGGGAGGGGAGAAACTGGGGGGAATGCGGAGAGCCAGACCCAGCCCCTGGCCTGGGTCCTGCCTGCTCTGTGTGCTCAGCACAAGGACAGGAATTGTATCCCCCTTCTGCCTAAGCAGATTGGGAAAGATAACTATGTTAGCAGGAGAAGCCTGGGCCGAGGGGTCGTGCTCTATAGAATTGGCACAATCTGCTCTCATGCATGAGCTGCTCCTATCAATAGAGAGACCTGCCTTACCCTGACAACTCGTCTGTGCTGGAAATCCTCTCTCAAGTGAAAGTCCCCCCAGTTCCCCCCTCCAACACACCCTTTGCCCCTCAGGGCACGGGAGCCCTTGAACCTCAGCCAAATGGTTGTGATGAAGAATTTCTGGCTCCCAACCAAATTGGCCAGGGAGGAGGGAAAGAGAGGGCCATGGCCTGCCTCCTGACCCTCTCCAGGTGGCACAAACAGACCAAAAAAGCAAGTATTGATCTCTCTGCTGGTGAAGCAAAGTACCCTTGGTTTCTCTCTCTGGTGACCCTCTTCCTAATAATGGTGATAGCAATTACTATCTGTCAAGCGCTTACTATGCAAAGTATTGGACTCAGTTTCACACACACTGTTTTATTAAATCACTGCAACTCTTTGAGGCAGACACTGTTCACCATTTTTCACAAGAGAAAACTGAGGCTGAAACCAGGAAAGTCACTTAGGCAAGGTCAGGCAGCTGGCTAGTTAGTGGTGAAGCTGAGACAATCTAACCCCAGAGTCTGGCGTTAACCTCTTCACTGTTCAGTTTCCCACAAGATGGAGGCTCCCAGGCCAAGGTTAGGCCCAGGATTCAGCATGATGGGGTAGACCAGATTCTCCCCCGACCCCTCTCTTTGAGCAACGTACATGAGGCCTCTTTGCACACTCCATGTGCTAAGCATCACATAGGGGACCATGCTTCGTTTACCTTTGTGCTCCCAGCACAGTGCCAAGCACACAGTAGCTGCTTAGCAAAGCCTGTGGTAGAAAGGAAGGATAAAGCTGTACGATGGGCACTGGGTAGTAACTGGCTTCTTGCTGGTGTTGGGGTTTTGAAGACATGCAGGTGAACAAACAATACATAGATGAACAACCAACAGATTAAAATTACATTTCCCAATTATGTTTGTCCTTGCCCACTCTACCACAGCCCCTCTGGCTTCCTTGCTGCCTCAAGCTTCGCCCCCATGCCCTCACGATTCTCTCACCTTCTTGAAAAATTGCTCAAATCTCACCTCAGTGAGGTCTCTTTGGGCACCACCTCCCCTCCACCAGCAATCCCAATCCCCCTCACCCTGCCATATGTTCTCATTTCTGGTACTTACTACCTTCAAATGTTCTGTATAATTCACTCATTCATTGTGTTTAATGCCTATTCTCCACCTCCCCACTAGGAATCTTTGTCTTACCAAAGTGTCCCACACACCTTAAAGGGTGGGAGCTCAACAACTACTTATTGAATGAATCTCTAAACATTGCCCACTAAGTCAGAGCTGGGCTTGAAATACTCAGAGAAGTGACCGGATTCTCCCACAGCCCCCCGTCCTATGTTTCTCAGAGACTCGTTCCCCCTGGCACTTCCCAGTAACTGGAAGAGAGATTCTACATCTCCCAATTCCAGTCACCAGAGGGATTGACTGAGGATGGTCCTCTTGGGCCCCATAAATCTTTCTGCCCTTCTCCTCAGGCCAGGGCTCACCTGGTTCTCCCTAAAGAGACTCTCTGCATATTGAGTCTGTGTCCCATAACTGGAGGCACCCGGAGCCATGGAAAACACATGGGCTTGAGAGCTATGCCACAACCTTAGGGTGTCATTTCAACTCTAGCCTTGGTTTCCTCATCTATAAAATAAGGGCTGGGACCAATGATCTCCTCCAGTCTTTCCCAGTTCTGACATTTTCCCTGTGGAAGTGGGGGAGTGCGTAACCTTGGTCAAAACGTACTTAGAAACAAACCAACCCATGGCCCTGGGGCACAGGACATAGCCACACTCAGATCATAGCAAATATAACCAACAAGTGAACAGGCATTCACAGCATCACATAGGTTAGATTAGCAGCCACCATCTGTTTTCACAAAGCAAAAAAGGCAGTGATTATTATCTCTATTTCACAGATGAGAAAACTGAGGCTCAGAAAGGCTAAACAAGCCACCCGCACACAGGAAGCAGAAGAGCCACACTCAAAGCCAGGTCTTCCAATGGCAAATTCCACAGACTTTCCACAAAGAACTGCCTCATTGCTTTTGAAATGCACCCTGGGCCAGGTGCAGTGGCTCATGCCCGTAGTCCCAGCACTTTGGGAGGCTGAGGCAGGCAGATTGCTTGAGCTCAGGAGCTCGAGACCAGCCTGGGCAATACGGCAAAACCCCATCTCTACAAAAAATACAAAAATTAGCTGGGTGTGGTGGCCTGCGCCTGTAGTACCAGCTACTTGGGGGGCTGAGGTGGGAGGATTGCTTGAGCCCAGAGGTGGAGGTTGCAGTGTGCCAATATCAGGCCACTGCACTCCAGCCTGGGTGACAAAGCAAGACCTTGTCTCAAAATAGAAAAGAAAGAAAAAGAGAGAGAGAGAAAGAAAGGAAAGAAAGAAAGGAAGAGAGAGAGAAAGAAAGAGAAAGAAAGAAAGAAAGAAAGAGAAAGAAAGAAAGAAAGAAAGAAAGAAAGAAAGAAAGAAAGAAAGAAAGAAAGAAAGAAAGGAAAAACGAACCCTGGTAGGAGAATGCCACCATTAGATTATCCAAAATGTCAATAATCTAATAATCTATAAGATTACAGAATATAAAATTGGAACTTACATTTGAATGTGGTTATGTCTCCTATTCTAGACATTTACTTATTTATCTCAAATAATGCAATACAGACACCCTGGGAAGACATCCCTCTGAAAGACCTGAGAAAGTGATTCTTGGTAGGAATAGACAAGTCATCTCTCAATGGTAGCTAAGGTGAGCCTCTTTCCCGATCTCTTTCAAAACTTTCCCCAAGATATACACGACTGAGTGTTTATATTTTCAAGGACTTCCCAGCTACAAACAGAAGAACCAATAACAAAGATAACTTAATCAATTGGGTACTACGAGTAGAGGAGTATCTTCTTTGTTAACAGCGTAAGAAAACAAAGAAAGTGCTAAATTGAAAAGCTAGATTTGTCTAAATCCGAGAGACTATAACTGGTTCAGAGCCTTGTTGACAGCCCCGTTTTTCTGGATTCAAATGCATCCTCTACTACCATCTCTCACAAAATGATGATGAGCGATGACACCACCCACTACATTAGCCAAGTTGGACTGGGAAGCCTTGGATAGGGAGAACTTCATTTTAAAGAGAAGCTTTGTAGATTCTTTTCTCTTCATAGGACTATATCAGGGAGAGCGCAAGCTTCAGGAATCAGCATGTACTGAATATTCCCAAAGAAAGAATGATTGGATTTTTTCCCCTCATCCTCTGACTTCTTACCTTATTGATATTGCAGGGATCAGCCTTGACCATCTATTTTTAACTGAAGGATTTGCTATAGGGCATTGTCCCAGTCAGTGTGGGCCCTCAAACTTGGGAGTTCAAAAGAAATCAGACATCTAAAGTAAACAAGGTTTTGGGCTAGTGACCATTTTATTTAAAATGGAATTGGGGACTCACACAACATTGGTACCATCCTCCTTCAAACTGCCCCCATCAAAATGCAATATGTCCATGACACCAGAAAGGACAGGAAGGGGGGGTGGGGTGGTGAAGCCAGTGCTTAGATTTTTTTTGTCTAGTTTGCCCTCCAAGTTGTCTTCAATTTAGTAATCATACATTGCAGATTTCATAAAACAATCTAAGTTTCAACTATTTTTGCTCCATTGTTTTCACGAATAAACTTGTAGGATAAAATGCCCCTATTTTTGGTTTGGAAATGTAGTCAAAATAACCATTTTTTATACTACCAATAGTCAGTCCCAGATGATGGGACGGGAGTGGGCCTCAGAGAGCATATGTCCATGCCCTCCAAGCATCATTCCTCATTAAGCCACATTAGAATTTAATCCAAGAGCCTCCTGGTGAGCAAAACCATCATATCCCCATTTAACAGATGAAGGCACTAAAGTCTAAAAATGTTAGCTGACATTGATTGAACTTCCGCTACTCAAAAGTATATGTAATTATAAGTGAAACGTGGTGAGAAAGGCTATTACTTTGACAAATGGCACCAGAATTCTTTGGAGTGTTAAGGCTCCTTTCAAAGAGGGAGACCACCCTGCTGAAGGTTTGTTTGTGTTTCTTTTTTATTGTTTTGATCTTTTTAGAAAGCTCTTTCCTTTTATGTTTAGTTGACACATAATAATTGTACGTATTTGTGATACACAGTGATATTTCAATACATGTATACAATGTGTAATGATCAAATCAGGATAATTAGCATATTCAGCATCTCAAACATTTATCATTTCTTTCTGTTGGGAACAATCAAAATCCTCTCCTCTAGCTTTTTGAGACTATACAATAAAATAGTTAACGGCCAGGCATGGTCGCTCATGCTTGTAATCCCAGCATTTGGGGAGGCCAAGGCGGGCAGATCGCCTGAGGTCAGGAGTCTGAGGCCAGCCTGGCCAACATGGTGAAACCCCGTCTCTACTAAAAATAGAAAAAAAAAAATTAGCTGGGCGTGGTTGTGGGTGTCTGTTATCCCAGCTACTCAGGAGGCTGAGGCAGGAGAATAACTTGAACCTGAGAGGCAGAGGTTGCAGTGAGCTAAGATCGTGACATTGCACTCCAGCCTGGGTGGCAGAGCGAGACTCTGTCTCACACACACACAAAAATATAAAAATTAAAATAATTAATTAATTAATGTTAACCATATTCACCCTACAGCACTGCAGACCACCAGAACCCATTCCCCCTATCTAGCTGTGCTTTTGTATCTATTAGCAACATGCTCCCCATCCTTCCTTCCGCCACTACACTTCCCAGCCTCTAATATCCACAATTCTGCTGAAGGCTTTGAGAGACAAGAGCAAACCACCAATAAAAAATGAAATATGGTCCTTTGGAAAGGACCAACCACTCTTGGTGTGACTCAGGGCAGAGGGATTCACACAACTGACCACTTACTGTCCCTACATCATTAAGATTCTCCCAGCTGATGATAAGGCCTTGGGAAAATGCCCCTAGGCTCATGCGCTCTGGAGAGACGCCAAAGGTTTACTGATGTACAGGCCCAGTCTGCTGCTAAAAGAAACTTTGGGAGGCACAGAAGCCCCAGCTAAGCTTTCACACATCAGCTTTCCCCATCCTCCTCCCCTCAGTGCCCAACACAGCTCTCCCATTCTCTCACTCCCATTGTTTCCCAAACATCCCTCCCTTCATAAAAGCTGTCTGGCTGGGAGCTTAAAATATTGCTGGACAGTAAAACCTACCCATCAGGGCCAATCCAGTCATATCTGCTCAGTCGTGCAGCACAGTAGGGGCGGGGTAGAGAAGTGGGAGGTGGGCTTTTAGGCAGCAAAGGAAAGAGACGAAAGTTGCCATTTTGCTGCTGAGCGCCAAGAGAGAAAGAGCACATATTTCTCCGTGGGACACTCCTTGTATTGGCAAGTTTTCCTTGGGTGATATTAGTTTGTAACCTTCCCCCCAATTGTTCTTTCTCAGCCTAATCTAAGGGCCATATATAGGCTTCTCCAAAAGGAAAAAGGTTGCCAATAAGATTCAGTCTTGGGCTGGGATGGCTAGACTTACACTCCAACTCTGAAAACCCTCTTCAAGTTGACCTAAGAACTGGCAGAGGTTTGGAAGGGAGAGGAATGCTGGAATAATCAGCAGGATGGGGAAACAGAGATGTCCAAACTCAAACTACAATTTGACTTCTTAAGCTCTTTTCATGTCTACAGGAATCCACAGGGACCTAAACCAAGTATTTGATATTTATGAAAAAGTTTTGTGCCCTTTTCACTCAAATTCTACAATAGAAATAATAGTCATAATTACTGAATGCTGTGGGGGTAGCGGAGGCTTCGTGCTCAGCATTTTCCATGTTGGAGCATTTAATGGAGCACAGGAAGGGATCTGGCTAAGGACCATAAAATTCCTCCTAGGAGCAGGTTCTGTTGTCTATCTATGAGAACTGCTGGCTAGTGGCTGTTCTAGAAACTAGAAAAGAGGCACTTTCCACCTGGTTACCAACCAGAGTGGTAAGTGGCCATTGAACGCTTTGGATAACTTATTAATGGATGTATATGTGTTATTCTGCCTCTTCAAAACCAGAGGAGGGCTATGCTGTAATGGGCTTAGATCTAGAAGACCAGGGCTCACAGCCTAGCTCTGCCCTCACTAGCTAAGCCCCCATCTTGGAGACTCATTTCACCTCCCAGCCTGTCTTTTTGTCTGGTAATGGGGATTGATAATGCCAAGTTCACTGGTTCTCAGACATCCATCTGGGGATCTGTCAGTTCTAGCTCAAGATGAAGGTTTCCACAACCTGTGACCAAAATGTGACAATGATAAAGTTAACAATGTAGTAAATGTTTCACCAAGTTAAGTGTGTTCAATTTAAAGGCTTGTCTTTTATTCTGAAGTTATGTCCTCTCCAGTTTTGTGGTGTTAAAATCCCCTTTTATGAAATGATGATGAAAATAGACTGTAGTTGTAGTTAGTAATTTAATAACTCTTTTTTTTTTTTTTTGAGACAGAGTCTCGCTGTGTTGCCCAGGCTGGAGTGCAGTGGTGTGATCTCAGCTCACTGCAGCCTCCACCTCCTGGGCTCAAGCAATTCTCCTGCCCCAGCCTCCCAAGTAGCTGGGATTACAGGTGCCCCACCACCGTGCCCAGCTAATTTTTGTATTTTTAGTAGAGATAGGGTTTCACCCTGTTGGCCAGGCTGATCTTGAACTCCTGACCTCAAGTGATCCTCCCACCTCGGCCTCCCATAGTGCTGGGATTACAGGCATGAGTCACCACGCCCAGCCAATAACTCTTATTTTTATGTCCTTGTTTGGCAAAATAAGGAGTTGGTATCCTTATGTTGGTCACACTAGTTTGTTATTATTATACTAGTCTGTGAAATCTAAGTCTGAGAACCACTGGCCTAGTTCACAGCTTGTTATGAGGACTGAAATAAGATACGTGAAAATGTATCACTTAGATCAAGGATACCCAAACATAAGGTGTTATTTTAATCATTACCTCTAGCCATCATTTTCTGGTGGGATGTTCCTGGCCATATATGGACACCCTGGGGTTGGAGGCTTGAACTCTATCCATTTATTTTCCATCTGTAATAGGTCTGTTCACTAAATTTTCACAAGCAAAATAAAACAGAGAATTATCTCTGAGAAAGAGAAGAGAAATAGTCTTCCTTTGGTTCAGATTTCTCCCTGCTCCCACAGAACGCTTTGCTTCTCTGATCTGACTTCCTTTAAATTTTCACTGTTAGAAGTCAGGAAACCAATACATTTCCCTTCGCAGCTCTAAAGTGTCTCTCCTTAACAGCACAGTAGGCCTGTTTCAACATCATGGGGTTGGAAAGATTGTGTCCTAAATTACAGTTTCTCTCCTTCAGTTATCACAAGAAACTGTAACTAGACATTTAAAAAAAAATACAATCTTAGCATGGCGGCTTAGAGTATAGAAAGACATGGGCTTGTTTGGCTTTGGTTTCAAAATTACTAATGAGTGGTCAGGAACGACTTCTTGTGTCATGAACATGTATCATGACACTCTTGTCAAGAATTGTTGGCCTTCCAGTTTATATATTTGATCTCATACAAAATAAGCAGTTTTGTGTCTCAGAGCAGCTGGTTGGGGATCAATTTACTATCCTTTTTGTTATTTACCATTTTTTACAAGTTCTTAATTTTTCTGCTGTTAGCTGTAGCAAGAGGACTGAAGTTCCTTGGTCTCTAGTATTCATATTACAGGAATTTGGGGATTGAGAATTTCAGATTTCACAAGGATTACTATTAGAACCATGCACTGCTGTCTATGGAGCTCCCACTCTGTGAAGGGCTTTGTTCTGTGTTGTGATGGTTCACAAAAGATGAGGCCAAAATGGTTCCTGCCCTCCAAAACCTTTTGATACTAAAGGGGGGAAAACAAGATTGGTTAACATACAGGACTGAGAGCATGTGCTCATCACACACATTCATGTGGGTATGTGAGTGAAATACACTGTCAAAAATGAACTGATATATCAATGAGGGTAAGTATTAGCAAGATAGTTAAGATTCAGTAAGATATTAGTAAGATAGTAAGATATTAGCTAAATCTTATAGAAGTACAGTTATTCAAATTGCTGTTTTAACATAAATTTTAGAATGAACTATTTGATAAGAAATGAACTTTTTCCTGGCTCTGCCACCAGTGAGCTTTATGCTTGGGCTGCTTACCTGATTGTGATGTTTCCCACCTATTTTCCAAAAGGCAATGGGAATGGCTACCACTCTTACCAGGGCAATTACTAGACTTAACTATAGTCTGAAGAGTTAAAAATAGATACATGTGGCTGGGATTGAGTTGCTGGTTCCGATTCCGAGCTGCTGGGTCCTTCCCCCTCTCCATTACCCATTTCTCCAAGGAACTCTTCCCAATGCCAGACCCATGACTGGGGATGCCACAGCTGCTGTCACTTTTTCAGGAGAAGAGAAGCTGCTGCAGGATGCCCTGCCTGATTGGGAGCTTATGAGGCCTCAAGAGGAGGAGCACTCTCTGCTCTCCCACAAGAAGCGAACAGCTATTGTGCCTGCCCTGACAGCACAGGCTGGACATTGCAGATGCCTGCAATTAGTATCCTGCCACCAGGTTCTGTCTGGCCAGACTCCAAATCACAGGTTGGAAATAGGCTTTTGTGTTTAACAAATATCACTGTGATTAAAAAACAATAGGCATATCCCTTTAGCCCCATAGGTTCCTAGGCCTATAGCATGGGGCATGGCTAGAAGAAGCCCAGAGCAAGATCCTCTAACATGGGCTCTTGCCCTGGTCTGAGGGCAGTGATGAGTAAACTTATAACTCTAGAGATGTTCAAGCTGCAGGAACAACTGTTCTCCATTGAGGTGGAAGTTTTGCTCATCATTCTTTATAGGTTACAGGTTTGCACTGGATGAATGACCCAGTTGCAGCCAGCCCCTTGTCAGCTCAATGCCATTTCCATTAGCCATTGCTGTGCTACAGGCATTATATACTATCATGTTTAACGATATTTTTTCTATAGACCAAATTTTTGACTCTATTAAAACAGCCATATGTTACAGACCCTGAAACATTTTCATTCCATAGGACACTAAAAGTGTCCTAGAAGACCTTCCTCATCCTGTGACATGATTCCTTCCCAAAGCATTCTCTCTGTTCTTTGGATTTAAAAGAGTAATAATAAAAATATACGGCCCTCAATGTGTAAAGCTATTAATAAGGGTTTCCAGATTTCAACCTAGAGAAGAGGAAACATAAATTAAGAGCACAGAAGTCAAAGAATTGTGTAGCTTTGATTGCAGGCAGTTTATCTCAATGGTGTAGTGGGAAGAACCCAGCCTTTGTGATCAAGCAAACAGAACTGCTGCTATTTAGCTGTCTAATCTTGGACAATATATTTAGCCTCTCTGAGCCTCAGATTTCTTTTTTCTTTTTTTTCTTTTTCCTTTGAGACAGGGTCTTTCTCTGTTGCCCAGGATGGAGTATAGTGGCACATATCAGGGTTCACTGCAACCTCGACCTCCCAGGCTCAAGCAATCTTCCTGGCTCAGCCTCCCAAGTAGCTGGGAACACAGGCATGCACCACCGAGCCCAGCTAGTTTTTAAAGTTTTTTGTAGAGATGGGGTCTCACTGTGTTGCCCAGGCTAGTCTCTATCTCCTGGGCTCAAGTGATTCTCTTGCCCTGGCCTCCCAAAGTTCTAGGATTACAGGCATGAGCCACTGTGCCTGGCCTTCAGTTTTCTTATTTGTTGGAATCAACTTAGTTAACAAATACTTATCAAGTTCTCACTGTGTGCTGGGCTGTATGTCAGGCATTGAGTATATAGCTGTAAATAAGACAGGCATGGCTCCTACCGTCATGGAAATTACAGTCTAGCAGGATCAAGTTAAATGAAATAATATAATGTCAAAGTTCTTTCACAAAGTTGGTATTCAATAAATGCTAATCCCCTTCCACTTCCCTTCAAATATACGATCATTATATATTCTGACACTCAAACATAAGATGGCCACAGACAATTTCATACATACAAGAATTGTGTTGGGAGCCCAGACACCCATAGTATAAGGGAACTCTTCAGCATTATGTCTCACGAAACTTAGATCAGTGTGTGGTCTTGATTTAAATCCATGTAACCAAGGGTTTCTATTTATGGTCAACAATGAATCCTTATTTTTGGTGGACTTTAAGGAATTATACAAATATTGCCTCATTGATGCTTTCAGACCATTTGTGAAGTGAATGAGAATAGGTATTATTATTATTAAACCCATTTTACAGATGAGGAAGCGGATGGAAGCACATTCTTCGGGGCCTTCTTTGTTCTCTAGTCCTAGTCTGCACAAAGGAAGCACTGGATAGACGCTGTGTGCACATTGACCGTTCTGGCAACTTGGAAAGGAGAGGTACCCCGCGTTAGCAAAAACAGATATTGACTCAGGGTTGCATTGCGGCCGCTCAGCTCTTGCCTTCTCCCTCATTTCTTCAGGTGGGTGAGAAATGGGCGACTGGAGTTTCCTGGGGAACATCTTGGAGGAGGTGAATGAGCACTCCACCGTCATCGGCAGAGTCTGGCTCACCGTGCTTTTCATCTTCCGGATCCTCATCCTTGGCACGGCCGCAGAGTTCGTGTGGGGGGATGAGCAATCCGACTTCGTGTGCAACACCCAGCAGCCTGGCTGCGAGAACGTCTGCTACGACGAGGCCTTTCCCATCTCCCACATTCGCCTCTGGGTGCTGCAGATCATCTTCGTCTCCACCCCGTCCCTGATGTACGTGGGGCACGCGGTGCACTACGTCCGCATGGAGGAGAAGCGCAAAAGCCGCGAGGCGGAGGAGCTGGGCCAGCAGGCGGGGACTAACGGCGGCCCGGACCAGGGCAGCGTCAAGAAGAGCAGCGGCAGCAAAGGCACTAAGAAGTTCCGGCTGGAGGGGACCCTGCTGAGGACCTACATCTGCCACATCATCTTCAAGACCCTCTTTGAAGTGGGCTTCATCGTGGGCCACTACTTCCTGTACGGGTTCCGGATCCTGCCTCTGTACCGCTGCAGCCGGTGGCCCTGCCCCAATGTGGTGGACTGCTTCGTGTCCCGGCCCACGGAGAAAACCATCTTCATCCTGTTCATGTTGTCTGTGGCCTCTGTGTCCCTATTCCTCAACGTGATGGAGTTGGGCCACCTGGGCCTGAAGGGGATCCGGTCTGCCTTGAAGAGGCCTGTAGAGCAGCCCCTGGGGGAGATTCCTGAGAAATCCCTCCACTCCATTGCTGTCTCCTCCATCCAGAAAGCCAAGGGCTATCAGCTCCTAGAAGAAGAGAAAATCGTTTCCCACTATTTCCCCTTGACCGAGGTTGGGATGGTGGAGACCAGCCCACTGCCTGCCAAGCCTTTCAATCAGTTCGAGGAGAAGATCAGCACAGGACCCCTGGGGGACTTGTCCCGGGGCTACCAAGAGACACTGCCTTCCTACGCTCAGGTGGGGGCACAAGAAGTGGAGGGCGAGGGGCCGCCTGCAGAGGAGGGAGCCGAACCCGAGGTGGGAGAGAAGAAGGAGGAAGCAGAGAGGCTGACCACGGAGGAGCAGGAGAAGGTGGCCGTGCCAGAGGGGGAGAAAGTAGAGACCCCCGGAGTGGATAAGGAGGGTGAAAAAGAAGAGCCGCAGTCGGAGAAGGTGTCAAAGCAAGGGCTGCCAGCTGAGAAGACACCTTCACTCTGTCCAGAGCTGACAACAGATGATGCCAGACCCCTGAGCAGGCTAAGCAAAGCCAGCAGCCGAGCCAGGTCAGACGATCTAACCGTATGAAGTGACGCCAAAGAAAAAAAAAAAAACGCCCAAGCTTACGTAGGGCAAGATGAAAGGAACAGGTGCCAACATGATCTGAATCTTCTGTCTCCTGTCCTCCCACCAGCCTCTGGTTGGACAGGCACTGCAGCAGGGCAGTGCACTCCAGGCAACTCTAGGAAACAGTCTTTCCCACATCCAGCATAAGGGCTACCAAGATAAACCCATCGACCCACTAAAGTTCCCCAGTCTCATAGGACTACCCCGCTCCTCCAACCCCAGCAGCTATGGGTGACTCTTCTTTCATCCCCATTTCTCCATAGAAACCCTTAAATCGGAATTGGGGTTGCCTCATAGCCTTTTACCCATCTTGTCTCAAGCTCACTAAGCCAGAATCTATCATCCCAGCATTTCTGAAGCAGATACCATGTGACCATATTTCAGGGATCCAGACTCAAAAGCCTACAGAATACAGACAGGTGACATAAGTTGCAAGACAGGCCTGTTCTAATGCAAGGGAGAGAATGGGGCTGTGAAAGTTGGAAAGCAGGGGCAGCTGCTGCTCACTTCCAGACAATGAGTACCATGAAGTGTTACCTGGTCTTTCTGATTTTTCAAGGGAAGCCAGAAATCCAACCTTTTTTTTAGACAGGCTCTCTCTTGCCCAGGCTGGGGTGCAGTGGCACAATCTCAGCTCACTGCAGCCTCAACCTCCCAAGCTCAAGTGATCCTCTCACCTTAGCCTCCCAAGTAGCTGGGACTATAGGCGCACACCACCACACCCGGCTAATTTTTGTATTTTTTGTACAGATGGCGTTTCACCATGTTGCCTAGGCTGATCTCAAACTCCTGGGTTCAAGTGATCCACCCACCTCAGCCTCCTATAATGCTGGGATTACAGGTGTATGCCACCGTGCCTGGCCCATGAAATCTAAATTTTAATTGAAATTTTCAAAATTGTTAATGTTGGCAACTAAATTTTAAATACAACATGTGGACCAAATGAAATATGTGCAAGCCACATTTAACCTGTGAGGCACCAATTTGCAATATCAGCTTATGCTAATTAGCCCAGCTTTCCTATGGAATCGGTCTTATTATTTATGGTCTCAACTTGTTTCTGTGGCTCCTAAACCTTATTTCACTACTTTGGAGTGTTTTGTTTAAATCATCAGTCCAGGAGATACCTAAAGTTCTCACTGACCATTCTTTTGGCTCATTGTAGCCCCTGGGTTCTGAAGCAATGATATGCTTTGTATTGGTGGGAATTCTGCCCTGGGTACCATCAGAGAAAGAGAGCAAGTTGCCAAAACTCTCTCTGTGAAATCAAAAGGCTTTGAGGCCTGGTTGTAGTTTGTTTTTCCTGAAGCAAAGAAGATCCTTTCTTTATTCCCCTCTTGCAGCATCAGTGCTCAGCCTAAAATCTATACCTTTTTTCACTAGTGACTAGAAGCAAGCCCAGTTTCGAGCTGGAGGACATCTGCTCACAGGCATGTCCTGGGAAGAGGCAGCTCTCAGACATGATCAAAGGGCCATCAGGGTGGCACCAGAGGGAGCCTCTCACAAAGTGGGTGCTCACACAGCCAGGATCCCAAAGTGGAGTCTCAGGCCAAGCTTCATCCCTGGAAAGGACACAGAGGCTAAAGGGAACAAGAAGAATCTTGAAGGGCTCCTGTCCTCATATTCCCACAACTCACCCTCCTCAAACACAGAGTCTGTTCAGGGGAAATCCTCATGTACACGTACATATTTCATACCAGGAGCAATTTTACCCTCAGCCAATTGATTTCCAGAGCAAGGAGAGAAAACTAAGATGGTTCACCTAAAGCAACACTATGCTTCATGGACTGCAGTGCCAAAGATAGGGTAGGAGGTATAGAAACCAAGTTGACATAGCAGGGACCTGGACAGGAGACCAGCAAGGGGCCCAAAAGGGATACTTAGAAAAACTGCGTTTGTTGTATCTTCCCAACCCCGATCAGCATCATCTCAAAGTATATCAATCCCCTTTGCTGCCCTCTGGTTACCACCTTCCTTTTAAGATATTCATTCAAGATATACCTTTCCAAAGCAGGCCTTTTCCAAAACTATTCCTCCCCCTTGACAAAATTTCCATTCCTTGGTGACCCATTCTAAAGCAAAGTAGTCTAAAAATTAAATTCATTCTAAGGTTTGATTGTTCGGTAACTACTCCTGGGGAAAAAACTGCATTTAAAAGAGAAAGACTAAAATATATTTTTACCTAGGTAACCCAAAGTGACAAACCTTCAGTGGAGGGATGTTGAATAGAAGAGGTATGTTTATCTTGGAGGCACGTGATTTTCTGGCTACTGCTTAATCTTACCCCTAGCAAGCAACGTTATTCTACACAGACTTTCTCCTATATGGTGAGAGAATTAACACAATCCGAGGCCTGAGAACCAGAGAGTGCATCCTTGACTCTAATGGCTGCACTATTGCTCCCATAGTTTTGTTCCTGAAGATGCATTTTAGGAAGAGCCTTATGAATAGCTTGATCATTACCAGAATAAAGTGTCTATCTCAACTAGAGCCTAATACAAAAAAGAAAAAGAAAAACGATATCCTGTTCTAAATAAAACTGCTGTTTGGTACCAGTTGTAGAAATGAGGGCTACTGGTCTCCTTATCTCAGGTGGGACATAAGTGTGTGATAGAGCGTCTTTCCTCAGATGAGGCAGTATCCTGCTTCAATGAACGTACCCACACTGTCCCCACATTTTCCCTCTTAGTCTTCCCAATAAAAGGAGAAGCCTATTTAGGAAGAAACAGACACAGGCATCAAGGGGCTGCATTTTTTTTCTATTTCTGCCATTTAGTAGCTGTATCATTATTGTGCCTTGAGCTCTCTTTACTTCAGTTTTCTGTCTACAAACTAAAGCTGGCATTTGCCACCTACCTACATCCAGGGGTGTCCTAAAGATTGAGTTGGCTGCCAAGCATGAGGCCTGCTGAGTGGTACCATTCCCTGAGAGATTCCTCCAACAGCAGTAAGACTGGGAAGAAGGGCAGGTGGATGGTTTCCATCTGTCCCTCCAACCTGCCTCGTAGTTACCTGGTGAGTTTTTCAACGTGAAATAGACACTCCAGAGATCACTTTTCTCAGAAGAGATTCAAAACAGAATTTAACCCCATATGTTTAGTAGGAACCTGAGGCTCATTGACCTTAATAAATGACTGGAGACAGATTGCCAATTACTTTCATTCTCTGAGAAAGAGGTCCCATCTTAAGCGGCCACACAAACACAGCCAGTTTCCATTTAGAAGCAGCTGCATGTCTGTGGTGGTCTTTACTCTAGGCAGCTACACCACTCAGCATCTGTTTTGAGGCAAATAATTATGACTGAGTCAGGATTATAATCCCCATGGGCTTCATTATGTCCAGATTTCATTTCTACTCCTAGTCGGTCCCTTGTTAGATAAAAACCCTAGGGCACATGGACCTACCAATAAAAAGATGCATTAGACAGCGGGACATCAGTAGTACAGCTCCCTCCAGAGGAAAAGGGCTAATCACTTGATAGCAGTTCTAACACCACCCTCAGGGGATATCTGTGACCAAGAATAGATGTACTCAAAGTTCAGTGAGAAAGTTTTGAGCCTGGCTGTGTAAACCCTGGCCTAGTGTTTTGGGCATTATTTAAAAAAAAAAAAAAAAAAAAGAAAGAAAAGAAAGAAAAAAGCCTGTCTGCTTTTCACCATGTCTTTGTCCCCTGCCACACAGGGAAGCATCCAGTACAGCACTGGACAGATATTCCTGAAGGTCTGTGTGACCTGGGGACCCACAAAGAACACTGACATTCAAGTCAGGGGTGTTGATTGCCCCTCCTGACTCTGGGTATTCCAAGATGCCACTTACCTGCTCTATGAGACAATTTTCTCTATGTTAGTTGAGGATGATAAGTTCTGCCCCTCCTTCACAAGATGTTATAGGTCTTTTTTAAAGCTCACTAATTTGGAAATAAATGGAAAAGAAAGAAGCCATCATCAAATTTTGTAAGACCATATTGTAAAATGTATACTGAAGCAGTGACAGTCATCACTTTCAAATACTGCATAGATTGTTAACTAAGATACTGATAAAAAGTGAGCCAATAACTAAAGTAAGGGAAATAAATTTGGAGGGGCAGCAGGTAGTCTTGAATTCCTAAGAATTATGGTACAAAAAAAAGAATGTCTTTAATCACGCAAGAATTGGTTGCTGAAAGAGGTGCTAAAGGTACTCGGCTTAGTAGAGCTCACATATGGAGAAGCGTCAACCCCTGAGATAATCTCTGACTCATGGCAGAAGGGGCTCCATGGATACGGAAAGAGCTGCATGCAGGAACTCTTCAGTCCAGGCCATGTGGAAGGCCTAGGACAAGATTGGTACAAACCACTGCTCCTCTCCAGTTCCCGAGAAGGGTCATTAGGCGTGCTCTAAGTAAGAATGAGAACACCACCCCAACTGCATGTCCCATTCCATTCCCCCAGCCTCCTCTTCTCTCCTTTCCCTGACCATGATTTACCCTCTATGCATACTGTGTGCAAATGATTGCCCAACCCAGCTTAGCAAAGTTTAGATGAGAAAGGTTTGCCTGGTTGGAAGAAAAACTCTTCTGAGTGTAAATACAATCTGTAAAACTACTAAGTGTGTACCTAGAAGTGATAGCGAAATAGGCAAGGAGACTTTCCCCTTTTGCAATTATTGTATTATAACTAAATATGTACTTGGGGAAGGGAGGAGAAAAAGGAAAAAAAATTCTCGGTTCAGCATTTGGGTAAGAGGAAAGAAAAACTTTTATGAAAGACAGTTCACTCTCCACTGCCCTAGACATTGCAGCTCCCAGAGCCAGGAAAAAGTGGTATTCAGCTCTGGGAACCGAATACCACATAAAAAAGTAGCCACCAAGTTGCAGTGGGACATCCCATAGTCTCCAACGCCACTGCTTTCTGGAAGTTCTACAGAGCAGACAAAGAAGATTCTAAAAGAATTCATAAGGTTGTCTGAAGGGAAAAGTAGATGACCCCATGGCCTTTTTCTGCAATTTTTTCATCTATAAAACAAAGTGGTAAAGACTCAGTTTGTTATGAAGCACATTCATAACAAACTTCCTGGGGAAATCTCTGGCAAAAGAGAGACACGTTATTGGGATGGTGGTCCTGTATTCTCCAACCTTCCACATCCTTGTGCCAGAGCTAATAGTCGTGTGTTAGACTGTTACAAAGCAAATAAAATTAACTTGACTTTTCACCATCTTTGTTTTTTCTTTTTACGTGTCAGCTGAAGTAGACTGTGAAGAGACTGCCTCAGTTTCTAGTTATTTTTCCTTTGGAGTTGAGGGCCTAGAAAACAAGGCGAGTGGGGTAAAGGTGGTGAGGTTGGTATGTTAGTAAATGTTCAACCACCAGCTCTCTCCAGGGTAAAGAAGGCAGACTTTGTAGTGTTTGCCAATTTCCTTGGTTTAAATTATCCCACTGCCACCAATTTCAAGCTACCAACCTAATGCCACTGAATGCAGAGTTGGGAAGATGTGCAGTAGCATAACATGATAAGGGTTTCCACCATACGACTGATGTGTACCATTGAGTAGGTATAAATAACCTCAAGAACATAGACGATAGTAAAATAATTAGGAAGTGATCAGCTTTGAATATTTATTACCTTTGCATTTCATATCTTTTTTATTTAAATGTATATAACTTAATTGTTAATAATGACTGTTCTTAACAAATGACTCACAGAATTCCTGAAAATTTAGCAAATGACTCTTGTCAGCCAGTACAAACCAGCTCCAACACACCACTGGGTGGGATGGAAGAGAATCTGATTCAGAAAGAGCATGAAAACTTTCTTGATCAATTGAGATTTGGTCCATTTTTTTTCCCTCTCTTTCACTACACAAATCTCAGGAAAAAATAAACTGTATATTTGTTTGGACTATGGAAAGGTGCGATAGAATGATATTTGTTCTCTTCCATGTCAATGAGAACTACAGAAAGAGTTAACTTTGTTCATTACAGGTAAAAATAAACTGATAACAAAATAAAATTAGCCAAAAGCTTCTGTCTGGGATTTATCATGTCACTTCTCTGCTCATATTCCTTCAACAGCTCTTCATTGCCTACCCAATAAATTCTAGATTTTTTTAACATGACTTTTGAAGCCCTTTATTACTGACTCCAACTCACCTAGAGACTACGTCTGTTTTTACCTGACCAGAATCTATTCTTCCTTCTTTTACAATCTCCATTTCACCTATGGGAAACATCCTTCCTCAATTAGATGTAGTCTTAGTGAACCCTTAGTCATGTTAACCCAGCATCCCCTGGTCAAGGGTCAGGTTTTTGGACCCAAATGGGCCAGTCACTCTCTCCCTGGAATGTGAATCTTGAATAAGAGTAACAAAGAAACTGAAAATTGGTTGGAATTCATTTATCTTGGCAGAAGCTCCAGAAGAAAAATTCACAATTAGTTTCTGCTTACCTAGATTTCCAGATGTTTGGCTCCACATTTTTCAGATCATGGTTCTTCAGCCTTCCTTCAATTTGCTAAGCTACCTAAGCTACCTCTGAGTTCCTTTTTGTTTTTTTAATTTAACATAGCCAAAATCATCTCCATTGCTTGCCAGCACAGCCCGACTAGTACACCACCTTTCTAGCCTCACCTCCCACATTTGTCTACACATAACTGTGCCCCAGCCTTACAGAACCATTGGCCAGTCCCCAATATGGAGAGTCCTGGCAGATCACGATGAAAGTCATGTTGTTTCAGGACTCTGTGCTCTGTCCTGCCTTTTTCCTACTGTCAGCTTCTTCTCATCCTATGAGAGTCAGCTCAGTTGTCTTTCTCTTTATGAAATTTTACAAACTTCCCAAGAAAAGTCAGTTGCCCCCCCCTTTGTGGTCCCTCAGTACTTTTGTGCCCTTCTATCATAGCACTTACCAAATTGTTGTATTTACTTGCTTTTCTCCCATCTGACTGCAAGCAACTTTAGGACAGAGATTTTATCCTATATCACTGAATATTCAGTAGTTAGCACAGTGCCTGGAACGTTGTAATGTTTGCTGAATGAATGAATGATTAGTGAGACATCTCCCAGGGCAGGAAGAAGATAATCAGCCAAGCACTTCCCAGCAATAGAGCAAGTTGACACTACGCAGGCATGTATCTGAGGAAGAGGTTCACTGAAGGTCCCAGGCGTTCCAGGCTTGAAAGCAAGCAAACTTTCTTTGTCATAAGTAAAAATAAAGGAAGAAAAAGATATTTTCATATGAATTACTGGATGTTGTCACCTAGAGCAACCCCAGAAGCCACATATTAAAGATAGCATCCTTATGTTAAAGATGCTGTCACCCAGAGCAACCTTGGAAGCCATGTTATGAAGATGTCAGTTTTTGAACAGTTGTTGATCAGAGGGCTTCCCACCCTGCAAATTCCCATTAATTGGACTTTTAGACCTTACATGAGATGAAAAATAAACTTTTATTGTATTAATCCACTCAGATGTCAAGATTTATCGGTTACGGTACCTAGCATTATCTATTTACAGAAATTGGTACATTGAGGTTAGGTGTGATTGTAACAAAAACTTAAAATATGTGGCTTAACAGTCAGTGATTGGTAAAAAACAAAAATCAAAGCCTACAAAGATGGAGACCCAGGTTTGTACTATGCAAATATTTAATAAAAATATTACCTGTGATGACTTGTGTATTTGTTGTATATTGCTGTGTAACAAATCACTCTAAAACTTAGTGGGTTAAAACAACAAGCATATCTTATCCCTCACAGTTTCTGTAGGTCAGGAATCCTAGAGCAGCTTGGGTGGGGTCTGTTGGAAGACTGCAGTCAAATATAGGTGGGACCTTCAGTTATCAGAGGTTTGACTAGGATGGTAGGATCCACTCATTCACATGGCTGCACAACTACCAAGTTAATGCTGGCAAGTTGGTTTCTCTCCACTTGGGCCCCTCCATGGT
The DNA here is from genome assembly GCF_000001405.40 of Homo sapiens. Taxonomy (NCBI): domain Eukaryota; kingdom Metazoa; phylum Chordata; class Mammalia; order Primates; family Hominidae; genus Homo; species Homo sapiens. Next base: position 147,917,216 of record NC_000001.11, read on the forward strand.
GCTGCTTGAGTGTCCTTATGACCCAGTAGCTGGTTTCCCCCAGAGAAAGTGATTCAAGAGACAAAGCAGAAACTTCAATGTCTTTTATGACCTAACCTTGGAAGTCGCATACCATCGATTCCACCGTATTCTCTCAGACTGCCCCGACCACTGTGGAGAGAATAAACTAGAAAGAAGCAAGATTTAAGGCAAAGACATCAATTTTGGCTCTTTTTTCTGTTTCAATGATTTCATTGTACGTATAATATGCATTGTAATCTGCTCTAAATGCTTCTGTTCAATTGTCACCATAAAGGAAGCCCTCATCCAAGGATAATGTGTGGTCATGACCCCTTTGGCCAGGACAGTTTTTGTGTCCTCTTTTTTTCTTTTCCTCCAGCATCTGTTTTTCTCTGATACTCAGCTTTCCTGAAAACTGTTTAGTGTTTCTAATTCATCCAAGTTTTCCAGTTGTATTTTTCTTTCTCATCTGCTGCAGTTTTCATCTTTAAACTAGCTAGATCTGTAGATGGAAGAAAAAATGAGGTACCTCTAAAATTGAGTTAGATCAATGTAACCAACAGAAAATGATGAGATTAGATAAACACAAGAGACCTGAGCCAATGGAATATAACTTAACAATTAAAAAAACTCAGTAATATCTATAGGGCAGATATTATGACGGGGATGATATTACAACAATTGTTCATCTCTCTAAGATCTCTCAGATCAGAAGGTCAACTTTCTTCAGTTTTTTTTCATAATTGTATCAGCCTATGGCACTAAATTCTAGGACAACTCTATATTTTTCTTGAATTATAGTTTACTTGTCTTCCTTTAAATTTTTTTTTTTTTTTTTTGAGACGGAGTCTCGCTCTGTCACCCAGGCTGGAGTGCAGTGGCTCAATCTCGGCTCACTCACTGCAAGCTCTGCCTCCCGGGTTCACGCCATTCTCCTGCCTCAGCCTCCCAAGTAGCTGGGACTACAGGCGCCCGCCACCATGCCCGGCTAATTTTTTGTATTTTTTAGTAGAGACGGGGTTTCCCGTGTTAGCCAGGATGGTCTTGATTTCCTGACCTCGTGATCCGCCCGCCTTGGCCTCCCAAAGTGCTGGGATTACAGGCGTGAGCCACCGCACCCGGCCAAATATTTTTTAGAAATTTACTTATCCAATAGTCAAACAGGATTCTTCTTTACATTTTTATTAATTCTGCTGACCTAATTTTACTGTGTCTAGTCAGGTCCTATATCTATTCTGGGATGGATGAGATTCTCAGTTTTATAGATAAGTAATAGACAGGGAAAATAACAACAACTAGACAGAGAATAACCTGGAGTCTGTGGAAGGTTTCAGAGACAAGAGAAGAAAACAATAAACACCAAAAGTAAAAGAATGGCATAATTTCAAAAAATCTTTACTTAAAAAAGTAAAAATTTACTTAAAATCTGTTTGTACTCTCAAAAAAAAAGGGTTAAAGAAAACATGGACTCTATAAAACAATACATGAAACAAGATAATAAGGTACTAGATTGAATTGTAAAAGGAGCTGGCAGAGTTAGCAAACAATGCCACAGCAGAATTTAAGAATAAAGAGCAGAATTAGCAATACATAAAACCAAATCAATTTTGTAAAGAATCAATATCAGAAATTCTCCCAAATGCCAAAAGAAAGGACAAAGAGATGAAAATTATCAAAGAAGAAATAATAGATATGGAGGAAAGACAATAAAAATCCAACACATGGATATCGATGCTCCTGAAGAAAAGTCAGGACAAGTGAACCGTAAGCTCTAAAGATACAATAGAAGGAAATTTTCTTGAGCCGATAAAAGACCTAAAATTGCAAATTGGAAGGGATTCATCATGCACCAGGGAAAAAATCTAGATAAATTTTGATTTGCAAGTATAAAGACATAATTCTATAATTTAGAAATGTAATGGAACAACCCCTGCAATGGTTTTTGTACCACTGTTTAACAACTATGTTTTCACATTCTTGTCTGCTTGTGAACAGAGAGTAGGGTCATACCTCTCTCAATAGGAGGTGAGGCTTCCTTGAAGATAATAGATATTTCAAATGTCAACTGCTGAAAAGAGAAAGATTCTAAGATGAGAAAAGAGAATTTGGAAGGTGGGCCTTAAACAGGAACAAAAGGGAATTCCTTTCTCTGAGCCTCATTCTCTTGAGCCTACAATCCAAAGAGTCATAATATGCTCGCTATTGCTTCCAAAAAAAGAAGGGAAAATGGCATCTGCCAGATGGAGGCAAGCTAGGAACTAAGTTGGAGAGTTAATGAGTTAATACAAGTCAAGATCTTAAAACAGTACCTGGCACATGGTAAGCATTCCACAAATGTTAGCTATCATCACCTTCATAATTATCATTCTATGTGATATGATCACTGTAATTTAGCATAGCCTTATTATTATTATTGAGACAGTCTTGCTCTGTCACCCATGCTGGAGTCCAGTGGCACAATCTCAGCTCACTGCAACCTCCACCTCCCAAGTTCAAGCAATTCTCCTGCCTCAGCCTCCAGAGTAGCTGAGACTGCAGCTGCATGCCACCATGCCTGGCTAATTTTTGTATTTTTAGTACAGACTTGGTTGCACCCTGTTGGCCAGGCTTGTCTCGAGCTCCTGACCTTGTGATCTACCCACCTCAGCCTCCCAAAGTGCTGGGGTTACAGGATGAGCCACTGCGCCCGGCCTAGTCTTATTATTAAATGATGTACCTTAGACTCAGCTTTGATAGCAATTTAAGAAAAGGGTTTATGTGGTCTGGAGGGTGAAGGAGAGAGATTCCTCCTCTCCCTCAGAGGCCACTGTTGCTCATAGGGATGAGTAATAGCCCAAAAGGGAAAGGGAAGCTGGAGTGAGCATAAGGAACCAAAAACTCATGGCTCTCAGTTTCAGCCAACCCTCTCAACGTCGCGCTAGTCCTTCCAGTGCCAACTGTGGATGAACAGAGCATATATCAAGTTACTCACAAAGGAAAAAAAACATCAGGCTGGCATCATGCTTCTCCACAACACATTAAATTTCAGAAAAGAGAACATTATCCACAGAATATTGCGGATGAAAAACTTAAGCTGAAAACTCCACAACAAGCCAAATTTCATTCATGTGTGAAGCCAATTGAAAGGCACTCTCAATTATGCAAAAGCTCAAAATACCTGCAAACCCTTCTTTAAAGAAAAAATGTATTTCATAAGCCTATATATATATATATGTAGATATATATACATGTAGATATATATATAGATATATATATAGATATATATATATAGATATATAGATATATATATAGATCTATATATATAGATCTATATATAGATATATATAGAGATCTATATAGATCTATATATATAGATCTATATATATATTTATTTTTTTGAGGCGGAGTTTTACTCTTGTCGCCCAGGCTGGAGTGCAATGGCATGATCTCGGCTCATTCAACCTCCACCTCCCGGGTTCAAGAGATTCTCGTGCCTCAGCCTCATGAGTAGCTGGGATTAGAGGCGTGTGCCACCACACCTGGCTAATTTTTGGATTATTAGTAGAGACAGGGTTTCACCATGTTGGCCAGGCTGGTCTCGAACTCCTGACCTCAGGTGATCCACCCGTTTCAGCCTCCCAAAGTGCTGGGATTACAGGCATTACCCACCACGCCCGCCCAAGAGAAATATTTTTTAAAAGAATTCAAGGCTCAAGAATAGTGGCTCATACCTGTAATTCCAACATTTTGAGAGGCAGAGGTGGGAGGACTGCTTGAGCCCAGGAGTTTGAGACTAGCCTGGGCACATTGTAAGACCCTGTCTCTACAAAAATTTAAAAATTAGCCAGGCATGGTGGCACATGCCTATAGTCCCAGCTACTTGAGAAGCTGAGGTGGGAGGATCACTTGAGCCCAGGAACTATAGTGAGCTGTGATCATGCCACTGCACTCCAGCCTGAACAGCAAAGTGAGATGCTGTCTCAGGAAAAAAAAAAAAAAAAAGAAATCAAAAAGGCAAAGTATGAAAGAGGCTGATGATGAATACTGAAGACATTTAAGCATAAAATGAATTAAATGTAACTATTTTACGTATAATTACAAAACAGAAGACAAATATCATAAATATTCCCTAACAAAAATATATTTTTAAAGTAAGGTTTAAAATCCCAGATTACACCAACATAAACTTGGGTATTGTGTGGGGTGAAGGGAGTAACAAGGAGAAACGTGAGAAAGTAGAAGTGTCCTGGTATTCTCAACGTACAAAGATACTATTTTATTCTGTATGTTAGTAATAAGAAAAATATAAAGTTGTGTGTGTTATTTTAAAACAAAATGCATGCCTTCCAGATTACTAGGAAACAAAACAAGAAACAAGGACTACACAGTCCATACAGCAAAAAGAAGAAAAAACAGAAAAAAGGCAAAAATAAAGACCAAACACACAAAATACGAGAGCAGAATAATTAAATCAAACCAAAATATTGATCTTTATTAATATAAAATATAATATGCAACAAAGACATACTGTGAATCATTTTGCACTGAAAAATAAGGCATTGGACTGTATGAAGCTCTCAGAAATATATGGAGATATGGACAGAAAAATAATAGTGATAAAAGACTTCAGTCCTTGACGAATTGATAGAAGACAAAAATAGAGAGGACCTAAATGTAATTTACAAGTCTGATTTAATGGATATGTAATGAAATGTTAAACAAAATACTTCCTATGTCTTGGAGTTTCAGTAAGGCTACATAACCAAGGACAATAAATGCTCAATGTCTATACTCTCTAAAAAGTGGTACAAAGCACAATCTAGAATTGCTTTAAAAAAAAAAAAGTAGCCCCCAAACAGTCTTGCAACTCCTAGCTCACAATCCACCTCTGGGTTATTTAAGAGAACGATAAGGGTTAACTGATAGGAGCAGTCTTTGAAGAGAGTTGTCAGACTAGAAGAAAGAGCTGTGGTGTTTCTCACCCCCTTCCCTCACTCCCCTCCAAGTGAGGGGCTCAAGGAAAACCCCTGAGACTTTTTGGGAAGCACTTGCTGGGAGGGAGGCCTGACCTCTTTCTCACTAGTCATTAGTGGCCTATTGGTCTGCAGAAGTTCACAGGCTCATCTCCGGCTACCACAGTAGCCAAGCTTGCAGGACCTTGATGTGTGTCCTCAGAATTTGCTGGAACATAGACACAGTGACCTTCCCTTGCCCAGGGAAAATTGGAGGCTTGAATAAGTGTTTCTTGTGGGCCAAATTCTTCACCATCATATTATTTTATTATAGTAAACACCACCAAAAAAATAATCCAAAAGGTAGATTGGTTAACTTACTCATGAGATAACCATATGATGGAATGTTACTGAGTCAATAAAAATGCTATAAAGTCTTTGGCAAAAGAAAATATTCATAATATACATTTTTTTTGAGACACCCAGGCTGGAATGCAGTGGTGCAATCACAGATTATTACAGCCTCAACCTCATAGGCTCAAGCAATCCCCACACTTCAGCCTCCAGAGTATCTGGGATTACAGGTGTGCACCACCATGCCTGGCTAATTTTTTTTTTTTTTTAATAGAGACAGGGTCTCCCAATGTTATCCAGGTTGGTCTCAAACTCCTGGACTCAAGTAATCCTCTCACTTCGGCCTCCCAAAGTGCTGGGATTACAAGTTTTAGCCACCATGCCTGTCCTATAATATATTTCTTTTTTTTGTTGTTTTTTGTTTGTTTGTTTGTTTTTTGTTTTTTAGACAAAGTCTTGCTCTGTCACCCAGCCTGGAGTGCAGTGGCACAATCTCGGCTCACTGCAACCTCCGCCTCCCAGGTTCAAGCAATTCTTCTGCCTCAGCCTCCCAAGTAGGTGGGATTACAGGCATGTGCCACCATGCCCAGCTAATTTTTGTATTTTTAGTAGAGATGGGGTTTCACCATGTTGGCCAGGCTGGTCTCAAACTCCTGACCTGAAGTGATCCACCCACCTCGGCCTCCCAAAGTGCTGGGACTACGGGCGTGAGCCACCATGCCCAGCCCCATAATATATTTCTAAAATGAAATATAATGAAAACTATGTAACAACATAGTATGCTCATTGTCTTAGTTCAAGCTACTATAACAAGATACCATACATTGGGTGGCTTCAACAACAAACTTTAAAAAATTTTTTATTCTTAAGTTTTATGGGTGCATAGTAGGTGTATATATTTAACAAACATTTATTTCTTACAGTTCCAGATGCCAGAAGTCCAAGATCAGGGTGCCAGCATGGTCACTTCTTGGTGAGGGCCCTCCTTCTGGTTCACAGACAGCTGCCTTCTCACCATATACTCACCTGTCAGAAAGAGAGTGTGCTGGTCCTTCATCTCCTTGGAAGGGCACAAATCCCATCATGGGGCTTCACTCTCATTACCTCATCTAAACCTAATCAGCTCCCAAAGGCCCCTCCTCCAAATACTATCACATCGGAAACCAGGGCTTCAACATATGCATTTTGGGGGTACACAAACAGGATCCATTTTTTCAATATTGGATCACTAGGAGTCCATAGCACTCCTTGTGATCCAGTTTTGGGAAAATCAAAAGGTATATGTGCATTGGTGTGGGTATGCATCACGTTAACCAAGAATAAGAATGAATATCCCAGACTTTGGAAATATGCCAGTGTTGTACTCCTTTGCAACTGTCTTAATGTCATGGTGGCAAATCTCAATCCAGTGGTAAAGGTGGGCACTTCTTTAAAATAAGCAAATGTCCCTGCTGGTAGTTATCCCAAAAAGAAGTTAGTCCTGGAGCAAGAAGTGGTGGGGCAGTAGGGAGAGCTTTCTGCTCTGCCTGAGCACAGACAGCAGGGGACCAGAAGTTTGGAACAGTTCATACATTAAGAATATGAACATCCTTTACTTTGAACTTCAACTAATATATTCCATTTAAAATTTAATCTCTACACATTCTTCCCCTTTGTTCACAAAATATATGGATCAAATTCATTCTGCATGATAATTATATTAACAGAGAATCCCAAAATTAGTTTTAATAAATGGAAAAAGTTGGTGTTATATATTTCAAATAATGCCGCTGAATCTTTCCAAATTTGGGAGCTCTACAATCATCAATCTTTTCAGTATAATTTGAATAACTGACAACCAAAACTTTTAAACATACATTTATAAATATTAATAAATAAATATACATTGAAACTAATTAACAATGAAGGAAAACTGAACGTAAACTCATAATAATAATAATGGGTAAAAATTATTGCATACTTACTATAAAGTGCTTATTTTCCTGAGGGCTTTATGTATATTAATCTTCATAATAGCCTTATGAGATAAGGTACTATTACTATCTCTATTTTTTAGATGAGGAAACTGAAGTACAGAGAGTTTAGTAACTTGCATAAAACCACACAACTATTTAATCTTCTTTATTCCTCAGGAACACGGCCTCAAGAACAACCAAGCACTTGATACAGAGTTAACTCTAACTCATATGAACCAATCAGTGCACACCAGGTCAGCACCAAGGTCAATATATCCAAAATGAGATTGTATAAGAGGAAAGGACCGGAATGCACCTCCAAGAAGGTCTGGCAAAGTGAGAATCAGCTAGGCAAGAGGTTCAAAGTAGACTCAAGGAAGATGAAGGGGAATTCTTGAGCCAAAGCACAAGTGGTTGGAAAAGATTTTTAGGCTTCCTGAGGCTGTGGAGTGAGCATATCTAGAGAAAGGGGGGTGGGAGTGGAAAAAAGGAAAGAGCAAAGCTAGCACCACTCTGGCCCTTAGTCCCCTTTCTCTAGGCAAATCAGAACTGGCATTTTCCTAGTGTGAAGGCGCTGACTCACTCTAGGAAAGTTTTGAGGTGGGGAGCAGAGTCTCACAACCAGTCCCCAGTCAGTGTGCATAAGAATCTCCTGGGAAGCTGTTAAAAATGCAGATTACTTCTAAAAAAAAAATTGAATGCACAAAAGCAGAGAGTAGAGTGGAGATTACCAGGGGCTGGGGGGGGGGATAGTTGGGTGGGGTAGGGGAGATGTTGGTCAAAGGAAATTTCAGTTAGATAACAAGAGTAAGTTCAAGAGATCTATTGTACAATATGGTGACTATAGTTAATAACAATGTATCCATTTTTGAAAATCTCTAAGAGAGTAGATTTTAAGTATTCTCACCACAAAAAATAAGTATCTGAAGTAATACATATGCTAATTACCTTGATTTAGCCATTCCACAATGTATACATATTTCAAGACATCATTTTGTGCATGATAAATGTATATAATTTTTATATATTATGACTCCCAGATTCCTCCTCAGAGTCACTTTCAGAAATCCCAAGTCCACTGGTCTACATTAGGGCTTATGAATCTACATTTTAAATAAGCCCCCCAAGTCGTTAGAGAACCACACTTTGAGAAAACTGCACCTATACATTTTCTAGGTATCAAGTATAGATACTGTCCATGGGACCATTGGGAAATAAACACTTTTCCTCTGAATACTTGGGGTTTCCTGTCCAGCTTACACTGGTGACTTAGTGGGGCAAACAGGGGAGTTCAGAGACTCAGTGAACCTGGCACAGTAGGCAAAACTACAAGATAGGATGTCTATCCATGAAGGGAGACAGCGGGAGTAGGATGCCACAGAATTGGTGATATCATATGTCTCAAAAGATCCCAGACTTACAACTGCATGTGAATCTACAACTATGTCACAGTAAGTAAAAATTTTCAAGAGAAAATCCCTAACAGAGATCATCCAGCCACTGGCATGAGCAGGTGCTATGTATGTGCATGGAGAAGAGGTACTAGGGTGTCTCCCAGGGATCTAGTGTTAGTGTCAACTCCTGGGCCCAGTCCTTTGCATTAATTTGGAGGAAGGGGATGAAGTAGTTAGCTGTCAGTATGTGGATGGTGCTGGGAAGTGTGAGAGTACCGTAGGTATGAACATTGCAGTTGCTATGACAAAGGACAGTAAAGTGGTGTGAGCAAACACTCATCCAAAGGACACAGACTGATCATCTTGTCAGTCGACTCTTTGTAGCACATCTATGGGACTGGCTGCCAATCTCTGGATGAGTGGCAAACAATGGCTACTAGTTATGAACATGACATATTTTGAAAAGCTCCCTTGGAAAAAGCACAAACTGGGGACTCAGAGCCCAGATGGTGTGACTGTCCATGGAGGCAGAACCAAAAGATCCCACTATTCTAAGAGGATGGCAGCAGCTAGAGTGGATCGGGAGAATATTACCAGCGGTAGAGATGGGAGGACAAGCCATTTTAGTGTCAGAGTCCACCACCAGCAGAAGAGACTTGCTTTGAAAGGAGAGTCAATTGGATACTAAATGCTGTGCGAAGGTTTCTAAAGACATTCCTCAATCAAAATCAGGGGATAAAGCAGTCGCTTGAATCACCTAGGCCTGTCCTTTACCTGGACACAAGTGGTACAGTAGGGAGAATTCTGAATAGTGTCACCCAAAGCTTTGCATAGGCCTTAGGCCAGCAGGTATTGCACACCTTTCTCTGCTATTCCTCGTTACTGATATTCTGATCCCCACTGTGCACCCCAGTAAGCCACCAAGGTAAACTGCTTGCCTTGATAGTCTCTTTCAGCACTCTGCACTCTACACACTCTTGAATGTCAGTTAGGTGCTGTTATGTGGGAATCTACCTGCTTACCTAATAGACATAGCCTGGACACAAAGTTCTCTGGTTTATGACACTCCCATTGTACAGCTGCCTCCACAGCTCCTTGAAATTCTGGATCAGGGATTGGACATCTGACAGGTAGTTTTGACTGCTTGGTATCACAGAGTTCAATCCAACAAAAGGAAGACATGTTCCCTTGTGTGTAATGAATCTGCAGGTCACTTATTCAAACTATAGTAGTCTGAACTCAGATGCTGGATGTCAGGTCCCCTCAGGATTGTCTTCCTGCGTCTTGACTGCAGCCACTCCTACACAGGGTGATTTCCTGGGCTGGAGCCAGTTTGCAGGACTATGAGACTATATAGACTACAAAGCCTAGCTAGGCCCCAGGTCGGCGGCAGAGTAAGCCCCACAGCAATGCGTTAAGCCTTCATGAAATGAGTGTTGAATGAATGAGGTAGTGATTCAGTGTATATTTGATCCACTGCAACAGGTGGGAAGGGGGCAGAGGCAGCTACTTCCTAAAATAACCCTTCTTCAGACTCTTAAAGAACTGATCCTTGTTTTGAATTAAAATCTATCTTCAATTAACTTCCAGTCCTTTGCCCTACAGATAATTCGTAGTGCCACATCAGTTCTACCCATTCTTTCACATGAAGACAGATGTCATGTTCTGAGTCATCTTTCTTCGCCTCCTTCCAGCAGCCCTTATCTGGTGGCTCACATTTGAGCGAGCTCCAATATGTCTCTGTAGAATCTCTCTCTTCTTTTTTCTTTTCTTTTTTTTTTTTTGAGATGGAGTTTCGCTCTTGTTGCCCAGGCTGGAGTGCAATGGCGCGATCTCGGCTCACCGCAACCTCCCCTCCCGGGTTCAAGCGATTCTCCTGCCTCAGCCTCCCTAGTAGTTGGGATTACAGGCATGCACCACCACGCCCGGCTAATTTTGTATTTTTAGTAGAGACAGGGTTTCTCCATGCTTGTCAGGCTGGTTTTGAACTTGCGACCTCAGGTGATCCGCCCGCCTTGGTCTCCCCAGGTGCTGGGATTACAGGTGTGAGCCGGCCCGGCCTGTAAAATCTCTTCAAAGTGTGGTACATGGAGTGCAGTACTCCACCTGTGGCCTGACTGATATGCAGTACAATATTATCACTAAATTGCTACAGACAGTGTGCTTTTCATTGTTGTCACAGAAATGTATTTGGTTAGTTATATTTGTTCATATCTCATCTGACTTTCCAGTCTTCCCTCACTTTGTACAGTCATATTTGCCGAGTCAAGTAAAAGTTATAACATTTAGGACACAATGCCCGACTTACTATAATTACCATTATTATCTTAGGATCATTACAAAACAGAATTACCACTTAGCTCTCAGGCCCTACCTCCTTCAGCCTCAGAAACGTTAACGCTACCTTGCATTGCTGCTTTTAGCACCGCCCCTAATAAGCCCCGCCCCTGGGGCTTCCGCGGCGGAAGCCTAGCGTCCGCCCCACCCACCCCGAGCCCGAGGCGGGGCTGTGGATGTAGCCGCTGATTGGCTGACTGGGGCGCAGCTTGACGGCGTCGGGCTGGAGAGCCGCAGTCCCGGCTGCAGCACCTGGGAGAAGGCAGACCGTGTGAGGGGGCCTGTGGCCCCAGCGTGCTGTGGCCTCCGGGAGTGGGAAGTGGAGGCAGGAGCCTTCCTTACACTTCGCCATGAGTTTCCTGATCGACTCCAGCATCATGATTACCTCCCAGGTGAGTCACCGCCTCCCGCCCCGACACCCGTCCGCCTCCCTTCACCGAATCGCCCTCTCCGGTCCTCCGCGGTGCGGGCTGGTCCGGGGTCTCGCTCCTCTCTTACGCGGCCTGCGCCAGTCACTCTGGCACACAGAGAGGGTGTGCGATTTGCTGCGGCCGGTTCCCTCAGCCCCGGCTGTCAGGAGGCTGGCCTGCGGCCGTCCGCGTCCCCACCCGGCATCCATCCCCGGAATTTCGGTCCACTTTTGGAAGCGGTCCGCCGACCTCCAGGCTAAGAGCCGGCGCCGCCAGCTAAGGCGGCGGTTCTAGGAGCTCCTCGAAGCTTCCGGGCTGCGCCAACTGATCCTGGACTGGGGAAGCCTGTGTGGTTCTGGGCGCGCGGTGTGCGACGCGCCAATACTGGATACTGAGGACACGTCAGTGCAGGCTTTGCTGTTAGATGTCAAATCCTGAATCCGGGTGTGGAGAAATTTGCTGCTTCAAAGTATCAGTATAAGGTAATACCTATGCTTGAAAGTATAAGGTTTCGTTTTTGCACTGACACCTCGTCCTTTATCCTCTGCTTAGTTACCCACCTTTTCCGGATGTTTTTCTGACCCTCATTTCTTCTCCATTGGCCACCTTCATTTGTTTGTACAGTCAACAAACATTTATCGACCATTATATAAAGCTCTGAGCGTAAAAACATGTAAGACACTGTCTCTGCTCAATAGAAGTTTCGTCTAGTTAGCCTCTTGCTTTTACCATGTAATCTATTGTTAATTATTGTTTCTTCCTAGCATTCATCATAGCACTGGCATCATTTATGTCTGTGTTTCTGATTTTGTTTTTTGAGATCCTGCCTTGTTCATAGCTGTATCCCCACTTCCAAATGCAGGCATTCAATAAATAATTGTTGGCCAATATTTGTGAAGCTCAGACTGCCTGTTGACCTTCTTCCCCTCATCTTTCCAATAAAGATTTTGTGTGTGTGTGTTTGTTTTTGCTTGTTCTTTCTCTCAAACGGCAAATAACAGAAACAGTTACCTTTGGGGGCTTAAAGTGAACTAAATTTGTGTTCTTTGATTCAGTTTTTGTATTGCTTCATCCTAATACTCGTCTCCGTAGAGCGGAGCATTGTCCTTTTCTCTTCAAAAACTTGTTTACAATATTTAAGAAAATAAGAAAGAAGGAAAAGCCATCCATAATCCTACCGCTCTAATGCAATAGTTTTTCATTTTTAAAATTTACCACCTTTTCTATAGTTTTCATAAGTATTGTTTTTATTGGCTGCATAGTATTCAAATGTATTAATGTAAAAAAACCTAGACATGTAACTCTTCTGCTTAAAACCTTTCTAAGACTACCCAGTGCCCTTGGTGACAACTCAGGATTATTTTTAGCCTTAGTACCAATTTAAGAAAAATAACAATATTTAATTAGCTTTTCTTTTCACTTAGAATAAAGATAAGAATGTCAGTAGAAAATTGGCTTTGCATTGCAGCCTCTACGATTTTTAGCATGGATATAATTGATACGTTGAACCAAGGAAGTGGCTTTCTAATTTTGTATGCCTTATAATCATAGACTTTCACTTCACACATGTATCCATATGCAGTAATTAATTGTTAAACCTGGTTTTTACAAATGTGGAAGAAAGACCCAAAGATTCCTTTGCATGGAATGTTCTCTGTTCAGATATTTATGTGGCTACTTTATCATCCTTTCGGTATTAATAAAAATGTCGCTTTAGGAAGGTTTTACCTGACACCCTGCCCACAACCAAAGTAGCTTTCCATTTCGGCTGCCTTCTTCCTCATTTCCATGTTTTATTATCTTCTTGGCATTTATTACTATGGTTCATTTGTATATTCATGTGTTTGTTATCTGTCCATGAAGTCCAAGATACTGTCTGTCTTGTTCTCTCCTGTATTCACCAGCATCTAGATCAGTTGCAGGCACATAGTAGAGTTGTAGTGAATATTTGTTTAATAAAAAGCACCTCTCTAGAGAGGTGTGGTTACCTTGGAAACACCACCATTGCCCCCTGCGCCCCTCCCTGCTCATTTTTTCTGTTTTGTATTAACTGAAAGGTTTATTTGAAATGAAATCTGAAATCAGAGGTCACGTATTGAATCTTGCTCACCACGGCACAGGATGAAGTTCAAACTCCTTTACATGGCTTTTCAGGTCCCTTATTGATGGGACCCTGGCTCTTCTCTCTTCAGCTGTGGCTCCAATTTATTCTTTAGACTTCCTGAACTTCTTTTAGTTCCCTAACCTGGCCATGCTATGGTGCCTCCAGATTTCCACACAGTGTGTTTTCTCTTTCTGGGCCTTTTCCTCATATCCCTCCCCTTTAAGCCTTCAGATCTCAAGTTGAACACCCAAGAAGCTTCCCCTAGACTGGACTAGATGTCCCTATACCTACTGCCATAGTACCCTTCACCTACTTCCCCTGTAACAACACTACCACATTGTTTTGTAATTACTTGTTTATCTCCTCCATAGATTATAAACTCCTTGAGAGTAGCATTCATGCTCTCATTTGCCATTCTATCCCTTGGACCTGGCACATATTAGGCACTAATAAATATTTGTTAAATGATTAAAAGGGTGAATAAATGATCCAAGAAAGGTGTCTTTTATAGTTAATTCTTTAATAACTGTCCTGCTGATGGCCATCTTTTTTTTTTTAACAGTAGCTAATTTTCAACCCAGAAGTCACTTTTTAAAAAGCAACTGTTAACTAACTCATGTTTTAAGCCCTCTATACCGTCATAAGACTTATCAGTTCCAGAGTACACTCTTAAGTCCTAAGGTCAAGACTCTGTACAATTCTGAAAGTATTAAGTCTCATTTTTAATAAGAAGCTATACGCCTTCCATTTTATTTGCAAAGCTATTTGAAATTGCATTTTGCTTCTGCTTTCTTTTTGGATCCTCTATAATCTTGCCAGAATTTGTGTTTACTTGGATGTAAATGAATTCTCCAGCTACTTGTGTGTGTGTGTGTAGTTTAAGTCTTTTTTTTTTTTCAACTTTTATTTTATTTTAGATTTGGTACTTGTGCTGGGTATATTGTGGGAGCTGAGGTTTGGGGTACAAATGATCCGGTCACCCAGGTACTGAGCGTAGTACTCAATAATTAGTTTTTCAACCCTTCCCCCTTCTCCCCTCCCCTGCCCCCAAGTAGTCTCCAGTTTCTGTTTTTGCCATCTTTATGTTGGTGAGTACCCAATATTTAGCTCCCACTTAGAAGTGAGAACATGTGGTATTTGGTTTTCTGTTCTTGGGTTAATTTGCTTAGGATGATGGCCTCTAGCTGCATCTGTGTTGCTGCAAAGGACATAATTTTGTTCTGAAAGTCTTTTTAAGCTTTCTTTGTCAATGTGAAAGGAGGCCACAATGAAATATTAAAGGTATATATCTGTTTCTCTTTTCTTCCATTCCCCTCCCCACCATATAAACTTAAAATTTTTGCTTGTTTTCTCTTCCATTTCATAGCAATCTTGGTGATTTTTTTTTTTAATCATCCATTTCCACTATACATACCACCATCAGTCCTAAACTGCCCAACTTCTCTGTCTTCAGTCGTGGCTTCATAAGTCATATAAATATGGTCTCTAAACTCTGAATTTACATCTGTCTCCACCGGTAAATATTTATAATAGCCAAAGGATATCCTGGACATTTTCTCCTAATCTGTTTGACCCTTTCCTTTTCTGCTTGATCTAGATGCTTGGATCCAACTTACTTTCTTAAACCCTCTTGTTCGTTTACCTTCATGTATATGTAAGTCCACACTTGGATCACTGCTATAGTTTGTTTACTACTAATACAGAGGCCTGAAGGCTACTATAGAAAATCACATAGCTGTGTAGTTTGCCAACGCCAGGAGTTTAACCCTCAGCTCACTGAATTATTCCTTTTCTTGACCTTAATCAGCTACTTGTTTCATTCCCCTCAAAGTTTCTCTGAATCTTTGTCACTCTCCTCAAAGCTCCCTTTTCTAACTCACCTCTCTTACTCTTAGCAGATAACCATGCCTCGTACTTACTCAACAAAAGTGAAGCCAAAAGGTATGATCTCCTACTGTGAATACTTTCTGCATTTTAATCTAAAAGGTTATCTGTGTTCACAACCATTCTTACCTCCTTTCCTCCCATTTCAGAAAACGGGGTTCCCCTACTCCGGTTTAAAGCCATTCTACCTACCTTTGATCTTAGAGTAGCGTATTTTGAAGTGGTTAAAAGCACAGAATTTCTAAACAGACAGACTCAATAAGAGCTGAAAAAATAATATTTAAAAAAAAGCACAGATTTTGGAGTCAAACAAGCTTGAGTTCAATCTTGATTCTGACACTTACTATAAATTGATTAACTTCTCTAAACCTCATCTTTCTCTGTGAAAATAGGATAATCAAACCACTGTACTGAGTTTTTAATTATTTTTATAAGATTATAATGCTAAGTACTACTTAGCCTGGAGTATAGTAAATGCTCAATAAAAGTTACCTAATAATATTAATAATAGTATTATCAGTTCATCCTCTAGTATTCCACCATCCTTCTCATCTTTTTCTCCTTACTTGACTGCTGTCTTTCCCCTTGGCCAATAAACTTTCCCTTTATTCCACATTCTTCTCTAGCCTATTATCTAATGTTTTCTTTTTTTCTCATTCCTGGCTCTCCCTAGAGTAATTTGCATTTACTGTCCCCACTGCTTTAGCTCCCATTCATTCTGACCTGCTACACTCTGGTTCCTGCCTCTACCTCACCATTCAAAATTGTTTTCCTTATCCTCTAGTGTTTTCTTCTTGGCACATTGCTCTCCTTACTCTAGATACTATTCCCAGGTGATCTCATGTACTTTGGTGGTTTCAACTCATAGGTATATCTTAGACCTGCCTTCACAATCTGTCTTTTATTCCAGATACTTGCTGGATATCTTGACCCATCTTGCTGGCTGTCCCTCAGGCCCTTAGTGTGTTCAAAAATGAGCTCATCATTTTCCCCATCCTCTGCCCCCTTTCCTAAACCTCTTCTTTCTCCAGTATTCTTTATATAAATTGGGTAGCTTCACTCTTCATCCTGTATTCCAAACTAGTCATCCTTGACTTCTCCCTGTTGATTTTACCTTCTAAATAGTTCTCAAATCTGTTTTCTCCTCTTCTGTCACCAAATGTCTTAATTCAGGGCTTTATCATCTTTCATCTGAATTCCCATAACACATTTCTATAATGTTTCTCTTTCTACACTGTCGCTTCCTTCAAGTGTGTCTTCCACACAGCCACCATACCGCTCTATATAATATAAAACAAATCAGACCATGCCATTTCCCTGCTTAAATAACCCTCACCACCTACAGACTATAATCTAAGCTCCTTAGGGTGGCCTTCAAAGCTCTCAGTGATTGGACATCCACTCCTCCTGTCTAGCCTCATTTTTAACCTCTTCCTTCTTTGAATTTCATCTTCTAGCAGCACCAAACCATGTGTAGTTCCCGGCATATACCATGCTATTCACTCTGCGCCTTTACTCATGCCCTTTGCTATCTGGAAAGCCCTGTCCTCCTACCCCTACCACCTGTTTTTACCCTACCTGATTCGTTTTTTGTTTGTTTGTTTTGTTTTGAGACAGGGTTTCGCTCTGTCACCCAGGCTGGAATGCAGTGACATGCTCACAGCTCACTATAACGTCTACCTGCCAGGCTCAAGTGGCCCTTCCACTTCAGCCTCCCCATAAGCTGGAACTACAGGCATGCACCACCATAGCTAGCTAATTTTTGTATTTTTTGTAGAGATGGGGTTTCACCACGTTGCCCAAGCTGGTCTCGAACTCCTGGGCTCAAGCGATCTACCCAAAGTGCTAGGATTACAGACGTGAGCCACCATGTCCAGCCTCCCTACTTGATTCTTATTCATCCTTTGAGAGGATGGTTTTTATGTTAGGGGTGGTGGAAACCTTTGACTGTGTGATGAATACCTTGAAAGCACTCTAGAAAAATGCACATAACCCCAAAATGTGCATACAATATCAGGTTTTAACCCCAAATTAAAACTTCCTTCGGCTCGGGCATTATCTTCTCCAGAAAATCTGTCCTAACCCCCTACAGATTGGTTTGGTCTCCCTCTTTCATATTGTTTTACAATATCATGTATGTATTTCTATCATTGCACATCCATATTATGTTATAATTATTTATGTACTGTCTTCACTATATTGTGAGCTCCTAGAGGGTAGTAACCATCCTATTCATCTTTGTATCCTCAGCACTTAGCATAGCACATAGGAGTTATTACAGAAAATTTAAGATTGAATGCTGAAGAATAAACCATCTTTTATGTAGACCACTTAGCCATTCAGCAAGCACTTATGGAGAGCCTGCTACGTACCAGGCTTTGTGCTGGATGCCAAGGATACAAAGATTACAAGACAAACATGGTTTTTGTCCTCATAGAGCTTATAATCTAATGTCAAAAAATATTTAAATCACACATTACAAAACTGTATGGTAAGCACTTTGATGAGGGAAGTACAATGTAAAACAGGATTATATAAAAAGAGCAATTTATCTGCATTTGGGAGGGCAGAGAGGGCCTTCCAGGGGGAGTAAATGGCATAACTGGGAGAGGGCTAGAGAGAAGTTCCTTTCAGAGGACATCTACACAGGTCTCGATGTGAAAGAATATGGATCTAAAGAACCAAAGAAGTTCCAGGGGGCTGAACACATGAGTTTGCTAGGCAGCAGGGGCATGATAAGAAGCTAAAGTAGTCTGTGCTAAACTACTGAGTTTACACTTGCTCAGTAAAGTAGTCCCTAGAAAGACATAAAATCATTTTATTCATAAGGGTCCTAGCCAGTTTAAGAAGAAAAGAGTAGTTGTGTCAGTGTGTATGTATAGAAAGTTCTGTTTACTACAGACCAGCTTTGTCAGCTGTCATGTGGCTACGGTCTCTGCCAGTTTGAAACAAAACTGACGAAAGAGGGATCCTGCAATCTCTCGGCTTTACACTGAGATGAAAACCACTTTTATGTAGATTAGGCAGGATGGTGGAGAAGGTAAGAAAACTCTCTGAAGGAAGCAGATATAAAAAATATTAGGCTTTCTACTACTCCTCTAATTTTGGTCTCAACTCCTCTCCCCTGAAGTTTTTATTTTTTAAATTAATTTATTTTTATTTATTTTTGAGACAGGGTCTCACTCTGTTGCCCAGGCTGGAGCACAGTGGTGCAATCATGGCTCACTGCAGCCTCAACTTCCTAGGCTCAGGTGATCTTCCCACCTCAGCCTCCCAGGTGGCTGGGACTACAGGCACACCCCACCACCCCCAGCTAATTTTTATGTGTGTGTGTTTTTTGTAGAGACGGGTTTTCACCATGTTGGCCAGGCTAGTATTATTTTTAAATACTTGCAATCAGGGATCATCCATAAGAAGCAAGTCTCACTCTGACACCTTTTCTTTTTTTTTCGAGACCTAGTCTCACTCTATCACCCAGGCTGGAATGCAGTGGCACGATATTGGCTCTCTGCAACCTCTGCCTCCCAGATTCAAGCGATTCTCATGCCTCAGCCTTTGGAGTAGCTGGGAATACAGGTGCCCACACCCAGCTAATTTTTGTATTTTCAGTAGAGACGGTGCTTTGCCATGTTGGCCAGACTGGTCTTGAACTCCTGGCTTCAGGTGATCTGCCCACCTTGTCCTCCCGAAGTGCTGGGATTACAAGTGTGAGGCACCGTGCCTGGCCACTGACTCCTTTTCTATTTGCAAACTTCTCTGGCTCATATAATGATTATCATAAGATTATGGCAAAATATGTACTTCCATTTTTGTCTTAAAGCATACTCTGTAACATGGATAACTTCAAAACTCCAAGGGCATTTAAAAATTTATTTCCAATGTCATGAGCTTTAATAAGTAGGTCTTATAAGAGTGGATCTTATCTTTAATCCCTGAAATAAGTTAACCGTCTAGTTAGCAGACCTTTTATCATAAAAGAGTTTCTATAAAACATTTCTCAAAAGAAAATATGTATTGACATTCTATCTTCTTTCTCCTCCAGATACTATTTTTTGGATTTGGGTGGCTTTTCTTCATGCGCCAATTGTTTAAAGACTATGAGGTGAGAAGAAATCATTTTGTCATACTTACACTATATGAATTTAGATTGACAAGAAAAATGTCTCCATTAAAGAAACATTATGTTCATTTCCAAGATAGGAAGCTTTTACCAAATAAGTACTATATAACTATTAGATTGGAGAATATAAGTAGACTTAATTGATTTAAAAGGGGGGAAAAAAGGCAAATCAAATATAGCCCAGAAGTTAGGAGCAAGGATTATGTCTTAGTCATATCAGGATATGTACCAATAGCAAATAGTTATTCTGTAGGAGAGAATTTAATTCATAATGTCTCACAAATGTTCCCTTTCATTTGTCTATCTGGCCCTGAATTGCAAGCCTTATATTATAAGTTAATACCAAAATCCCAAGGCTATCAGGGGAACCAGTCCCCAATATTTCAACATAGGTTCTTTCTGTTTTCCTTAAGTGTCGGCCGGTCTGAGAAATAAAGAGAAAGAGTACAAAGAGAGAAATTTTACAGCTGGGCCTCCAGGAGTGCCATCACATATTGGTAGGACCGTGATGGTGACTCCGAGCCACAAAACCAGCAAGTTTTTATTAGGGATTTCAAAAGGGGAGGGAGTGTATGAATAGGGAGTGGGTCACAGAGATCACATGCTGGAAAGGGCAGTAAAATCACAAAGCAGAGGCAAAAATTAGAATTACTGATGAGGGTCTGTGTCCCACTGTGCACACATTGTCTTTATAAACATTTTAACAGGAAATAGGGTTCGAGAGCAGACAACCAGTCTGACTAGAATTTACCAGGCTGGAATTTCCCAATCCTAGTAAGTCTGAGGGCACTGTAGGAGACCAGGGTGTATTTTAGTCCTATCTCAACCGCATAAGACAGACACTCCCAGAGCGGCCATTCATAGACCTCCCTCCCAGAATGCATTCCTTCCCCAGGGTTATTCCTTGCTGGAAAAAGAATTCAGCAGTATTTCTCCTACTCGCTTTCTGCAAGAAGAAGAATATGACTCTATTCTGCCCAACCCTGCAAGCAGTCGGACCTTATGGTTATCTTTCCGTGTTCCCTGAAAATTGCTGTTATTCTGTTCTTTTTCAGGGTGCACTAATTTCATATTGTTCAAACACACATGTTTTGCAAACAATTTGTACAGTTAACGCAATCATCACAGGGTACTGAGGTGACATACATCCTCAGTTTACAAAGATGACGGGATTAAGAGATTAAAGTAAGACAGGCATAAGAAATTTAAAAAGTATTAATTTGGGGAACTAATAAATGTCCATGAAATCTTCACAATTTATGTTCAGAGATTGCAGTAAAGACAGGCGTAAGAAATTATAAAAGTATTAATTTTGGGAACTAATAAATGTCCATGAAACAATTTATGTTCTTCTGCTGCGGCTTCAGCCAGTCCCTCCATTCGGGGTCCCTGACTTCCCGCAACACAAGGCTGGTGTTGTTTTTATCTTAAGCTTTGGATTCAGAAGATCACCACCCTAGACTCGACATTTCCTAATTAGTTCTCCTAATTAGTAATAAGATCAGTTGTTATAGTCTACATTTGGGTCATTTCTAGGATGTTCTCCATTAAACTTTCCCAGGGAGTTTATTGTCTGAAAGAGCCTGGGATTCTGGAGATTTTCTTCTGCCCAATACTTTAAGACCTCCCGAGGAAGGTTCCAGAACTGATCCAGGATCTGCAGAGTGTTGAAGAACCCCTTTAAACATTAACCATTATGTACGAATCTGTCAGTTTTTTGTCAGTATGCATCAGGAATTCTAAGTGCTACCTATGACCCTGTCACTTCATCTTCTTGTCCTCAAAATTCTTCATCCACAGGAGGATGCTGGTAATAGTGACTCAAGATTCAGAAGTGCCACCTATATTGATCTTTTTCTTTAGCTCCAGGCAAGTTGCTGTTGTGGCCCTACTTCCAATGACTTGAGAATTTCCTCAAAATAAGTTTTCTGCCTTGTAACCAGAAGGAGGTTATCAGTTCAGTTTTTAAACAAGGAAATAACTTCTAGTCTCTGTTTGGCTTTTAACAGATACGTCAGTATGTTGTACAGGTGATCTTCTCCGTGACGTTTGCATTTTCTTGCACCATGTTTGAGCTCATCATCTTTGAAATCTTAGGAGTATTGAATAGCAGGTGAGTAAGAGTACTGAAAACTCCTCTTGAAGAGTTCTGTGCTACATTCTTTACAGTGGAAAAGCTATTGGATCTCATAACTGAAAAAAAAAAAAACACTGTGTTAATAGTTCAGTTTCAGTAACTGCAATGATCACAACAGATATGGGTCACAGCCACCTAATAGCTGGTTTGATAAAGATTATGAGATACCAGGAAACAAAAGATCTGACCGTTAACTCTGAAGAACTCATTGGAGTGAGGCTGTGAAGCTGCAGTCTAGGCTTCACTCCTAGAAGCTTTATTTTTCCAGGACTGCTCGCTGACTGAATCCCAGTAACAGCCCTTCACATTGTTCTGCTGATTGAAAATCTCTACCTGAAAAGATTAGAATTCCTCAGAGCTACTTTAATGATCTCTCTGAAGACTGAAACTCCAGTTCTTACTTAACTTAGTTATTTTTATTGATTTTACAGTCATGGTCAAGTTTGGTTGAATTTAAAGTGTTTCTTAAAACACTTTTTAAAAATAACTCTTTACTCCCCTCCAAATAATAGACTTGTTAGTTTATTAGACAGTCTATCCAAAATATTTCTTGCTTGTTAATCTGCAAGCTTGAGTATGTTTTTAGGCCAGCATTTATATGTAGGGTTCATCAACTATGCTATGCAGACTTTGTTGTGCTTTTTTATCACCACCTGGAAAAATCTTTTAGGAGTAAAGCAGTCTTTCACTCTAAAGTTAGGATTCAGTGCCAAGGTAAGTTCATTATAGACCCCTGGCACTTGAGACTTGTAGAGAGACTATACTCTCAAATCCTTTGATAATCAGAGTTGAAAACGAAATTTAAATTAAAAAGAAAAACTTACTATACAGATGGTTAATCACAAAACATTGAAAGGTTAAAAAAAGAGAGAGGGGCCAGACATAGTGGCTCACGCCTATAATCCTAGCACTTTGGGAGGCTGAGGCAGGAGGATCACTTAAGTGCAGGGGTTCAAGACGAGCCTGGGCAACAAAGTGAGACCCTGTCTCTACAAAAAAATAAAAAAAATCAGCAGAGTGTGGTAGTACACGTCTGTAGTGCCAGCTACCCTGGAGGCTGAAGCAGGAGGATCCCTTGAGCCCAGGAGTTTGAGGATATGCGGTGAGCTGTGATCACTGGACAAGACAATGAGACCCCATCTCTTAAAAAAAAGAGTGAGAGAGAGAGAATCAGAGTTGATAATAATGGTCTCTTGATAGAACAATGAATAACATGTATTATGGTAAAATAGAAGTGTTTTCTGATTCTCCTGCTTTTAAACTTTAATAATCCAAACCTTGGCCGGGCGCGGTGGCTCACGCCTGTAATCCCAGCACTTTGGGAGGCCAAGGCGGGCGGATCACGAGGTCAGGAGATCAAGACCATCCTGGCTAACATGGTGAAACCCCGTCTCTACTAAAAATACAAAAAATTAGCTGGGCATGGTGGTGGGCGCCTGTAGTCCCAGCTACTTGGGGGGCTGAGGCAGGAGAATGGCCTGAACCCAGGAGGCAGAGCTTGCAGTGAGCCGAGATTGTGCCACTGCACTCCAGCCTGGGCGACAGAGCAAGACTCCATCTCAAAAAAATAAATAAATAAAAAATAATCCAAACCTTTTCTTGGATGAGCTAGATATAGATCCTGTGACTATAGAGAATAGACAGGTATTATTTTACATAATGGTTATTAAATTTTATTATCACAACCTGCATCTTTCACTGCTATTTAAGCAGGGGTTGGCAGTCTTTCTTCTGTAAAGGGCCAGATAGTAAATATTTTAGGTTTCTGTGGACCAGAAGGTTTCTATCACAAGTACTCAGCTCTGCTGTTGTAGAGCGAAAGCAGTCATAGGCAATATATAAACAAACGAGCATGGCCATGCTCCAATAAACTTAATTTGTAAAAACAGGTGGCTGTGAGGCCATAGTTTGCCAGCTACTCATCTAAATATTGATACAGAGGATTCAGATATTCTAAAGCTATATTTACTGTTTTTGGTAGATGATGTCCCCCAACTTTTAACTTATAGTTAATAACCCGTATAGTAAGAAACATCTGTCATACTATGGTGTATGTTTCCTAAATTTCTTAATTAGTTAAAGAGGATAAGAAGTAGCATTGCTAAAATCTGGTTTTTCTTTGTGTGCTATATAGAGGATTGGGTCTGAGACATATCTTCAGTTATACCTGTTTTTTCATGCTAATGTTTCACCCAATTATGGAACACAAATATGAACCTTGATGATGTATAACTGTCCATTGACTGGACTCAGAATCGTTTTGAAAAGAGAATCTTGGCCAGAATATTCCTTTGACTCACCTTTGAGCAGAGATCATATGACTTCCTATTCAAATATGTAATCTTGTTGGGATCCTTAGTTTTTTCAAGAGAATATCACTTTACTCTCAGCTCAAAAGACTAGTTAAAACATGTGGTTCACTTTTAATAGGCAGTCCATACTGCCAATTAAAGTTGCACTTGTTATTTCAAACCCACCGCTTCCCAAAATCTTGCAGAAGCTTAGCTGAAATACTATGTAGTATTGCCTGGAGGATGTCCAGCTTGTTTCTTTCTCTAAATGTTCTAAAGTAGGTTAACCTAGAGGAGCAAAAGCTGTCAATGTATCTAGTCTAAATGGTATTCACTCCCTGTAGGGTAGCTTTTACTGAATGGCTCTTTGTTTCGTGATGCCTGCCATCTGTACTAAGGAAGGAACAATAAGAAACAGCCCTCTGAAACATATTTCTCTTGAAAGGATGTTGTTGATGACACTGTTAATTGCCTTTGCATTTTCTTTATGAAATCTTTGAAGAAATTTCATTGTAATCTTGTTAATAATTCAGTAACAATAAATGATAATTATGCTTCCTTTGAGGAATTAATTTTTATTTTCTTACAGACATGATGATTTTATCTAACTGATCAAATTTTTTATTTCACATTGACCATTAGAAAACTTAAAGCTAAATTTATGACCTACCCATAGCAACTTTCTAGAATTCTATTTTATAATAGCCATCAGGCTTGGCCCAATATTTTACCTGTTACCATTGTTGTTCATATTTCCTTATAGTTCATTTCATCATCCTGTATTTTATTTATCTTTGTAAGCCATTTAACCACTTAGGCCTTTTTTGAAACAAGGCTTAAGTAAGTTTAAAATCAGTAAATACAAAGGACACCATCAAGAAAGTGAACCAACATTCCAAAAACAAGAGAAAATTTTTATAAATTACCTATCTGATAATGGACTGGGACTCGTATCTAGAATATATAAAGAATTCTTACAGTTTAATAATATAATACAATTAAAAAATGAATAAAGGATCTGAATAGGCATTTCTCCAAAGATGATATACAAATGGCCAGTAAGCACATATGAATAGATGCCCAATACCATTAGCCATCAAGGAAATGCAAATCAAAACCACAATGAGATACCACTTCACACCAACTAAAATGGCTATAACCAAAAAAAAAACAGAAAATAACAAGTGTTGGCGAGGCTGAGGAGAAACTGGAACTCTCATACACTCCTGAGGAAAATGTAAAATGATGCAGCCACATTGGGAAACAGTGGGAGTGCCTAAAAGATTAAATATAGATTTATCATATGACCCAACAATTCCACTCCATTTCTACCTAAAGAGAAATGAAAACATACGTCCACACCAAAATGTATACACACACATTCCTAGCGTCTCTATTTATAATAGCTAAAAACAATCCAAATGTCCTCAATTAATGAATGCAGAAACAAAATATAATATATCCATATAATGGGATGAATATTGTTCAACCATAAAAGGAATTATTGATAGATACTACAACATGGATGAACCTTGCAAACATTATGGTAAGTAAAAGAAGCCAGTCACAAAAGATTACATATTGGTGGTTTCCTAGAAACAGAAAGTATATTGGTGGTTTCCTAGAGCTGAGGAGATTGGGGAGAAACAGGGAGTGACTGCTAATGGGTACAGGGTTTCTTTATGGCGTAATGAAAATGTTCTAAAATTGATTTAGGTGATGGTTGCACAACTCTTGAGTATACAAAAACCATTGAATTGTACACTTTAAATGGGTAAATTATATCTCATTAAAACTGTTATAAAAAGTGCTAACAAAAAGTTTTAATAAATGAAGTACATCTTATAAACTAATAAAAGTAATTCATGCAAATCAGGTGTTTATATCAAGAGTACAAAAGAAATATTTTTGAGTATAACATATATTACTGTTAACATTTATTTTCCTTTAATTCTTACATTGGAATGAGATTCCTAGGGGTGGGTAAAACAATAGTCATTCTACCAGCAATGGCATATGTTGATACATGTTAATGGTATATGTTGCCTATGAATATATCAAAAACATAAACATTCTTATTTTAATATATGAAATTCTTAAGATGTTAAGATGGTCATACATACCTTTCAAAAATTTGTATTTTTTAATCTCTACAAATGAGTAGATTTTAAGAGCCTAGTAGGCTGATTAGATAGGATATATTCAATATTGAGTCCAAGAGCAAAAGGACCCTTTGGAAGACTAAAGAGAAAGAAAGTTGCTGCCCTCTCTTCCTCCCAGTGACAGTCTTTGACATTTATTTCAGCTCCCGTTATTTTCACTGGAAAATGAACCTGTGTGTAATTCTGCTGATCCTGGTTTTCATGGTGCCTTTTTACATTGGCTATTTTATTGTGAGCAATATCCGACTACGTAAGTATTTTACCCTCTCAGTCAGCGTATAGATTGAGATGAGTATTTGAGGGGACTTAAATTGTGGATAGCTTCATTTCTACATTAACTTTCAGTATCTACCGCTATTTGAGGATACCTCACACACAACATCTTAAAAATAAATATAAAATAAATATTGAATGAATTGGCACAAAATAAATATTGAATGAATGATTAGGTTATTTGTTCTGCCACAGCTTTATTTTTCTACCTATTAATAATGTCTCCGTTAGTTCATCCCACACCTTAAATTCAGCTAAATTTCTCTTACGATGGTAAGGATGCTTTCACTAAAAATTATGCTGTTCATCAGTCATTTGCCAAGTGAATTAGCAGCCAAATATTAGTTAGCATTATCTTATATTTTTAAATAGAGCAAGCTCTTTAACCTATATCTGTTTTTCCTAACAGTTTTGTCTCCTCTGTCTCAGTGCATAAACAACGACTGCTTTTTTCCTGTCTCTTATGGCTGACCTTTATGTATTTCTTCTGGAAACTAGGAGATCCCTTTCCCATTCTCAGCCCAAAACATGGTGAGTATATATAGGAGGGCAGAGGAAGTGGGGGGAGAAGATTTGTTTAATTTTCTGATTTCAAAAACAATTAATTAAATTTCTTGGGGAAAAAATGTATTTGGGGAAATAATTTATTAATTCACAGGTTCTTGGGATTTGGAAAAAAATTTTTCTGATTGAGGAGGATAGCAAGCTATTTCTCTGAAAAATGTCTGATTTTGAACCACATTTTCTCCTTCATTCTAAGAGATAACTAATGCTGGTTTTGGACCTCACTTCTATCATTCTAGAGTAGGAATTTTTGACCTTCATTTACTGAATATACTTAAAGGGTATAAGGAAAGAGAACGGTGTCTAACTCATATTGTATATGGAACTACAGGAATATATTTGTATGTGTATTTGGAGGTAAGGTATCAATAAACTTTTATCAGATTTGGGTAGCAGATTTGGGTCTGTGACCCAAAAGGTAAACGGCCACTGCTTAAGTGATGATAAAGATACATTAGGGAAGCATATGTATTTGAGGAAAGGTGACATAAAACACCCACAATTAGTAGATAAAGAAAAGCTTTCCAAGAATCGGTGTCTCCCCTCTAACAAAAAAAGTTTATTTTAAAACAAGAAATTTGGCAGAGCCCTAATTTTTAAGCTAAAAACAATGAACAAAAGTACCTCAGCTAACAAGTCCTTCCAGAACTATTTCAGAAGTATGTATGAATCTATCTAAAAAGATTAGAGAATCTATCTAAAAAGATTAGAGAGCCCATCTGTAATAAATATACTACAGGTTTCATGCTGGAACCTTTTTAAAAATATATATATATATACCTCTTTATTCACCATCCTGCCGTACCTATTATTAGGCTTCTTATTGCAGAAAACAGAATCTACTGTAACTAATTTAAAGCAGAAAGTGATTAATTATACAGTATCAGGCAATTTATAGACTTTCTAGGAAAGTAGGGATGCAAAGCTTAACTGCTATATAGTGAAGAGAAATACCCAACTATGCCACAATACTAAACTAGAAAACCTCACTGAAGTTATCACCTGCCACTCAGGGTCTATGACATCAGGGACCTCAGTCCCAGCTGTTTGAGCTCCTAAGTGCTATCACCACCCCTACATTGTTCATTTCTGCATCTGAGGCCTCACATGGGCCGGGTTTTTTGGTGAAACCTAGGTAATATTTAAAACCTTGGCCTCAAGGAAGTCTGAGAAGGGGCTTTTGGCTTTCTAAACTCTGTAGTACCAAAACAAATGCTGGAAAAGGATATTGGAATTAATGTTGAATGAGCCAGTGTCTATTATAGAATCTGCCATACCTCCCACACACCCTTCCATGTATACTGATTGCCTATAGCAGGAATTTCGAGAGAGAGAGGTTATGAGACTCTCCTGCAGTAAGATCAGAGGAGATATGCAGTTTTGAAAAGCATATGCAATACCATAAATAGTTGTGTATTTTTAAAATAAGAATAACTTTCAAAATTTCAAATAACATTAAAGGCCGGAAAACTTAACATAACACCAGCCTGCCAAAAGCATTCAAACTCTTAGGTGGCGTATGAGACCTTTCATGACCTGGCTGCTGCTCTCTATACATGTTGCATTCTCCAGTCCTGTGAAATTATTTCAAGTTTCTTTTTTTTTTTTCTTTTTGAGACAGGTCTCACTCTCACCCAGGCTGGAGTGCAGTGGCATGATCTTGGCTCACTGCAACCTCCGACTCCCAGGCTCAAGTGATCCTCCTACCTCAGCCTCCTGAGTAACGGGGACTATGGGCGCATGCCACCATACCCGGCTAATTTTGGTATTTTTTCATAGAGATGGGGTTTCTCCACGTTGCTCAGGATGGTCTCGAACTCCTGAGCTCAGGGGATCGACCCACCTCAGCTTCCCAAAGTGCTGGGATTACAAGTATGAGCCACCACACCCAGCCTCAAGTTTCTAGAGCTGTTCTATCAGCCTGGACAATCCTTCACCAACCCTGTCTACCTAGAAAATGCCTATTTATCCTTTCTAGATTCAACTCTTGTCAATTCCTTTAGGAAGATTTTCCTGGCCATCATTAGGAGATATTAATTGCTACCATCTCAAGGTATCTATATCATCTATAAAACTTAAAATTTCATGTTTCCTTTTCTAACTTCCTCATCAACCTATGGGCTCCCTGAGGTCAGAAAACTGCATGTTATTTGTCTTTGTATCCCTAGTGCCTAGTGTGGAAACTGACACATAACAAGTGTTTAATACGTGTTCTTTGAATCAGTGGATGGAAGAAAATTGAGTCTCTCCAAAGTGGTAGATGAGTTTACTACTTTAACACTCTGGATAGGAATTTAGGAAATGCTAATGTGATCAGCATGCCTATGTCAATGGTCAACGAAGGGAACGACTTGCACTAAAGAGTCCTGGTAGTATAGTTCTCATATAAACCTATTTCAAAGAAACCCACAGACAGACACATTTATCTGTGATGGTAGAAGTCAGAGAGAAGAGTTAGAAAAGGCCCCCAGGGCTGCTGACAGGGCAAATACAGTCTCACATGCACTACAAAGACCCGACTCTGACACCTTTCTCCAGCTTTCTCCTGTGTGCATTCAGCTCACATGACCAGTGCAGCCAGGCTGCACCAGAGGGAAGATGAAGGCCATTGTATCTATTGTCCTTTCATCCACCCCTTTTTCTAAATTCTATGGGATTACCCTGAAAAGGACACTGAGGGAGAAAGCTAGGGAGATAGTTTCAGTTTTATTCTTTCCATTGTACTCCAATAGGCATTACAGTTTTATGCCTGAATGTTCAGGTATCTTAATTTATTTAACCCTCTAAGATAAGTAAGGAGGAAGAAAAGTTTAGGTAGTAGCTGAGAAGCAACCAGCCTTACACTGCCTTCTTAGAGCTTTCCCAGGACTGTCCCAACAACCAGTATGGTTGTTTATTGCTGTGGTGACCACAAAAAAATGGGCTGGGCAGGTTGGCTCACCCCTATAATCCCAGCACTTTGGGAGGCCAAGGCAGGGATATCACTTGAGGCCAGGAGTTAGAGACCAGCCTGGCCAACATGGCAAAACCCCGTCTGTACTAAAAATAGAAAAATTAGCCAGGCATGGTGGTGCATGCCTGTAATCCCAGCTACTCCCCGGAGGCCGGAGACACAAGAATTGCTTAAACCCAGGAGGCTGAGGTTGCAGTGAGCTGAGATCGTGCCACTCCCCTCCAGCCTGGGCGACAGAGCGAGACTCTCAAAAAAAAAAAAAAAAAGATAAGACCAATCCTTATGTAAAATGAAAAAAAAAAATCTGTAAAAGTACTTCTTGTGCTGTGTCTGAACCAACCTTGGAATGTCCTTAGTGGGAAAGAGTAAGAGAGATTACAAAAGACTGTAAGGAATCTGTGTGAGCAGGTGGCAAAGGTGAGATGATCTTCTGCTAGTCTCCTTATTCATCTGACTTTCCATGTATTAACTGCTAAATGGGGATAATGATGACTGACTCCTACTTCATAGAAATGCTGAGATTAAGTAAATAGTATCTACAAAGTACTTTAAACCAGAAAAAGATATGTAATAAAAGGACAAAGACACCATGTTAAAAGGAATAAAGGTAGAGGGGGAATTTTTTCAGTTTTTCAAATTTAATAACCCATATTAATCTCTTGGATTTTTTATGTTACTGAGTGATATTATAGTCAACAAACATTTGTTGAACACCTCATATGTGCCAAGCAGTAAGGAAAACAAAGATCAATAAGAAATGATGTCTTCTTGTAAAGGGGTTGCAAATTCAAGAGGTATACGGCAAGTAGAATAACAGAATTTAGGTGAGGATTTATTCGTTCATTTAGCATTACACAAATATTTATTGAGCATCCACTTTATATAAATTAAGCACTGGAAATAAACCACAAACGGAACAAACTTGGTTTCTGCCCCCCTGAAATTTATAGTCTTGTGGGTGGAACTAGACAATAAAGAGGTAAATATATAAATAAATAATTGCCAATTGTGATCATTGTCATCAAGGAGTGAACAGGTTGCTGTGATAGAGAAAAATGCCGATAATGTAGTGCAAACAGTTAGATCCACCCTTTCTGAGACAGGGATATTTAAGCTGAGATTTAAAGGACAAGACCAAAGGAAGACCCAGCAAGAAGGCACAAGAGACATCATGTAAAGCCCTGAGGCAGAAAGACCTTGGTGTATTCAAGGAAAGGCAAGAGATAGAATGGAAAGTAATCGTATAGTGTATAGATTTTATTGTTAGGGTGATTATGTCATTTTCTAAGACAGGTAATGCAGAGGAAGGAACAAGTTGAGGGGAAAGATAATTTTAGTTTGGTATATGCTGAATTTGAGTTACTTATGCATATCCAGGTGATGTTAAATAAGCAATTGGATGTACAAATCAGGAGCTTAGGGAAAAGGTGTACATGTATCAGTCCTCATAGAGATGACTCCAGGAATCTAAACAACTAGAAATCATCAACTAAATGCCATTAGGTGAAGCTGGGGAAATTGGTGAGATCACCTAAGCAAAAAATGTGTATCCTGAAATGAAAGTGAGAACTCTGGTCCAGACAGAGCAAGAAGTGACCAAGAAAAAGCAATTAGAGAAGTAAAAGGGAAAACATAGGGAAATGGTGTTGTGGAAGCCAAGAAGATAAAATAATTTTTTTTTTTTTTTTTTTTTTAATTGATCATTCTTGGGTGTTTCTCACAGAGGGGGATTTGGCAGGGTCATAGGACAATAGTGGAGGGAGGGTCAGCAGATAAACAAGTGAACAAAGGTCTCTGGTTTTCCTATGCAGAGGACCCTGCGGCCTTCCGCAGTGTTTGTGTCCCTGGGTCCTTGAGATTAGGGAGTGGTGATGACTCTTAACGAGCATGCTGCCTTCAAGCATCTGTTTAACAAAGCACATCTTGCACCACCATTAATCCATTTAACCCTGAGTGGACACAGCACATGTTTCAGAGAGCACAGGGTTGGGGGTAGGGTCACCGATCAACAGGATCACAAGGCAGAAGAATTTTTCTTAGTACAGAACAAAATGAAAAGTCTCCCGGGTCTACCTCTTTCCACACAGACATGGCAACCATCCGATTTCTCAATCCTTTCCCCGCCTTTCCCCCCTTTCCATTCCACAAAACCGCCATTGTCATCATGGCCCGGTCTCAATGAGCTGTTGGGTACACCTCCCAGACAGGGTGGTGGCTGGGCAGAGGGGCTCCTCACTTCCCAGTAGGGGCGGCCGGGCAGAGGTGCCCCTCACCTCCCAGACCGGGTGGCTGGCTGGGCGGGGGGCTGACCCCCCCACCTCCCTCCCGGACGGGGCGGCTGGCCGGGTGGGGGGCTGACCCCCCTGACCCCCCACCTCCCTCCCGGACGGGGCGGCTGGCCGGGCAGAGGGGCTCCTCACTTCCCAGTAGGGGCGGCCGGGCAGAGGCGCCCCTCACCTCCCGGACGGGGCGGCTGGCCGGGCGGGGGGCTGACCCCCCCACCTCCCTCCAGGACCGGGCAGCTGACGGGGCGGGGGGCTGACCCCCCCACCTCCCTCCCGGATGGGGCGGCTGGCCGGGCGGGGGGCTGACCCCCCCACCTCCTTCGCGGACGGGGCAGCTGGCCGGGCAGAGGGGATCCTCACTTCCCAGTAGGGGCAGCCGGGCAGAGGCGCCCCTCACCTCCCGGAGAGACGGCTGGCCGGGCAGGGGGCTGACCCCCCGACCTCCCTCCCGGACGGGGCAGCTTGCCGGGCAGAGGGGCTCCTCACTTCCCAGTAGGGGCGGCCGGGCAGAGGCGCCCCTCACCTCCCGGACGGGGCGGCTGGCCGGGCGGGGGGCTGACCCCCCCACCTCCCTCCCGGACGGTGCGGCTGGCCGGGTGTGGGGCTGACCCCCCCACCTCCCTCCCGGACGGGGCGGCTGGCCGGGCGGGGGGCTGACCTCCCCACCTCCCTCCCGGACGGGGCGGCTGGCCGTGCGGGGGGCTGATCCCCCCACCTCCCTCCCGGACGGGGTGGCTGCCGGGCAGAGACGCTCCTCACTTCCCAGACGGGGTGGCTGCCGGGCGGAGGGGCTCCTCACTTCTCATATGGGGCGGTTGCCAGGCGGAGGGTCTCCTCACTTCTCAGACGGGGCGGCTGGGCAGAGACGCTCCTCACCTCCCAGACAGGGTCGCGGCCGGGTAGAGGTGCTCCTCACATCCCAGACGGGGCGGCGGGGCAGAGGCGCTCCCCACATCTTAGACGATGGGCGGCCGGGCAGAGACGCTCCTCACTTCCTAGATGGGATGGCGGCCGGGAAGAGGCGCTCCTCACTTCCTAGATGGTATGGCGGCCGGGCAGAGACGCTCCTCACTTTCCAGACTGGGTAGCCAGGCAGAGGGGCTCCTCACGTCCCAGACGATGGGCGGCCAGGCAGAGACGCTCCTCACTTCCCAGACGGGGTGGCGCCGGGCAGAGGCTGCAATCTTGGCACTTTGGGAGGCCAAGGCAGGCGGCTGGGAGGTGGAGGTTGTAGTGAGCCGAGATCACGCCGCTGCACTCCAGCCTGGGCACCATTGAGCACTGAGTGAACCAGACTCCGTCTGCAATCCCGGCACCTCGGGAGGCCGAGGCTGGCGGATCACTCGCAGTTCGGAGCTGGAGACCAGCCCGGCCAACACAGTGAAACCCCGTCTCCACCAAAAAAATACGAAAACCAGTCAGGCGTGGTGGCGCACGCCTGCAATCGCAGGCACTCGGCAGGCTGAGGCAGGAGAATCAGGCAGGGAGGCTGCAGTGAGCCGAGATGGCAGCAGTACAGTCCAGCTTCGGCTCAGCATCAGTGGGAGACCGTGGAAAGAGAGGGAGAGGGAGACCGTGGGGAGAGGGAGATGGGGGAGAGGGAGAGGGAGAGGGAGAGCGATAAAATAATTTTAAACAAAAATGATTCAATGTCATAAAAGAGCCAATGAAACAAGGATTGGAAAATGTTGAATTTTGCAACCAGGGGAAAACTTATTACCATAGTGTCGTAGTGGTTAAAGCCCAGACTCTGGAGCTAGACTGCACTTGAATCCTGACTCTGCCCCTTTTATCTGTGTGGCCTTAACTAAGTTACTTAACCTCTCTGTGCCTCCATTTCTTCATCTGTAAAATTAGGTTTTCAATAATATCTACCTCATAGGATTGTTATGAGGGTTAAATGAATTAGAACATGTGAAATGCTTAGAACAGTGCCTAGTCATAGCAGGTGCTTGGTGAATATTACCTATTATATTGCCATTACAATTACTAGTGAAAGTAATTTCATTCAATAAAGAAGAATGGGAAGAAAGCTGGATTGCAGTCAGTTAAGGAATGAACTGGAGGTGAAGAAAAAGTGACAATAACTATAAACTTCTTTTAAGAAGCCTGTCTATTAAGGAGGAAATAGATGGGGGTTGGTAACTAGACGTAAACTCGAAGCCAAGAACAGAATTTCTCTTAGAAAAGAGAATTGAAACTAAAGAGAAAGAACTAGCAAAGAAGGAAATATTGAATATACAAGAGAGAGGAGACAGATGATGGAACAAGACTCTGAAAGAGGTGGAAGGGATTGAATACAATCAAAAGTATGGTGACTTCTAGTTCCAAGATGGTGGCGTAGGGGCAAGCTGGCTTTGCTTACCCCCCTGGCAGAAAACCAAAAACAAATAGCACCAAGATTATCACTAGCAATATCCCAGAACTCACATATAAGGATGAGACAGTTCCCAGGGCCCAGAGAAGATCAGAAGCACAAGTGGAGAAGTTAGCTTTGGATGCTACTTTGTTCTAAGGGAGACAAGTTGGGAGGATGATTGCAGATGTATATTCAATGTTATAAAACAGCCCATAAAACAAAGATTGGAAAATGTTGAATTTTGCAACCAGGAGAAAATTCATGACCATAGTGTAGAGTGAAGGTAGTTTGTAGTAGAGTGAAGGTAGTTTATGGCTAATAGCTATGTCTTTTATAATAAGGACATTGGCAAAGGAGAAGGACAAAGGTAGGAAAAATAAAGAGTAACTGCCAAAGGCAATGGAGAGAGATGGCTGACCAAGGGCAAGATAAGGATTAGTCAATAGTGTGAGAGCTCTCTTAGGTCTGGAGACCATACATTTGTAATGGCTCCAAAATCAGTATGCATTCTAGCAATTTGAGGCAGCAAAACATGGGCACAGGGAAGGCAGAGTGTTAGACTGATCCAGAGTTGGGAATTTGTAGGATTAGCGCTTCAGAAGGAAGATAGTAGGAGATTGAGGCTCCTGGTGAGAGAATTTGAAGCCAGCAAGCCTGGAGTCCAAGCTAGGTGAAGAATGGAGAAGCAGAAGACCAGAGGTTGCACTGACCTCTAAAACGAGTGTAGTGGAAATAGAAAGACTAGGAATGGAGGCCAGTAGTCAGAAAAGGAATATTGGAATTTTCAGTTTTGAAGCTGACAGAATTCCTGAATTATATAGCTCTGGCATTTGACCATAGGAGTGGATGGCTGTAGTGAATTCTATCCTAGAAATAGAAAGTGAAAACCAATTAAAACCATTCTTTTTCTGCAATGCCAAACTTACTGAGTTATTCTTCAGCATTGGCTTTCTCTCATTTATCCCAAATACATCAACCAGCAGTATTTATTTTAACTGCTAAGTTGATTTTCAGCATTCTCACGTGATATGAAACAATTGATAATTAGGATACAATTTATAATCCGAAACTGATGTGTTTGCCTTTGAATTACTCATTCATCTATAAGTTTAGTCCTTTTATTAGATGAATTCTGTGTTTATTGGATGCAAAAAAGAATAAGACAAAAGCAAAAGAGTATCACCTTAGGGGAAATACATATATATCAAAGATAATTAGCACAAAGTAGTTCCTGCTATTTATACTTTTCCAGCAGATTTACTTTCTTAGTTTTTTTTTTTTTTTGGCCGATGCTTTTACTAAAAGTACTTTGCTTTGTTAGCATTCATGCTACCAAGAGTAAACAGTCAATGATTGTTATTTATAATTATTGTTGTTATTATTTTACTGCTATCACCCAATAAAAGAGATCACTCTGAAGCATATGGGACAGGAGGAAAATCAGTAAACTTTTAGTATATTTATTATAAATAATCTACACATTAATAATTAAAAGTTGGCTTGTATGAGTTAGTTATGTGTAATGGTTAATGTTTTAAATAATGTTTCCTTTTGCAGTACAGATGAGAGCCATTTTGTCTATATTACCTGGCATTAATGTGCCTTGATGTTTTTAGGGATCTTATCCATAGAACAGCTCATCAGCCGGGTTGGTGTGATTGGAGTGACTCTCATGGCTCTTCTTTCTGGATTTGGTGCTGTCAACTGCCCATACACTTACATGTCTTACTTCCTCAGGTAACAGAGCGCTTTGCATCCTTTCTTTTTTGCCCCATTACTTCTTGAATACATATGTCATATTATGCCACCATCTTTAAGATTATATATTAGATCTATGACACTGTCTTTTTATTCTTCTCTTCCTCTGTCCCTGTGGGCATTGACCTGGAAATCTTTCTAAATAAGTATTATCACTTGTACGGCTTGCCTTTATTATTTGTCCTACATTCATTTATTTTTTAAATGGCAAATTTCAATCTGACACTCCCCTCCCACTTTTTTAAAGGCACATTTCTAGTGACCAGCAGTATAAACCAACTCCAACTTCAGCAGTTCAGCTCCCCTCCTAGATATTAACAGAACAGTAGAAGACAATGCCAAGTTAAAAGTGTGCTTAAACATACATCCTAAATGTCACTGAGCTGAGATCATGCCACTGCACTCCAGCCTCGGCGACAGAGCTAGACTCTTTCATAAATAAATGACGGGTTGATGGGTGCAGCAAACCATCATGGCACGTGTATACCTATGTAACAAACCTGCATGTTCTACACATGTATCCCAGAACTTAAAGTATAATAAAAAATAAAATAAAAATATTTAAATATATATTTTATATATATATATAAATGTAACTGGATCAAAGCTAAGAAAAACTGTAAGAGAGCTGGGTGAATTCCATTTCCCTGAGATCCCAGAGGATTAGCTATAAGAAATGAGAGCAAAGGCATTTTAGTTTATTATGGTCATTTTACTATTTTCTAGAAAAAAGTAGTAGGTAACAGTTGAAGTCTATGTTTGTCTCCAGATACCCTGTATCATGCCCAAGAGTGGGACCCCAAAACATTTTGCTAGCAGTTTGTGCTTTTTGTAGGAATGTGACTGACACGGATATTCTAGCCCTGGAACGGCGACTGCTGCAAACCATGGATATGATCATAAGCAAAAAGAAAAGGTAAGATATCAACACTGTAATACATTTGGACTCTTACAATTTCTCAACAAGAAAATTTGACTGTGAATTGGTGCTGGCAGGGAATTTTATCTTATTCATTTTTACTATAAGGTAAAGTACCAGATTTAGTGTTGGCTGGACACAGTGGCTCACACCTGTGATCCCAGCACTTTGGGAGGCCACGACGGGGGGATCATTTGAGCCCAGAAGTTCGAGACTAGCCTGGGTAACATAGTGAGACCCCACCCCTTTAAAATAACAATAAAATTAAAAATATAAAAAATTTTTTTAAAAAGATTTAGTGTTTTGTGTGAAAGAAAATTCAATCTCATTTCTTGAATTTAGATCATTCTCCTTAGATAAATTATTAGAATTTTTTTGTTTAATTTTTTAAATTGTAAATTGACAAATTATGGTTGTATATATTTGTGGCATACAAAGTGGAATAATTAAATCAAGCTAATTAACATGTCTGTCACCTCACATGTTTATTTTTTTGTGGTGAAAACATTTGAAATTTACTCTCAGTGATTTTGAAATGTGCAATACATTATTATTTATTACATTCATCATGCTGTACAGTATGTTGCAAAGAAAAAAAACCTTATTCCTCCTTGTCTAACTGAAGCTTTGTACCCTTTGACCATCATCTCTCCATTCCTCCCACCCATCCAGCCTCTGGTAACCATCATTCTACCCTCTGCTTCTGTTGAGTTCACTGTTTTAGATTCCACATATAAGTGAGAACATGCAGTATTTGTCTTTCTGTGTCCAACTCATTTTGCTAGCATAGTGCTCTCCAGTTATATTCAAGTTGTCACAAATGAAAGAATTTCCTTCCTTAAGGCTGAATAGTATTCTGTTGTACATGTATGCCATATTTTCTTTATCCATTTTTCTGTTGCTGCACATATAGATTGATACCATAACTTGGCTGTTGTAAATAATACTGCAGTGAACATAGGTGTACAGATATCTCTTTGACATTTTACTGATTTCAGATCTTTTGGGTAAATACTAAGAAGTGGGATTGCTGGATCATATGGCAATTCCATTTTCAGTTTTTTTGGGAACCTCCACACTATTTTCCATAGGGTTGTGCTAATTTATATTTCCACAAACAATGTAATAGGGTTTCCTTTTCTCAGCATCCACACCAATGTTCTTTATCTTTTGCCCCTTTGATAGTAGTCATTCCGACAGGTATGAGGTGATATCTCATTGTGTCTTAGTTTGCAATTCCTTAATGGCTAGTATGTTAAACATTGTTTGATATATCTGTTGGTCATGTGTATGCCTTCTTTTGAGAAATGTCTATTCAGGTTCCTTGCCCATTTAAAAATCAGGTTATTTGTTTTCTTTCTGTAGAATTGTTTGAGGTCCTTATGTATTTTGTATACTAACCCCTTATCAGACATATGGCTTGCAGATATTTTCTCCCAGTCCATAGGTTGTCTCTTCACTCTGTTAATTGTTTTCTTTGTTGTGCAGAAGCTTTTTATTTTGATGTAATCCCATTTGTCTATTTTTGCTTTAATTGCCTGCACTTTGGGGGTTAAATCTAAAAAGTTATTGCTCAGAGCATGATTTGTGTAGTTTTTCCCTGTTTTCTTCTAGTTTTATAGTTTCCAGGCTTAAGTCTTTAGTCCATTTTGAGTTAATCTTTATATATTAAGTGAGAGAAGGGTCCAAATTCATTCTTCTGCAGATGGATATTCAGTTTTCCCATCACCGTTTAGTGAAAAGACCGTCCTTTTCGCAGTGTGTACATGTGGCACCCTTGTCAAAAATCAATTGACCATACATGTGTGGGTTTATTTCTGGGTTCTTTATTCTGTTCCCTTGGTCAATGAGTTTGTGCTTATGCTTGTATCATGCTGTTTTAATTACTATTGCTTTGTAGTATAATATGAAATAAGATAGTATGATGCCTCCAGCTTTGTTCTTTTATTCATGATTGCCTTGGCAATTCAGTTTTTTGTGGTTCCATATGTATTTTAGGATTATTTTTTCTATTTCTATGAAAAATGACGTTGGAATTTTGATAGGGATTACATTAAATCTATAGATTGCTTTAGGTAGTATGGATGTTTTAACAATACTAATGTTCAATGAACATTCCAAAAATGAAATCAAGAGAACCATCCCACTTAAAATAGCTACAAGAAAAAATACTTAGGGATAAATTTGACCAAGGGGGAAGAAAGACCTGGACACTGAAAACTATACAACATTAATAGAAGAAATTGAAGACGACACAAATAAATGGAAAGATATCCCATGTTCATGGACTGGTGTATAATTTTTGTATTCAAAGAATGGAATATTGTCTATTGTGATTTTTTTTTTTTTTAAGACGGAGTCTCACTCTGTTGCCCAGGCTGGAGTGCAGTGACGTGATTTCAGCTCACTGCAGCCTCCACCTCCCAGATTCAAGCAATTCTCCTGCCTCAGCCTCCCGAGTATCTGGGATTATAGGTGCGCACCACCACACCCAGCTTATTTTTGTATTTTTGGTAGAGACGGGGTTTCACCATGTTGGACCAGGCTGGTCTCAAACTCTTGACCTCAAGTGATCTGCCCACCTTGGCCTCCCAAAGTGCTGGGATTACAGGCGTGAGCCACCATGCCCAGCCTTATTGTCCTGAATTTTTTTAAGTCTATTTTCCTTAATTTTTTACAATCTTTTACATATCTGACTTAGATCTCAACTTCCTTCGTTCCAACTACTTAAAATCATTTAAGTCCTCTATATCATCTTTGTTATTTAAAAAGTACTTTTAAAATGTGTATTTTCAAGGTGGGATTTCATAGAAATCTATATCACAGTGTATAAAAGCATAGGCTCTGAAATCAGACTGTGTATGAATTTGAATCCTTGATCTACAACTTAATGGTGTGACCTTGAACTAGTTACTTTATGTCTTTGTGCCTCATTTGTAAAATAGAGGTAATAATAATGAGTTAAGACTTAGAAAAACAAGTTAGAGCCCTTAGAACAATGACCCACATATAGCTAAGGACAACTACTGAAATTATTAATAGTCTCTACAGTACAATCATTTGCTTTTCATGCTTTGCCTTCATTTATTCATTCATAGATTCATTCACTTAATAATT
The DNA here is from genome assembly GCF_000001405.40 of Homo sapiens. NCBI lineage: Eukaryota > Metazoa > Chordata > Mammalia > Primates > Hominidae > Homo > Homo sapiens. The sequence goes on from NC_000001.11 coordinate 147,957,523, forward strand.
TTAGAAAACCTAGTTTACGCCAGACACTGTACTAGATGCTAGGGATAGAATGATGAACAAGATAATCATTTCTTACCTTCATGAAGCTTATTAGTCTACTCTCTTTATTAAAGTTATTATTACCCATAAGTAAATGGTAACAGGTTTTGAATTGCATGAGTATTTTCACATTTCATATTTCCTTCTTCAACACTTTTCTATAGTAAGACCCATAGTCAAGTTAAAGAAGCCTTAATGTAAGAGATAACATTAGACATAAAGGCCAGGCGCAGTGGCTCACGCCTGTAATCCCAGCACTTTGGGAGGCCGAGTCGGGCAGATCACAAGGTCAGGAGATCAAGACCATCCTGGCTAATACGGTGAAACCCCATCTCTACTAAAGATACAAAAAAGTAGCCGGGCGTGGTGGTGGGCGCCTGTAGTCCCAGCTACTCGGGAGACTGAGGCAGGAGAACGGTGTGAACCCAGGAGGCGGAGCTTGCGGTAAGCCCACATCGCGCCACTGCACTCCAGCCTGGGTGATGGAGTGAGACTCCGTCTCAAAAAAGAAAAAAAAAAAGAATGATAAAGAAGGCTCAGGTTCACTGACTAATTATTTGTCTCTATTTCTGCATGTCAGTAAAGACAGTCAGTAAAGACTAGGCTATTGAAGGTAGACACGTGTATAATTTATTTTATTTACATTTATTGTTTATTTTACATGAGTGTATATAAATGCAGATTTTAAAAAATAGAGCAAGATTATTCAAAAGTGAAAGATTTATATAAACAATACTATTTTGATTCCCAAGGCTATTCTCTTTCTCACTGTATTTCTTTTATTCATATAAAGAAATGAATATATAAAAGTGAAGTCATGACCGGGTACTCATGCCTGTAACCCTAACGCTTTGAGAGGCTGAGGTCATGAGTTCAAGACCAGCCTGGCCAACATGGCAAAACCCCATCTCTAGTAAAAATACAAAAATTATCTGGGCATAGTGGTGCATGCCTGTAATCCCAGCTACTTTGGGAGGCTGAGGCAGGAAAATCGCTTGAACCCGGGAGGCAGAGGTTGCAGTGAGCCGAGATTACACCACTGCACTCCAGCCTGGGGGCAGAACGAGACTCTGTCTCAAAAAAAAAAAAAAGTGAAGTCATGACCCATGTCAAGTGTGGATACATACTTTTAAGCCATTTCATACTAATAGTGCTAAGGAATTGACTCTGATCTGTACATACTATAGCCCATTTCCCCTATAATGCATTGTCTGGTCAGGATCAGGAATGGTTTGTGGTCCGACAGTAAGTTTTATTAATTTGAGTGGCTCACAGAAGAATCAGCCTCCCAGCATGACCCCATTACCACAGTCCTTTACCCAGTGGAACTAACAGAGCAGATAGACAGCAAACATGACAACACTGGGGCCCTTGGGATTCATATAATGCCCTTGCCATTTACCACAATATAGAAAAACTGTTTTTGTTGTTTACAAGTGGTTTTACAAAATAAAATTTTTTTTAATAAAAAAGAAAAACTGTTTTTGCAAACATTCATAGTTGGGGAGGAGTAGTGACCAGAAAACCATCTTTCACCTTAACAGTAGAGGGCCATAGTGAGATGACATACAAGAAAAGTAACATTTGTTATGTACAAAAAAGTTAATGGTTTAAAATGGGAGGAGGAAAGAGGCATACGTCTTCCTGTTTGGAACAGTGAGGGAAAAAATGTTAACCTCTACCTTGAATTAGTTTTCTAGGACCTCTTTGAAATTTTGTAGAGATAGGAGGAAGAAATATATTCACTAGTGAAATTTCAGCAACAGCCACAGCCATTCTCAATAGAGGAAACTTCCAGAAATGACAGTGGAAAGAATTTAAGCAATTCTTTCTACAGAAAATCATAAAAACTGGAAAAAATATTAAAAGCAAGTATTTGAAGTTACTGGAAAATGAGCAGAGGCAGGTAGAAATTTGAGAAGAGCATCAGGTAACTATTGCAAGTTGATAGCTTTCTTGCCTGGAAGTGCCCCTTAGCCACCACCCACCCTCCCAGCACCCACTCAAGTGTACAGATTGGTAAGAGTTTAAATCAGCTGAGTAACTGAACATTTAAAGGGGAAATTTTGGAAATGAGGGAAATGCAGAAGGACTGATATCCAAAATCTCAGTATAAACCCTTCCCAAATCTCTGTGTCATCATTAAATAATGTATTTCCACGGTAAACACCAAAGAGTCTGAGAAAAATAGGCAGAAACTAGAAGAGAGTCTATCCTTGATATACTGAACTGCTTCTTGGTGCGATTTGCAAGGTTGCTGTGCCTTTGATTGAGTGCATTTTCTGAGCTATGTGCAGGTTGAACACACAGTTTGGATGACAGAAAGTGAAAGCTTTTCTGGCTTGAGGTGTCAGAGGGTAGATCTCAGGACTGGCAAAGCAGTTGAAAATTTAGGAGAGATCCCTAGAAGCAAAAGATCCACAGAGAGGATAAGCCCTAAAATATGACTATAGAATTTGTCCAGACTACCACTACCCTACACAAGCTCAAGCTCAGCAGAGAATATCAGGGAGTTAGGCTAAAAAGGAGAAGCTAGAAACCAAGAAACTGAGCAGAAACATTAGCTGCTGCAGGTATGACAGATTTCACAGTTTAAGTAAATTAACTGCTTACTAGTGCCAAAAAAATTAACAATTCTCAGAAAAACAAAACAGATTCCAAAGTCACTACAACATATTACCTTCAACCAAAACTTGCTAGACATGTAAAGAAACAAGACGATGTGACCAATGTTCAAGATAAAAAGCAGCCAATAGATACTAACTCCAAGTGGATCCAGATTACACATTTAACAAAGACTTGAAAGTAACCATTACAAATATATTCAAAAAAGTGAAGGAAAGCATGATACAAGTGAAAAGAGAATCCCAACAAAGAAATGGAAACTTTTAAAAAACAACAAAATAGAAATCCAAAGACTGAAAACTACAGTAACGGAAATAAAAATTTTACTAGGTGGGCTTAACAGGAGAATTGAGATGACAGAAGAATCAGATCCATAAAAATTCAGGCTGGGCATGGTGGCTCACGCCTGTAATCCCAGCACTTTGGGAGGCCGAGGTGGTTGGACACCTGAGATCAGGAGTTAGAGACCAGCCTGGCCAACATAGTGAAACCCTGTCTCTACCAAAAATACAAAACTTAGCTGGCCATGCTTTCACGTGCCTGTAGTGCCAGCTACTTGGGAAGCTGAGGTAGGAGAATCACTTGAACCCAGGAGGCAAGGTTGTAGTGAGCTGAGATCATGCCACTGCACTCCAGCTTGGGTGACAGAGCGAGACTGTCTCAAAACATAAAATAAAAATAAAAATTGAGATAGATTAATAGAAATTATTTAATCTGAAGAATAGATAAAAGATTGAAGAAAAATGGCCAGGTAATCCCAGCACTTTGGGAGGCCAAGGCAGGCGGATCACTTGAGGCCTGGCCAACATGGCGAAACCCCGTCTCTACCAAAAATACAAAAAAAATTAGCTGGGCGTGGTGGTGGGAACCTGTAGTCCCAGCTACTCAGGAGATGGAGGCAGGAGAATGGCTTGAACCTGGGAGGCGGAAGTTGCAGTGAGCTGCAGTCACGCCTCTGCACCCCACCCCAGGTGACAGAGCGAGACTCTGTCTCAAAAAGAAGAAAAAAATAGTAAATATTTTTTTAAAAAAAGATTGAAGAAAACTCAACAAAAGTCTCAGTAGGAGACAATATCAAGCAGTCCAACATTCTTGTGATTGGAGTTCTAAAGAAAAGGAAAGGGGCAGAAAAAGCATTGAAAGAAATACCAGCCCAAAACATAAGAAAACTACACCTATGTGTATATATAGTGAAACTGCTAAAAGGCAAAAGTAAAGAGAAAATCTTGAAAGCAACAAGGGGAAAATGATACATACAGGGCAACAATGGGAAAAAAAAAAGTAATGGTTATTCAACAACATTGTAGAATACCAAATGAACATACAAAAATCAGTTGTAGCCAGGAGCAGTGGTGAATGCGCTTGACCAGCTACTCAAGAGGCTAAAGCGAGAGGATTGTTTGAGCCCAGGAGTTTGAGTGCAGCCTGAGAGCAACGTAACAAGACCCCATCTTGAAAATCCAATTTTTTTAAATCAATTGTCTTTCTATAAGCTAGCAACGGACATATGAACATCAAATGTTTAAATACACTACTTACAATCACTCACAAAATGAAATACATAGAAGTCTAACAAAACATGTATATAGGACTTGTTTGCTGAAAATTATAAAACTAATGAAAAAATCAAATAAGATATAAATAAACCATGTTAATAGATTGGAAGACTTGAATAGTAATGATGTTAATTCTCCCCAAATTGGTATACAAATTTAATGTTATTCATTTCAAAATCCCAGCAAGATTTATTTGTAGATATACACAAAATTATTCTAAAATTTGTACAGAAAGGCAAAATAACTAGAATAGTTAATACAATTTTTAAAAAGAACAGTATGAGAGGAATTCCTCTACCTGATCTTTAAACATATTATATAGCTGCAGTAATCAAGACTGTGGTACTGGTAGACATAGATCACTGGAACAGAAAAGAGAACCCAGAAATACCGACACATGGCCAGGCACGGTGGCTCACGTCTGTAATCCCAGCACTTTGGGAGGCTGAGGCAGGTAGATCACCTGAGGTCAGGAGTTTGAGACCATCCTGACCAATATGGCGAAACCCCGTCTCTACTAAAAATACAAAAATTAGCTGGACATGGTGGCATGCGCCTGTAGTCCCAGCTACTTGGGAGGTTGAGACAGAAGAATTGCTTGAATCCAGGAGGCAGAGGTTGCAGTGAGCTGAGATTGCTCCGCTGCCCTCCAGCCTGGGTGACAGAGCCAAACTCTGTCTCAAAAAAAAAAAAAAAAGAAAAGAAAAGAAATACTGACACAAATACACCCAGCTAATTTTTGACAAAGATGCAAAAGCAGTTCAGTGGAGGAAAGATAACCTTTCACCAAATGGTGCTAGAGCAATTAGGCGTCCATAGGTTTAAAAAATGAATCTAAATCTAAGTCTTACACCTTATATAAAATTAAAACACGCCAGGCGCGGTGGCTCATGCCTGTAATCCCAGCACTTTGGGAAGCCAAGGCGGACGGATCACTTAAGGTCAGGAGTTCAAGACTAGACCGGTGAACATGGTGAAACCCTGTCTCTACTAAAAATACAAAAAATTAGCCCGGTGTGGTGGCGGGCACCTGTAATCCCAGCTACTGGGGAGGCTGAGGCAGGAGAATTGCTGAACCCAGGAGGTGGAGGTTGCAGTGAGCCGAGATCCGCCATTGCCCTCCAGCCTGGGCAACAGAGCGAGACTCCGTCTCAAAAAAAAAAAAATTAAAACAGATAATAGACTAAAATGTAAAACTATAAAACTTTCAGAAAAAAAAAAAAGAATCTTTGGAATCAAGGGCTACACAAAAAGTTCTTTACTTGATACCAAAAATAAAATCCATGAAAGGAAAAAATGGATAAATTGGGCTCCATCAAAATTTAACACTTTCGCTCTGTAAAAGACTGTTAAGGCCCGGTGCGGTGGCTCACGCCTGTAATCCCAGCACTTTGGGAGGCCAGGGTGGGTGGATCACAAGGTCAGGAGTTCATGACCAGCCTGGCCAAGATGGTGAAACCCCGTCTCTACTAAAAATACAATAATTAGCCAGGCGTGGTGGCGGGCACCTGTAATCCCAACTACTCGGGAGGCTGAGGCAGGAAAATGGCTTGAACCTGGGAGGCGGAGGTTGCAGTGAGCCAAGATGGAGCCACTGTACTCTAGCCTGGGTGACAGAGCAAGACTCCTTCTTAAAAAAAAAAAAAAAAAATACTGTTAAGAGGATGAAAAGATAAGCTACCCACTGGGAGAAAATATTTGCAAGCCACTTATTTGAGAAAGCACTAGTATCTAGAATAAAAAACATTCAAAGCTTACATTTAAAAAAAATGCAGTTAGAAAATAAGCAAAAATGATGAACATTTTATTGTAGAGGATATACAAATGGCACATAACCACATGAAAAGGTGTTCAACATTGTTAGCCATTATGGACATGCCATTAAAACTACATCGAGATAATCACTACACACCTATCAGAATAGCTAAAATAAAAATTAGTGACAACACCAAATACTAATAAGAATGCAGAGCAACTGGATCACTCATACATTGCTGGCATCCATGTAGAATGGTACAGTCCCTCTGGAACACAGTTTAGCTCTTTCTTTAAAAGCTAAACATGCCGTTACCACACCCCAACAATTGCACTCCTGGGCATTTATCCAGAGAAATGAAGATTTATATTCACACAAAAAACTGTACTTGAATGTTTATGAAAATTACGCTGAGTGAAAAAGAATCCCCAAAGAATATATACCGTATGATTCTAGTTATATATACATTTTTGAAATGATAAAATTACAGAAATGGAGAACAGATTCGTGGTTGCCGGAATTAAGGAATTGGAGGTGGGAGGGAGGTAAGCTGTACAGGTGCACCCTGAAAGATCCTTGTAGTGATGGAAATGTCCCGTATTGTGACTCTATCAATGTCAGTATCCTGGTTGTACTAGAGTTTTGCAAGATATTTCAGTTGAGGAAATCTGGGTAAAGGGTACATGGAATCTCTGTATTTTTTCTCAAAACTACATTATGAATCTACAATTATTTCAAAAAGTTTAACTAAAAAAAAGTAATGGCTGACTTCCTACTAGAAACAACAGAGACCAGAAAATAGTTGACTGACATTTAAACCTCAGTAGACATTTTTTAGCTTCTTCTGTTGTACACTACTACCAAACCTCAGCCAAGTGCATATGTTTTTCCATATTAGGAACTTTTAAATGACATTGGGCTAATAACAAATAGATAATTCCTTGTAAGCTACCCTTGTTATAAAGAGGCAATAGTGATGATGATAGTAAAGAAAAGTTGAAGATGAAGGTGATCTAATTCTATAGTACCTCATATGGTTGGGTGGTTTTTTCATTCCTATTCACGCTTCGGAAGGTTTAATATTGTTACCTTCTTAAATATATAATCATTTCTTTTTCATCTACAACTTATTTGATAAGAGCAAAATTGGTTTAGAATTAATAGATTCTTGATACAATTGAAAGTAAAAGTGAATTGTTTAAAACAAGGCCATGCTTGTCTATGTGCCTCTAACTTTCACTTCTAGTGATTACACTTCTTTGCCTATTATGAGACCACAGCACAGTGTCAATCACCTTTACATATTCAATCGATTCCACTCCACAGCCAGTCATTAGTGTTTGTTGTAGACACTGAAAATAAGGACAATAGAAATGAGCTCTGTGCTTCCTCTCTCACAACTGCCTCTTTTAATCCTGCATGTTAAGCTGAAATGAACTATTAAATGAGTGGAATAGAACCCTTGCCTTCTTTGTGTATGTGTTCTAGCTTTTTCAACTATGAAAATATAAAAACCTAGAATTACTAAGCCTTAATCTTACAAGTCAGAATCTCCCTAGGTCTGAGCCTCTTCTTGGTTGTTTATTACATCTTCCCAAAATGGTGAGTGATAGTAGATGTGTAGTTAGAAGAAAGGCAGAAAGAGCTAAAAGAGCTGTGTTTCATTCACTCAGTATCCAGGCAAAGGTCATTTTCAAAAGGAAACAGTTAAGTCAACATGGCTGACATTCTTTCCTGTTAATATCATTTTAGCTAATGGCTCAAAAAATTTCACCCATAGAAATATCATTTGATCTTTGGTACCATTGCTACTATTTGTATTAGTCCCAGGCATAAATACCAATGCTGCTGCTTGCTCTTCACCATTTTTATCTTTTGCCTCCCAAAAATATCCACCTTGAGTTACATTTTTCTTTGGTCCTGCTACTCTATTTTTATTAGACTCATCCTAGTTCATTTTATGCCTGTAGGCCTTGGCCCATTAAACCCTTTAAATCAATTATGTACAAATGATCTTTTATTTTGATCCTCACTAGGACCCTGTTGATACCTTTGTGGTGAGCTGGGACATGCCAGCAGCTACCACTGTACTAGTCGGTCCTCCACAGACTGAGAGGACCAGGAGTGGTAGGTTTCCTGTTGACTTATTCACCTGTAGGACAGATTACAGAAGGTGAGGGTATTGGACTTAGAGACTGATATTTTAGAAGGGGACAGGTTTATGCAATTTTGCTATTTTTTTTTCCTTTTGTCTGCCTTTGAAAAAGAAGGAAGAAAACATGTATTGCGTTCCAAACTCTGTATTTGGTCCTTTAGTTAGGTATGTTAGCTGTTTTTTTTTGTTTGTTTGTTTTTGTTTTGTTTTTGAGATGGAGTCTCACTCTGTCACCTGGGCTGGCGTGCAGTGGCGTGATCTCAGCTCACTGCAACCTCTGCCTCCTAGGTTCAAGCGATTCTCCTGCCTCAGCCTCCCAAGTAGCTGGGATTACAGACATGGGTCACCACGCCCAGCTAATTTTTGTATTTTTAGTAGAGATGGGGTTTCACCATGTTGCCCATGCTGGTCTTGAACTCCCAACCTCAGGTGATCCACCTGCCTCGGCCTCCCAAAGTGCTGGGATTACAGGAGTGAGCCACCATACCCAGCCAGGTATGTTAGCTGTTTTATTTTGTCTTTAAATGGTAACTGTAGTAATTAAACTATGTATAGCGCCTTGTAGTTGACAACATGAATTCATATGTATTATTTCATTTATCTTCACAACCATCCAGATATGAGGAGATGAAAACTCTAAGACCTCCCAGCTTCCAAATAGCAGAGCCAGTCCTCAAATTTATTGCCTAGCCCAAATTCTGTGCTTCTTCACCCAGGCCACATTGCTTCCACATAGTTTCCCTTCAGTTGTAAGTAGTAGAAAAGTAGGACTCCAGAATCAGTATCCTTACATAAACAGCTCAGTACATGAGAGGCAGTTGTGAGACTGGAAAATGGATGGGACTAGACTGTGAGGGTCCATGCTTGCTTGCTGAGGCTTTATATTTTCTTTCATTTCAGGATGGCAATGGCACGGAGAACAATGTTCCAGAAGGGGGAAGTGCATAACAAACCATCAGGTTTCTGGGGAATGATAAAAAGTGTTACCACTTCAGCATCAGGAAGTGAAAGTATCCTTTGTCCCTCTGCTTGATTCTTTTTCTCAACTCTGGACCAAGAGCAAAAGAAAAAAAGTAGTGTTGGGATAGTCCCTTCTAAGGTACCTGACTACATCAGAGTCCAAACTCCTAAGAGCTAGGCTTAGGAAATACCATGTGTACAGTCATCTTTCCAGCACCTGCACAATATCATAAAATCATTGTCTTTGAGCTGAAGTGGTCCTAAAAAGTCAGCCTTTCCATTTTACAGATGAGAAAATAGACCCAGAGAGGTTAAGTCACACGGTGGTTTGTGGCAAAGCTAGAAACATAACTGTGGTCTCCTCTTCATAGTTCTTTCCACTACACTATTACATTTCTCAACTCTGAAAAACCACCATAAAGCATAATGGCTACCTAAAATAAATGGCCCATTTCTAAAGTAATTAGTATTCCTAAACAAATTTTAAGTAGCTCTGCTTCTCCAGTGACATTTTGGTTTAAAGAATCAAGGGGAGGCTGGGCGCAGTGGCTCATCCCTGTAATCCCAGCACTTTGCAAGGCCGAGGTGGGCAGATCACTTGAACCCAGGAGTTCAAGACAAGCCTCGGCAACATGACAAAACCTCATCTCTACAAAAAATACAAAAATTAGCCAGGCCCAGTGGCATGTGCCTGTAATCCCAACTACTCAGGAGGCTGAGGTGGGAGGATTGTTTGAACTTGGGAGGCTGAGGTAGGAGTGAGCCCAGATCACGCCACTGCACTCCTGCCTAGGCAACAGAGCTAGACCCTGTCTCAAAATAAAAAAGAAAGGATAAAGGAGATTTGATTAATAGATTAATAAATTGTTCTTTCCTGATTGGTTATGATGTTGAACTACTTCCCAAATTATGTAACCAAATTTCTGTGTGGCTCTGGTGCTATTAGGTCAAAACTTTGGGGAACTAAGCATGAGATAGCATACTCCTGTTTCCTTCTCTGTCCCAGGGAAATACAAATTCCCTTTTGCCTCAATTAGAGAAGGATGTCTATTCTTGCTACAAATTATGATTTATGTCCTGGTGTCAAATGAAGATAAGAATAAGATCAAAGAAAGGCAAGATGATTGTGGAAGAGAAAGAAAAAGGATTAATTTAGATTTATTTAACCAAGAAACATTTATTTTGTATCTCCTATTTCCAGGCTGAGTGCTAAGAAATAAAATGATGAGTAGAGTATAGCCTTTCTCCTCAAGGAGCTTACCCTCTAATCATGGGAGAGACAGACATGTAACTAGTTAAACCATATTGTTTGGTGGCTTGAACCATGCCAGTAGTAGCCACTATTAAGGAAGGAACTGAAGGGCACTTACTGATTTGGGTAATAGTGGGAAAAATCAGAGAGGAGGGAGGATTTAGATTGAAGTATGTGCTTCTATTTTAGAAGGGGCTATATTTACTATGTTTATTACTTAAAAGTTCATAAAAGCCAATAATATGGGTTTGAGCTGTGTTAGTGATGAGTTAACAAACATATCAGGACTATTTAACCTCCCTGAGCCCCTGTTCTCTAAATGGGAGAATAATAACTCTACCTGATTGAGTTCTTGGAAAATAACATAGTGTAACGGAAAGAGCAGGCTTTGGAGGAAAAGAGGATTTGACTTTGCATCTCTATCAATTAATTGTGTGACTTTGAGCAAGTTATTTAACTCTCTGAGCTTCACTTTCCTTATGTGCAAAATGGATAACACCATGGCATAAGACAATCCCATGAAGATAAGATATAAAAGAAGATAATGTTTGAAAAGAAATAAGGTAATGTCTGTAAATCCTAGCCTATATTAGAACACAGTAAAGTATTAGTTCCCTTTTCTAACATTATATTCAGATAATGTAGGAGAAAGCTATGCTTTATTATAGTTATTATTCTGTAACTATTTACAATCTTGAACATTACATTTGACTTAATCTAACTAGATAAATCAAAAAACAAATGAAACTATCTGTTTGAGCTGCTTGACTTAAGAGAAACTGAGTGGTAATTGTTTGGTGGCGATGCTCTTGATGGAGAAGCTTTTACACACCTGCGTCAGAGGTTGGGAAAGTTGCTCTGAAGTAGTGTTGCTGGCTATGAAACAGGAAATTGAGAATATAGGCAACTCCGGGAATCCACTGTAGGAAAAACTAAAAGTATATGCTTTCTCATTGCCATTTCTTGAAATTCCTATGTGATTAAAACCTTGATGCCCATTCTGTGCCAGATCTTACTCTTATTCAACAGGAAGTGGATGCTTTGGAAGAATTAAGCAGGCAGCTTTTTCTGGAAACAGCTGATCTATATGCTACCAAGGTACAGAGCAAGGAAACTGAAGTGTGGTTTTTACCAATATTATTAAAGAGAGAACAAGACTAAATGGCTTTTTAGATTTCTCTGTGGCCAAGCAAGAGATACCTCACAGCTTCTATATCAGCCATGAAGCATTAGGGATAAGGGATCTTCACTCTTCATGAAATTGCTCCTGTCACTAGCAAAATCCTTAATGGAACACTCTCAAAAGTAGCAATTGGTGGGATAGTCAGAAGAGGCTTTTCAACATTTAGGAAGGTGGCACGTACCACCTCCTACTAACCTGGGATAAAGATGGTAGCTACTTTTTATTCCTTTATAAGTTAGTAATATTATAAGAGCAGTAGACACCTATCTGCCATGGATGGCCTAGCCCTATTTTAAAGGATCCAGATCAATAAGTGTCGAAACTGTAAGAAGTAACTTTCCTATGTACACCTAAAATAAAATATAATTTAAATGTGCAAAATCTGTTAGTGAAGATTGCAAACTTTTAATTCTTTTTGAGGATAACTTTACAGGAGTAACCTTATAGGACAGAGGTTAACATAGGCTTTGGAAACAGATAAACCTGAGCCTACTCACCAGCTGTGTGACTTTGAGCAAGTTATCGAACCTCTCAAAGCCTCAATTTTCTCATCTGTAAAATTAAGATAATAGAACGTATCTCATAAGAGTTGTTATGAAGATTAAGTGGATAATGCATGTAAGATGTTTATCCCAGTCTCTAGCTAAAAGCAAGCATTCAGTAAATGCTGGCCACAACTACTGTTATTAGTTTAATATTATTGCAATGTATGGTTTTTTGACTGAACCTGAACAGTGATTCATAGAGGGAAGAATACTTGTGTTGAATATAAATTTATATTTTGCTGAAAACTATGTTTTGTGTTTGTTTTCCCCCAGGAGAGAATAGAATACTCCAAAACCTTCAAGGGGAAATATTTTAATTTTCTTGGTTACTTTTTCTCTATTTACTGTGTTTGGAAAATTTTCATGGTAAGTATGTTATTTTTAATTATCAGAGTTTAGATGTTTTTTCCTGGTAGTGGCAGGGAGATAAGAATGGATTTGACTGATATATTGAACTAAATTCCAAATGTGATTGCATCAACAGAGAGCATGATCTTCCACATCTCTGGGCTTCATTTGTTATCCTCTCTCCTTTTTAGATTACATAGATAAGGAAGGTTGCATTTTTCTTCTGTCAGAAATTGTTAATAAGGCCTTAGTTTATGAAATATCTAAATTGAGGCCGGGCATGGTGGCTCATGCCTATAATCCCAGCACTTTCGGAGGCCAAGGCAGGCATATCACCTGAGGTCAGGAATTCGAGAACAGCCTGGCCAACATGGTGAAACCCCATCTCTACTAAAAATACAAAAATTAGCTGGGTGTGGTGGTGGGCTGCCTGTAATCCCAGCTACTCAGGAGGCTGAGGCAGGAGAATCGCTTGAACCCGAGAGGCGGACGTTGCAGTGAGCTAAGATCACGCCACTGCACTCCAGCCTGGGGAGAGGGTGAGACTCCATCTCTCTCTCTCTCTCTCTCTCTCTCTCTCTCTCTCTCTCTCTATCTCTATCTCTCTCTCTCTATCTCTCTCTCTCTCTATATATATATAGAATGTGAACATTTCTTATTTTGCATTCTGCTTTCTGTGTTACCCATGAGTACATAACTGTATATATAACTTCAACTTCTACCTTCAGCTCAGAAGTTACTTGTCCTTTTTAATTATGTGTATACCTAAAAAATTAAGTTCACAATAAATTCTAAAATGTATTTCCATAGATAAATTCATTTGCTGTACATATAGCTCTAATTCTTTTGTGGTTTTCTCATAATATTTTTTATGTACAGTATTTGTCTTTACCTCTGACTCAGGTATTAATGGATTTCAATGTGATTACAGAAAAGGCTGATTTGACTTCCTAGTTTGATGACTTTCCTACTGGGTTTGTGTTTGTGCACAGAGGAGCTTTGTCAGCTTGTTAGTTAATTTTGATCAATGTAGATGAATGAGGATTTTCATTATATAAAGGATCTAGTGTTACAATAAATTGATGTCAATAATACTCAGATGACATTTTAAAATCTGGATTCATTCAGTGGGAGATAATGAATGAAGATAGTATGTTCAGTTAGCAAAGCTACTAAAAGGTATTTTCCTAAGATGCAGCGTTTAGGGAAGCATGTCTTTTTTTTTTTAGATGGAGTCTCACTCTGTCACCCAAGCTGTAGTGCAGTGGTGCGATCTCAGCTCACTGCAACCTCTGCCTCCTGGGCTCAAGCAATTCTCCTGCCTCAGCCTCCCGAGTGGCTGGGATTACAAGCACGCACCGCCACGCCCAGCTAACTTTTTTGTATTTCAGTAGACATGGGCTTTCACCATGTTGCCCAAGGTGGTTTCGAACTCCTGAGCTCAGGCAATCTGCCCGTCTCAGCCTCCCAAAGTGCTGGGACTACAGGCGTGAGCCATCACACCCGGCCTAGGGAAGCATGTCTTTTTTTTTTTTTTTTTTTTTTTTTGTGAAGACGGAGTCTCTCTCTGTCTCCCAGGCTGGAGTGCAGTGGCATGATCTCGGCTCACTGCAACCCCTCCGCCTTCCAGATTCAAGTGATTCCCCTGCCTTAGGCTCCCAAGTAGCTGGGACTACAGGTGTGTGCCACAACGCAAAATACAATAATTTTTTGTATTTTTAGTAGAGACAGGGTTTCACCATCTTGGCCAGGATGGTCTCGATCTCCTGACCTTGTGATGCGCCTGCCTCAGCCTCCCAAAGTGCTGGGATTACAGGCGTGAGCCACTGCACCCAGCCAGCATGTCATTTTTTAACAGGCTTGTTGGGGTATAACTGATATGTAAACCGAACATATATTTATGTACAACTGGGTACGTTTTGACATACATATATACCTATGCAACAACCATCACCACGGTCAAGACAGAGAACACATCCATCCATCACTGCCATGAGATTCCTGAGATTCCTGGTGTCCCTTTGTAATGCCTCTCTCCCACACCTCTAGTCCCCAGACGACTGCCAGTCTGCTTTCTCTCATTATATATTAGTTTGTATTTTCTAGAATGTTATGTAAGTAGAATCCTACAGTATGTATCCTTTTTCTGTCTGGCTTATTTTACTCGGCATGATTATTTTACATTTTATCCATGTTATGATTTGTATCAGTAGTTTATTCTTTTGTATTGCTGAGTAGTGTTTCCGTGGTTTGGACGTGCCACAATTTTGTTTGTCCATTCATCTGATGATGAATATTTGGTTGTTTCCAGTTGGGGGATATTACAGATAAAGTTGCTGTGAACACTTGTGTACAATTTTTTGTATAGACGTGTGCTGTCTTTCTCTTGAGTAGGCACTTAGGAGTGGAATGTCTGGATCATATGGCAGATGTAATGTTTAACTTTTGAAGAAACAGCCAACTCTTTTCCAAAAAAATTGTATCATTTACATTTCCACCTGCACTGTGTATGAGTTTCAGTTGTTCACATCCTCACCAACACTCTATATGGCCAGTCTTGCTAATATTAGACATTCTAATAGATACGAGGTGATATTGCATTGTGGTTTTAATTTATATTTCTTAATGTCTAATGATATTGAGCATCTTTTCATGTGCTTTTTTTCCCACCCATATTTTTTTTGGATGAATTATCTGTTCAAATCTTTTGCCAATTTTTTTTTAAATTTTAAGTTCTGAGGTACATGTGCAGGATGTGCAAGTTTGTTACATATGTAAGTATGTGCCATGGTGATTTGCTGCATCTGTCAACCCATCACCTAGGTATTAAGCCCAGCATCCATTAGCTATTTCCCTGATGCTCTCCCTCCCCCTCCCCGCCTTCGACAGGTCCCAGTTTGTGTTGTTCCCTCCCTGTGTCTGTGTGTTCACATTGTTCAGTTCCCACTTATAAGTGAGAACATGTGATATTTGGTTTTCTGTTCCTGTGTTAGTTTGATGAGGATGATGGCTTCCAGCTCCATCCATGTCCCTGCAAAGGACATGATCTCATTCCTTTTTATGGCAGTATAGTATTCCATGGTGTATATGTACCACATTTTCTTTATCCGGTCTATCATTGATGGGCATTTGGGTTGATTCTATGTCTTTGCTATTGTGAATAGTGCTGCAGTGGGCGTACATGTGTATGTATCTTTATAATGGAATGATTTATATTCCTTTGGGTATATACCCAGTAATGGGATTGCTGGGTCAAATGGTATTTCTGGTGCTAGGTCTTTGAGGAATCACCACACTGTCTTCCACAATGATTGAGTTAATGTACATTCCCACCAACAGTGTAAAAGCGTTCCTATTTCTCTGTAGCCTCACCAGCATCTGTTGTTTCTTGACTTTTTAATAATTGCCATTCTGACTGGTGTGAGATGGTAGCTCATTGTGGTTTTGATTTGCATTTCTCTAATGATCAGTGATACTGAGCTTGAGCTTTTTTTCATACGTTTGTTGGCCACATAAATGTCTTCTTTTGAGAATTGTCTGTTCATGTCCTTTGCTTACTTTTTAATGGGGTTGTTTGATTTTTTTCTTGTAAATTTGTTTAAGTTCCTTGTAGATTCTGGATGTTAGGCCTTTGTCAGATGGATAGATTGCAAAAATTTTCTCCCATTCTGTTGGTTGTCTGTTCACCCTGATGATAGTTTCTTTAGCTGTGCAGAAGCTCTTTAGTTTAATTAGATCCCATTTGTCAATTTTTGCTTTTGTGGCAATTGCTTTTGACATTTTTGTCATGAAACCTTTGCCTGTGCCATGTCCTGAATGGTATTGCCTAGATTTTCTTCTAGGTTTTTTATAGTTTGGGGTTTTACATTTAAGTCTTTAATCCATCTTGAGTTAATTTTTGTATAAGGTGTAAAGAAGGGTTCCAGTTTCAGTTTTCTGCATATGGCTAGCCAGTTTTCCCAGCACCATTTATTAAATAGGGAATCCTTTCCCCATTGCTTGTTTTTGTCAGCTTTGTCAAAGATCAGATGGCTGTAGATGTGCGGTCTTATTTCTGAGTTCTCTATTCTGTTCCATTGGTCTATGTGTCTGTTTTTGTACCAGTACCATGCTGTTTTGGTCACTGTAACCTGGTAGTATAGTTTGAAGTCAGGTAGCGTGATGCCTCCAGCTTTGTTCTTTTTGCTTACAGTTGTCTTGACTTGTACGGGCTCTTTTTTGCTTCCATATTGAATTTTAAAATAGTTTTTTTCTAATTCTGGGAAGAATGTCAATGGTAGTTTAATGGGAGTAGCACTGAATTTATAAATTACTTTGGGCAGTATGGCCATTTTCATGATATTGATTCTTCCTATCTGGGAGCATGGAGTGTTTTTCCATTTGTATGTGTCCTCTCTGATTTCCTTGAGCAGTGGTTTGTAGTTCTCCTTGAAGAGGTCCTTCACTCCCCTTGTTAGCTGTATTCCTAGGTATTGTATTCTCTTTGTAGCAGTTGTAAATGGGAGTTCATTCATGATTTGGCTCTCTGCTTGTCTGTTGTTGGTGTACAGGAATGCTTGTGATTTTTGCACATTGACTTTGTATCCTGAGACTTTGCTGAAGTTGCTTATCAGTTTAGGTAGCTTTTGGGCTGAGACGATGGGGTTTTCTAGATAGAAGATTATGTCATATGCAAACAAAGACAATTTGACTTTCTCTCTTCCTATTTGAATACCCTTTATTTCTTTCTCTTGCCTGATTGCCCTGGCCAGAACTTCCAATACTATGTTGAATAGGAGTGGTGAGAGAGGGAGTCCTATCTTGTGCCAGTTTTCAAAGGAAATGCTTCCAGCTTTTGTCCATTCAGTGTGATATTGGCTGTGGGTTTGTTATAAATCACCCTTATTATTTTGAGGTATGTTCCATCAATACCTAGTTTATTGAGAGTTTTTAGCATGAAGGGATGTTGAATTTTATCAAAGGCCTTTTCTGTGTCTATTGAGATAATCATGTGGTTTTTGTCATTGGTTCTGTTTATGTGATGGATTACGTTTATTGATTCGTGTATGTTGAACCAGTGTTGCATACCGGGGATGAAGCTGACTTGATCGTGGTAGATGAGCTTTTTGATGTGCTGCTGGATTTGGTTTGCCAGTATTTTATTGAGGATTTTCACATCAATGTTCTTCAGGGATATTGGCCTGAAGTTTTCTTTTTTTGTTGTTGTATCTCTGCCAGATTTTGGTATCAGAATGAGCTGGCCTCATAAAATGAGTTAGGGAGGAGTCCCTCTTTTTCTGTTGTTTGGAATAGTTGCAGAAGAAATGGTATCAGCTCCTCTTTTTACCTCTGAATTCAGCTGTAAATCCATCTGGTCCTGGGCTTTCCTTGGATGGTAGGCTTATTACTGCCCCAAATCAGAACTCCTTATGGGTCTATTCAGGGATTCAACTTCTTCCTGGTTCAGTCTTGGGAGGGTGTATGTGTCCAAGAATTTATCCATTTCTTCTAGATTTTCTAGTTGATTTGCATAGAGATGTTTATAGTATTCTCTGATGGTTATTTGTATTTCTGTGGGATCAGTGGTGATGTCCCCTTTATCATTTTTTTTGTGTCTGTTTGATTCTTCTTTTCTTCTTTATTAGTCTAGTAGTGGTCTATTTTATTAATCTTTTCAAAAAACTGGCTCCTGGATTCGTTGATTTTTTTGAAGGGTTTTTCGTGTCTCTATCTCCTGCAGTTCTGCTGTGACCTTGGTTATTTCTTATATTCTGCTAGCTTTGGGGTTTGTTTGCTCTTGGTTCTCTAGTTCTTTTAGTTGTGATGTTAGGGTGTCGATTTGAGATCTTTCTAGCTTTTTGATATGGGCATTTAGTGCTATCCATTTCCCTCTTAACACTGCTTTAGCTGTGTCCCAGAGATTCTGGTATGTTGTCTCTTTGTTCTCATAGTATCAAATAACTTCTTGATTTCTGCCTTAATTTCATTATTTACCGAGGAGTCATTCAGGAGCAGGTTGTTCAATTTTCATGTAGTTGTGTAGTTTTGAGTTAGTTTCTTAGTCTTGAGTTCTAATTTGATTGTCCTGTGGTCTGAGAGACTGTTATAATTTCAGTTCTTTTGCATTTGCTGAGGAGTGTTCTACTTCCAATTATGTGATCAATTTTAGAGTATGTGCCATGTGGCACCAAGAAGAATGTATATTCTGTTGTTTTTGGGTAGAGAGTTCTGTAGATATCTATCAGGTCCACTTGATCCAGAGCTGAGTTCAAGTCCTAAATATACTTGTTAATTTTCTGTCTCAATGATCTGTGTAACATTGACTGTGGGGTGTTAATGTCTCCCACTATTATTATGTGAGAGTATAAGTCTCTTTGTAGGTCTCTAAGAACTTGTTTTATAGATCTGGGTGCTCCTGTATTGGGTGTATATATATTTAGGATAGTTAGCTCTTGTTGAATTGAACCCTTTAGCATTATGTAAAGCCCTTGTTTGTCTTTTTTGATCTTTGTTAAAGTCTGTTTTGTCAGAAACTAGGATTGCAACCCCTGCTTTTTTTTGCTTTCCATTTGCTTGGTAAATTTTCCTCCATCCCTTTATTTTGAGCCTATGTGTGTCTTTGCACATGAGAGGGGCCTCCTGAATACAGCACACTGATGGGTCTTGATTCTTTATCCAGCTTGCCATTCTGTGTCTTTTAATTGGGGCATTTAGCCCATTTACATTTAAGGTTAAAATTGTTATGTGTGATTTGATCCTGTCATCATGATGCCAGCTGGTTATTTTGCAGACTTGTTATTGTAGTTGCTTCATAGTGTCATTGCTTTGTGTACTTCAGTGTGTTTTTGTAGTGGCTGGTAATAGTTTTTCCTTTCCATATTTAGTGCTTCCTTCAGGAGTTCTTGCAAGGTGGTCACAAGTTCCCTCAGCATTTGCTTGTCTGAAAAGGATTTTATTTCTCCTTCACTTATGAAGCTTAGTTTGGCCAGATAGGAAATTCTTGGTTGGAAATTCTTTTCTTTAAGAATGTTGAGCTGGGCGTGGTGGCTCACGCCGGTAATCCCAGCACTTTGGGAGGCCGAGGCGGGCAGATCACGAGGTCAGAAGATCGAGACCATCCTGGCTAACACGGTGAAACCCCATCTCTACTAAAAATACAAAAAATTAGCCAGGCATGGTGGCAGGCGCCTATAGTCCTAGCTACTCGGGAGTCTGAGGCAGGAGAATGGCATGAACCCAGGAGGCGGAGGTTGCAGTGAGCCGAGACTATGCCACTGCACTCCAGCCTGGGTGACAGAGCAAGACTCCATCTCAAAAAAAAAAAAAAAAAAAAAAAAAAAAACAGAATGTTGAATATTGACTCCCAATTGCTTCTGGCTTATAGGGTTTCCACTGAGAGGTGCACTGTTAGTCTGATGGACTTCCCTTTGTAGGTGACCTGTCCTTTCTGGCTGCCCTTAACATTTTTTCCTTCATTTCGACCTTGGAGAATCTGATGATTATGTGTCTTGGGGTTGATCTTCTCATGGAGTATTTTACTGGAGTTCTCTGGATTTCCTGAATTTGAATGTTGGCCTGTCTTGCTAGCTTGAAGAAGTTCTGGCCTGTCTTGCTAGGTTGGGGAAGTTCTCCTGGATGATATCCTGAAGTATGTTTTCCAACTTGAAACGGTTCCGTTCTCCCCGTCTCTTCCAGGTACCTGAATCAGCCGTAGGTTCGGTATTTTTATGTAATCCCATAGTTCTCAGAGGTTTTGTTCATTCCTTTTCATTCTTTTTTCTCTCACCTTGTCTGCCTGTCTTATTTCAGCAAGATAGTCTTCAAGCTCTGAGATTCTTTCCTCTGCTTAGTCTCTTCAGCTATTGATATTTGTGGTTGCATTGTGAATTTCACATTGTGTTTTTCAGCTCCATCACATTGTTTATGTTCCTTTTTAAACGGGTTATTCTGGTTAACAGCTCCTATAATGTTTTATCATGGTTCTTGGCTTCTTTGCATTGGGTTAGAACATTACTCCTTTTGCTCAGCAAAGTTTGTTACTGCCCAGCTTCTAAAGCCTACTTCTGTCAGTGCATCCATCTCAGCCTCAGCCTCAGCCCAGTTCTGTGCCCTTGCTGGAGAGGTGTTGTGATCATTTGGAGAAGAGGCACTCTGGCTTTTTGAGTTGTCACCGTTTTTGTGTTGATTCTTTCTCATCATCCTCAGTTTATCTACCTTCGATTTTTGAGGCTGCTGACCTTTGGATGGGGTTTTTGTGGGGTCTTTTTTTGTTGATGTTGTTGTTGTTGCTTTCTGTTTGTTTGTTTTTAACAGTCAGGCCCCTCTTCTGTAGGGCTGCTGCCATTTGTTGGGGGTCGAATCCATACCCTACTCGCCTGGGTCCCTCTCGCATCTGGAGGTATTACCAGTGGAGGCTGCAGAACAGCAAAGATGGCTGCTTGCTCCGTCCTCTGGGAGGAAGCACTGACCTGATGCCGGCAGGAACGTTCCTGTATAAGATGTCTGGCAACCCCTGGTGGGTCTCAGTCAGGAGGCACGGGATCAGGGACCTGCTTAAGGAAGCACTCTGACTGCCCCTTGGCAGAGCAGCTGTGCTGCACTGAAGGGAATCCCCCTCCTCTGGACTGCCCAGACCCTTCAGAGCCAGCAGGCAGGAAAGACTAAGTCTGCTGAACCACGAAGACGATAGTCACCCCTGCCCCCAGGGGCTCCTTCCCAGGGAGATCAGTTCTGCTCATAAACCCCTACCTGGAGTTGCTGACATTTCTGCAGGGAGGCCTCGCCTAGTGAGGAGGAATGGATCCGAGTCCCACCTAAAGAAGCGGTCTGGCCACAATCTGCCACTACCACTGTGCTGTGCTGTGGGGAATTCCTCCTGGTCCAAACCACCTATTCTCCCCGGCACTGGCAGGGGAAAAGGGCAGACTGGACCTGCAGTGATGGTGGCTATCCCGGGAACTTGGTCGTCTTAGGCAATCTCCAGCCTGCTGCTGCTGGCTGCAACCTCAGTGGCCACTGAGCATCTGGGCAGCTCTGTGCTTGGGATCCAAGGCCCTGTTGGCCTGGGCTCACAAGGGGAATCTCCTGATCCACGGGTTGCACAGATCTGTGGAAGAAGCATGGTTTCCTGGGCAGGGTGCCACAATCACTCATCGCCTTCCTTGATTGGGGGTGGGAACTCCCCTTGCCCTGTGCGGCTCCCAGGTGGGGCTGTTGCACTACCCTGCTTTTCCTCACTCTCCGTGGGTTGTGCCAACTGCCTAGTCAGTCCCAATGAGAGAACCTGGTTACCTCAGCCTGAAAGTGCAACATTCACTCGCTGTTTTCATTCTTGATAGGAGCAGCCAACAGCAGCTACTTCTAGTTGGTCACCTTGGCCCCTCCACCGACCTTGCCAGTCTTTTAATTAAGTTGTTCCTTTCCCCATCCTTCCTTCCTTCTTCTTATCCTTTTTCTCCTGCTCCTTCTCCAGCCTTATTGCACTGACTAAAACCTTCAGTACAAAGTTGAATAGAAGTGGTAGGATTAGTCATCCTATTGTTATTCCTGCTCTTAGGGAGATAGCATCCAGTCTCACCTTTCATTATGATGTTAGGTTTTCCCTAGATGCCCTTTATCAGGTTGAGGAAGTTCCATTGTAATCATAGTTTATTGAGTATTGTTAATCATGAAAAGGTGTTGGATTTTGTTAAATTCTTTTACTGCATCTATTGAGATGATCAATGTTTTTCTTTTTTAGTCTGCTATAGTTGATTATATTCATTAATTTTTGAATATTAAACCAATCTTGCATTCCTAGAATAAACCTCACTTGGTCATGGTGAATTATCATTTTTCTATTTTGTTAGATTCAATTTGCTAAAATTACGTTAAGAATGTTTGCATTGTCTGAGCATGTTGGCTCACACCTGTATTCCCAGTACTTTGGGAGGCTGAAGCAGGAGGACTGCTTGAGGCCAGGAATTCGAGACCAGCCTGGGCAGCATAGCAAGACCCCATCTCAGCAAAACAATAAAAATTAACTGAGTGTGGTGGCATGCCTGTGTTCCCAGCTACTCAGGAGGCTATGGTGGGAGGATCGCTTGAGCCCAGAAGTCCAAGGCCTCAGTGAGCTATTATCACGCCGCTGCACTCCAGCTTGAATGACAGAGGGAGACTCTGTCTCAAAAAAAAAAAAAATTGATTCCATATGTATGAGGATATTGGACTATAGTTTTCTTTTCTCATAATGTCTTTATTTGGTTTTGGTGTCAGAGTAATGCTTGCTGACCTTAGAGAATGAGTTGAGAAGTACTGCCACCTCTTTAAATTAGTGGAAAAGTATGTGTGGAGATGTTGTTATTTCTCCCCTAACTGTGTTGTAGAGTTTATCAATAAAGCCATCTGGGCCTGGAGTTTTCTTTGCAGGAAGATTTTTTTAAACTACCAATTCATTTTTTTAAAGATACAGGGTTTATGCAGGTTATCTATTTCTTCTTGAGTGAGCTCTTGCAATTTGGGTCTCAAGGAATTTGTCTATTTTTATTGAAGTTGTCAAATTTATTGGCATGATATTGCTCATAATATTCTTACTATCCTTTTAATATCTATAGAACCTGTAGAGACTGTTATTTTTTTCATGTAACAGGTTTATTGAGATATAATTCACATACAATACAATATACTCATTTAGTGTATGATGCAGTAGTTCTTAATATATTCATAGTTTTATAACCATTACCACAATCAATTTTTGAACATTTTTATCAAGCCAAAAAGAAATTCCATACTCGCCTGTAGTCCCAGCTACTTGGGAGGCTGAGGCAGGAGAATGGCGTGAACCCGGGAGGCGGAGCTTGCAGTGAGCCGAGATCCCGCCACTGCACTCCAGCCTGGGCGACAGAGCGAGACTCCGTCTCAAAAAAAAAAAAAAAAAAAAAAAAAAAAGAAATTCCATACTCATTAGTAGTCATTCCCCATTTCCCTCCAATTCCCACTCCCTCAGCCCTTAGCAACCACTAATCTATTTTCTGTCTCTGTAGATTTCCCTATTCTGGATGTTTCATATAAATGGAATCACATAATTTATATTGTTTTATGATTGGCTTCTCTCATTTAGCATAATGGGGTTGGGGGGGGCTTTTTAAATGTAATTTTAAAAAGTATATATTCTTTTTCATAGAGACGAGTCTCACTATATTGCCCAGGCTGAGCCACTGTACCCAGCCCTAGCATAATGTTTTTAAGGTACATCCATGTCATAGTATCTATCAATATTTCATTCCTGGCCAGGCACAGTGGCAGATGCCTGTAATCCCAACACTTTGGGAGGCTGAGGCAGGAGGATCACTTGAGCCCAGGAGTTTGAGACTATCCTGAGAAACAAAGGGAAACCCCATTCTTTACCCCTCCCTCCCCGACACACACACATACACACACACACACACACAAAATTAATAGGGCATGGAAGTACATGCTTGTGGCCCCAGCTACTCGGGAGGCTGAGGCGGGGGAGGATCGCTTGAGCCTGGGAAGTTGAAGCTGCAGTGAGCCGTGATTGTGCCACCACACTCCAGCAGGCAGCAGAGCAAGACTGTCTTAAAAAAAAAATTCATATTTTCTATGGCTGAATAATATCTATTTCATTTTATAGGTACACCACATTTTTTATCCATTTATTAGTTGATGTACATTAGGATTGTTTCTACTTTTGGGCCATTATCAATAATGCTGATGTGAACATTTGTGTATAATTTTTTTGTTTTTGTTTTGAGACACAGTCTCACTCTGTTGCCCAGGCTGGAGTGCAGTGGGGTGATCTCAGCTCACTTCGACCTCTGCCTCCTGGGTTCAAGCGATTCTCCTGCCTCAGCCGCCTGAGTAGCTGGGATTACAGGTGCGTACCACCATGCCTGGCTGATTTTTCTATTTTTAGTAGAGACGAGGTTTGACCATGTTGGCCAGGCTGGTCTCAACTCCTGACCTCAGGTGATCCACCAGCCTCGGCCTCCCAAAGTGCTGGGATTATATCCGTGAGCCACCATGCCCGGCCTCGTGTATAAGTTTTTATGTGAGTATATGTTTTAATTTCTCTTATGTGTATATCTAGGGGTAGAATTGCTGTGTCATATGCTAAGTATATGTTTAACCTTTTTATTTATTTATTTATTTATTTACTGAGGTGGAGTCTCGCTCTGTCGCCCAGGCTGGAGTGCAGTGGTGCAGTCTCAGCTCACTGCAACTTCCGCCTCCCAGGTTCAAGCAATTCTCCTGCCTCAGTGTCCCAAGTAGCTCAGGTTACAGGCACATGCAACCACTCCCGGCTAACTTTTTTGTATTTTTAGTAGAGACAGGGTTTCACCATATTGGCCAGGCTGGTCTCTAACTCCTAACCTTGTGATCTACCCGCCTCAGCCTCCCAAAGTGCTAGGATTACAGGCATGAGCCACTGCGACCGGCCTATGTTTAACCTTTTAAAGAACTACCAGACTTTTCCAAAACAGCAGCAACAGTTTACATTCCTGTCAGCAGGGGATGCGTGCTCCAATTTCTCCACATCCCCACCAACAATTGTTATTAACTTTTTTATACTGTTCCATTGATCTATATCTCTGTTTTGGTACCAGTACCATGCTGTTTTGGTTACTGTAGCCTTGTAGTATAGTTTGAAGTCAGGTAGCGTGATGCCTCCAGCTTTGCTCTTTTGGCTTAGGATTGACTTGGCAATGTGGGCTTTTTTTGGTTCCTTATGAACTTTAAAGTAGTTTTTTCCAATTCTGTGAAGAAAGTCATTGGTAGCTTTATAGGGATGGCATTGAATCTATAAATTACCTTGGGCAGTATGGCCATTTTCATGATATTGATTCTTCCTACCATGAGCATGGAATGTTCTTCCATTTGTTTGTATCCTCTTTTATTTCATTGAGCAGTGTTTTGTAGTTCTCCTTGAAGAGGTCCTTCGCGTCCCTTGTAAGTTGGATTCCTAGGTATTTTATTCTCTTTGAAGCAATTGTGAATGGGAGTTCACTCATGATTTGTCTCTCTGTTTGTCTGTTATTGGTGTATAAGAATGCTTGTGATTTTTGTACATTGGCACCGAACAGAGCCCTCAGAAATCACGCCGCATATCTACAACCGTCTGATCTTTGACAAACCTGAGAAAAACAAGCAATGGGGAAAGGATTCCCTATTTAATAAATGGTGCTGGGAAAACTGGCTAGCCATATGTAGATGAAACTGGATCCCTTCCTTACACCTTATACAAAAATTAATTCAAGATGGATTAAAGACTTAAACGTTAGACCTAAAACCATAAAAACCCTAGAAGAAAACCTAGGCGTTACCATTCAGGACATAGGCATGGGCAAGGACTTCATGTCTAAAAGCATACCAAAAGCAATGGCAACAAAAGCCAAAATTGACAAATGGGATCTAATTAAACTAAAGAGCTTCTGCACAGCAAAAGAAACTACCATCAGAGTGAACAGGCAACCTACAGAATGGGAGAAAATTTTTGCAACCTACTCATCTGACAGAGGGCTAATATCCAGAATCTACAATGAACTCAAACAAATTTACAAGAAAAAAACAAACAACCCCATCAAAAAGTTGGCGAAGGACATGAACAGACACTTCTCAAAAGAAGACATTTATGACGCCAAAAAACACAAGAAAAAATGCTCACCATCACTGGCCATCAGAGAAATGCAAATCAAAACCACAATGACATACCATCTCACACCAGTTAGAATGGCAATCATTAAAAAGTCAGGAAACAACAGGTGCTGGAGAGGATGTGGAGAAACAGGAACACTTTTACACTGTTGGTGGGACTGTAAACTAGTTCAACCCTTGTGGAAGTCAGTGTGGCGATTCTTCAGGGATCTAGAACTAGAAATACCATTTGACCCAGCCATCCCATTACTGGGTATATACCCAAAGGACTATAAATCATGTTGCTATAAAGACACATGCACACGTATGTTTATTGTGGCACTATTCACAATAGCAAAGACTTGGAACCAACCCAAATGTCCAACAATGATAGACTGGATTCAGAAAATGTGGCACATATACACCATGGAATACTATGCAGCCATAAAAAATGATGAGTTCATGTCCTTTGTAGGGACATGGATGAAATTGGAAATCATCATTCTCAGTAAACTATCGCAAGGACAAAAAACCAAACACCACATGTTCTCACTCATAGGTGGGAATTGAACAATGAGAACACATGGACACAGGAAGGGGAACATCACACTCTGGGGACTGTTGTGGGGTGGGGGGAGGGGGGAGGGATAGTTTTAGGAGATATACCTAATGCTAAATGATGAGTTAATGGGTGCAGCACACCAGCATGTCACATGTATACATATGTAACTAACCTGCACAGTGTGCACATGTACCCTAAAACTTAAAGTATAATAATAATAAAATAAAATAAAAACTTTTTTATTATAGCCATCCTCATGGGTGTGACAGTGATGTCTCTCTTGTTCTTAATATTGGTAACTTGTGACTTCCCTCTTTTGTCTTTATCAGTCTAGTAGAAGTTTATTGGTTTTGTTGAACTTTTCAAAGAACCAACTTTTGGGTTAATTAGTTTTCTCTCATTTTTTGCTATTTCATTGATTTCTGCTCTGGTCTTTGTTATTTCCTTTCTTCTGCTTATTTTGAGTCTCTTTTTCTAATTTCTTAAGATTTAAACTAAGATCATTGATTGGAGATCTTTGCTGATATAGGGGTTTTAATGCTATACATTTCTTGCTATGTACTGCTATACTAGATCTCACAAATTTAATGAATTGTATTTCTCATTCAATTCAAAATGCTTTCGAGTTTCCCTTTGATTTCTTCTTTGATTCATGGGTGATTTAGAAGTGTGTTATAAAATATTTGAGGATCTTCCAAATATTATTCTCTAATTAATTTCTAATTTAATTTCATGTGGTGTAAGAACATATTTTGTATGATATGAATCTTTTAAATTATTGACTTGTTTTCTGTCCCAGACAGAATATGGTGATAAATGTCTTACCTGTATGTGAGTAGAATACGTATTGTGCTCTTGTTGGCAGGAGTGTTCCATAAATGTCAATTACGTCAAATTCATTGATAGTATTATTAGAGTTTCTGACTAATTTTATCAGTTATTGAGAGAGGGGATCCAGCTATTGTGGATTTGTCCATTTCTTTTTTATTTCTGTCAGTTTTGCTTTACGTATTTTGAAGCTCTGTCATTAGGTATATAAACATTTAGAATCATTGTGTACCCCTTGTTGAAATGATCCTTTTATCATTCTGAAATGACCCTTTTAATACCTAGCAGTATTTTTGCTATGAAATCTACTTTGTCCGACATTAATATAGACATTCTAGCTTTCTTTTGATTAGTGTTAGCATAATATATTTTTCTGTCCTTTTACTTTTAACCTATTTGTATCTTTATATTTATTAAAGTGGTTTTTTCATAAGGAATATATAGTTGGGTCTTGCATTTTTATCCAATCTAACAACCTCTGCCATTTCATTGACATGTTTAGACCAAGGATCAGCAATCTATAGCCCACAGGGCAAACCTAACCACTGCCTGCCTTTGGAAATAAAGTTTTATTGGAACGCAGCCAAGTCCATTCATTTGTGTATTGTCTGTGGCTGCTGTCACACTCCAGTGGCAGAGTTTGCTCACCTATAATGCAGACCATTTACATTTCATGTGATTATTGATGTGGTTGTTTTTTTTTTTAACGTGGTTGGATTTTAAACCACTGTGTTGCTATTTCTTTTCATTGGTCCCATCTGTTCTTTTCTCCCTTTTTCCTTTTTTTAAACTTCCATCTTGGGGATTAATTGGGAATTTTTCATTATTCCATTTGATATCGTTTGTTGACTTATTAGCTATAACTCCTTTTTCTGTTATTTTAGTATTTGCTGTTAGAGCATTCAGAAAATAACCACAAGGAATTACCCTGGGATTTCTTGATTCTCTTAATCTGACTTCATCTACCAAAATGTTACCTTTTTGGCTCCTGATAAATTAAGGCATAATGCCGTAGCTTTATTCCCATTGACTCTTTACAGAAAAGAAAGATGGAGGACATAGGGACTTTTGTTTGCCTATATATGAGTATCCGAAATAGATTTCCTATATATGATTTGGATTAAGAGTAGAATTGCATTTTTAGGAACATTGACCTGTAAGATATGTTATAGTGATTAATTCATTAGTTTCAGTCACTTTTTGAAATAGTAAGTGATTGTTAAGATGCTCCAAGGTAAAAATCTGCATCTTTGCAGGCTACCATCAATATTGTTTTTGATCGAGTTGGGAAAACGGATCCTGTCACAAGAGGCATTGAGATCACTGTGAATTATCTGGGAATCCAATTTGATGTAAGTGTTATATCAAGATCCTGGTTTGTCATGTTTCTGTTTTATCTGCTATAACTTATCATTGTTAAGATTCTAATTTGTATACTTTAGGTACTTGCTTCTGCTTTTGTTCTTCCCACTCTGTATATTTTGACGTATTCACATGGAAAATTTTTATATTTTGATGTATTCACATGGAAAATTTGTAAAAGGCCAAGATTCTCTCTCTTAACATAAAGCCAGAAGTAATGACTGATACTTAATATTGTCACGGATGCTGATTATTTCTACAGCTGCTCCTCTGCTTCTCTATAGGCAGCTACCAGTTTACCATTTTCTCCCCACCAAAGTATTCAAATACTTCTCTCTGTGATTCTTATTGAGCTCTTCAAACACACAACTCAGCTTTGATGCTCCAGTGGAAAATTAGCTACTAATTAGTGTTCTGTGTTAGAGCTGAAATGATTTCTGCTGTAAGAAATGATCTTTATCTATTAATGTGGACCTTGGGCTAAAGATGGTAACTGTCACCTATGCACAAAATTTTTTTTTAAATTGTCTTTTTACTGTTTCATAATACCACTGTCATAAATACACCCTTGTCCTAATTGAAGTTCAGTGTCTTTATTCATAAACCAGAGCCAATGACTCTGGCTGAATAGCACTTTAATAGTAAGACCAATGTCATATTCTTAGTCCCAGTGTAGGCCATTTAGCTGTGCTGTCAACCTAGACGCAGACTGCGTGCTACCCCCAGCCATCCATCCCAGCCAGACGTGCCCCTAATCTCAAAAGGACTTGGATGAAATGAAAATGAACAAGAGCAAATTGAGCCCCAATCCTTGAGAAACAGCTCAATGTACATGTTTCTTGATGCTAGATCAATAGTGTATCCTCTTTGAGTGTGAAGGAACATGATATCTTTTCTTCAAGTGGTATATAAATTATATTAAGTATGCTTTACAGGCCACGCAGTACTGTGGCCCACATCTGTAGTCCCAGCACTTTGAGAGGCCGAGACAGATCACTTGAGTCCAGGAGTTCAAGACCAGCCTGGGCAACATGGTGAAAACCTGTCTCTAGAAAAAATATAAAAATTAGCTGGACATGGTGGCATGCACCTGTAGTCCCAGCTATGCAGGAGGCTAAAGCAGGAGGATCACTTGAGCCGGGGAGAAAGAAGTTGCAGTGAGCTGAGATAGTGCCACTGCACTCCACTCTGGGCGACAGAGTGAGACCCCTGTCTCAAAAAACAACAAAAAGTATGCTTTGCTGTTGTTGCATTTGTGTTTCCTTAAGTGTTTTACTGGGCTGAATTTTTAGCAATGCTTTTGCTTTTCTGTACTTTCTGAGGATACTTACATGGCCATGTATATATTTCATCTGTAATTCATCTGTTTATGCTATATTTTGTAATTCTGAATAACAAATCATTTAGATGTTAGTAATAGCAGCTCCCTTTCAGATACTTTTCAGAACTGAATCAAACACAGGGTCCCAAAACTCCTTCTCACTATGAAGCAATACAGGAGGAGAAAAAGGTATCATGTGGTTCCAGTGAAGTTCAACTATTTCCTAGAATTTAGCTGAGAATGTCTATATATTCTTTTACTATAAAAAGAAAGATTCCTTGAAGTTTTGGTGATTAGGGAACTATTATTCATAGATAGAAAATAATCAAGGTATTATTTAGTTTCCTTTTAATTCCTGCTTTTCATTTATCACAGTAAAACTGTATCATTAGTTCTGTTTTTTTCTGATTTATTAGCGTTATTTTTATCACTGCTTGGTACTTGCTGCCGGGCATGGTGACTCATGCCTGTAGTACCAACACTTTGGGAGGCTGATGTGGGAGTATTGCTTGAGCCCAGGAGTTTGAGACGAGCCTGAACTACATAGCAAGACCCTGGCTCTACAAAAAAAATATTTTTTTAATTTTAAGGTTTAATTAAGTCTGCTAATTAAGGTATTTACTGCAGTCTTTCTGTAGTTGTTTTATTTGCCACTTACTTGCTTTCCTCTCTCCCTTAAGAAAAAAAATCAGGTAGGGTCTAATAAAGCTCCCTCTCACAGTCATGTAAATGATTGGGATATAGCTTAGCCCTTACGTCTCTCTGAACAGAGATTTAGCAGATATTTTTTCTTGTTATGGTGGCAGGTGAAGTTTTGGTCCCAACACATTTCCTTCATTCTTGTTGGAATAATCATCGTCACATCCATCAGAGGATTGCTGATCACTCTTACCAAGGTATGTTTTATCACAGTGTTAAAAAGTACTGCTTATCATTTGTTTAATTAAATGTGGTACCAGCCGGGTGTGGTGGCTCACGCCTGTAATCCCAACACTTTGGAAGGCTGAGGTGGGTGGATCACGAGGTCAGGAGATCGAGTCCATCCTAGCCAACATGGTGAAACCCCATCTCTACTAAAAATACAACAAATTAGCTGGGTGTGGTGGCACATGCCTGTAGTCCCAACTACTTGGGAGGCTGAGTTAGGAGAATCACTTGAACCCAGGCAGCGGAGATTGCAGTGAGCCAAGGTCACACACTGCACTCCAGCCTGGTGAAAGAGCAACACTCCATCTCAAAAAAAAAAAAATAGGTGGTACCATGAGATAATTTTACCTCATTAAGAATTCTGCCTCCTGAGACTTTAAACAACAGTGTCAAGGATTTAAAAGACATACAACAGAATTTTTTAAAAGTTAAACTACTACATAAATTGATGATGATATATTTACATCATATACCAATTATAGATAAGTACATTCACTAAAGGTGATAGAGTAAGATATGGGTCTGTTTTGTTCACTGATATGTTATCAGTATCTAGAACAGAACCTAGCACATGGTAGGCAGATATTCAGCAGATATTTGAGACTGGAAGAATAGTTGTGAGAGTCACTTACAGAGAAGATATGGAAGTAAGGGAGCAGAATATAGCAAGTCCTTAATGTCATCAATAAGTTCTTGGAAACAGCAGCTTTAAGCAAAACTATATACCAAGTCCTCAAAAAAATGTTTCATTCAACATTTCATTATAATGCTGTGAGAAAAATGTAGTTTTGTTATACATCATTTCACTTAAAATCTCAGTTTCCAAGATCCTATAAATGGCATTAAGTAAGGACCTACTGAATTCAACTATTTTCTTTTTTTTTTTTTTTAAATTATACTTTAAGTTCTAGGGTACATGTGCACAACGTGCAGGTTTGTTACATTTGGATACATGTGCCATGTTGGTGTGCTGCACCTATTAACTTGTCATTTACATTAGGTATATCTCCTAATGCTGTCCCTCCCCCCTTCCCCCACCCCACGACAAGCCTCGGTGTGTGATGTTCCCCTTCCTGTGTCCAAGTGTTCTCATTGTTCAATTCCCACCTATGAGTGGGAATATGCAGTGTTTGGCTTTTTGTCCTTGCGATAGTTTGCTGAGAATGATGGTTTCCAGCTTCATCCATGTCCCTACAAAGGACATGAACTCATCTTTTTTTATGGCTGGATAGTATTCCATGGTGTATATGTGCCACATTTTCTTAATCCAGTCTATCATTGATGGACATTTGGGTTGGTTCCAAGTCTTTGCTATTGTGAATAGAGTATGTGAATAGTGAATAGTATGAATATTGCACACGCAATAAACATACGTGTGCATGTGTCTTTATAGCAGCATGATTTATAATCCTTTGGGTATATACCCAGTAATGGGATGACTGGGTCAAATGTTATTTCTAGTTGTAGATCCTTGAGGAATCGCCACACTGCCTTCCACAATGGTTGAACTAGTTTACAGTCCCACCAACAGTGTAAAAGTGTTGCTATTTCTCCACATCCTCTCCAGCACCTGTTGTTTCCTGACTTTTTAATGATCACCATTCTAACTGGTGTGTGATGGTATCTCATTGTGGTTTTGATTTGCATTTCTCTGATGGCCAGTGATGATCAGCATTTTTCCATGTGTCTGTTGGCTGCACATGAGAAGTGTCTGTTCATATCCTTTGCCCACTTTTTGATGGGGTTGTTTTTTTCTTGTAAATTTGTTTGAGTTCTTTGTAAATTCTGGATATTAGCCCTTTGTCAGATAAGTAGATTGCAAAAATTTTCTCCCATTCTGTAGGTTGCCTGTTCACTCTGATGGTAGTTTCTTTTGCTGTGCAGAAGCTCTTTAGTTTCATTAGATCCCATTTGTCAATTTTGGCTTTTGTTGCCATTGCTTTTGGTGTTTTAGACATGAAGTCCTTGCCCATGCCTATGTCCTGAATGTTATTGCCTAGGTTTTCTTCTAGGGTTTTTATGGTTTTACATCTAACATTTAAGTCTTTAATCCATCTTGAATTAATTTTTGTATAAGGTGTAAGGAAGGGATCCAGTTTCAGCTTTCTACATATGGCTAGCCAGTTTTCCCAGCACCATTTGTTAAATAGGGAATCCCTTCCCCATTTCTTGTTTTTGTCAGGTTTGTCAAAGAGCAGATGGTTGTAGATGTGTGGTATTATTTCTGAGGGCTCTGTTCTGTTCCATTGGTCTGTATCTCTGTTTTGGTACCAGTACCATGCTGTTTTGGTTACTGTAGCCTTGTAGTATAGCTTGAAGTCAGGTAGCGTGATGCCTCCAGCTTTGTTCTTTTGGCTTAGGATTGACTTGGCAATGCGGGCTCTTTTTGGTTCCATATGAACTTTAGAGTAGTTTTTTCCAATTCTGTGAAGAAAGTCATTGGTAGCTTGATGGGGATGGCATTGAATCTATAAATTACCTTGGGCAGTATGGCCATTTTCATGATATTGATTCTTCCTATCCATGAACATGGAATGTTCTTCCATGTGTTTGTTTCCTCTTTTATTGTGTTGAGCAGTGGTTTGTAGTTCTCCTTGAAGAGGTCCTTCACATCCCTTGTAAATTGGATTCCTAGGTATTTTATTCTCTTTGAAGCAATTGTGAATGGGCGTTCACTCATGATTTGGCTCTCTGTTTGTCTGTTATTGGTGTATAAGAATGCTTGTGATTTTTGCACATTGATTTTGTATCCTGAGACTTTGCTGAAGTTGCTTATCAGCTTAAGGAGATTTTGGGCTGAGACGATGGGGTTTTCTATATATACAGTCATGTCTTCTGCAAACAGGGACAATTTGACTTCCTCTTTTCCTGATTGAATATCCTTTATTTCTTTCTCCTGTCTGATTGCCCTGGCCAGAACTTCCAACACTATGTTGAATAAGAGTGGTGAGAGAGGGCATCCCTGTCTTGTGCCAGTTTTCAAAGGGAATGCTTCCAGTTTTTGCCCATTCAGTATGATATTGGCTGTGGGTTTGTCATAAATAGCTCTTACGATTTCGAGATACGTCCCATCAATACCTAATTTATTGAGTTTTTAGCATGAAGGGCTGTTGAATTTTGTCAAAGGCCTTTTCTGCATCTATTGAGATAACCATGTGGTTTTTGTCTTTGGTTCTGTTTATATGCTGGATTATGTTTATTGATTTGCATATGTTGAACCAGCCTTGCATCCCAGGGATGAAGCCCACTTGATCATGGCAGATAAGCTTTTTGATGTGCCGC
The DNA here is from genome assembly GCF_000001405.40 of Homo sapiens. Lineage (NCBI taxonomy): Eukaryota > Metazoa > Chordata > Mammalia > Primates > Hominidae > Homo > Homo sapiens. The sequence continues at coordinate 147,991,835 of NC_000001.11, forward strand.
TGGATTCAGTTTGCCAGTATTTTATTGAGGATTTTTGCATCGATGTTCATCAGGGTCTAAAATTCTCTTTTTTTGTTGTGTCTCTGCCAGGTTTTGGTATCAGGATGATACCCTAACTCATTTTATGAGGCCAGCATCATCCTGATACCAAAGCCTGAATTCAACTATTTTCTAATCAACGTAGGAAGACTTCACGGAGGTGGAAAGTGAGTCCTCTCTGGTAGGAAAGGTAGGGATTTAAAAATCCAGGAGCTTTTGAATGAAAGAGAAGTGGCTGGGACAGGAAGGGATCTGCAGGCATCTAGCACAGTTTTAGAAAGAGCGTGGGAGCCTACTAACAATTACAACCGCTTGGAGTGGGCTGGAGTGATCTGACTTAATGTTTTATAGTGATGTTAAGTCATATGTATCACATAGTTTCTGAAGTTTGATAGCAATAGGAATCCTTTCATATGTTATGTAATTAAATTACCCCCAGGGGGAAAGTATAACTTTTTCAGCAGTCTATTTTAAGTCTCTTCTTTATAGTCTTAATCATATGAATTGTTCTATACAGGATTGTGGCATGGAAGAGACACTTTTAATCAAATGTTAACCATATTTCTTACTGTTCGTGACACAGGAATCTAACAGTACTGCATAAATTTATCTCCCTCTTTCTTGACAGTTCTTTTATGCCATCTCTAGCAGTAAGTCCTCCAATGTCATTGTCCTGCTATTAGCACAGATAATGGTAAGTTTAATTAGTTACCTTTATGTTGACAGCTGTAAAATATCAGAAATGTGCTTGATACTTTTAAGAATTTTAATAATTTCCTTTGTCCTGTTCCTCACTACATTCAGAGTCACTTCTGGATTAATTCATTTGACTTACAGGGCATGTACTTTGTCTCCTCTGTGCTGCTGATCCGAATGAGTATGCCTTTAGAATACCGCACCATAATCACTGAAGTCCTTGGAGAACTGCAGTTCAACTTCTATCACCGTTGGTTTGATGTGATCTTCCTGGTCAGCGCTCTCTCTAGCATACTCTTCCTCTATTTGGCTCACAAACAGGCACCAGAGAAGCAAATGGCACCTTGAACTTAAGCCTACTACAGACTGTTAGAGGCCAGTGGTTTCAAAATTTAGATATAAGAGGGGGGAAAAATGGAACCAGGGCCTGACATTTTATAAACAAACAAAATGCTATGGTAGCATTTTTCACCTTCATAGCATACTCCTTCCCCCTCAGGTGATACTATGACCATGAGTAGCATCAGCCAGAACATGAGAGGGAGAACTAACTCAAGACAATACTCAGCAGAGAGCATCCCGTGTGGATATGAGGCTGGTGTAGAGGCGGAGAGGAGCCAAGAAACTAAAGGTGAAAAATACACTGGAACTCTGGGGCAAGAGATGTCTATGGTAGCTGAGCCAAACACGTAGGATTTCCGTTTTAAGGTTCACATGGAAAAGGTTATAGCTTTGCCTTGAGATTGACTCATTAAAATCAGAGACTGTAACACTTTTGCCTTACGTTCATTTTATCAAGCATAGCTTGGTATTTATTATGCTTGTGTGATCTAACATGAGTTAGCATCCCACACCTCCTCTTCTGATCCTGCCCCATTAAAATAACCAAGAGGTTATCTGTTCTTTTCCGGGAAAGGGGTGGTATGCACCTGAAATAGATTTTACCAAAAGAGAGATTTCAGTTATGTCATTTTTTCTTGATTTCCTGTGAACTTAGTATTATACCCTACTTTCAATTCGGTAGTGATGTTTCCTTTTTTTTTCTATCTGCCCCTCACGCTGTGGGGTGAAACCGTGAATAACTTAACTGGGGGAATAAGTCACTTGTGAAAGGGAAATGTTGAAAAATTTTTAGAACACTCAGACATGCAATTTAAGAAAATTCTGAATTTTATTACTAAGGTCTTATTCTGTACTTTATTGTGTTTTGGGTTTCTAGAGGCAAATGAAGGTTAAAGCATAAAAAGTGAATCCAAAACAAAAGCACTATCAAGCATACTCAAAAGGCATTTGTTAATGGTATTTATTCTAGCAACCACAACATTGTTACAAAAGCACAATTTTAATAGGCTTATCTGCTAAGATGCTTTTATAAGCAGCTGTCACCTATACAGAGTTATGAATCATCTTTGGTGCTCAAGGAACCTGTAGAAGTAAGAGACATCATCATACAGAGAAATGTAGTTAAGTTGAAGCTTGGAAAAGATCACATGAAAAAAATCTAGCTCTTGCCTTATCTCTTCCTAAGTTAAGCATAAATTAGCCGTCTGCAATAGCCGCCTGTAAGACAAATGATAACAGAAGACAATCACACATGGTGAATGGTTTCCAGTGGAGTTTTTCTTCTAAAGAGACAGTAAACAGGTCGCAACTCATTCTTTGAGAAAGGATTCCTATTAAATACCCAGAAACAGCTATCAAATAAACAGCCAAAGCTATTACTTGTTTTCATCACATCTCTGTATCTTCAGAATTGGAAGAAGAATGTGAGGCTGTACTGTGGGCCTGTGTATAAGAAAACAAAGAATTTACAAATGGTAGAGTAATGAAAGAGGGATGATCTATTCTAGAGTTGCATGACTTAAGTCGGGGAGTAGAGTCACTCACTAGAATTTCTTTCTTTCACAGCATGCAGTTGACAGCAATTGTGTAGAGCTGATAAATCAAGTAAAAAGTTTATCAGTATTGTAATGGGAACCCCCAGAAGAGCCTGAATCAGATGATCTAGGTATGACTAGAAGTCAGGTGACCTGAATTCTACACTTGATTGTTTTCAACTTGCTGTTTGACACATTAACAAATTCCTTAATGTCTGTGTATATTTCTTTTGTATAAGACTAGGATATTGACTTCCTAAAGAGAAATTACAGAATTTTTAAATGACAACTAATACAACTAATAGTATTTATTAAGCATTCCTGAATACAAATCAGTGGGCATTGTGTGTGTTCATTAAACTGAGTTTATTAAAATGAATATTCCACCCATTAGCAGAATTAATATAATGGAAAGAAGAACAACATTGAATTAAACTTTTTTAGAGTCTCGGCTTTGCTATAAATTTCCTTTATGAACTTGGATAAGTCAGTTTACTTTTGGACCTCAAGTTCATCCAGGAAAAATTGGGCAAAAATATAAAACTGAGACTTACCAAGAAATTTAATCCAAATATATAGAGAATAATATAGAGAATGCTTAATCTTTCCTAGTAATAAAACTGGAATACCTGTCAATTGTTTTAAACAATATTGTCTTTAACCGTCACCACTTACATGCTCACTATGAGCCAGCCACTATTCAAAGCACTTTAATATAGTTAATCTTAGTTAACATGATCCTGATAACAATCCTACAAATTATTCCTGTTTTATGGGTGGGAAAACTGAGGAACAGAACAAATAAATCCATTTCCCCACAGCTGACAAATGACAGAACCAGAATTCATATCTAGATCATCCGATTCAGGCTCTTTTGGGGGTTCCCATTACAATACTGATAAACTTTTTACTTCTTGATTTATTAGCTCTAGACAGTTGCTGTCAGCTGCATGCTATGAAAGTAAGAAATTTGTTGTTCTTATACTGCCTCCTGTCCTCTACAATAACTTGATTTGTTAGTTATCTTTACATTGTCATTTTCTAGTTTTAAAAAAAATCTGTGGCAAACATAGACATTAAATATACTCATAGGGACTGTACCCATACTCTAGTAAATTAGATCATGAAAAGAAATAGGCCCCCACTCACCCGTTCTTTTGCCATGTGCGAGTCATGCTTTGACTCCACCACTATTCCTTCTTTAGAATCTGGAGGGGTGTCAAGTGGATCAGCCAGGGAGGAAACAATAGGGATTTTCTTAGCTTGGAAATAATCATAGGCCTTCTTTCCACAGACTAGAAGTGTGACATTCTTCCCACTGCTCTGGATTCTATCCACCACCTTCTCATAGGGTTCATCTAGCACATTCACCCCATTCACTTCAATGATGACATCCTCATCCTCTAGCCCAGCCAAGTCAGCAGGACCGCCCTTCTGTACCTGTGAACAGAAGTTCTGAGTTATCAATTTCAAACAGAGAAGGGGACATCAGACTAGCTCTCCTTAAGAGGATAGATGAGGAGCTCAAGAATTTATTTTTAATCATGTTATTATTTCTCCTTGAGGTATAGAAGTTGAGAAAGGTGTTCTAATGCTTTTATATTTATGAAGGCTATAACTTCCATATTCACATGATTAGTGGTATTATAAATAGTGGTTCAGCGTCATATGTCTTCTGGGATGAAGGGGGATAAATAGGTCCCCCTTCTTCACTCCCAACTTGAAAGCTATAGGGATTCTTATCAGTCCCTACAGGGTAAGGGGCATTATGCCAAATGCACAGAAGCAAACAAATATGACTGCCAATCAGGGTTGATAGTGACTGTCAACTAGAGTTCAGTCAACTCACACTGTTTGGAACAGATGTTTGGGAAACAAACAAACGTGAGCTTATGATGTACTGGTAGCTAACCTAAAGGGTGTGGGACCATGACAACATTTATCTGAACCCAAGTGAGACCCCTCAGTGTGTGCCTTCAATGGAACCTCTCTACTAAGCCATCAATGGGTGGGAAAAGCTGAGACTATCCTAATTGTGGCTGTGTTTGTTGGGCTGCTGGAACCAGATTACCATACCTCTTTGATGAATGAGCCTGGCAGACCCCGAATCGCATTTAAGTGAAAGCCATAGCCATTTTCACCTTTAGCCAGCCTGCAGAGTTTAGGCTTATGATCTTCTTCCTCTGTAGTATCTGGTGGACTTGAGACTTCCAGAGAAGTGGGAGTAGGAGCTGGAGCCTCCTTGACAGAGCCATTGGGCAGTTCTTGACTTTGATAGTAGAGAAATGGAGAAAAATGAGCCTTTTGAAAAATAAAGGGAAAAAACATTAACTTAGTTGTAACCATGAGTAAGTTATACTTTGTTAAATGTGCTGATTTTTAAGGTATCATACATATTCCACTCTTCTTCTGGATGTGTCTGATTGTAGGCTGTAAAATTCCTCTACTACCCCAACCAGGAAAGGTATAAAAGAAGACTGTGCTTCGTTATGGAGTAATATGTGTATACATGTACACAAATGCACACATGAACATAAAAGCAGTATAGGATGCGGTACAAGGATCCCAAAAGAAGTCTAAAAAATTGCTAGTTTCTTTTGAGTTCATGATAGTGAGCAAGTCACTGAACAAGCTATACATAATCTCCCTGTTGGGAAATGACATATCTGACTGACTAGCCGGTACCTCATGCAGAGTACATTCTTCTGGCTTTTCCTTTCGGTAAGATGGTCTTCAGAGCTCCTTAAACACATTAGAAAAAGTAAAACACAAGACACTTGTGATAGTTAATTTTAGATGCCAACTTGACTGGATTAAGGAATACCTAGAAGCCCGGTAAAGCATTATTTTGGTGTGTGTCTGTGAAGGTGGTTCCAGAGGGGATTAGCATGCGAGTCTGAGTGAACTACAGAAAAGGCAAAGGTGTCAGTCTGTCTGCTAGAGCTGGGATACACTCTTCCTCTCCTGTGCTTGGACATCAGAATTCCTGGTTCTCCGGCCTTTGGACTCTAAGATCTACAGCCGCAGCCCCCCAGATTCTCAGGCCAAATGCACAGAAGCAAACAAGTAGGACTGCCAATCAGGGGTGATGCCAGTAATGTGGCTCAGTCAGATTTGGACGGAGCCACACTACTGGCATCCCAGGGTCTCAAGCTTGAAGACAGCCTGTCGTGGGGCTTCTCAGCCTCCATAATCACACAAGCCAATTCCCCTAATTAATCTCCTCTCATACCTGTATCTATATCCTACTAGATCTGTCTCTCTGGAGAATGTTAATATAACACTATTTTTATCACTATCCAAAGATTCAAAGCTACTAGAAGAGACCAACCCATATACACAGTAATAATTGGTGAGAGGGTGACAGCTGTTATATGGTCACATATTGTAACAAAAGTTAATTCCAACCCTTTGCTGCTTGCCAATACCCTCCCCTTCCAGACCTGGGATCTGCGCTTATTTATTTTGCTATGTATTGTTGTAAGCATTAGCTGTCACTTCTATTATGCCAAACTCTCCAACATCTTTAAATACTCCTAATTCATATCAACTCCCAGCCCATCCATGTGAAGAAATGATGATCTTGAATACCGAAGAGGCATAGAACAGGAAACAGGATTGATTTTTTTGTAATAGAATTACAAGCCTAACTGGCTGTTTTAGTTGAGACAATTAGAAGGGTGGACCTGGGTATGGTGTGATCCTGGATCAGCAGCTAAATGGCTGCCCACACGTGTCCGGAACATTTGTTAGGTGATGAGTAGGAAATCAAGCAATGGAAGGTGAGCACAGTGTGGGCTCTACTTCAAATCGCACTGTTTAGCAGCCTGACTAAAATTAGATTTTTAGTCCTCTGGTTATCATGTGTCTTACTAACCACAAGACCACATCTCCTTCCTTTCTAAGTGAGAATACCACCAGCACAGAACCTCCTAGTTACCCAGTTCAACTAACTTCAGACCTTTCAGTCATATACTTGCAACAGTTCCACAATGGAGCCTTTCTCTTTAAAATATGGAAAATTATCAGGTGACTCATTACATGCAAAAATACGTCTGATAACACTACCCAAACAAGCAAACCAACTGTATCTGACAGTCGCAGCTCATCTCGAGGCAAAGTGCAATAACATTTAAAACACTTGAGATTTTGGCCGGGCTTGGTGGCTCATGCCTGAAATCCCAGCACTTTGGGAGTACAAGGTGGGCGGATCACTTGAGGTCAGGAGTTCGAGACCAGCCTGGCCAAAATGGTGAAACCTCATTCTCTACTAAAAATATAAAAATTAGCCAGGTGTGGTAGCACACACCTGTAGTCCCAGCTACTCGAGAGACTGAGGCAGGAGACTCACTTGAACCTGGGAGGCAGAGGTTCCAGTGAGCTGAGAACATACCATTGCACTCCAGCTTGGACAACAGCGGGAGACTCTGTCTCAAAAAAAAAAAAAAAAAAAAATGAGATTTTATTCATGCTTCATTCAGATAATTGGGTGTCTAGTATGTGCCAGGGACTGCTAGAGGGTTGTGTTTTACTCACTGATGTATCTCAAAGATCTACCCTCCACCCCAACCTACAGGTCTTACTTTGGAGAGCGGGGAAGGAGGTGATGAGGGCAGGCTTCTTTTTCGATCAAAGTTCTCTATTAACCAAAACAGAAAAATTACAATTAAATCATTCTATGATAAGATCAGGAGGGGTCAGAATCCCCTTTACAACAAACAGCTGCAGCAGCCGCCTCTGATTTCTGCTTGACTTTCCACCAACTGCAAAATGACTCATCATTTCTGGCAGCTTCAGTTGGTTCTTAAGCCAAAAGCTATCTCCCTATGGCTTCTCTGGTCCTGTTGTGCCCCATAGGACACCTTAAAAAAAAATGTGTGGCCCGGGCGTGTTGGCTTATACCTGTAATCCCAGCACTTTGGGAGGCCGAGGCGGGCGGATCACAAGGTCAGGAGATCGAGACCATCCTGGCCAACATGGTAAAACTACTAAAATACAAAAAATTAGCTGGGCATGGTGGTGCGCACCTGTAATTCCAGCTACTCAGGAGGCTGAGGCAGGGGAATCGCTTGAACCCGGGAGGTGGAGATTGCAGTGAGCTGAGATGGCACCACTGCACTCCAGCCTGGTGACAGAGCAAGACAACGTCTCAAAAAAAAAAAAAAAAGTGTGCTCCTTCTTACATGTAATAGCCTTTCAAATTCTTGAAGATGCCCTCTTCTCCAAAGCCTTACTCAAGCTAAATACTCACATGGTGGCTTCCAAAACCTCTTCCCTGGTTACCCTTGTCATTGCCTTCTTAAAGTGAAGTTCTTGAAACCGGACACAATATTGATTGAACAAATAGAACATTTAGATGTGTGAGGCATTATTCTACATGCTCTGAATATTCCAATTCAACCCTCATAGCCACCCTTCACTGTAGCTACTACCCCTCTCTTACAACTAAGGAAACTGAAGCACAGAGAGAGGTGGTAACTATATTACCAGGAATTCCAAGTATGGTCTGACCAAGTAAGTACAGTAAGATGGTCATCTCTAGAAGCCAAGTGTCAGTTAATTTTTAAATTACCATATTTGGATGGGACAACCACTTGGACTATCAAGTTTCTGGTCTTTTTCTGTAGTCCTCAAATCAGGTCTCACCATGTGGTATTCATACAATTTACTTTTAGGTTAGTATAGTACATCTGAAATTTATTCTTATTTCTTTAGTTTTCATTCTTTCTATCCTAACTAAATATTTTGAGTATTAATTACACCATCCAGCAAATGAATTATCTAGTGCCACTTTAAGTATGTTAATATATTTTCCATATCTCCTTTCAACTTTAAGCACATAAACGGTTAGGAACAAGTAGCATGCCATTAGAGACTTCTATTCAAGTTGATATTCAGGTTGATATCAAGTATTTTCTAGGTATGATTGTTCAAGTAGCTAAAAAAAAAGCCATTAATCTAATTAATTGTTTAATCCTGCTTACAAGATTATCTTGAAAAAATGTGCTGGGGAGTATGGTATAATGAATTACAGGTCCAAGAATTTGGGTTCAGATACCACCTTCAGTCTTTACTAAGCTGCGTGACTTTAGCAAAGTGCTTAGTCTCTCTAAGCTTCGGTTTCCTAATCTATGAGGAGGGCCTAAGATATCACCACCCATCATATTCCCCCCTCTGTACCGCTTATTTTAGATTCTACTATCATTGTATATCACAGAGGACATTTATCTTGTTCATCTTTACAATCAACACTTAGCAAGACAGATGGTACTTAGAAGGCCCCCCAGGTATCTGTTAAACTAGACAACCTCAGTTCTTGTGTTAAAAGTAAAAAAAAAAAAAAAAAAAACAACAACAAAAAAACCTTAAAACATGCAGTAGTGGGTGTTATGATAAAGAGCTGTTAAGAGAAAATAAAGTTAGTTTGATTCAGGTTGGTCTTGGTCTATCTGTGTTTCTTTTTTATTTGCTAAGGGCTTACAAGTTGTTTAATAATCCTTTCTAGGCTTTTATGTGCAGTTGATAGCACTTAACTGACCTAAAGCTTAAAATCTAATTGTTTCCTATTTTGGGAACAATTTTATTTCCAGGCTTATATTCTCCATAGATTTTCTCAGATCACCAAGAGTAAGCCTGCAGTTATATTCACAAATTCTTTCAAAATCTTAAGACCAAGGACTTAAAACTCATTTATCAATCATTTGGCATTCTCTTATCACTACCAATTTGAGTTGAGCTTCAGTTTAGCCTTAATGATGATTGTTATGCCTCTTCCAGTTTGAGGAACAAAGTCCTAACTCAGTGCAAAAGTTGAGGTCATGAGTGAATGGGCCCAGCCTTAATGCATGAATATATGGCCTTGTATTACTTACCAGTCTGTACATGTTGTCCGTCTCTTTGTCTACCACCAACAGTGAAGTCTGATCTCCACCCTTTCTAATCATTTCTACCACACTGTCATGATCCAGGGTTTCCACAGACTCGCCGTTGACAGCAACTACCAGATCATTGTTCTTCAAGCCAGCCTCCTCTGCTGGACTTCCAGAATCTATGTCCTTGATGATTTGACCTACCCTCCCCCAACCCCAAAAAATAAAATTATCAGTAAGTCCCCTAAAAAAATAAAACAGATTTTCTGCTGGAGCCCAAAGCCCTGATGAAATAGATAAAAAAGGCATGCTGAGTACAACTACCACCCCTTCCACCAGCATCCCAGGAAGCTTATAAGCACACTATCTAGGCTCGTTTCCTGCTCAGAACTCACCCCAGAAACTAACCCAGCAATTAACAATGAAGGGGTCTTAACGAAAATAATCCTGTTACTAAAAGCATCTGACATTTGATTTTGGCAAAATAGCATATTAAAAGGCTGCAAGTTCCCAGAAAGTCAGTGGGCATACTTGTAGCCACGCGTCTTATGTAAAAGCTGTCATAAAAGATGGGGAAGAATAAAGAACAAAACCCAAAACTTTGGACCTTAAGAAACCCATGCTGGCATTTTAGTAGCAATTGGGTGTGTTCGGTTTTGAATATATTTGTATATACATGCCTCCAGGTGCCTTTGGCCTTCTGGTATCTTCACCAGATGCTGCTTTTTTTTTTTTTTTTTTAACAAGTTCCTGTTTCACTTTTCCAGCTAGCTGCTGGGTATCTCCAACAAAATATCTCATAGATCTCTCAACTGTAATGTATTCAAACCAAAAATCAGCTCTGCCCATTCTCCATCCCAAAGCCCCTCCTCTTGGTTACCTGTTAGTGGAGCAACATCATCCCAGTCACCAACACTTGGCAACTGATTTTTCCCCAGCATCCAGTCCCCATATCTAGACGATTGCTAAGTCCTCTGATGCTACCATAATACCTTACACATCCCACTTCTTCTACCCTGAATGCAGTTTGTATTAGTTCCTGCCTAGAATTCTACCTAAACTATTACAGCACCTTACCTACTGCTTTCCCTTCCCCAGTCCTTCTGTCTGATACAGATCTGCCTTCAGATCCATCTTGATGCACATTCCTAACCAAGTCACTTCCTGGTGCAACAGAATGAGCATGGGCTTTGGAACTAAACAACTATTTGACCTTACATAATTACTGTATCTTCTCCAAGCCCTCAATTTCAGCAGTTCTTCTTGCGTAATTGTTAGGAGTAATTGAGATGTGCAAAGCCCCCAAGACATTATAGGCTGGTTTTTGTTCTTCTCCCTTATACTGCTCAAAAAACAACTCCCCATTGTCTGATAAGCCAAGTTCAAACTCATCAGTCTTGCATAGAAGTACCCTTGTCACTTCTCTCCAACCTACCTTTCCAACGAATTCTTGTACTACACATCATGTGCCAATTAAACTGTGCCAGTGTCTCCTGACTGTGTTCACATGACTCCCACCTTCCTGGAATGATCTTCCTTATCCCAGCTCTGTCTACTTTCCCAAATCTATTCATGTTACAAAGCCTGAACTCAAGTGCCACCCCTACTATGAGGGCTTCTGGTACCTTTTTAGTGAGAAAAGCTTACTCTAACGTTGAATTATCACAGTGCTTGATCTGCCCCTGTATGAAGGTACTTAACCTCTATCTCCCTTCATTATGGACATATGTCTCTTATCTACTAAATGGTAGACTCCTTGACTAAAGAATTCCTGTCTGCTTCATATGATATTCTTTCTCCAAGGCACTGAGGATGTTTTTACAAAACACAAACCAAATTAATATTTGATAAATTAATGTAAACAGAGAGTGAAAAGAAAATAACAACTTATGGGCGAATAGCAGTTTATACGGCCTGAACTCATGTTCTTTTATGTATTTACCTTCCCTGAAAGAACCTAGTGTTCTTCCTATTGAGTTGCAAGGAAGGAGGACTCCTGGTTCTGAGTCCCAAATCCTCACCCACACCTCGGCCTCAGGTCCAGCGGTGTGCTATACTGGCTCACACCGGCTCACAAAAGCCAATTCTGTGCAACACTTCATTGTGTTCAGTGACATCGTGTTAGTAAGTTGAAATTGGACATGGGAGGAGTATTTACATCACAAAATACTACCAATTTGGTACCAAAAACAAACGCTACCAATTTGGATTTCCCCCTACCCCCGCCCCAGAGAGCTAACTTACCAGGATACCGTTGCCCAGATCCCAAATTCTGCCTTATCATAATGCTGTGGAAACTTTTGATGCCCAACATCAGACCCTCATGTGACATAGACGCTGACCCAGCTGTGCCTTCTATGCTATGCCGCTCATGCATCTGGCTGGGAGTTGGGAACCTAATGGAACTCTGGAGTCAGAATGGGATGAGGAATTTGCTGGTTACTGCCAAGTTTCCTGCTCTTGTACCTTACCTTTCTGTTCTGAGCCTGCCCTCAGATAGAAACCATAGCCATTGCTTCCTTTCTTCATCTCCACAATTCGGGGCTGGTGGGGTAACAGTTTCAAACTGGCTGTTTCTCTTTTGAATTGTATCTTCTGCTCAACATGACGCTTGTCAGTTTCTTTGTCCACCAGCAGGAACATGACACGGCTTCCTGACTTCTTCACCTGTAACAACACACACAGATGAGGAATGACATCAACCCCCAAGAACAATGCTGGGGAATAAGAAAGTTTCTGTATAAAGGCACACAGTCTCTAGGTTCAACAAAAGATAGGGGATGAAAGGCCTGAGTTTAAGCTGTTACACTATGCCCTACCAGCTAACTGATATGTATTTATCGCCTTTTTTTTTTTTTTGAGATGGAGTGTCACTCTTTCGCCCAGGCTGGAGTGCAGTGGCACTATCTCAGCTCACTGCAAGCTCTGCCTCCCGGGTTCACGCCATTCTCCTGCCTCAGCCTCCCGAGTACCTGGGACTACAGGCGCCCGCCACCGCACCTGGCTAATTTTTTTTTTTTTTTGTATTTTTAGTAGAGACGGTGTTTCACCGTGTTAGCCAGGATGGTCTCGATCTCCTGACCTCGTGATCCACCCGCCTCGGCCTCCCAAAGTGCTGGGATTACAGGCGTGAGCCACCGCGCCCGGCCCCTATCTCCACTTCTATAGTTGTTTTCCCTTATTTAAGTATGACCTACCCACATAGGTGCTAACTGAGCCCAAGTAGGAGCTGGAATTCAGAAAACCCATAAAGGTACCTAGATAAAAGCTAGAAAGGGAGTTTGGAAAAGAAAAGAAAGTAAGGGTCCACGTCAAAAAATCATTCTACAAAGAGAAGGTTGGTCAATTTTTAAGGTTCCATATGACCTCAAAGGAAAATCTCGGTTATCTCCCACTTCCTATTAAAGCATTTCAGTATTAACGGCTCAACAGTGAACTTATTGTAAATTCAGAGGGCGCAGTGGCACACGCCCATAATCCCAGCACTTTGGGAGGCCAAGGCGGGCAGATCACTTGAGCTCAGGAGTTCAAGACCAGCCTGGCCAACATAGTGAGACCCTATCTCTACAAAACACACACACACACACACACACACACACACACACACACATAAAAATTAGCCAGGTGCGGTGGTGCACACCTGTAGTCCCAGCTACTCAGGAAGCTGAGGTAGAAGAATCATCTGAGCCCAGGAGGCCGAGACTGCAATGAGCCGAGATTGTGCCACTACACTCCAGCCTGGGTAACAGAGTGAGACCCTGTCTCAATCAAACAGTTCAGAGGGGGCTCCCAATCAGATACAAACAAGATCCAAAAGGTAAAGTTAATAATTTTGTAGACCTCATGTGAAACTAGGGAAGGCTTTATTCCAAAACCCTATATTAACACTGCTTATACCACTAGTGTGAGTCTGTTCACCCTTAATATGAAGGGGCAACTCAACTGGATATTTTTTCCATCATAAACTCATGCTGTCCCCTACCACCCCTGTCTTCCTGTCACCTCCAATGAGAATAGAGTGGAAGATAGGGTAAGAAAAGTACCCTTTGGGGCATACCTTTTCAACCACTTCCTCATGGCTGGCATCCTCTACATTCTCTCCATTCACTTCAATCAAGTGATCATCAGCCAGAACTCCAGCTCTCATAGCCACACCTTGAGGTGTAATATCAGTCATGTATACCCCCTTTTTACCTGGAAGAGAGTAGGGGTAAACTCCATGTGGAGACACAAGTGACTCCCTCTTGGATGGTAATCTGTGATGTTGACTTCTGATTAGCCCCAGTCCTGTGATTGCCTCCCGATTCCTACTTCATTTACTGTCCCTAGTCTAAGAACATGTCAACCTTAATGTTATCACACAAATTATAGGCTATGATGCACTATAGCATTCTTGGCTATTGCAGAGGGCTGCCTTCGATTGTCTTGCTGGAGCACATATACCCTTTCCCTATGGTATATCAGCCTTGGGTCTGGGGAGTAACACAGAGATCTACATGTTTTGTGGCTGTCCAAGACCATGCTTCTGTTCGTAAGTTCCCCTGATAAATTCCAATGTACCAACAAACTGGATTTGCCTGCCTTGTCCTTTGGTTTCTCAGCTCCTTTGGCCTTTGAGGGACTGCTTTGCTTACACCACCCTTTCACAGAACACTCCATTGCAAAGAAAAACTCGAAATCCAATGGTAAAGACTTTTCTCCCAATAATGTGAAACAAACTTCCGATTTTAGAGCTAACTCGGCCTTTGGCTTCTGATCTAAAATCACAGTTATAGCTCCTGACACTGAACTTGACACAGCCTTTACTCAGTGGGTATTTGTTGATTTGAATAGAATTTCTGAGGTCAGCTAAATGCAAAGATGGAATCTTGGGTGGCCTTGGCCCCTTGCACCAGAAAGCGCTAAAACATGCCCACACTGCATTATTGTGTCATACGCCCTTTCTTTGCATTTGTAGAATCAGAAAGCATCTTTACCATTCTCTCCTCTTCAGTTTGTACTATTATATTAGCCATCGTATGCTGCGGAGTCATCTCACCAATGTAGGCTAACAAGGACAGGCACAGGAGGGAGGGAAGAACCCGAATGCATTTAGGTGGTGAGATTTAGGTGCTACTTACAGAAATGCTGTCAATTCTTCAAAGATATTAATAGAGCAGTTCCCCCTTAACCATGGGGGATACATTCCAAGACCCCCAGTGGAGGCCTGAAACTTTAAGATAGTATACCGAACCCTATATGTTTTTTCCTGTGCTTACATACCTACGATAGAGTTTAACTTATAAATTAGGCACAGTAAGAGATTAACAATAACTGAGCTAATCTTAGCAACCTCAGCATACAGTATTTTTTCTTTCCTTATTAAATCGAGAACTTTTCACTTAATAGAAGCACTTTACAGCCTTTTTTTTTTTTTTAACAGATGGAGTCTTGCTCTGTCACCTAGGCTGGAACGCAGGGCCGCAATCTTGGCTCACAGCAACCTCTGCCTCCCCGGTTCAAGCGATTCTTCTGCCTCAGCCTCTCGAGTAGCTGGGACTACAGGCGCCTGCCACCGCGCCTGGCTAATTTTTGTATTTTTAGTAGAGATGGGGTTTCGCCATGTTGGCCAGGCTTGTCTCGAACTCCTGACCTCAGGTAATCCACTCGCCTCGCACTCTCAAAGCGCTAGGATTACAGATATGAGCCACTGTGCCCAGCCACTTTACAGCTTCTCTTTGTCATATCTGAACTGCCAGCATCACTATCGTTGCATTTTTGGCTTTTTTTTTTTTTTTTGAGACGGAGTCTTGCTTTATCGCCCAGCCTGGAGTGCAGTGGCGCAATCTGAGCTCACTGCAACCTCCGCCTCCCGGGTTCACACCATTCTCCTGCCTCAGCCTCCTGAGTAGCTGGAACTACAGGCGCCCACCACCACACCCGGCTAATTTTTTGTATTTTTAGTAGAGACAGGGTTTCACCGTGTTAGCCAGGATGGTCTCGATCTCCTGACCTTAAGATCCGCCTGCCTCGGCCTCCCAAAGTGCTGGGATTACAGGCGTGAGCCACTGCGCCCGGCCTGAGCTATTATTTTTTATTGATACATAACATTTGTACATATTTATAGGGTGTGTGTCATATTTTGATACCAAGAGCATATGATGAACAAATCAGGGTGTAATATTTAGGACATCCATCCTTGAACATTTATCATTTCTTTGTGTTGAGAATATTTCAAATCTTCTTACAGCTATTTTGAAATGTACAATACATTGTTGTTAACTACAGTCACCCCACTGTGCTATCAAACATTAGAACTTATTCCTTCTCTCTGTGGGTTTGTACCCATTAACCTAGCTCTCTTCATCCCCACCCTACCCCACACACATACCCTTCCCAGCTGCTGGTATCTCTCATTCTACTCTCTACCTCCATGAGATTCACCTTTTTTAGCTCCCACATATGAGAATATGTGATATTTTTCTTTCTGTGCTGGGCCATTATTAAGCAAAATAAGGATTATTTGAACACAGTACTTTAATACCGTGACAGTTGACCTGGTAACTGAGTAGTAAGTAGTAAGACTAACAGGCAGGTAAGCACATGCCACGTGGAGATGCTAGACAAACAGAGGATTCACGTCCAAGACGGGGCAGGACAGCACAAGATTTCATTACACTACTCATAATGGTTCACAATGCAAAAATTATGTATGGAATTTTCCATTTAATATTTTCAGACCACAGTTGCCTGCAGGTAAGGTAACTGAAACTATGGAAAGCCAAACAGGATAAGGGGGGACTCTTGTATGTCAACCTAGGCAAGGGATCGCTTGCTAATGACTACATAAATCACTTGTAAGGAATGACAGTAACTTAAACTCTGCTTCCTTAAACACTCAGCATTTCTCCTGCTACCTTGTTATATATTTGTCATGAAGAGACCATTTTCCTCATAAAGCTAACCTAAACCATTCACCATGTGCATTAGCACACGAGCCAGATGAGTAGAATCTGAATTATGATTTTCTTTTTTTTACCACTTTACTGATAATAGGCTTCTAAGACGTGCCAAGCTTCCTTTGACTATACACACCACTGTGTTTAATAACTGACAGACCTGAGAAATACCCCTTATCGTGAGTTTACATCTCTTGGTACAGGTTAAATAAGCCTTAGAAACTATTTTAAATTTACCACTGGTCTGCTGCTGTATCACTTGCCAAATCATGACCTACCACCAGTGCTTCTCCAGCCCCAGAAAGAACATAGGCAGAGGCAGTGTTCAAGAAGGAATCGACCAGCTAACACAGCTCCTCTGGTTCCAACCAATACCCCAGAGCCACGGTCAACTGAACACAGGTTAGTCTGCACCTCTGAAATTCTAGAAATAGAACTTCTGGTACTTCCTGATGGTCAGGGTTTCTCAAATCACTATGTACCTCTTAGCCAGAGCTCAAAGATGCACCTCAGAACAGGTGGGGCTGAGCTGCAGCTGAGGATACTATCAAAATGTTACAGGAGGGTGGAAATTTTTGCGGTATTCTCAGCAAAGGTAACAGTGCCTGGCACATCAGCAGGTGCTCAAGAATTTGTTGAATAAGTGAATGACTATCTGGGCACTCAGATAAAAAAAAAAGATACCAATCTTACTCAAAAATAGCTATTATGAAGAATCTCATTTTTCTTGCCTTTTATTCCTTATTCTGCCCTTCATTTTCACCCTAAGAGGGCTAGAAGCATCAACCCTCTGGCCCCCTGACCTCAAAGAGTCCTCAAGTGTCAGCCTGACAAACACTCAGGGACAGGAGTACCCAGTGCCCCCCACCCCCACTGCTGTCCAGTGTCCCTCCCCCATTGCACAACTGTGCAAGGCAAGGGAAAGGGCAGGGAGGGAGTGAGAGACGGAGGGAGGCAAGCTGTTGCAAGCTATCTATAGCAACTGAAAAGTCAGTCGAAGAAAAGTCATTAACCAGTAGCATCTTTGTTCTGGAAGCCTGTTGTCTGTGCCCTGCCCCTGCCTCCCCCTGCTCCCCAAAAAATTCTCACCTTGGACAGTTTTCAGAGAGAAGCCATGGCTGCCTCCCTCCTTCACGAGATAGCAGAGCCGGGGCTGGGTCCAAGTTTGCACACCTCCATTCATCACAGGGGAAAGTATATTATCACTCAAACCTTGCTCCTTCTGACTTTGACCCAACTCTTTCAAGTCCACCCGTGTTTTCACTGCTTTCTCATAGGAATCCCCATCCAGAACTAGTAAAGTCACTGAATTCCCACTCTTTCTGACCAGATCCACAACCTAGGAGGGAAGAAGAAAAAGGTAACTTTAATAACCCTCTGCCAACTGCCAGAGGGAAATGCTGACCATCTGGCTCAATATCTGGCCCTGGAGATGCTGCTAGTTGACCCTTGACACCCAAGTAGAAGCAGGTAGTTCCTCAGCCACCTCCATCCCTGCCCTCCCAAGATCCAGGTGCAGATTAGCTGAGCTTCTGGCACTGCTGGAATATAGAGTGTGGTTCAACCCCAGCCCAGAGGGTTCTTACAAGACTGGTCCTTTCTAGAGAGGATAAGAACACAGGCCGCTAAGAAAGGTATGTAAGCTCGGGAGGGAGGAAAGAAAGGGGAAGGGGGCTAGAGGAGATTCGGACATGAGATGCATTCACCCTATGAGTTAAACCCCAGTCTCCAGCATGGGAGTTGACAATTCCATTACTGAACCATCAGTGTTCCATGTAGTATAACCTCTCATGGGTTTAAAAAAAAAAAAAAAACTCTAGTGTTATAAGCAGGCATGAAGGGGCAGGGGGGATGGGGGTGGGAATGTTCTATAATAGGCTTACACAGATGTCTTTGGAAAACAGAGCTAACAAAGCAACAGGCACTTAGAGAAAAGGCTTGTCCTAAACCTTCTGTTGTTTGCCAAGGGAAGAAATCTTGGAGTGAAATTTTCACTTTCTCTCTTGTGCAGATCTCTGTAAGACACAAAAGTTTGGAAGACAGTCATTTTGATCCTTGACTTTTCTAGAGACTCAAAAGACGCATCTGAGGAGAAAAGCTCTGGGTCCCTGGAATGACCGTGCCACTCAACATGCCTCCTGGAGTGGCCAAAGAGAGTGTAGTTAAGAAAAGAAATATTGGAGTGAACTTTCACTCACTCTCACCTTTGTAGGTTTCTCAAAAACATATGAATTTAGAAGCAAGATACTTGGCTTTTTCACATGACTCAAAAGAGGTGTAGAGGAAGAGAAGCTCCATCATCCCACAGATCTTCCAGGGTAACCTGGACACATCCCTAAATCTCCAGCTCCTGGGTCTTTGAAAGCCTGTTTAGGGAAAGAATTTGTGATTGTCTCAAGGTTGAGAGGAAAGAGTTTGGGAAACACCAAGGCATGGGTTGGCAAAAAGATTACATCATCAGTGAGGAAATGAAATTTCCAGAGGTTTTTGCCAGATCTGGGACCAGAGACAAAGGCCTGGATGAATTTCCTGTGTATTTCCATAGAGGTCTGTTATCTAGTTGTATAGAGCCTGTTTCACAATTAGGCTCTTTCAAATCTGGTATGTTGATTTAAATGCCATTATAAATAACTTGATAATGTTGCCTGACATACGTCTCCTATGCAAGGCTTTGCTCTGGGTGTCCTTTCTGTTTGCTCGGTGTGTCTACTCAAGAGTCCTATACAAATCTATTTTAGAAACACTGCTTCAAAGTCCTTCCAGAGACTCTTCAAAATTAGATCTAGTGAAACCGCACTCAGTGGAGCATTGGTAGTTCAGCGGTGGCATTCTCCCCACCTACGCGGGAGACCTGGGTTCAACTCCCGGCCAAAGCAGGCCTTCTTACCCTTCATGCTCCAAGTTCATGCTTGAAGGGCTATTACATTTCTAGCCAACAAAGTTATTGTACTACACAGGCTGTACAGCATTTAGGGGCCTTGAGTCGTGGTGGCTGGAAGCTAAACCTGCCACCTCTGGAATATTCTCTGTGCTGGATCTAATCTTGAAATTACATTTCCTCTGCTCAAAGCCTGTCTTTGAAAGTGGGGGTGTTTCCGGTGGTTTGCTGCAGTTTGGAGTACTGGGAACTAAATAAAGCCTTTGCTACTTTCATCTAGTCTCCGGGCACACCCCTGAGTAATCCAAAGGCCATCAGACGGATTCTCGTGCTGGACTTTCCCCTACCTTAGGCCACATCTCACTATGGAGTGAGGATCAAGAAGTAAAGGTCTGGGAAGGAGAGAGCTGCAGGGGCCAGGGAGACTCTTCGTGAGTCGGAGAGCCATCAGCGGCCCAAGGAAAAGGGAGGATCGTGGGGAGACGAGGGGAGCAGTGGAGATGAGGGGAGCAGCGGAGACAGAGTCTCACGCACAGGTATGCCCAGACACCCTGAACCCAGTTACTTAACCTCGTCAACCACTGTGGCATCCGCGGGGTCCGTGGGCCCATGGGTCTTCCGGGAGGGATTCTGTGTCCCTGTTATTGTGTGTCAATAGGTGTTAGCCTGATATTTATATTTTTAATGAGAGAAAACAAACTCCAGAATTTGGGAACTGTTTTTCCGGTTTTGCTTTATACCTCTTGGACACTCCTTCGAAGGACTGGATCTGAGGGGCATTGGGGTGCGACTACGGTGGACAAGGGATGATTAATTTTCATCCAAAAATCTTTGGTGGATTCCCCCGGCTCTCCAGCTCACCAGTCTAACAGTAGTTTAAAACAGAAGATCAGCAACGTTTGGAGAGTTTTTTTTTCTTTGCGTTTTAATGATAAACTTGATTTATTCAATTCTATTCTGAGGTTGTCTTTCTATATTTTGAGTATAAAACGATGGCCATACTATGTTGGAACCACTAAGGTTCTTCTCTTCACTTGTTATTCGTAAAGTCTCTTTGTAATCTGAGAATTTCCTGAGTAAACTGGGAACTGTTATACATAATTCCTTGTTTTTGAGCATTCTTTGTAAACAGGAATCAGGATTGGGGGTGGGGAGGGAGGGAGGAGTAGGAGTGCTGATTTGTGTAACGGAAAATCATGGATTACTTATGTGATGGAGCAAAGGTTTAAAAACTCTTAGCGTCCCCGGATTTCCCCTTTTACTGTTTGCTGAAGAAAATTCTGTCTTTGACTCCCTTCCTTACCCTCTCCTGGCCTGTGAGCTGCTTCCTCCCTATTCAGTTTATTTCCTCCTCCCCTCCCCGCCCCACTCCCCCACCCCCGCAGCCCCCTCCTCTTTTTCAGTGAAGCTGCTGGAGGAAAGTCGGGTTTGGGAGAAGACCCACACAGGCAAGGACAGCAGAACACTGACATATAGTTACACTCTTGTCGCCAGCACTGTCATTAAGATGTTGTGAAAAGACAAAGACAAAAGAGGAGAGGAAAGAATAATATCTCCGTTTCAGGAGATATTCCACAATATTCCAGGATGTTGTGCCTACTGTCCAGAGTCCTTGATCCGATGTAGTAAAGAGCTAGGGACATTTTCACTGAAGGCTTTGATTGCTGGCAAAATCTCATTAAAAGTGTATACATTGATAGGTTGGCCACAGAATGGCCAAAGAAGAGCCTCTGGCCTACATCTGCCAAGATATATGTGTAAGAATACACTCTGCAGCATTATTTTTTATTGTAAAATAGCAGAACGAATTTATTATTCAATAATTATAAAATGTTCAAATGTATGTGACTATATTCGGACAATGAAAAATGCAGCTGTTAAAAATAGACAATACTGATGATTCAGATGATGTTACTGATGAAAATAATAACAGATGACAATTATTGAGCATTTATGCAATCTTACATGCATTACCTTATTTAAAGTTCAGAACAACTAAGGAAATGAGTAACTTGGGGCGGGCGTGAGAGGTTTGGAGGCACAAAAGGAAGATAGGCATTCAAGGGACACCAGGATAGAAGAGCCACAGTAGAAGAGAGAGGAAGAGGAGTCCGCCAGGTGGGATGCTGCAAGCCGCTGGATAGCACGGCGGAGATAGGGCGTTCCTGCCCCGCAAGCCTCCCTGCGACCGCAGGCCTCCGGCCGCCTTCTTCCAGGAAGACGCGCCCTGCTTTCTTCTGATGTTGGTAGAGACGCTGCAAAGCGCATCGTCCTCGAGCATTTCTTCTCTCCCCAAGACCCTCCGAAGGAGCATTTCTTCTCTCCCCAAGACCCTCCGAAGGAAGGATGGGCGGACAGACTAAGTGGTCAAACGCGCAGAGCTCCAGCTTCCGCAGGAGCATTTCCCGAGTGTCTTTCATGGGTAAGAGTGGGCCCTGCAGGATAATGCCTCCCGTTCCCTGAGGAGCAGTGCGGGAGATGCCCATGTGGCCAGCTCCTGGGCCACGCGACCCAGGCCCTCCAGGAGGAGCGAGGAGTCCTGGGCCCTGAGCCAGCCCCCTGGACCGGCTGTGCCAAGAGAAGCAGCAAGGGAAGGGGTCCCCTCCTGCCTCAGGGTCTCTGTCCTCCTGGGGTTAAGAGACGTGCATCCAACTCCCTCTCCAAGTGCTGGAGAGGAGGCTAGGTCTTTCCCACGGGCTGGGGGCCTTGCTGTCCCAAGGACGGCTGGGGAGGAGGAGGAGGCCGGTTGAGATATGTGAAGCAGCTCTGGCTACAGCGGGTAGGGAGAGGGCGCGCGGGACCCAGGAGCCTCCGTGCGGAGCCAGGCCTCAGGAGCAGCCGCCTTGTTCCTGGAAGGGGTGCCTCCCTCCATCTTGTCTCCAAAGACTGTAGGGAGACCTTCTCGCCCGGTAGGAAAGCGACGTCTCCCATGCTTTCCCACCACGCAGGCCTTGTGGCCTTTCTCCTGCTAGTGTCTGCCCTCCAACCTGCGGGGGCTGCGGCTGCCACGGTTCCACGCTGGGTGGACGCTGCCTGCCCGGGATCCAAGAGCCGCCGTTGCAGGCGGGAGTTGGGGAGTCGTGTGCAGGTCCGAAGGAGACCCAAGCTCTTGGTCAAGGCTTTTTTGCTATAGCCAAATTCAGCGTGTAAAAGACAGAGAGCTCACATCTGTCTGTTCGTAAGCTTCGGTGAGAACACCAAGGAAGCGCACTCAAGATTCGTAGGAGGGCGGGAAGGGTCCCTGGCGGCGATATCCACATCGGCGGTGAGCCAAGGCATGTCAGGAGAGTGAGTGCGCGAACCCAGCCGCCGGATAGCGCAAACACCACCGCGGACGAGGGCCCCGCATGTGGAGAAATCGCAGGGGTCAGCGGAGCCGAAGTGTGGTGGACTAGCCTCCTCCAGGGAGAACCCCCTTCCTGACCACTGTATGTCCCCCGCCACATAAGGGGAGAGGAGGGACAGCACAGCCTACTCTCCCCTGGCCGACGATCAGGGTCACCACCTTCTCCTCTGCTCTCCCCTCGCCATTCTTCCAAACCACCCTCCGCCAAAGATTCCACGGACAGTCACCCTCCCAACAACCCAGGCCTCCTTTCAGCAGCGGCTCCCGCCCCACAGCCACCGCGCCCTCTCACCCCCGCGGTTCTGCCCGCCGCCTCTGCCGAGTCTGTGCACTTCACCTCCCTGGGTCCCGCTCCCCCCTGAGCTTACAGTGGACGAGGGGCAGGACGGGGGGAAGGCCATTCGGCTGCCCTTCTAGCTTCAGAATCACCCAGTGAACGGGTTTCAACCGTAGCCGGCAAGATGCGCCTCTCCGGTTTTCCGAGGCTTTGGAACCTGCACAATTGTTCTGCAAAAGACGGTGGCTCCGCCTAGCATTGGATGGGCGCTTGCTCTGCATGGTGATGCCGGAGCGAGGGTCGACTGTCCGTATGTCGCAGTCGGGTGGTGTGCTTGCTTCCAAGTCTGGAGTTGGCTGGTTCAAGCTCGTTCTACTGAGCGTTTCTTGCATTTTAAAAATGCTTAAACCGCTGGCAACTTTCTTCTACCCAGCACATTCTCTCATGGAATGGCAGAGCAAGACCAACTTTACCCGCCTCTCCTCCGTGTCTCCCATACGACATGAGGACGTAAATCAAGGTCCGCTAGGATTCTAGGATCTCTCTCTCTCTCTCTCTCTCTCTCTCTCTCTCTCTCTCTCGACGGAGTCTCTCTCTGTCACCAGGCTGGAGTGCAGTGGCGCCATCTCGGCTCATTGCAACCTCCGACTCCCTGGTTCAAGCGATTCTCCTGCCTCAGCCTCCCGAGTAGCTGGGATTATAGGCACGCGCCACCACGCCCAGCTAATTTTTGTATTTATAGTAGAGACGGGGGTTTCATCATGTTGGCCAGGATGGTATCAATCTCCTGACCTCGTGATGCACCCGCCTTTGCCTCCTAAAGTGTTGGGATTACAGGCTTGAGCCACCGCGCCCGGCCTTCTCTCTATTTTGTTTGTTTGTTTGTTTGTTTGTTTGTTTACTGTCATTCATTTAGCCCTTTCCATACGCTTTTGAAGTTAAATTGGTTCTGTGATTTTATGATTACATATAATGTTCTAGTCATTCTTGTACGGGCATTTTCGGCGTTTTCAGCCACTGGTGTATTTCTATAGGATAGAGGTGCAATTACTATAGGAAGAGCAATTACTCCATCATAGTGTTCACACGGTTTTTATATCATTCCATTCTCTCTCCTCTGTTGGCTTATTAGCTATAACTCTTTCTTTTGTTACTTTAGTAATTCCCTTAGGGCTTATAGCAAACCTTTTTAACTGAACACAGTCAACCTTCAAGTGATATTAAACCTCGCCTTCTGGCCTTGAAGTTATTGCTGACATGTACTTTGCTTTTACGCATGTTATAAACCCACAACCCATTGTTATTGCTTTTGTTTAAATGGTCAAACTTTTACAAAAGAAATTTACAAAATAAGAAAATACCTAGTATAGTTACCTATTTCTGGTGTTCTTCATTTCCTCATGTAGATCTGGATTTTCATCTGGTATTGGATTCCTTCTGCCCGGAAGACTCCTTTGACGTTTCTGTAGTGTGGGTCAGCTGGTAGTGAATTCGGTCAGCTTATGTAAGTCTCTAAATGTCCTTACTTCACTTCCAGTTTTGGGAATTTATTTTTTCTGGCAGAGTATTCTAGGTTAACTTCCTCTGCCCTCAGTACCTTAAAGATGTTGCTTCTCTGTCTGCTCCCATTGCATTGCTGCTCCCAGTGGGGGCCGGCGAGAGCAGAAAGAAAGTTGATGGCAATTCTCATCTTTGTTCCTGTGTAGGTACAATGTCTTTTTCTTCTGGCTGGATTTCAGCAATGTTATTATGAGGTATCTAGCAGTGGTTTTCTTCATGTTTCTTGTGCTTTGGTTTCCTCAGCTCCTTGGGTCACTGGATTTATAATTTTCATTATGGTTGGGAACTTTTCAGCTATTGTTTCTTCAAAAATTGGCTGGGAACAGTGGCTCACACCTTCAGGAATCAGGAGGTGTTGAGTGAGGCCGGGAATTGGAGACCAGCCTGAGCAACATACTGAAACCCCACTCGTAATAAAAATAACAAAGAAAGAAAATAAATGCTTCCTTTCCTCCCCGCTCCTTTTCAGGGACTCACATTACTCATAAATTAGGCCTCTTAAATCTGCCCTACAGTTCACTGATAATCTTTTCATTTAAAAAAAAATCTTTTGTCTGTGAGTTTCATTTTGCATATTTTCAATTATTCATGGTTCCATATTCCCTGATCATTTCTTCTGCAACGTCTAATCTGCTGTTAATCCCATCCAGCGAATTTATCATCTCTGATATTTTGGTTTTGTCTTGCTTGCTTGCTTGCTTGCTTGCTTGCTTGCTTTCTATCTTTCTTTTTCTTTTTCTTTTTTTGGATGGAGTCTCACTCTGTCGCCCAGGCTGGAGTGCAGTGGCGCGATATTGGCTCACTGCACCCTCCGCCTCCTGGGTTCAAGCGATTCTCCTGCTTCAGCCTCCAGAGTAGCTGGGACTACAGGTGCGTGCCAGGACACCCAGGTAATTTTTTGTATTTTTAGTAGAGACAGGGGTTTCACCGTATTAGCCAGGATGGTCTCAATCTCCTGACCTCGTGATCTGCCCCCCTCAGCCTCCCAAAGTGCTGGGATTACAGGCGTGAGCCATTGTGCCCGGCCTATACACAAACTTTTGTATTAGAATAGAAAAGTTGAGAAGGTAGTTCACAGAATGGAGTAAAGAGGATGAAATGGGTTTTTGGAAACCATTCACATTTTAAAGTTGTTTTAGGCCAGGCGCGGTGGTTCATGCCTGTAATCCCAGCACTTTGGGAGGCCGAGGTGGGTGGATCACGAGGTCAGGAGATCGAGACCATCCTGGCTAACATGGTGAAACCCCGTCTCTACTAAAAATACAAACAAAAAATTAGCCAGGCGTGGTGGCGGGCACCTGTAGTCCCAGCTACTCAGGAGGCTGAGGCAGGAGAATGGCGTGAACCTGGGAAGTGGAGCTGGCAGTGAGCCAAGATCGGGCCACTGCACTCTAGCCTGGGTGACAGAGCGAGACTCCGTCTCAAAATAAATAAATAAAATAAAATAAAATAAAATAAAATAAAGTTAACACCCCTCACCCCCAAAGAACAATGTGTGTTCTCCCCAGACATCCCTTTATTAAAATATGCAGAGAAAGTGTAGGATAAAAGAGCATATGCTAAACTCCTCAGAATGTGTGTCTGGAAGTGGACAGGGGAATGGGAGTGGGATGAACAGAGAAAAGAAGGAAAGACAGTAAGGGCCTTGCTGAGAGCAGCCACCATAATGTGCCCTGAGCTAAGGTACATGATTACCTTCTTCCTGTGCACCTGAGATCTAAGAGAATATATTAACAAATCAGGGATATGGAATTTCAAAAACACTATGGGAAAACAACAAATTTACCCAAACAGAACAGTCTACTTAAGAAAGGCAGGAAGAGGCCGGGCGCGGTGGGTCATGCCTGTAATCCCAGCACTCTGGGAGGCCGAGGCGGGCGGATCACGAGGTCAGGAGATCGAGACCATCCTGGCTAACATGGTGAAACCCCATCTCTACTAAAAATACAAAAAAAATAGCCAGGCGTGGTGGCGGGTGCCTTTAGTCCCAGCTACTCCTGAGATTGAGGCAGGAGAATGGCATGAACCTGGGAGGCAGAGCTTGCAGTGAGCCAAGATCATGCCACTGCACTCCAGCCTGGGCAACAAAGTGAGACTCCGTCTCAAAAAAAAAAAAAAGAAAGAAAAGAAAAAAAAGGCAGGAAGAGATTTTATAAACAAAGCAAAAACACAGAAATCATACAATGAGGTGGTGGGAATGAGACTAACTATGCCCATCATCTCCAACATAACACTAATTACTGCTAATTATAATGGATCTAAGTCTCTCATATTGGATAGAAAAGGAAATGTGGACTCTAATGGTTCAATGGCAGAAAAGGGTTAAATATTCAAAGCAGTGCACATTATTATTATTATTATTATTATTTGAGACAGAGTTTCACTCTTGCTGCCCAGGCTGGAGTGCAATGGTGTGATCTCAGCTCACCACAACCTCCGCCTCCCAGGTTCAAGCAATTCTCCTGCCTCAGCCTCCCTAGTAGCTGGGATTACAGGCATGTGCGACCATACCCAGCTAATTTTGTATTTTTAGTAGAAACGGGGTTTCTCCATGTTGGTCAGGCTGGTCTCGAACTCCTGACCTCAGGTGATCCGCCCGCCTCGGCCTCCCAAAGTGCTGGGATTACAGGCATGAGCCACTGCACCCAGCCTATTATTATTATTATTATTATCATTATTTTGAGACAGAGTCTCGCTCTGTCACCAGGCTGGGGTGCAGTGGCCAGATCTCGGCTCACTGCAACCTCTACCTCCCAGGTTCAAGGGATTCTTCTGCCTCAGCCTCCCGAGTAGCTGGGACTATAGGCACGCGCCACCATGCCCAGCTAATTTTTGTATTTTTAGTAGAGATGGGGTTTCACCATATTGGCCAGGCTGGTCTCGAACTCCTGACCTCGTGATCCACCCACCTCGACCTCCCAAAGTGCTGAGATTACAGATGTGAACCACCACACCGGGTCAAAAGCAGTGCACATTATCTTTAGCAAGCTAACACAGAAACAGAAAACCAAACACCGTGTGTTCTCACTTATAACTGGGAGCTGAATGCGAGAACACATGGATAAATGGGGTTAGGGGGCAAGGACAACAGACACTGGAGCCTGTTGGAGGGTGGGGGTTGGGAGGAGGGAGAGCATCAGAAAGAGTAGCTAATGGATGCTGGGCTTAGTACCTGAGTGATGGGAAGATCTGTGCATCAAACCACCATGACACAGGTTTACCTGTGAGACAAACCTGCACATCCTGCACATGTACCCTGAACTTAAAATAAAAGTTGGAAATAAAAAATGTAAAAAGGAAAGAAAATAAACAACAACAACAAAAAGAACGGTGCAAATCTATACCACGCTCATTAGAAACAAAAGAATGAGAGTGAAAACATGAATATCCGACAAAAGTAAACAGCAAAAGAACGCTTTATGTTAACTAGAGGAGTAATATCCTAGCATCTACCTAGAATCAAATGGAACTGTTTTTCCCTGAACTGGCCTCCTTGGGTGGCCGACCAGGGCCAGGTGAAGAGAAGAATTCTGGGAGTGAAATGTCCATTTATTCCCTCTTGTTTTGGTCTCTGTAAGGCATAAGAAGTTAAAAGCAAGATCTGATCCCTGGTGTTTTCCAGGAACTCAAAAGAGGTGTAGGAGGAGAGAAGCTCAATTATCACCCTGGTCTCCTGGAGTATCCCAGGCACAGTCCCAAGAGTTCAGCTTTTCATACTCGAGTTCCTGGGTCCTGAAGGCCTTTTTGGGGAAAGTACTGATGTTCGTGTCAAGGTTGGGAAGAAAGGGTTTGGGAGGAACCAAGCAACAGGGAGGCAAAGAGAAGACATCAACAAGCGAGGCAAGAACTTTCCACAGGCTCACACTGGATACAGGACCAGAGACAAGAAGCTGGGTGAGTTTCTGATATTTTCCTACAGAGGTTTGTTATGCAGTTGCTTCAGAGCCTACTCAGAATAAGGCTTTTTCAAGTCAGCTCTTTTAATGTGAAGCCATAACTTTGTGGTATTGCCTGATGGCAATTCTCCACTGCGAGCCATTGCTCTAGGTGTCTTTTTTGTTTGTCACATCTTGCAAAGAGAACACGGTGAAAATCTTGACTCCTGTTCCCAAGTCTGTGTCTTAACTCTTTCCAAGGCTGCACAGCTCGGGGTCAGGAGGCGTTGGCAGTTCAGTGGTAGAATTCTCGCCTCCCACCCGGGAGACCTGGATTCCATTTCCGGCAAATGCAGCGTCCTGTCTTTGTGCCCTGTGGGTTTTACATTTACTTACTGTGCCGCGCTAATAAAGAAAAAAAAGGAGGGGAAGGGGGGAACTACTGTATAGTCCTTGGGTTCTTTCCGTAGCGGAATTTATTTTTCTTTTATTTATTTATTTTTGTTTGTTCGTTTGAGACAGAGTCTCTGTCTGGCCCCCCAGATTGGAGTGCAGTTGCACGATCCTGGCTCACTGCAACCTCCACCTTCCAGGCTCAAGAGATTCTCATGCCTCAGCCTCCCAGGTAGCTGCGATTACAGGCACGTGTCACCATTTCCTGCTAGTTTTTGTATTTTCAGTAGAGACGGGGTTTCACCATGTTGGCTAGGCTGATCTTGAACTACTGACCTCACATGATCCACCAGCTTCGGCCTCCCAAAGTGGTGGGATTACAGGCGTGAGCCCGGGCCCCGGAGAGGAATTTATCTAAGCCGAGACTTTGCAGAGACTGTCTTTGAAGCAGCCAGTGGGTCTGCTTGGTCTCTGCGTTTCTACGTATTTGGCCCTAAAACCGGCGCGACTTTTATCGTCTCTGCTGTCGGATCCCTGCAATACAAAGAGGTACCTGGTCACTGATTCTCTACTTGGACCTTGGATAGACCATTAGACCACATCTCGCGATGGAGTGCGGCTCAAGAAATGACATTCCCGGCCGGGCGCGGTGGCTCACGCCTGTAATCCCAGCACTTTGGGAGGCTGAGGCGGGCGGAGCACGAGGTCAGGAGATCGAGACCATCCTGGCTAACATGGTGAAACCCCGTCTCTACTAAAAATACAAAAAATTACCCGGGGGTGGTGGCTGGCACCTGTAATCCCAGCTACTCAGGAGGCCGAGGCGGGAGAATGGCGTGAACCCGGGAGGCGGAGCTTGCAGTGAGCCGAGATCGCGCCATTGCACTCCAGCCTGGGTGACAGAGCGAGACTCCCCGAAAGGAGAGAAGCTGTGGGGTGGGGCGGACACAAGCAGTGGTGGGGAACTGGGGCCCAGGGAAAGGGGAGGCATGTGAGGAGGAACCCGAGTGCAGATGAGGGGAGCTGCGGAGAGGGGCCTCGGACCTTCCTGTCGAGGAAGGCCCAGTCTTTGGTGGTCTCGGCAAAATGAAGAATGGGCCCCCAGTGGAGAGCAGCACGTCCCCAAAACTCATTTCTATCACCCCTGTTTGTTTTACACTCCACCAGGCAAATCTTCCGTCCACAGGATTCTTTTTAATACTTCTCTTTAAGCAGTGTGGTGGGGAGGCCATGGCAATCATTAGCTCTGGAGGCCTGAGGAGGACACTCTGAAGAGGAAAGCCCCGCGATCATCCGGTTTCACCCCTGTTTTCATCTACTCTTTTCCTCAGCGAAGCCTATATGGGTTCCCGATGTCACATCGCAGCTACCGCATTGGAGGGTTAAGAGCCGCTGACAAATCTCTTTCGGGAAGGGGTAAGAAGCGCAGCTGGCCCAGAGCCATGGAGAGAGACGCAAGAGCAGAACCGAAAATACTTTTCTCCATCTTGTTTTCTCTCTGCTGTCGGTGAACATTAACCTTCCACACACACCGGGTCAATACTGCCTTGGTCTCTACAGGAGGTTTACCATTTTTTACAGTTCCCGTAAGCCATGTTTTCTTCTCGCTTCTACAGTTCTTCCAGGATTGAGTTTCAGGAGCTGGTCAGCAGTCCAGGCTAGTTCAACATCCTGGTTCAAAATCGTTTGTCTGGTTTTGCTACTAGGGTGAAGCTTGCCTCCTAGACCAGAGTTAAGACGTGTTCCCTCGGCTTCTGTTTTCTAGAGAGAATTGATATAGTTTCTTCCTTAAGTGTTTGGTTGTGAAACCATCTAGACCTGGCGCTTTGTTCTGGAAGGTTATTAATTGTTGCTTCAATTTCGTTAATAGATAGAGACCTATTTAGTGTATCTATTTCTCCTTGTAGAGTTTTGGTCAACTTTATCTTTCAAGTAGTTGATCCAATTCATCGAAGTTATCAAATTTGTGAGCAGAGAATTGTGCATAATAGTCCTCTACTATGCTTTTAATGTCCACGAGATCAGAAGTGAGGGTCATTGTTTTCTTTCTCATATTAGTAATTTGTATCTTCTCATTGTTTCTTGGTTCACCAGCTAAAGGTTTATCAATTTTATCGGTCCTTTCAAAGAACACTCTTCAGGTTTTTTTGACTTTTTTCTATTGATTTCTGGTTTTCAATTTCCTTGATTTCTGCTCTAGTGTTTATTGTTTCTTGTCTTCCACTCACTTTGGACTTAATTTGCTCTTGTTTTCTTTGAGTTTCCTAAAGTGTAAGTTTGGATTATTGATTTTAGATCTTTATTTGTAATATTTAATTTTTAAAATCCATGATTATTTTACTTTCTGTGCAGTAATTTTTTTAGTGTACTATAATTTTTGTTCTTGTTAAAATCTCAGTTTTTTGTTGTGTACCAAGGGTACAAGTGTAGCATTGTTACATGGGTATATTGGGTCCAGGTAGTTCGCATAGTACCCAATAGCTAGTTTTTCAACCCACTCTCCCTCCCTCCCTACCTACCTCATGGTAGTCCACAGTGTCTATAGTTCTCAAGTTTATGTCCATGTGAGCTCAATATTTAGGTCCCATTCCTAAGTGAGAACATTCAGTATTTCATTTTCTGTTTCCGCATTAGTTTCTTCCAGATTATGGCCTCCTGTTCTATCCATGTTATTGCAAAAGACATGATTTCATTCTTTTTTATGGGTGTGCAGTATTCCATGTTGTGTATGTACCACATTTTCTTTATTTAATCCACCATTGATGGGCACCTAGTTTGACTCCATGTCTTTGCTATTGTGAATAGCCTGGTGTGGTGATCATAGGAGCGCATGTGTCTTTTTGTTTTAATGATTTACATTCCTTTGGGTATATACCCAGTAATGAGATTACTGGTTGAAAAACAGCTCTGTTGTAGGTTCTTTGAGAAATCTCCAAATTGCTTTCCACAGAGACTGAACTAATTTACATTCACTCCAAGTGTTTATATGCTTTCTCTCCACAGCCTTATCAGCATCTGTTGGTTTTTGACTTTTTAATAATGGCCATTCTGAGTGGTGTGAGATGGTATCTCATTGTAGCTTTGACTTGCATTTCTCTGATTATTAGTGATGATGAGCATTTATTCCTGTGTTTGCTGGCTGCTTGTATGTCTTCTTTTAAGAAGTGCCTGTTCATGTCACCTTGCCCACTTTGTAATGGGATTATTTTTTTTCTTGTTGATTTTTTAAAGTTCCTAATAGGTTTTGGACATTAGACCTTTGTCAGATTCACAGTTTGTGAACATTTTCTCCCATTCTGTAGGTGGTCTGTTGACCCTGTTGATGGTTTCTTTTACTGTGCAGAAGCTCTCTCATTGAATTAGGTCCTACTTGTGAATTTTTGTTTTTGCTACAATTGCTTTTGTGGACTTGGCCATAAATTCTTTGCCACGTCTGATGTTGAGAATGATATTTCCTAGGTTTTCTTCTACACTTTTTCTGCTTTGAGGTCCCAGTATATATTGTGTCATTGCAAATGACAACCAACCACAGACTAATCATTACAAGCCAAGAAAGGGAACTTATTGGTGACCAGGAAAAATGTCCAACAAATGAAAATTAGTAAAAGACATTCCTGGGTGTCTTTTTCTGTAAAGTGTGGGGCATTGTTGTCTATAGAGTTCAGCAAACTTTTTCTGTAAAGGGCCAGGGAGATAGGAAGTATTCTAGGCTTGTGAGCCAAGAGGCAAAATTAAGGATATTATGTAGGTGCACATATAACCAGGAAGAAGGCAAATTTCTATACCATTTTCATTGATGAGATTCTAAACTAACAATAGTAACTGAGTAGAACTTCTCAGGTGGTAAATGTTCTTTGCATTGAGAGCCTAGGCTCAACTTTCCTAGGCTCCCTGGTACAGCCCTCCCTTTCCACCCCTCAGGCTGTTTCCCTCCCTGTTTTCCTCAGAAGAAGAGTTCCAAACAAAAGATCTACTACCCTGAGAAGCGGTGAAGTGCTCCTGGGGCCCACCAAGGCCACACAAGTCAAGGAGTGGATGGCCTTGCCCCAGCTATGGCTCAGATCACCTTTGCAGGATGACATCTTGTTGGGAGATGGTCATCAGAGACAGGGCCATGGAAGACGCTGTCAGGAGGAGGTGAGAGGACTGGTGCCCAGGGGGAGAAGTGGCCAAGCACCTCTGCATTCAGCCTCACAAAAATCTCAAGGGGATGTAGAAATGGGGACAGGGTGAATGGAAAACTCAAGCAAGGTTTTGGGGCCCTGAGCTGATCTCTGTTTTTCTTCCTACAACCTGCAGCACATGCTATTTTCTCACCTCTGTGGATGGAAACACCATCCTTCCGTATGCTCAGTCTAAAAATCTTTGAGTTTTCTTTGACTGCTGATCTTTCCTTCACATCCTATAGCTGTTTAGTCAAGAATTCACATTATGCTGGGCAATCAGGTGTTGTCCTTAATCGACACCATCCTTTTCACCCCCGCCCCCAGTTAATAAAACTTGTAAAGTCATTCTCCTGATAAAGACAATAGGATTTCCATGAAATTGCACAATTTTAATCCTTCCTGGATGCATGACTCAAGTAAGAGCACTGCTTTTGTTTACTACCATTTTCCCCTATTTTTATTTCATACCTGTTTGACCCGCACTCTTTCCCATAAGCCAGGCACTTCGGCTCAGGTGTGCTTTCCTAATTGTAGAATGAGCAATAATAGCAGCCTTGCTAACAACTTCTTCCTGGCCCCACCACCAGGCAAATGTCATAGGATTTAATAGGTAAAGAATCATAGGATTGCCAGGCGCAGTGGCTCACACCTGTAATCCCAGCACATTGGGAGGCCGAGGCAGGAGTATCGTTTGAACCCGGGAGGCAGAGGTTGCGGTGAGCCTAGATCATGCCACTGCACTCCAGCCTGGGCAACAAGAACTAAACTCTGTCTCAAAAAAAAAAAAAAAAAAAAAAAAAAAAGAATCTTAGGCTCGTCCCTATTGCTTGGTGTTATAAAATGAATTGTTTTCCCCTGAATTTATATGTTGAAAGCTTAACCCCCAACTTGACTGTATTTAGATATAGAGTCTTTAAGGAGGTAATTAAGGTTAATTAGACCATACAAGTGGGGCCCTAATCTGGTCAGAATGGTGTCCATATAAGAAGAGGAAGGGCATCAAAGAATCTCTCTCTTTCTCCACACAGGCACAGAGGAAAGGCTATGGGAGCACAAAGCAAGAAAGTGGCCTTCTGCAAGCCAGGAAGAGAGGCCTCCCCAGAAACCAACTCTACCAGCACATTGATCTTGGACTTTTGGCCTCTAGAACATTGAGAAAATAAAAGTCTGCTGTTAAACCACCCAACCTTTGGTATCTTTCTATGGCAGCCTGAGCTGACTAACACCCTTGGTAGGTGGGCAGCATTCACCTTATTGGGCTACATGATGAGAAGTTAAAGTAACTTTAGCAATAGGCACCATTTGATTTCATTGTATAGATATTGTGTCTTTTGCACTGATTTTGCCTTTTTTAGTTGTGTGTATATTGATGCCTGGGCCTAGCATTACAAGACTAGTCGAAATGGGAAGAAAGAAAAGAAAGTGGGAAAGATACCAAGTTCCATAATTGCATCCTCTACCCACATCCAGTTCTTAGAATCTTTTCCAATGGAGACTGCACCTTGTGTACACTCAAATTCAATCTGAGCGCACAATCATTTAGACAACCAAGGCAACTTTTCCAATTTTCAGCATCACACGCTTGGGAAAACAAGTATTTCAATCACTAATTTAAATATTCATTGAGGTAATTATTCTGAGGTTGATGAAAAATATGGTGTATCCATGTACTGTTGCCTTCTCCTGGGTCAAGAATGTTGTCTTTACTCTGCTGGCTCACATTTGACCAGAAATTGGAGTCCCAGCAAATCTTACTAGCCACTCAGGAAGCCTATTTTAAGATAGTCCCAATCTCAAACTTGTTCTAAGACTTGTATGCTGACTGAGGAGAAAGAGCCTCATGACAAAAATTCAACTAGAGCTGTGGGTGACAGTTGTGTGTCTCACTACTGGTCTGGGCCCAGGTTTCCCGTGAGCACCTAATGAATAGACTCAATTGCAGGGATCGTCAAGATGCTCACTATGTCTACCTCATAGCCTCAAAAGAAGTGATAACTAACAGAATTTGTGTAGTATCCTGAAGGGAAATTAATCCAGATATAGAGGAAAAGATAAGGATTTTTTAAAACAGACATGTGATTCAACAGTTGTTTAAGATGCAGAAAGCTGTAAGAGA
This sequence comes from Homo sapiens, assembly GCF_000001405.40. Classification (NCBI taxonomy): domain Eukaryota; kingdom Metazoa; phylum Chordata; class Mammalia; order Primates; family Hominidae; genus Homo; species Homo sapiens. The sequence goes on from NC_000001.11 coordinate 148,026,865, forward strand.
CAGTTGTTCCCACTCTAATGACAAGAAAAAGCTGTATGGTCTGCAAAATCATACGTGCTTTGATCCCACCAGAGAGCTGAAGTTGCAAGGCCCCTGAGTCAGCTGAAGTCCAAAGCGTGAGAAAACCCCCTATAGAAGGACAAACACATGAAGCAGTTCATCTTTGACAGATAATGGAAGGAAAAGATGGCAGCCATAAATGTTCATTGGAGAAAATCACTGAAGATTTCATCATTTCTTAAAGGCCAAGTGTGAACTATTGTGACAGATTAGAAACTCTGAGAGTCCCAGATACATAGCATGGTTTTGCCCATTTGCTGGGTCCTTCCTCCCACGTCCTTAGTGCTGACAAGACACATGTAACAGGGAAAGAGGATTTCTCAAGCTTGCCACAGTGGCGTAGGCATAAAAGTCATGATCACATGATCGACCACCACCAGAGTACAGGCACAAAACCTGGTTGCTTCTCACATAAAACAAAAGGCATCTACCACTGATGTTGGAGCTAGGAACTCGTCCAACCCTTGGCCCCAGGGATAGGGCAACTGCTGAGGTAGGGTTAGACAGAAAAACTGTCTGTATTGGACAAGGGGAGGAGACTTGCTCTTGCCCAAGACTTCCCATCATTGAAAGGTAGTGTTCCGCTACCCCAAGGGGATGTCACAGGAACACTAGGACCCAGGTATCCATGGCCTGAGGCTTGATACACATTCAGTGCAATCAGTAATGTGAGTTGGTTTCGACCAATCATTTGAGTTGGTTGCAGACCCTTTCCTCTAATGAGGAAAAACTGTGGTGTGGGTACAAAGTTTCCACGTTCAGAAAGATTGGCCTTGTCCTTACAGATATTATATTGATTGGATTTCTCTCAACCTCCTTAAGTTATGTTTACCATTATTAAAATTAAGTGACATTCACTTGGAAGAAGTGGTAATACAAACAGGTTGTGAGAATTTATAGTGATTTTTGATCCCAAGCCTTGTATCACTGTTGGGTCTTCATGTGTGTACTTGAAAACAAAACATGTACAATTGTTGCACTGGTTTGAAGATTTTAATGGTGGAAGTGACCTAATCAGTAATCAGTACTGTATCTAGAAACGAATCTTGGAAATATGTGATTATGCTCTTTTAAAATCGCTGAAAAGAAGGCTGGGTGTGGTGGCTCATTCCTATAATTCCACACTTTGAGAGGCTGAGGTGGGCAGATCACTGAAGGCCAGGAGTTCAACATGGTGAGACCCTGTCTTTACTAAAAACACAAAAATCAGCTGGGCATGGTGGTGCCCACCTGTAATTCCAGCTACTCGGGAGGCTGAGCAAGAGAATCCATTGAACCTTGGACTCGAAGGTGGAGGCTGCAGTGAGCTGAGATCCTGCCACTGTACCCCAACCTGGGTGACAGAGGGAGATTCTGTCTCAAAATAAATAAATAAAATAGCTGAAAAGAAATGACAGTGTGTTTACTCTCACTTTGTTCTTGTTTTGTTGTATAGTATTTAAATAAAAGGAGATTATTTATCCTCATACTGAATTTCCAAAACTGATATTTGCATTTAGCATTTTGTTAAATGATGGAGAGAAAATTTAATTGTCTTACTTTGAAAAGTTTGGCATAGGTTCTGTCACACATTTTGTTAAATGATGGAGAGAAAATTTAATTGTCTTACTTTGAAAAGTTTGGCATAGGTTCTGTCACATTTTTGATGCTTTCGATCACAGTTCTGTCATTAGAATGCTGGCAACTAGTTATATGCAAGGAATATCCTAACCACTTTAATACAATGGTTTGAAGTGCTGCAGGCAGTAACTACTGGACAGCAGATCACAGTGACATGAGAGAGAGAAATAGAACTTTCTGCAGTACAAATGTCCTGTGAACTAATCCTTGTGCTATTAGCTTACAGGTCTTAGACTCCTGGGTCTGAAAAAGGCACATACTTCTGCTAAATCTTGAATACTGATGCCAATGAATGCCTTGTCTTCAGACCCTGGGGAAGATGACAATCAAAATGAACTTCTTCCATGAGACACGGAACCAGAAATTGAAACCATTCCATCCCTCTAGGCCCAACAATCCCACATGCACCCTTTTCCACCTCATGCCCCCTCTTCCTCTGGACAGAAGAGGTGGGCACATGAGAATTTTAAGGCTGGAGTCTGAGAGATAAGTTTAGTTCAGAGACTTTCTTTTCTTTCCCTCTTTTCTTCTCTTTTCTTTTCTTTTCCTTCCTTCCTTCCTCTCTTTCTTTCTCTTTTTTTTTTTTTTTTTTTTTTTTTTTTTTTTTTTGGTAGACACAATGTTTCACCATATTGCCCAGGCTAGACTCAAACTCCTAAGTTCAAGTGATCCACCCACCCTGGCCTCTCAAATTCAGAGATTTTTCTATAAATTAGACTTTACACTCAGAAACACACTGATGCAAGGCCAGCAACTGGGCCCGTGTATCAGAATAACAGGGTTTTCTTGAGCATTCATCTGCTTTTTCATAGAAAAGTATAAAAGGTCATGAAAGGTTTTTGAAACTCTTACCTTATGGTTGAACTGATTATAATTAAATTTGTGTATAAGGTTTCATTAAAATTAGCTTTAACATTTTAATACATCACACAAAGGCAAAATTTGGTTTTCTCTTGATCAAAATGTTTGTGTAATATTAATAAAAATTATTAATTATTTTGAAAAATTTTTTAAAAATTTATTTTAAATTTTATTTTAAAAAATAAAAATTATTAATATTAATAAAATAAAATATTTTTGTTTACCTTTTGCCTAAATGATTGACTATTTTAAGGTGACCTGTGATTCTATTTTGTGATATCAAGTCTCTCAAAACTTTGGCTAACTTTCTAAGAGTAAAATTTTCATATTGAGCCTTTTGGGCCTCAAATTAACTTTTTGGATATTAGGTTCTTGAAGTCCAAGAGAGATATATTAGGCTTCTTAGGCTTATTTGTTATGTAGAATTCTGCAAGAAGCATTGTCAAATCTGAGGTGGTGTTTCACTTCCTTTGGGTTCTATTGACACAGATGTGTTGTTAATGTGTGTTCCAGGATAGTATGAGATTCCTAGAGTTCTGCTATGCTGTCAGTAATAATTATGATTATTATGTTAAATTGTGTGTGCCACAGAAGCAACAGAATTCCCTTGTCAACTGTGTCTATAACCATGGCTGTCTTAAGGCTTTTGTTATCCACAATTGTTGTTTTGCTTTGATTCTTCTCAAAAAGTGACTTATAATCAGTTACAGTCCAGGCCTTGCTTCTTTGGGGAAGTCCACGAAAAGGACTCTTGGATGCAGGTTTCTGATAACTTTGGAGATTGTGCCATTGAAGTAAAAAGAAAATTTCACCCAGGGCACTAATAGAAAGGCTGATATGTTCATAAAGATTGCTAGCCCACTATGAAGCAGAGCAGGAGCTGATTGTATGGACTGAACTAATGGAGGACTGAAGTAAGTTTTTATGGTCTTTGTTTGTTTGTTTAAAACATTGTTTATTCTTCAAAGCCTGGAGAACTTTTGTCATTTTGAGCTATTTATAGCCTGCAACAATTGAGTAGAATAGTCTTCTAAACAGAATTTGAGGCATATTTTTCTCTCTCTGCCGAATTTCTCCAGAATTTGTAAACTGAATATTCTTAACTCATGATGATGTGTTTGTTTGCATAAGTTCAATAAGATTCTGTTTTCTTTTATAACAGGACACAGGTGGAGGAACTGGTAATCTTCTCAGGGCTTTGCCTGAAATGGTGTTGTGAAATGTTCCAGCAAAGCCCATTTAGGAGAGCCTATATGGACAAGGATTCTTGCTGCACTTTGTGTGGGTAATCAGGCCAAGTATATGGGACTGAAGCTTCTTTTGCAGGTAGGTTGGTCCTGCTGTGTTTTGTCTTTAGTGGAAATGGGGAACTGGACAGAGGAAGATTGTGTTTCAGGAGAAACTACAGTATTAGATGAATGTTTGATTCCTGGGTGGCCATGCGGTCACCCATGGTGTGGAGCTGCTCAGGATGCCCCTTCTCCTCATGACAAAGCCAGAAAGATGCATGACCAGATTCCCCATGATTGAGGAACTGACAAATAGAAAGTGGGGACTGAAATCGACCCAATAGTCCCACATACAGTGTTTTTGGATAGACTTAAAAATGGACCCTTCTGGTCTTAAAGCTTGAAACTTACATTTGTTTTATCTGAGTTCCTTCCTCAGGAAAGGACCCTCAGCCTCTCAAAAAGCATCATAGACCTGAAACTCAGCAGATCACAGCATCCAGACAATGACTTGCCAGTCCCTTCACTCATCATGAGTGCTTCCTCACCCTTCCCTAGTTCCTCTTTCCCACACACAGTTACGTTTCTTCCCTGCTGTATAAACCCCTCGTTTTAGTTGATCAGGGAGATTGATTTGAGACTGATCTCCCATCTCCTCAGCTGCAGCACCCAATTAAAGCCTTCTTCCTCGGCAATACTCAATGTCTCAATGATTGGCTTTCTGTGAGCTGAGCAGCAGGGCCTAGACGGAACTCCTGGGCTTTCAGTAACGATGCATGTACACTTTTAAACACTGCAATTAATGGGTCATGAGATATTGAGAAATTGGAATGGCATCAACTTGGCCAATTCTGAGAAAACACACTGTGCTTAAATGTCAGGGCCCTGCCTCCTGACCTCGACAGTATATGGTTGATTTTGAGTCATAGCAGGTGAGTATGGCCTGGTTTCAGTGTTTTATAGAAATATAAAATATGGCTGATCGCATTTATTTTAAATCCAACAAATCTCCATTTCTGGTGAGAAAATTTTTTTAAAACCAACCAAACAAACAAACATAGAAGAATATGAATAAAAAAATAAGGGATTCCCTGCTTCCCAATCTCACTTGATTGCTGTCTTCTGTTATATACTAAGGGAGGAAGGGGGCAAGGTGCCCAGGAAGTCCCACGTCCTGTTTTGATAATCATCTGGCCTCCTTGGGCAAACAGAAAACAGGGAAAGCATAAAGAAAATAACAGAAATTTTGCAGAAATTTCATCTCCGGTCTGGGCGCAGTGGCTCACGCCTGTAATCCCAGCACTTTGGGAGCCCAAGGTGGGCAAATCACTGAAAGTCAAGAGTTCAAGACCAGCCTGGCCAACCTGGCAAAACCTCATCTCCACTAAATATACAAAATTTAACCAGGCATGGTGGTCCACGCTTGTAATCCCAGCTACTGCGGATTACAATCACTTGAACCCAGCAGACAGAGGTTGCAGTGAGGGGAGATCGCCCACTGCCACTGCACTGCACTCCAGCCTGAGCAACAGAAGGAGACTCTGTCTCAATGAAAAGAAAGAGAGAGAAAGAAAGAAAGAAAGAAAGAAAGAAAGAAAGAAAGAAAAGAAAGAAAGAAAGAAAGTGAGGGAGGAAGGGAGGGAGGAAGGGAGGGAGAGAGAGGAAGGAAGGAAGGAAAGAAGGAAGGAGGGAAGAAGGGAAGGAGGGAGGGAGGGAGGAAGAAAATGAAAGAAAGAAAGAGAAAGGGAAAGAAAGAAAGAAAAGAAAGAAAGAGAAAAAAAAAGGAAAGAAAGACAAGAAAGAAAGAAAGAAAAAGAAAGAAAGAAGAGAGACAAAGAAAGAGAGAGAGAAAGAAAGAAAGAAAGGAAGAAAGAAATTTCACTGTGGCACAGGAAACTCTATGACCGAGGCTTCAAGGGCTCTTCTCTGGCCCTAAACTCACAGTGGATTTTGCCTCATTTTCCGAGGTGCAAATGAAATGATGGAAGTCGATCAAAGGAGAGGGCAGAGAGAAAGCAAGAAGGATGGCTCCTTCCTGCAGGTCCACCTTCCTCGAGTGTTGCTTGTGGGATAATAGAAATGCCTTGACATGGTTGAGTGGGAACTATTGCTACTTATTGGGAATTCAGACGCTTCCGGCAAACTTGCACGATGAGGTTCCATGGTGTAATGGTGAGCACTCTGGACTCTGAATCCAGCGATCCGAGTTCGAGTCTCGGTGGAACCTTTCTGTTTAATTAGGACGGCAATGTTGTGTTTTACTCCCTAAATGGAATGGGGATTCCGCTGACGTTCAGAAACTCTGCGCTGTGGGCCTCCGTGTCCCTTCTGCTCCCGCTGTCTGAGCCTCGCGATGTACCCCGCGCTCCTCGTCCCCTCTTCGTCTCCCTCTTCGGTGTTCGGGGTCCCAGAAACCGGGTTCTCGCAGTGGCCCGGACCACAGGGAAATTGCCGAGTCATCCAGTCGGGATCAGCGAGCCTGCAGGGTCCCCTTCCTGGGCGAGCCTCCTGGCACCCAGCAATCGGAGGCCCGGACACCCCCGCCAGGGACCCAGCGACCCAGGAAGTCCCCACCCCCTCTCAGAGCGACCCTGGGCCTCGGGCTGACAGGTCTCCTCCACTAAAAAGGCTGCTGCCCCTCTATCCTAGACCCCGAGATTCCTTTCACTCGGGAATCTCCTAATGGCACCCATTGTCTTTTTGGTAAGTAAACGGTGGCGTGAGAAATTCTGATGGGGTTAGCTCAGTCATTGGAGAGTGTGTCTCAGTTTAGGATCGATGGTTCCAGACCTAACTTGGCAGTAGCACTGCTTTATTCAGATGGCCCATCCGATTCCGAATGTTAATTTGCTCTGTTCTTCATATTCAGATTTTTATGCCGAATTTCTAGCTCCTGCGTCTCTATTGCGGGCCCTAAAAGTCGCTGTTTCACTAAGCTTTGGAACCTGACTCCGGGAAATCTCATTCTTTCGTCCCAAGATCTCAGCCAGAAAGAGAGATCCGCGCGGCGGCATCTTCAAGCGCGCGGGCTGGGAGCGCGGGTTCTGATCCTGGGTCGCCCCGGCCGAGCTCCCTCAGGGCCACGGGGAAGAGGAACCTGAGCAGCTCTGAGGGGCGAGTCTCTGAAGATGGGGCTCCCCCTTCTCCCGTCAGGACCCTGCCCCAAGGAGAAGACGCCTTAGTTAAAAATGTTTTCTCCTGCTCTTCAGAGCACTTGGGATGAGGTTCCTGATGGGTCTTGGGAGCGAACTAAGATGTCACTCCAGGCGCTCAGGACCATCGCTCTCATTTTCATATTTTGGGGCTGAGAGCGGTTACGAAGGACTGAAAAATACCGCAGTCTTTGAGGGGCTCAGTTTGGAGGACGAGCCGGGGTTGAGGGGGGTTGACGCCTTGGCTCCTTGGAGTGGACTGGCAGGTAAGGAAACACAAACTCCGTTTCCCCTTGCGGGCAGAACTGCAGGACCTGGGATGGAAAATTGGACAGTCAAAGAGTAACGATATTTATGTAGAGGTGGGTTGCGTGCATTAAAAATTGTTATCCCTACAGATAAGTGTAGGAAGGGACCAGGGCACTGCTGTTCACCACCAGCTTTGCAGCATATGTAACTTTGATAACAGTGTATAGTGCATAAAAATTCATTCCTGTTTACAAATATTTGATCACAACCAGTTACAGGTTTCTTTGTTCCTTCTCCACTTCCACTGCTTCACTTGACTAGCCCTATAGGAAAAAAGAATCATTCTTAAATATGATATTGTTTCAGTTGATCGCCAGCCCACCCGTTCCCCTCCCCCTGAAAGTAGCTGGGACAACAGGTGTGCACCGTGTGCTGGGCTCATTTTTGTATTTTTAGTAGAGATGGGGTTTCGCCATATTGGCCAGGCAGCTCTCGAACTCCAGAACTCAAGTGATCCGCCTGCCTGGGCCTCCCTACACCTCCCTGCTGGGATTACAGGCATGAGCCACCCCACTTGGCCATCATTTGTATTTTGAATTTAAATATTTTGTAGTCATCACTCTTCAAAGATTCTGGGTTTTGCTGCATGTGCATGATGGGATTCAGGACATGCTACTCCAAAGTATAACATCTTGGGGTATTGAATATTTTATGCTAAAGGAATATGAGTAAACCACAGAAGCAGGAAGGTCACTGTCACCCTCCCCCTGCCCTTCCTCCCTGAAGTCCAGTATAAGACTCTTATGTGAGAGGTGCCCTCTCTGTACCCAGAGGAAAGGTGCATCCTTGATTCTGAAGACACAGGGACACAGAGAAGAGCCTGAACACAGAGGCCTGGCTACCTTTCCCCCACTTTGTTACTGTTAGATCATACTTTTATTGACTTATCATACTTCTCCATGACTATTCATTCTTGAATAAACCTACTGTTAAAAAAACGAAAACAAAAACTGAGGTTTAGCTGTTTCCATGGGCCTTCATTTCCTTTGGAAGGCGTTCCTGTCATGTAAAATTTACATTAAATAAATCTGTATGCTCTTCCCTTGTTAGTCTGTGTTTTGCTGTGAGGGTCTCAGCAGCGAACCTAGGCTGGGTGAGGAAAAGTCATATTTCCTCCCCGACATGTACAAATGTCTTCCACTGTAAAGCTATATGATTTTTTTTTTTTTGACAGGGTCTCACTCTGTTGTCCAGGCTGGAGTGCAATGGCACGATATCAGCTCACTGCAACCTCCGCCTCCCGGGTTCAAGCCATTTTCCTGCCTCAGCCTCCCAAGTAGCTGGGATTACAGGTGCCTGCCACCACGTCCGGCTACTTTTTGTATTTTTAGTAGAGATGGGGTTTCACCTTGTTGGCCGGGCTGGTCTCGAACTCCTGACCTCAGGTGATCCGCCCGCCTCGGCCTCCCAAAGTGCTGGGATTACAGGCGTGAGCCACTGCACCTGGGCAAAACTATAAGAATTTTACTGGGGCAGATTTGAAGCAAGAAATTGAATCATTATTCCCCTTTGGATGAGCTGAACACATGAGCTAATAAACTCCCAGTTCCTCCCAGATAGAAATACTTCTCTAGTTCATTCCCCGAAGCTCCTTGAGGGTCAAACCTGCTGGAGATTGAGGGGCCTTCCTGGGATCTCCCAGCCCAGGAGGTTACTGCTGGTGAGAAGATTGCTGCAGTCTCCCTGGGAGGGTGCACGGCCACTGGAAAGTATCACTGCTGTAACTTCAATACAACTGGTTTTCGTCACATCTGCTCTTTGTGCAGTGTTGCAGGCAAAATACAAGAGCTAACATGCACATGAGTAACACATGCACATCATCAGCTGTGTCTGCAACACAAAGTGCCACATGTCAGGCACAGTTGATTATGTGCATGTGTTTACTCATTTAGTCCTTACCTCAGGCCGAGGTCACACTATCACCTTCATCTTCCATGTGAGATGCACAAAGACGTTAAGTGACCTGTCCAGGGTCACTCAGCCAGCAAAGGAGGATTTGAAAGCAGGAATTTGAAGTGAAGGCAGCCTGTCTCCAGAAGACATTCTCAGAACCACTGCATTTATACTGCTCCTAACAAAACCACCGTTGCAAAAATTATGACAGTGAGAAAAACCTGACATAGGAAAACTATGACTGTGAAAGAAATCTGACCTAACTGACTGCATCTTACTTCTAACCTCTGAGCTGCCTTTGTCCGTTCCTGGGCATAGGCCAGGCTAACTATGAGAGGAGTTTAGTTCCAAGTCTAAGTCTGAAACAAAGATGTCTTCCTGAGACAAACTCCTTCCTATCTTGGGGATCAGATCTCCTTAGCAAAGCTAACAAATTAGGTGCGAGATTGGAAATTATGGCTCAGGAGCCATGCAGCCAGAAGCCACATGATTCCTAAGCTCCCCAACTGTGCCTGTATATAAGATTATTGGTGTCAAACCTAAGATTGGTGTTCAAGGTATTTTTCAGACCCTGCCTTATGATGGACTAGCTGGCACACCCAGACCGGTAAACTGGCTCATCTGGTCCTGTGGCCCCCACTCAGGGACTGACTCAGTGCAGTAAACAAGCTCTGACACTGTGATTTCATCCCCAACCCAACCAATCAGCTTTGCACATTCCCTAGCCCCTTGCCTGCCAAACTATCCAAAAAAAAAAAGAAAAAGAAAAAAGAAAAAAAAAACCCTAGTCTTTGAATTTTGGGGGAGGCAGATTTGAGTAATAATAAACCCCTGTCCTGGTCCCTCAGCTGCCTCTGCATTTATTAAATTCTTTCTCTATTTTAGAAAGCCTGCTGTTCTCAGCTCCATTGGCTTACCTGGGCAATGGGCAAGATAAACCTACCAGGCAGTTACATTAATAAAAGAGAAACACAAATGGTAAGCATGCTTGAAAAGAAATATAAGTCTGTGTATTTCTTTGGAAGAAACACAAAAGGAGGAGGAATGATAAGACAGGCAATAAATACACTGTCCTAAATATTTTCATGATTCTCCTGCCTCCTTCGTATCCTTCTTATCCCAACAACTTCTCCCCAGAAACCTTCAACTTAAACATGGTCCTGCCAGAACTGGGTTTGTCCTTCCCTTTACATTTTCCTCTCACCTACCCTACACCCCTTCCATATCTAATCTGTTCTTTAACTTCCAGGTCATTGAGAATTTTCCATTTAAAAATATAAAAAATTCATAAAGCGGAAGATAACCAGTCATCCATATTCACACCTCCTGGAATTAACTACTATTAACATACCTACATATTTTTCTTCCAAATCATTGTTAAACTATACATGCTAAGCATAGACCATACTAACAGTAGAGAAGATGTAAACATATGTAAAATTTTTGAAAACCTTACGTTCAAAAATAACTTCTCATAACATTTGGGCAACCCTGGAGTTACAGTCTTGTGGTACATCTACAGGGAGAAGAATGTATATTTTAGCTAGACTGTCCCTATCCCTAAAAGAAAAAGGAAGAAAAAATAATAAAGAAGGATATATATACTTGAAAAAATAATAAAATAATAAAGACGCATATATGTATGCTTTTATAAAATTTAGCTGAGACTCTATTTTTATTTTACAAACATTCCATTTAATAGTGCATGAACTTAACTGCAGACAAAGAGACAGAAACAGAAACGAAGGAATTCCTCAACTCCCGATTACAGTTAGAGAGATATTTTTCTAAAGGAATCTTCTAAGGATAAACGTACACTAAATTAAGTAGAAGACATTAAGATTTGGAGTGGTTTTCTTATTCCCTTTTACAATCAGGTTGATTAAGGTGTGAGTTGACTTTGGTACAATGCATCCATTTCAAGTTTGATGACGTGTCTATTACTCTAAAAGGTCCTCTTGTGCCCTTTGCAGTCAGTTCCGCCCTCCCCCTGAGGCCAGCAGTCAATGATGTAGTTTCTGTCACTATACAGGTTAGTTTTAACTGTTGTAGAAATTCACCTTGATGGCGCCACACAGGGTGCACTCTTTTCATCACTCGGCATAATGTTTTTGAGATGATCCACGCTATTTCATGTTTCCGTAATGTGTCCTATTTTATTGCTGGGTAGTTCGGGTAGTTGGGGTAGATCGCAGCACATTCTGGCGACAGGTGAGACTGCGGTTCTGACCTGCAGGCCTCGGTGAACATGAGCAAGGGCACCTGGGCGCCGGGAGAGACCTCCCTTCCCCTACAGAAAGCAAGCGTGTTATGTTAACAACCGAACGGGGACCCTGCTTTCATCCCAAAGAACAGCACCCGACTGCGTAGTTTCTTCCCTGGCTCTAGGAGGTGAGAACACATTCCCCGCTAGCACAGACATCCTACAAACTCCTGCGGAGGCTGCGGTTAGAAGCAGAGGCTGTGTGAAGGGTGACTCTGGGGGCTATGAAAAAACACGAAGGTTTTCACAGAGCATGAGAACCCAAAAGACTGGAGACTATGAAGCGATCTGCAAAAAGCAGCCCCAAGTAGAAAGGGAAGAGAAGAGCCCTGCGGCCACTTAGTGTTAAAAGAGCTCACGGCGGCGGAGAGGATAACACGTTACTTTCTGTTTCCCATCATTGCGACTGTAAGGAGAACACTTAACATGCCACCCAAGCCACAAAACTGCAGTTTTAAGAATAACCCTTATAGGGGAGTCTATTTTTTCATTACAAAAATTCAGGGGAAAGCGCGGACGCAGTCCCCCACTACCACAAATTATGCAGTCGAGTTTCCCACATTTGGGGAAATCGCAGGGGTCAGCACATCCGGAGTGCAATGGATAAGCCTCGCCCTGGGAAAACCACCTTCGTGATCATGGTATCTCCCCTGCCAGGTAAGTATGACTTCACACACTTCTGCCCTGTCACAGCTCCATATACCTCACCCTTTACACACATGGTCACTTGCCCCGCGCACCCCCGAGCCTTCCTAGCCCTGACACACAGCTGGGACCCTCAGGTCCGACCAGCGGTCCTGAACCCGCTCCCACGGCACGGGAGCTCCTTCGTGGTGAAACAGCCAGTGGCGAAGCAGCAGCCCCTGCGCTGCCTCATCTACATAGAAGTCGCCCTATCCGTGATGTCACCGACAGCGCCTTCCTCGTCCCGGTCTGCTTTTCTGCCCCACCCTCCGCCACTCAGCCGACCAACATGGTGCCAGAGCCTGCGGGGGCAGTGATGTCTGCCTCTGCCTCCTTTCCCTCTCTTCCCCGCCCATGGTCTTCCCCAAAGAAGCGGGTGTTTCTGTTGTAGTTTTTTGTTTGTTTTTTGTTTTGCGCCGTCTCGCTCTGTCGCCCAGGCTGGAGTGCAGTCGCATGATCTCGGCTCCCTGCAACCTCCGCCTCTCGGGTTGAAGCGATTCTCCTGCCTCAGGCTTCCGCATAGCTGGGATTACAGGCACACGCCACCAAGCCCGGCTAATTTTTGTGTTTTTAGTAGAGACGGGGTTTCACCATGTTGGCCAGGCTGATCCCGAACTCCTGACCTCAGGTAATCCGCCGACCTCGGCCTCCCAAAGTGCTGAGATTACAGGCGTGAGCCATCACGACTGCCCAGAAGCCGGTTCTTAGCCTGTGTTGCCGAGGACCTCTTTGGCAGAAATCTGGAGCCTGTCCACCCTTCTTCAAATAATGGCTTGTAATGCGCAGACTAAAACATGGAGGATTACACAAGAAACTGGTTCACTTCACATCATTATCCTTGTGATGTAGCATTCTACTTGAAATTGGAAGCCGTTCGATATCAGAGAAACCATATCTATGAAACTAGAGAGGCTGCTCAGATGACTGCAAACCAGCCATCCTTACTTGTTTTACCACTAGTAGTGTTATAAGGACGGTGGTCCAATTTCAGGAATCTTGTAGGGTTCTTTCAAATACAGCAATGTACAAATATGCTGCCCCAGCAGAGCACACTGGACACTCGGGCATGATGCTGGAGTTTGTCATCTCTTCCACGGCCTTCTCCAGACCTTAGCACTTACCTCATGTTAACACTTTATGTTCTGCAAAGACAGAAACAAAGTGGTCCAAATTTAGAAAAAATATATATATATTTGGGGGAAACTTTATTTGAGGTGCTTAACAGATTACTTTTAATCTGTAGAATACAACACCAAACTCTGACAATACTCCACAGACTCCAAATCTATCAGGCAAGTTTTTCCTGTCCTTTGCTTTCATATAAACTGAATCATAAAGTGTATAGTGGGTTTTGGGGGAATATAACTGCCCAATGGGTTCATGTTGCCTGCTGCCTAGACAGAACCAATTTATCAAGACAGGGGAATTGCAATAAAGAAAGTTATTTACCCAGAGCCAGCTGTGTGAGAGACCAGTTTTATTATTACCCAAATCAGTCTTCCTGAGTATTCTGGGACCCGAATTTTTAAGGATAATTTGGTGGCTGGGGGCCAGTGAGTTGGGAGTTCTGATTGGTCAGGTCGGAGATGAACTCAAAGGGAGCTAAAGCATCCTCTTGAGCTGGGTCAGTTCGTGGGTGGGGGCCACAAGATCAGATGAGCTGGTTTATCCATCTGGGTGGTGCCAGCTGATGCATCAAGTGCAGGGCTACAAAATACCTCACGCACTGATCTTAGGTTTTACAATAGTGATGTGATCCCCAGGCACAATTCAGGGAGGTTTAGAATCTCATAAGTTGGAGGCTGCATGATCCTAAACCATCATTTCTAATCTTGTGGCTAATTTGTTAGTCCTGCAAAGGCAGTCTACTCCCCAGGCAGGAAGGGGATTTGTTTTGGGAAAGGGCTGTTATCATCTTTGTTTCACAGCTAAACCATAAACTAAGTTCCTCTCAAAGTTATTTTGGCCTGTGCCCAGGAATGAACAAGGACAGCTTGGATGCTGGAAGCAAGACGGAAGCAGTTAGGTCAGATCTCTTTCGCTGTGATAATTCTCCCAGTTATAATTTTTGCAAAGTCGGTCTCAGGAGCAGAGGCATAGGTTTGACTTCTTTCACTCAGTCTTACATCTATGAATTTTTCATGTTATTCATGTGGTTATTTGTTTCTGTGTGTATTCCTTTGTATGAATATAGGCCAATTTATTTATTTATTCTACTGTTGCTGAACATGTTGACCTAAAAGAAAGAGGCTGAAGCACAAAATAGAATCTAGAGTTTACTTGAGCCAACATGAAGACAGCTGCCTGGAAGACTCACACCAAAAGAACCTTGGATCTGAGCTCCCTTTGGCCTTTGTCACAAGCAGGTTTTTAAAGGTCAAAAGGGGGGATGCACAATGGGCTGACAGAAAGGTGCCTGTCAGGAATTCTCATTGGTTTTCAGAAATAGCATTGATGAGAGCTTGGCTATCCCTTGTTATAGGGTGTGGGATACAGTGTTTGGTGTGGCATTATTAGATTAATTTACAGCTACCTGGGGTGATAGCAAGCAGTTGCAACAGATGAATACATAGCTCAAAAGGAAGGAAGCAGAAAGTGGTTGCTGTCTTGATTTAATGTCTCTCTGATCATGTGAAGTGGCTCACATTCCTCAGATAAAAATTCTTTTAAAAATCTTTCTTCTTTAAAGCATAGATGATCAAAAGCTCAGCCAAGGTGTCCCTCTTTGCCAGGAACACTCATTCCCGGATAGTCTTTCCCACAGTGAGGGCAGGGGAGGAAAGGAGCTGCCTCACTGAGGAATTTTTAAGAGCGCCCCAAAGCCCAATTGAAAGTACGTCACAGAGTAGAAAAAAAAAAGAAGAAAAGAAAAGAAGAGAGAGAGACTTCAGTTAAATCTACAGCTGTCACTTGTTTAATCATCTCTCGTCTTCAGATACCATAAAATCAGTTTTCTCAGAAGTAAAACAGGAAATATATAACATTAATAATTTGAATAGCACAGATATAATTCACACAAGAATGAGAATCACAAAGAGAATCCGTATGCCAGAACAGTAAGGGAACCTATTCCATTAGGGAGCCAACGAAAAAACATCAGGGAAAACATCACATCCCAGTTCTTCTTTCATGATTTCTTGTAGCCAAATGACTTCTAATTTTTTCTAGATGAGGTTCTACGTCATGGGAGTATTTATTTTTGTATACGCAACAAGAGGTTGTAAACACCACACATCCACCTCCCTGCTCAGCTAAATCTATCATCTAAAGCGGGCTGCGGAGGCTGCTGTTGCTGGGGCTCTCCCCTTGGTGTTCTGGGCTGCGTTGTACTAAGTGGAGAAGGTGGTTGTGGGCAAGCGTTGTGCAGAGATCACAACCAGGTGGGCAGGGGGCTGCTCTCTCCACACTATCACTTGACAATGTACAATTCCTTTTATGAACTCTTGTAAGTGCTGCTGTATCTACCCATTGTTTTTGTTTTGTTTTGTTTTTTGAGACAGGCTCTCTCTCTGTCTCCCAGGCGGGAGTGCAGTGGCACAATCTCGGCTCTCTGCAACCTCTGCCTCCTGGGTTCAAGTGATTCTCCTGCCACAGCCTCCCAAGTTGCTGGGACTACAGGCACACGCCACTGTGTGCAGCTAATTTTTGTATTTTTAGTAGAGATGGGGATTCACCATGTTGGCCAGGCTGATCTCGAACTCCTGAACTCAGGTGACCCACCTGCCTCGGCCTCCCAAAGTGCTGGGATTACAGGCATGAGCCACCGTGCCCAGGTTCTAACCATTTTTAAATAAGAATAATATTGTCTTTGAAAATATATATCATCTAAAGTAATGCAATTATCTAGTACAATCTTAGCCAGTGAATAAATAGCTTTTTGTTGAGCTGTGAAAGAGGCTACAGTTTCATCAGCAATATTTCTTTCTTTCTTTCTTTCTTTTGTCTTTCTTCTTTTTTTTTTTTTTTAAGACACAGTCTTGCTGTGTTGCCCAGGCTAGAGTGCAGTGGTGCAGTCTCAGCTCACTGCAGCCTCAACCTCCCTCGCTCAAGCAATCCTCCCACCTCAGCCTCCCGAGTAGCTGGGACTACAGACATGCACCACTATGCCTGGCTAATTTTGTTTTTGTTTGTTTGATTGTTTTGTTTGTTTGTTGAAAGACAGGGTCTCGCTATCTTGCTCAGAATGGTCACAAATTCCTGAGCTCAAGCAATCCTCCCAGCTGAGCCTCTCAAAGTGCTGGAATTACAAGCATAGGCCCCCAAGCCTGGACTCTTTATTTTTCTTTCAGAGAGAAGGAGTGGCTCTGTCGCCCAGGCTGGAGTGCACTGTCGCCATCATAGGTCACTGCAGCCTGGAACTCCTGGGTTTAAGTGATCCTTCCACCTCAGCCTCTGAGTCACTGGGATTATAGGCCAGAGCCCCCATGCCCGGTTTTTATCAGCAATGTTACCTAAGGTTAAAGAAGGATTTCGAACCACGGGAAGCAACATCCCATCAAAGCAAAAGCGTGCTCCCCCAAAAATGTATGGAGCTACTTTCTTAATGGTCAGGCAGGTAATTAGCAAGTTTTCTCCCAATAGGATCTCCATCTATTAATAAAATAGAGTGGTGGGCATGCCTAGTGAAAAGTTTGAGGACACTCATCCAATTCTTTTTTTTTTTTTTGAGATGGAGTCTCGCTCTGTCTCCTAGGCTGAAGTGCAGTGGCATGATCTTGGCTCACTGCAACCTCTGCCTCGCAGGTTCAAGTGATTCTCCTACCTCAGCCTCCTGAGTAGCTGGGAATACATGTGAACACCACCATACCCAGCTAATTTTTGTATTTTTAGTAGAGACGGGGTTTCACAGTGTTGGCCAGGCTGGTCTTGCACCCCTGACCTCAGGTGGTCCACCCGCCTCGGCCTCCCCACTCATCCAATGTTGGGTTTCTTCAGAGCTATATATATATATAGGCATGACCAAATATCCTAAAAGACATTGCACTTCATCATTCCATGTCTTTAGACATTTAAGGGCCATGGATGGTGATCTCCTCCACAGACCAAATAAATGCTGGTGCACAACAGGTAAGTGTAGTATAATTTGGGTACATCAGCTTTCGGCATTTAAACCATGCATGGGTCAGACATGTTAGAGCAAGAGGGCAG
Organism: Homo sapiens; assembly: GCF_000001405.40. Lineage (NCBI taxonomy): Eukaryota > Metazoa > Chordata > Mammalia > Primates > Hominidae > Homo > Homo sapiens. Next base: position 148,044,084 of record NC_000001.11, read on the forward strand.
GTTGGATCCTGATAGCAGGAGGGAGTGTTTTTCTCTTAACTTTCCAATAGCATCATGGTGTTTACCACTGTCATTTCAGAGTGAGGCAACAATTTTTTGTTCGTTTTCTTTCTGATCTTTGGTTTTTTTTGCAACCGGGGTCTCACTGTTGCCCAGGCTGGAATGCTGTGGCAACATGACAGCCCAGTACAGTCTTGACCTCTTGACCTTCAGGGCTCAATGAATCATCCTACCTCAGCTTCCCAAGTGCTGGAGTTAGGCACACACCACCACGCCCAGCTTATTTATTTACTTTCTGAGACAGGGTCTCACTCTTTTGCCCAGTCTGGAGTGCAGTGGTGTCATCTGGATTCACTGCAGGCTCGAACTCCTGGGCTCAAGTCATCCTCTCAACTCATACTCCTGAGTAGCTGGGACTACAGTTGGGTGCCACCATGCACCCAACTGTATATTTTTGTATATTTTGTAGAGATTGTTTCACCATTTTGCCCAGGAAGATAGTCTCAAACTCCAGGGCTCAAGTGATCCTCCTGCCTCGATCTCCCAAAGTGCTGGGATTACAGGCAGTTATTTTGACAGTACAATTATGATGGGTTAAACTGAGACGTACGGCAGGAAGGTTAGGATGAGTCAGACAGATTCGATAAACAGGTTTTGCTTGATGTAACCCCGAGTTGCATCGTGAGTTCAATCAGGAGGAATACAGGTGAAATTTGGCACAGGATGTACCAATGGGTCATTATGGTCAAAAGTGGTTGGTGGTTTAAGGTGGCAAACCCAGCACCTTGTCACATTTCCCACAGTGGCAATGGTTTGTGAGATTCTGATCAGAGAATTATCCCTCCCTGATGTAATCAAATTAATTAAGGACAGTAAAACAGAAATCTGATCATAGGCATTTTGCTATGTATGTATGTATATGTATATACATGTACGTGCAATAGGACTAGTGTGTCATATCTTTAGAGAATATACATATAGGCTGATTTTACCAAAACCAATAGGATACGACCCCTACAACTTAAAGGAGCCCTGATGGTGTATGTATTCCAGTCAAGAGAAAAAGAGACTAACTCTTCCAGGTGCAGTGAGCACTGGAATTGTGAACAGCTGGTTATACAGGCCAGTATCTTGGGTGGAAGTGGGCTACAACAGATGTCAGCTACTTGCCATCTTCGTCAGGAAGATGGCAGGTCACCTTTAAGTGAAAACCTCCACTGACAGATGTCCACTCTGGTAGGGTTGCCTTTTAGATATGAGAAACATGAATCTGTGTGTCAATGCCCTTATATTTACTGCCACAGAGATTAGGCAATAATACCTGATGTGAGCCAGGTGCAGTGGCCCACACCTCTGGTCCCAGCTATTTGGGAGACTGAGGCAGGAAGATGGCTTGACCCCAGGAGATAAAGGCTACATTGAGTCATAATTACGCCACTGCATTCCGGCCTGGGCAACAGAGTGAGACCCCATCTCAAAAAAATAAATTAATATTAATAATACCTACGTGGTGCCCTCCAGTGGACTTGGAGGGAGTATTTTATTTGATGTTGTTTCCAGTAAGCGACATCTCCAGTTTATAGGCATAGTTTTTGATATTTTCATCTCCCATCAGCTCATTATGAAAGGCATCCTTTATTAATTTGGAGCTCTTCATAAGAAGTTTTGTGAGACCTTAGAAATAATGGAGAATGTTACCTTTAAGAAGTGCAGTGCAGGTTCATAAGCCCCTTCATCTAACCACTGCATGGGTCTTCCTGTTCTAATTTCAAAGGGAGGGAGTGAAAGTTTTCCAGAAACAGTGGGGGATCTTTGGCCAGGGAAGGTTAAAAACTTCTGTTAGCTTTGCCAATTGAGTTTTTATCTTATCATTATTAAGTTGCACTAGTCCAGAGGATTAGGGGTGATAGGCACAATGGAAATGTTGGGACATAGGTCAAACGTTACAAATGGATCCAACTATCTGACTGATAAGGTGTGTTCCTCAGTTGCTATGGAGATCAGATGGCACTCCCCATGAGGAATGATTTTCTCTAATCACAGTCTACCAGCTGCTTGGGCTGTGGCTCATTGGCACAGAAATGTTTCACTCCAGCGACAGCGCGTATAAATTAGCACCAGAAAGTATCTGTGACCCTGAGATGGAGACAGCTGGATAAAGTCTAACTGCCATGTCTCAAAAGGTCCTAAAGATACAATGTCCCTGTGACACATGAAGGGGTTTTCCAGGATTATGTTTGGGACAGAACAGAAAGTACAGCAAGAATAAACCTTTTGCACAATGGTAGGCGATGATTTTCAATACACTGCTTTCCCCATGCTATCATTTTGTCTGAATTCCAACGAGTCAGCTTATGAACTACTTTAAAATGGGTAATTGAAGCCTAAGGGGTGGATCAGGGTATCACTGGGCCCATACCATATGTGTGTTTCTGGAAAAAACTTGTTCCCTTTATCTTTCCAGAGAAAATAAAATATTGACTCAAAATAAATTAATTAAATTTTAAAAAGAAACAGGGCCAACCATGGTGGCTCATGCCTGTAATCTCAGCACAGCTCTTTGGGAGGCCGAAGCAGGAGGATCACTTGAGCTCAGCAGTTGGAGACCAGCCTGGGCAATTTAGTGAGACCACATCTCTACAGAATTATTATTTTTCTTAATAGCCAAGTATGATGGTGCATACCTGTAGTCCCAGCTACTTGGAAGGCTAAGGTGGGAGGATCACTGGAGCCCAGGAGGTTCAGGCTACAGTGAACTATGATTGTGCCACTGCACTGCAGCCTGGGCAACAGAGAAAGACCTTGTCTCAAAAAATAAAATAAAATAAAATGTCTTAGAAGTTTAGCTGTCCATCCTATGCAGCAGAATATCTATGTGTCATGTCCACCATGTCCTTCTGTTGTATCATCCCCTTAGTTAAGCCAGGAAGGCACCTGTCCCCTTATTAGAATATCATGGGCTCATGGCTAGCACAGTGGCTCACGCCTGAAATCCCAGCACTGTGGGAGGCTGAGGTACATAGATCTCTTGAGCCCAGGAGTTGGAGACCAACCTGGGCAACATAGCAAGGCCCTATCTCTACAAAAAAAAAAAAAAAAAAAATAGCTGAATGCGGTGGTGCATGTCTGCAGATCCAGCTACTCTGGAGGCTGAGGTGGGAGGATAACTAGAGCCCAGGGGGTGGAGGCTGCAGTGAGCTGAGATCACGCCACTGCCCTCCATCCTGGGTGACAGAGTGAGACCTAGTCTAAAAAAAGCGGGGGAAGGGGGAGAAAGTTTGTTGTGCCAGCAAGTAAATGAAGAAAGGGACAGTATTAGAGTTGAGAAATAAATTGGAATATGATTTGATACCTCTCCCGCAGAAGATAAATTTGCTAAAAGTGCTGAAGTTAGAGGCATTACATAAGACCCGTTGCAGTTGCTCATGCCTGTAAATCCTGGCACTTTGCAAGGCCGCGGAGCTGCTTGAGCCCAGGAGTTTGGAGACCAGCCTGTGCAACATGGTGAAACCCCTTCTCTACAAAACAAATAAAAATTAGCAGGGCATGGTGGCCCACTCCTGCAGTCTCAGCTACTTGGAAGGCTGAGAGATGGGAGGATCGCTTGAGCCTGAGAAGTTGAGGCTACAGTGAGACGCAATCAGGCCACTGCACTCCAGCCTTAGAGACAGAATGAGACCCTGTCACAAAAACTAAAAATAAAAATTAAAAAGCCTGTAATATAGCAGTGGCACATCCAGTTCTCTACGCTAGTATAGAACTATCAGTGGCCAAAGATATGTGTACAAGAGTGATGATTTCAGGATTCTCTGAAATCCTAAAACCATGAAGCCAACCTTATTTCAAACACATTTTGAAAACGGTTAAATAAATCATGCACAAACTGACTGATAAAAAAATGCTGTTTTCAAAAATGATGAAGAGGATTATTATGATGATGAATGATTCCACTTTCTATCCATAGTATTGATAGAGCAACCAGTAAATCCAGGCCCATCCTGGGGATAGGATATCTCTCTAGGCCTCCTATTAACAATGAAAAAATTAAGGTTGGCATATAACCCATCCAAGCCTATAAGGGGCAGCATGAGGATTTTGTCGGCACCAGAAGTGACTCGTTTGGTCTCTGTTTCTTGTACACAGGCACAAGACAGCATGACATTTCAGGAGATTCTCTGTCTGAATCGGATCTGTGAGGCGAGGGTGTGGGGAGTGTGGGGAATGGCCCTTGACAGGGATCTCTGTTAACTGTGCCTAGAATCCTGAGAAGATAAAACCTTCCCTGCAGTAAGCATCCCTGGCTGGCCTGGAACCTATAGGACTTAGGACTATGGGAAGAAAAAGGGAAGATTCTCTAGTGATCGATAATACATGAACGGGGGAGATTCTCTAGTGATCGATAATACACGAACGCTTTAAAAGCTAGAGCAAGCGTCCCCGGGTGGGCTCGAACCACTAACCTTTCAGTTAACAGCCGAACGCGCTAACCGATTGCGCCACAGAGACAAGAACTACTGCTTTTACTGTGCGCTATGGGAAGGGCGCCTTCAACAAATTTCCCCTGTGCCTTCCAGCCTCAGGGCTTGTCCGGCAGGATGACTGAGCAAGGCCTTGGAAAACCGGAGCGATTAGAGCGGTGAATCGCGCTGGTCACGTTGGACACCTGCGCGTTAGGAGATTCTGGAGCCAGAAGGACAGCCGAATGGCCTTCGCCCGCCCTGCCCCTCGCCTGCTTCAGAAGCCCCCGGAAACGCCCCGGTCTGCGACCCGGGTTCGAGCAGCCAGGGGGCTCAAGGGAAGCTGAACGCCTGGTGGGCTCCCGGGATGGCTCTTCCCGTTCTTTGCACAGCCTTCACCCAGTGAGGGAGCCTGTGCCCTCCCTGCTCAGTCGCATTCGGGGCGCTGCAGAGCTTCCGCTGCCTTCTTCGGATCCTGCGTTCGGCACCGGGGCTCCACCAGGGCAGGGATCGTGGTGAGGGTCGCTCGTGGATCCCCTCGCGGGGAGCAGGGTCTGGCACTCACCAGGGCGCACGACTAGGACTTGTTGAATGAATCCGTCGTCGCCTTTATCTTTTAGTCCTTTGAAGAGTCTTGAGAATGGAAATCATGAGAGATTTTTCCATGGGGGAAGTTCTTTTTACGAAACGTTTATTCAGATTGATTTCTCGGCACCCCGCGGGGCGGGCAACGGGCAGGGCTTCCAGTGCACCTTCTGCGCAGTGGAGCCGCGGGGGCTCAGCTGGACAGTGGTCGGGTCGTGGGGCTGGAGGGCGGGAGCGGGGGAAGGGAAAAGCAAAAGCGGGGAAAGAAGCCGGAGAGCGGTAGACCAGACATCTAGACCTGAAAGGCTCGTGCGGAGGCAGAGGCGGGATCTTCCGGAGGTGAGAATTGTTTTTTTATTGTAGCAGAATGGGGAGGAATTGAGGGGAAAACGGAGATAGAACCTGAAAGAGCCCCAAACGTGAGAATCTGTAGCTCCCCAAGAATAAGATCTTCCAGAAAAATTAGACCGAAAACTAGGCGTCTGGGAACCCTGACATCCTTGGAGGAGTAGCATCATCATGACCCTCTGTGTTCCTTTTGGCATAAGGACTTGCTTCCATTGTTTGTTTGTTAAATTGTTGTGTTTGTTTAATAAATAAAACCTTTTCATGTATCTTTGAAATTACGTTGGTTTGGCCGAGCGCGGTGGCTCACGCCTGTAATCCCAGCACTCTGGGAAGCCGAGGCGGGCGGATCACGAGGTCAGGAGATCGAGACTATCCTGGCTAACACAGTGAAACCCCGTCTCTACTGAAAAATACAAAAAATTAGCCGGGCGTAGTGGCGGGCGCCCGTAGTCCGAGCTACTCGGGAGGCTGAGGCAGGAGAATGGCGTGAACCTGGGAGGCAGAGCTTGCAGTGAGCCGAGATCGCGCCACTGCACTCCAGCCTGGGCGACAAAGGGAGACTCTGTCTCAAAAAAAAAAAAAAAAAAGAAAGAAAGAAAGAAAGAAAGAAAGAAAGAAAGAAAGAAAGAAAGAAAGAAAGAAATTACGTTGGTTCTATTACTTTATGATTACAAACAATGCTGCAGTCATCATTCTTGTACACTTCTCATTGGCCACTGGTGTATTTCTATAGGATAGAGGCCTGGAGAGCAGCTGCTCCAGCATAGTGATTACATGGTTTTTTATATCATTCTATTTTCTTTCCTTTTTTGGCTTATTAGCTATAATTCTTTCTTTTGTTATGTCAGTGATAGCTTTAAGGTTTCTAGAATATATCTTTATCAGTCTGCCCTCAAGTGACATTATACCTTCCCTTCTGGCCTTTATGCTAGTGTTGCCATGTCATTTGATTTTAGACATGTTATAAACCCCAACATCTAAGTACATACATAGCGATTTCCAGTCGTCTCCATTTATTTGTGTAGGTTCAGATTTCTGTCTGGTATCCTTATCCTTAGGCCTGGAGGACTCCTTCAACATTTCTTGTAGTGTGGGTCGGTGAATGCTTTCATTTATTTGTATGTTTTTATTTTTATTTGTATTTTTTTAAGATGGAGTCTCACTCTGTCACCCAGGCTGGAGTACAGTGGCATGATCTGGGCTCACTGCAACCTCCACCTCCTGGGTAAAAGTGATTCTCATGCCTCAGCCTCCTGAGTAGCTGGGATTACAGGCATGTGCCACCTCACCTGGCTAATTTTTGTATTTTTAGTAGAGACGAAGTTTTGCCATGTTGGCCAGGCTGGTCTCCAACTCCCCGACCTCAAGTGATCCGCCCGCCTCGGCTTCCCAAAGTGCTGGGATACATGTGTGAGCCACTGCGCATGTGTATGTCTTTAAATGTCCTTATTTCAGTCACATTTTTTAGAGATTTTTCATTGTGGCATAGAATTCCAAAATAACTTTTTTTCTCTCTCTCACTACTTTATGTTGCCACTTTGATGCCTTGTCATTGATATATCATCTTTTCTGTTTTTGTAAAACTGGCATAAAGGAGGCTTCCTGTACTTGTTATATAATTTTTGGAATGTGTACTTAAATTTAAAAAAAATTGTTATACTTTAAGTTCTGAGATACATGCGCAGAACGTCCAGGCTTGTTACATAGGTATACATGTGCCATGGTGGTTTGCTGCACCCATCAACCCACCATCTACATTAGGTATTCCTCCTAATGCTATCCCTCCCTTTGCCCCCCACCCCCCTATAGGCCCCAGTGTGTGATGTTCCCCTCCATGTGTCCATGTGTTCTCATTTTTCAACTTCCACTTATGAGTGAGAACATGCGGTGTTTGGTTTTCTGTTCCTGTGTTAGTTTGCTGAGAATGATGGTTTCCAGCTTCATCTATGTCCCTGTGAAGGACATGAACTCCTTCTTTTTTATGGCTGCAGAGTATTCCATGCTGTATATGTGCCACATTTTCTTTATCCAGTCTATCATTGATGGGCATTTGGGTTGGTTCCACGTCTTTGCTACTGTGAATAGTGCTGCAATAAACATACGTGTGCATGTGTCTCTATAGTACAATGATTTATAATCTTTTGGGTATATACCCAGTGATGGGATTGCTGGGTCAAATGGTATTTCTGATTCTAGATCCTTGAGAAATCGCCACAGTGTCTTGCACAATGGTTGAACTAAATTAAAAATATGAAAATGGGCTGGATGAGGTGGCTCACGCCTGTAATCTGAGCACTTTGAGAGGGGGAGGCGGGATGATCGATTGAGGCCCAGAGTTGGAGACCAGCCTGGATTAGATAGTAAGACTCTCTCTCTCTCTCTCTCTCTCTGTGTATATATATATATGTGTGTGTATATATATATATTAAAAATATATATATACACATTCTCTCTGTGTATATATATTATATATATATAATATATACACACACTCTCTCTCTATAGATATATGTATACACACAGAGAGAAATACGTCCATCGTGAGAGTCCTAGATTCATCTTAAGTTTCACCGAAAGTGCACTTAGAGTAAAATGTGCCCACTCTGAGGGTCAAACCTACCTACTGACGTGTAAGTTGTGTTTGTGAGACATTCTCAACAGCATTTGCTTTCCCTAGCATAGTGGTTTTCATGTTTTCCTCACACCTGAATGTCCTCAGTGCAAAACCTGTCAGAATTCATTTCCTTTGCTGTTCTTCTTTGAGAAACCTCCAGGGTTTTATTTATTTATTACATACCTTTTAAAAGCATAGAGACAAAGACTGGCAAGTGGTATATATTACTACATTAGTCTTAGTTCTCCAGAAAAAGAAAACGAGCAGGATACACACAGACACACACACACACACACAGAGATTTACATTGGCTAATGTGATTATGGAAGCAGAGAAGTCCAAGGTCTACACTGAGTAAGCTCTAGACCCAGGAGAGTGGAATATAGTTCTCTACCAAGTCCAAGGCCCAAGGCAGAAGACTGATGTCCCAGCTCAAAGACAGTGGAGCAGAGACTTCTTTCTTAGCCTTTCATTCTATTCAAGCCTTCTGTGGGTTGGATGAGGCCCACTCACACTGGGGAGGGCAATCTGCTTTACTCAGTTTACCGATTCAAATGTCAATCTCATCCAGAAACACTCTCAGAGACACAGTGAGAAATAATGTTTAACCAAATATCTGGGCACCCCATGGCCCGTTCAAACTGACAGAAAAATTCATCTTCACAAATACTCTCAATAAAAGTGACTAACAAATGTAGCATCATGTCCTGCCTGTTTATCCCATGACAATTAATGTATTCCAGCCCAACATTGTCTTCCTTTCTCTTACAGAAGCAACATGTAACAGTTTCATTGAAAGTAAGGTTGCCCGGGCACAGTGGCTCACCCCTGTAATCCTAGCACTTTCGGAGGCCGAGGCGGGCAGATCACCTGAGCTCAGGAGTTTGAGACCAGCCTGGCTAACATGGTGAAACCCCATTTCTACTAAAAATACAAAAAATTAGTCGGGCATGGTTGCGCATGCCTGTAATCCCAGCTACTCGGGAGGCTGAGGCAGGAGAATCATGTGAACCCGGGAGGTGGAGATTGCAGTGAGCCAAGATCCCGCCATTGCACTCCAGCCTGGGCAACAAGAGTGAAACTCCATTTCAAAAAAATTAAAAATAAAAATAAATAAATAGAGTGAGGTTAATTTTGACCTTATGGAGTCTCTCCCCAACCCCTACATACCTTTGCACTTGTGGATTGTCATTTTGTCATGGCTTTGATATAAAAATATATCAATAAGCTATATGCAGTGCTAATGTAAGTTTGAATTTCATCCTGACTCCATAAGTCACTTTCCATTTTGATAAAGCCTAGAAATATTCATGTCCATCTCCTTGAATATGGGTAATGGATACCTATTGTGGGGCCCACTCTCAATCTCATGGGGTTTTTTAATTTTTTTTAATTTTCATTCAGGTCTCAATAGATATGCCTGGGCTGACTGAAAGCCACTGAAAATGGCCCGTGGCCTTGTACATCTGACAGAGTGGACTAAAATCTAAGCCATGGAATGGGGGGATGGAAAGTGAGAAACACCAAACTCAGCACACAATGACTCAGTTTAAATCTCTGGGCTAAGAGATCTATCATGGCTTCTGGGACATAAGGCTTTGTCTGGAGGGTGACTGTAGGCTCCCATGACAATGCCTACCCCAGAAAGCTCAAGGCTGCCAGAGGAACTTACTTTAGTTCCAGCCAATACCTGCTGATGATGGTAGGTTCAGGATCTCCCTTTTGTATAGCACTTACTAAGAAGGGAATCCTTCCTCCATCCCTTTGAGATGTGTTTGTATCTCCTAGGGACTCCAGTGTGTCTTTCCCTAGGATCTGAAAGCCATTCCTTTGAGCTGTAGTTCTCAGGAAGGACTGAGCCTCTGTCTTCCAGTCTCTGTGGGAGGTTAGAATCCTATCTTCTAATATTGTCAGCTAGCAGACACAGCTGGCCTGATGAGGCAGACATTCACAATGTTTCACTTGTGCCCTGCCCCCTGCCCTCTCCCCTACCTCCCTCTCCCCCTATAATGCCATCACCTCTGTACAAATGGGAACACAGCTCAGCCCCGTTCTCTACTATCAGTAGTTACTGAATAAAATCTGTTTTCTCTGCTTTAACTAATGTCTGGCTTTATCTTCGACAAAATAAGTGGAGCGATGATTTTTAGGGACAAGGCAGCTGCAAAGAGAGGCACAGACATGGGAGGAGAGGGAGGGATCACCTGACCCTTTTCATTTCGTAGGTATCTATTCCTGCCTGGTGTTTATAAGCCTGACACTTGGCTGGGCTTCCCTGGGGTATATCTCCATGGCTCTGTGGCAAGACTTGAATAGGCTGGTGATGACACTTGATGTCCCCATAGCCACCTTCAAAAATGTCATTAAAGGCTTGCGAGAAAATGTAAGGAAACACAGAAAACCTGATTTTGAAAGTTGCCGCCTCTCCTTCTTCCTCATTCAGAGCGTGTACGATATTGCTGTGCGGTGTTTGTTGGACTGCAATTTAGCACAACACCTTTTCTAATATTTGGCAGTTTCTTGCAGAGTTAAGCCTACCCTATAAGGAAGCAAATTTACTTTCATTCATTACCCATGAAAAATGAACACATACATCCAATAAGGCTTCTACAAAAAATGCTCATAGCAACCTTATTTTTATACTAAGGAAAAACTGGGTACAACACAGTCTTCATCAACAGAAGAATTTAATACCTACTGTTATATAGTCATAAAATGACCTCATGCACAGCAAACAAAAACAAGCAAAAAAAAAAAAGTAGGAAAAGTATGAAAAAACACAGTAACATGGGTAAAACCCTCCAAACACTATACTTAGCAAAAGTTGCCTATAAAAGTATCTTTTGAACATCTAAAACAAATTTATCTTAATGTACCTGTCTGATACTCCTGTGTAATTCCATTTATATGAAGCATCAGGACTCAACAGTGGCTCCCTCTTTGAGGTACTTTGATGGAAAACTTCCTGGGTTGATGGAAATGTTCTATGTGGCTTGGTCTAGTTGATACTTACAAGGGTCTATACATTTATTAAGCTTCATGGTACACTTTTTACATTTACATTTTTAATATAAAAATAATGTTAATTATTTTTAAACTGCCAAAATCCCAAAATGAATACTTGTTTTAGTATTGGTTTAACCCTGAGATATATTTTTTACTTATATACATACTGTAAAATCTGTATAATAAAGTTTGGAGTAAATTAGACCTTTTTACTCTTCCTACACAATGCTAGAAGTCTGGAACATCTTAATTCCATTTACCCTCCTTGTGATTCTCAAGTTACTCTCATTAATTTTAAGGCACCATATATTTTAAGTCACATGGACATCATTATGATCATTGGATTAGTAAAACGTACTATTTGACTGAGCCACACATTAAACCTACACATCGCCCTGCGTTCCTTCGTTCCCTTTCCACATTCCCCGGGGATATTTCACATTTTCGCATTTCCCTTAGTTAGCATGTGCTGCTTCTCCAGAAAGGTCTGCACTTCACCTTCACTTGAAAGATCTGTAGTCTTGGGTTAGGAGCCAGCAGTCAGTTGAAAATGGTAGTATTTTAGAACTCTATGATGTCTTACTTTTTCACTGCTGTGAATTTAGCACCTGACCTTTGGACACAATAGGAATTTCCCCCTCTGGGGGCTGCTCTGGTTTTCCCATGTGCCTTGGGCATTCAGCAGTGTCCTGATGACATGCCTCGGTGTGGTTTGTTTGTCCTTATGCTGCTTGGAGTTCATAGCTCTTCTTGCACATGTGCCTTGATGCCTCGTTGGGTTTGTTTCTCTTAATTGTCCATAGGTAAGAACTATTTCTTTTCAGTATTGCTTCTGTCCCATTTTCTGTCTCCTCCAGCTTCCAGGACATTAGTGACAATTTATTTTAAGCATTTATGACATAACTCATATATATATATATATATATATATACACACACTTGTTTCTTAGTTTTCCTTCCTGCTAGCTCTCTCTCCGCTTGTCTGGAAAGTCTCCGCTTACTTATCTTCAGGCTAGTAATCCATCTTCACATGGATCCAAACTGCCATTACACCAATCTATTGACTTTTTAAAATAATAACTATTGCATTTTATTTCTAACTTTAATAGATTTTCTTTCCAATTATAAGTATTTATTACATCTCTATGTTATTTCTACCATTACCGTATTTTATTTGTATAATTTCCATTTTATTTCAAAATAGGTTATTATTTTCTGGTGAAAATTTTTACCGTCTCTTCCATTCTTCTGAACATCTAAATCATATCATTTGAATGTTACTGTCTTATAACCTCGATGTCTCCATCATCTGTGAAAAACCTACTGTTTCCTGTTTTGAGTTTGTTTTCTCTTGCCTCTGCTTCTTTATATGCCTAGAATACTATGACTGAATGGTGGGTCTCTGTGAAAAATTATGAAAGGACTGAGTCGTGTTCTCTGTCTCTGAAGATGAATTCCCCTCTGCCCCTGGCAGGCACCAGAGGCACAGATCACCTCAATCCCATCTCTGTCTCGGCTGACCTGCAGCTTGTTTTTCCTCTTGGGAAACTCAGCAGCAGGATTTTTCCCTCAGAGAAACATCACATTTAAAGCATACATAGAAAAAGGTGGGGTTTTTTTCATAAAAAGTCTTAGTTTTCTTATTGTAAATTTAAACACATGGTTATTACTGTTCTTAAGCTAATTGGGCTAGCCTGGGCAACACAGTGAGACCCCGTAACTATGAAAAATAAAAACACTAGGCAGGCATGGTGGCATGTGCCTGCAGTCCCAGCTACTCAGGAGGCTGGGGCAGGAGGAGCACTTGAGTCCAGGGGTTCAAGGCAGCAGTGAGCTAGATCATGCCACTGCACTCCAGCCTGGGTGAGGAATAGAGACCCCGTCTCTGAAAATTAATAATAATCATATAGTAATAATAAGACAATTGGGGCAGTACCTCCTTTATATTGATCAGATACTCGATTTGTCTATACCCTCCAGAGGAAGACAAAGTATTCTACTTTGTTTCCTGAGAAAATACTGTGTATTTATATATGAAAAAAATCCATTAAAATACTGGGCATTCTAAAGCATCTAAATGTCATAAGTAATATCATTTAAAGTGGAAACAGAGGCAGTGGTGTCTATCAAGGATGCTTATCAGTGAGGGAAACAAAAGGAATCATTAAGCACCCTTGGATACCTGGAGGGCCCCTCTGCCAAAAATCTCAGTAATTCTGTGATACACTTTTGAGTCTAGCAGGTTATTCTCTTTTCCAGAGTACGAAGTTGCCAACCTAAAAGAACAACCAAGAGAGAGTGGTTCTCCAAAGAAGTGAATGTTTGGGAATAAACAGAGGATTTCAATCCAGGATATGCGCACTATCGTATGAGGACCCAAAGGCACAACCAGGCAGGCTGAGAAGGGGAACCTTTAACAGCGAAAATGAGGAAGGTTACATAGTTGTTTTGAAACAATTATCCTTGGCCACAAGGAATAATCACAAGGGTGGCATCAGTCCAAGGATGAATAGGCAGTTGCTGGGCAGATGTCGTTGCAGAGAGATTCTTTGGGTAAGGTTGTGGTGGCCTTTGTGCAAAGTTGTGGTTTTCAGAGAGTTCTTGTAATAGTTTTTATCACAGGCATGTGTGTGTGAGCACCCCTCCTTTATGATCTCCTGATTGAATTTTGTTAGGATTTGGCATACGTGACTCCATTTTTCATTCTGACAACTTTTACAGGTCATTGCTTTTCATCCATTTTTACTAAGGGCTGGACTTGCTTAAATTCCAGGAAATTATGAGGTCTTGATTTGTATAATTATCACAAGTGCTCATGTTGCTGACTCAGTTGCCTATTTGGGATGTTATAATTGTCTTTTTTCTCCTTCCTGTGCTGTAATTTACACAATCCTTAGAGGAGATTAATTTGATACTTTTCAGCTGTGAAAAACTTGAATATGCCAATCAAAGAAAGGTTCCCCTCACATGCTAGGAATTTAGTTTCTTTCCTGTGCTAAGATCCATTTAGGTATAGCACTTTCCTGGAGCCAAGAGTTCTTATGAAATGGGGTGTGGCATATTGTGTATTAAGATCATCCTTATTACAGAGATGCCATTCTTGCAGATATTGACAGCTAATGTGTCCCTAAGACTTTTACCAAACATCAGATAGACAAGATATGAAAACCTTCTCATTGCTGCAGTCTCAAATGTCAGGAAAGACCAGAATCTTTAGGATAATGGACAATCAAGAAAGACTCACAGACTAGATTAGCTGTCATGTACTGCCAATCAGGGAATGGATCCTTGTCAACCACCACCTAACAGAGATTGTCCCCAGAAGTTCACTCCATAACATCAAAACCAGAAACCCACATTGGTGCCACTGATGACAGAAAATAATAATGCAAAAATGAGAAAGAAACAGTGAGAGAGAGAGAGAGAGAGAGAGAGAAGACATAGAGGGAGACAGAGACATGTACTACAGCCATACTTAGTGATTAAAAGCCAAAGAGCTCAATTTCTATTCATGATATTCATTAAAAGAAGCAAGGAAACAGGAGCTAATAGCTCTGAGGGTTCAGGTCTACACAAGATGCCTGTTGGGTGGAGGGTTCTGTTGGCTCCAGTGATGTTTCTCAGATGTGCTAATTGTTATGGACATAGCCCCTGAAAAAACCTATCAAATAATAATACAGGGACAGCTATCTGCATGCTAATTTACCATTGTATAGGAGGGAGAAAGGGCATTAGATTGGTTTTGGCAAATAAAAGAAAAACCAAGATTTATGAAGAAAAGAGGAAAGGGGAGAAGAAAAAAATTGCCTGGGACCTTTGTGATTTTGCTCCCCTTGTGTAAGGGACTTGACAGAAAGCTTTCCAAGAGGTCGCTGTGGCCCATCTTCTCTGGACCAGTGTGACTTGGTCATCACAGAAAACAATCACGGATGTTGGAGGACTTTAAAATATCTTAGAAGTTTAGCAGTTCATCCTATGTCACAGAGTTTCTGTGTGCGATGTCCACCATGTCCTTCTGTTGTACAACCCCTCAGTTAAGCCAGGAGGGTGCCTCTCCCCTCACGACCAGCCTGGGCAACACGGCGAAATCCCGTCTCTACAAAAAATACAAAAATTAGCCCATCGTGTGGCGCACGCCTGTAGTCCCAGCTCCTTGGGGTGCTGAGGCAAGAAAATCGCTCGGCCCCAGGAGGTCGAGGCTGCAGTGAGCCATGTTTGCACTACTGCATGCCAACCTGGGTGACCAAGGCTGGAATATCATACATCCATGTGTAGAAAGTTTGTTGTGCCGGCAAGTAAATGACAAAGGGGACATTAACAGAACTGAGAAACAAATTGGAATACGATTTGGTACCGCTCCCACGAAAGATAAATTTGCAGAATGTACTCAAATTGGAAACATTAAATAAATTCTATAATGTAAAATTAGCACATCCTGTTGTCCACACTATAGAAATA
The DNA here is from genome assembly GCF_000001405.40 of Homo sapiens. Taxonomy (NCBI): domain Eukaryota; kingdom Metazoa; phylum Chordata; class Mammalia; order Primates; family Hominidae; genus Homo; species Homo sapiens. The sequence goes on from NC_000001.11 coordinate 148,059,551, forward strand.
TCTGCACAAGTGACCTAAGATATGTGTACAAGAATGATGGTGATTGCAGCATCATTTGTAATCCTAAAACTATGAAACGCACCTCACTTCAAAAACATTTTGAAAAGGGTTAAATAAATCATGCACAAACTCAAGAAGAAATGCTGTTCTCACAAACACTGGCGATGATCACCATGAGGATGACTGATTCCACTGGTCACATTATTGATAGAGCAATCAGTAAACCCAGGCACATCCTGGGGATAGGATACTACTGTAATAGGCCTCCTATTATTAAACATGAAAAACTTGAAGCACAAAATGTCCACCTAACTGACCCAAGTCATGGGAGCAAGGAAGATTTTTATCACACCACAGGTGAGATCCTTTCTAAGGTCTATGGGATTCCTGAGTTTGATAGGTATAACGCGCGGTGGCCCTTGCCAAGCCTCAGACTTAAGGTGGATAGGAAGTGGGGACATGTGTGTCTGGTGATCAATCAGGAGTTGGTTGTCCCATCAACAGAAACAGGTTAAAATAAAGCCCCAGGGCCCCGGCTGGAACTACCAACCTTTCTATTAACAGCAGAATGCTCTAACGAATTGCGCTGCAGGTACACGTTCCGTGCCTTCTTCTGGGTGCTATAGGAAGGGTGCACTCAGCAAACTCCCCATCCCCTCAATCTTCAGGGGCCCTCCTGGCAGGACGACTGTGCAAGTTCCAGGTCCTTGGAAAACCGGAGAGATTAGAGCGGTGAATTGTAGTGTTGGACACCTGCGCGTTGGGATATTCTAGAGCACGAAGGACAGCCGAATGGCCTTCGCCCGCCCTGCCCCTCGCCTGCTTCAGAAGCCCGAGGAAACGCCCCCGTCAGCGACCCGAGCCGCCGCCTCGAGGCTCAGGGGAAGCTGAACGCCCGGTGGGCTCCTGGGATGCATCTTCGCGTTCTTTGCGCCGCCTTCACCCACTGAGGGAGCCTGTGCCCACCCTGCCCAGTCGCTTTCGGGGCCGCTGCGGAGCTTCCGCTGCCATCTTCGGATCCTGTGTCCCGCACGGGGGCTCCACCAGGGCAGGGATGATGGTGAGGGTCGCTCGTGGGTCCCCTCGCGGGAAACAGGGTATGGCACTCACCAGAGCGCACGACTAGGACTTGAATTAATCCATCGTCGCATTCAGTTTTTAGTCTTTTGAAGAGCTCTGAAAATAGAAATCATGAACTGTTTTTCCATGGGGAAGTTTTGTTTTGTTCTGTTTGTGAGACAGGGTCTCACTTGGTAGCCCAGGCTGGAGTGCAGTGATGCAAACACGGCTCACTGCAGCCTCGACCTCCTGGGGCCGAGCGATTTTCTTGCCTCAGCGCCCCAAGGAGCTGGGACTACAGGCGTGCGCCACACGATGGGCTAATTTTTGTATTTTTTGTAGAGACGGGATTTCACCGTGTTGCCCAGGCTGGTCGCGAAGGGAAAGTAAGTTTTTTTTTTTTTTTTTTTTGATACAGGGTCTCGCTCTGTCGCCCAGGCTGGAGTGCAGTGGCGCGAACTCGGCCCACTGCAAGCTCCGCCTCCGGGGTTCACGCCATTTCCTGGCTCAGCCTCCCCAGTAGCTGGGACTACAGGCGCCCGCCACAACTCCCGGCTAATTTTTTTTCTCTTTCTTTCTTTCTTTCTTTCTTTCTTTCTTACTTTCTTTCTTTCTTTCTTTCTTTTTAGTAGATACGGGGTTTCACCGTGTTGGCCAGGATGGTCTCGATCTCCTGACCTCGTGATCCGCCTGCCTCGGCCTCCCAAAGTGCTGGGATTACAGGCGTGAGCCACCGCGCCCGGCGGTAAATTCTTTTTAAAAAGCGTTTATTCCGATGGATTTCCTGGCATCCCGTGGGGCGGACAACGGGCTGAGGCCTCCAGTAAACCTTCTGCGCGATGGAGCTGCGGGGGCTCAGCTGCGCTGTTTTTGGGTGGGTGCCTGGGGCACTAGGGCGGGAGCGGGGCACTGGGTGGGTCCAACGGGTAACTGCAAGGAGGAGAGCAAGGAAGTCGGCAGAGGCGGCGACCCTGGCGAGGAAACTTCCCAGTAGCTTTGTTCAGCGGTAAGGACCGGATCCCTGAGAGACAAAAATCATCTTTTCTACTGTAGCAGAGTGGGGAGAACGCCAGGAAAAATGGAGAGACACCAAGAAAGAAGGAAAATCATGGGGACCCTTAGGCCGAAGCAGCCCTATATTAAGTTTAAAGAAGAAAGCAGGCGGCTTCCTGTGATGGTATATTGGTTAGTACTCTGCATCGCGGCCAAGGGTGGAATCCCAGTCATGGCAGTGTCCCTCCTGGGGCGTGGCACTCCTCCTTTCCTTTAGACTCCAACCTCTGCCTAGGCTGCGCTTTTACCTGCGACTAGAGAGGTTACAACTTACCAGTGCCTTCGGAGCTCTGTGCAGTGGTGAGAATAGAAGGAACCCCTACCTTGCATGCTGGGGTCCAGTCATCTTGAAAGGCTGGGCTTTTGCCCCCTCTCTGAGCAAGTGCAGCACCCAAAAGGTGAGGTGCTCCCTCTCAGTCAGCCTTATTGGAATCCTCCACTATTACCACGATGTGGCCATAACCGTTTTTCTGGTTCAGATATTTCAATCATCCGTGGGGCCTTTTAAGGCCGAATCAGAAACAAGCGAGAGGACATGAGGATAGTTTGCACTCCAACTGGGAATTTTAAGTAAAGCCTAAAGAATACAATAAAATCTAAACTTAATGTCATTCCCCAACACCCAATTGTTATTTGTTTTTATTTATTTATTTGTTTATGTATTTTTGCTATCAGTAAATGACTGAAGTATAATCCACACAGACCAAAGTGTTCCAATCTGAAGTGCACAGCCCAGTGCATTTTGACGTAAGAAACCATCACCCAGATCAAGTTATGGGACATTTTCACCAGCCCAAAAAGTCATCAGAGCCCCTTTCCAGTCAGTCCTCACCCCATCCCCACTTAGGCAATCACCATTCTGATTTCTATCTCCATGGGTTACTTTTGCTTCTTCTTGAAATTCACGTAAAGGAATATACTGATTCTGTTTCTTTTTTGAATGCAACAATGGTTTTGAGATACATTCATTTTATGGCATGTATCTCAACGTTTTGATGTTATTGATGAATACAATACCATTGATGGAAGATTGGAATATTTCTACTTTTGGCTATTGTGAATAAGGTGTTTATGGGCCTTTTTATGGACCTGTGCCTTCATTTCTCTTGAGTATAAACCTGGTAATGGAATGGCCAGGTCATGGAGCAGGCATATTTTTAACTTTATTAGAAACTATCAGACACTCTTTTAGAATGGTTGCACCATCATATTCTCTTGCCAGCAACAAGGGATACATTTGCTCCGCACTCTTATAAGCTAGTGGTTTTCCCTGTCTCTTAAATGTTGCCCGTTCTGATGGGCGTGTAATGGTGTATCACGGCATTTTAAATTTGTGTTTTCTGAATGAGTGACGATGCTGATAATTCTTTCTTTTGACATTTGGACATGAAGAAATCCTCTTTTGTGAACAAACACTGTTCAAGTGTTTTGTTCATTTTAAATTGGCTTGACTCTTTCCCCTCACCCATTTTTACATAAACTTTACTGTTAGAATAGAAAAATTGAGAAGCTAGTACACAGAATGGAGTAAAGAGGCTGGAATGGGTTTGGGGAACCAACTCACATTTTATGGTTAACACATTGTTCAAGAACAATGTATGTTTTCCAAAGACATCCCCTTATTGAAATACGCAGAGAAAGTGTGGGATAAAAGAGCGTATACTAAACATCTCAGAACGAGTTTCTGGAAGTGGACAAGGGAATGGGAATGCGATAAACAGAGAAAAGGAGAGACAGTTAAGGGCCTTGCTCAGAGCAGCCACCATAATGTGCCCTGTGCTAAGGACATGGAATTTTGAAAACAGAAAGTTCACCCAGACAGACCAGTCTAGATAAGAAAGGCAGGAAGAGACTTTAAAAAACAAAGCAAAAACAGAGAAATCATACAATGAGATGCTGGGAATGAGACTATGCCCATCATCTCCAACATAACACTAATTACTGCTAATTGTAATGAATCTAAATCTCTCAGATTGGATAGAAAAGGAAATGCTGGCTCTAACAGTTTAATGGACAGAAAAGGGTTAAATATTAAAAGCAGTGCTTATTATCCTTAGCAAACTAATGCAGGATCAGAAAACCAAATACCACATGTTCTCACTTATAAGCGGGAGCTGAATGATGAGAACATGTGGACAGATAGGATGGGGGTGGGGACAGCACACACTGGAGCCTGCCAGAAGGTGGGGCTGGGAAGAGGGAGAGCATCAGAAAGAGGAGCTAATGGAAGGTGGGCTTAGTACCTGGGTGATGGGATGATCCGTGCAGCAAACCACCATGACACACATTTACCTATGGAACAAACCTGCACATCCTGCACATGTACCCCTAAATTTAAAGTAAAACTGGAAGTAAAACATTTAAAAAGAAAAGAAAACAAACAACAACAATAACAACAAAAAGAGTGGTGCAAATCTGTACCAGGCTTATTGGAAACAAAAGAATGAGAGTGAAAACATGGGTATCAGACAAAGGCAAACAGCAAAACAATGCTTTATATTAGCTAAAGGAGTAATATCCTAGCATCTAACTAAAGTCGAATGGAATCGAATGGAACTGTTTTTCCCTGAACTGGCCTCCTTGGGTGGCCAACCAGGGCATGGTGAAGGGAAAAAATCTTGGAGTGCAATGTCCATTTCTTTGCTCTTGTTTTGGTCTCTGTAAGGCATAAGAAGTTAAAAAGCAAGATCTGATCTTCGGAGTTTTCCAGGAATTCGAAATAGGTATATGAGGAAAGAAGCTCAATTATCACCCAGGTCTCCGGGAGTATTCCAGGTATAGTGCCAAGAGTCCAGCTTTCCGAACCGGGGTCCCTGGGTTCTGAAGGCCTTTTTGGGGAAAGTACTGATGTTTTTGTCAAGGTTGGGGGGAAAGGGTTTGGAAGGCCCCAACACCCACCACTGGTCACACACATACTGGCTGAATTCCAGACTATGCTGGCTGGTCTCAAACTCCCAACCTCAGGTGATCTGCCCGCTTCAGCCTCCCAAAGTGCTGAGATTATAGGTGTGAGCCACTGCACCCAGACCCAGCTAATTTTTTTTTTTTTCTTTTTTTTTTTTGGAGACAAGACTTTCACTCTTGTTGCCCAGGCTGGAGTGCAGTAGTGCGATCTTGGCTCACTGCAATCTCCACCTTCCAGGTTCAAGCAATTCTTCTGCGTCAGCCTCCCGAGTAGCTGGGATTACAGGCATGCGCCACCATACCTGGCTAATTTTGTATTTTTAGTACAGACGGGGTTTCACCATGTTGATCAGGTTGGTCTTGAACTCCTGACCTCGAGTGATCTGCCTGCCTCGGCCTCCCAAAGTGCTGGGATTACAGGCATGAGCCACTGCACCCAGCCTGTTTTCAAGGTTTTTATGAACACTGGTACCTCCATCATTTTCAACAGGTACAAAAAGCAGAAAGTGGCAAGAAGAAAAAGCCTACAGTTAAGTTTCCTTCATTCAACAAATACTAATTGAGTATCTACTATGTACCAAGGCACTGTCCTAACACTTATGAAAAAGAAAACATCAATAATAAGAGTGGTGAGGAAATAAGAAATTTAAAGACATATAGGAATTGTCTAAAGGCCAAGTAAATCTTTGTCTTTTAGACTAAAAGGCTGTGCTAAAGTAGTGAATAATAAGCAAGAAAAAAAAAAGAAGAGTGAATGATAAAACAGAAAAATGTTTTCCTGTATGACTAGAGGTCATTCTTAATGAGGACAATACAATCATCTAGGGGATAGTTGGGACATCTATGGAAGTGCTTTGGTTGTCACAGCAGTTAAGAAGTGCTTCTCACTATTCACAATAGCAAAGACATGGAATAAACCCAAATGCCCATCAGTGAGAGACTAGATAAAGAAAATGTGGTACATATACACCATGGAATACCATTCAGCCATAAAAAGGACGAGTGATTACTTTGCAGGGATGTGGATGGAGCTGGAAGCCGTTATCCTCAGCAAACTAACATAGGAACAGAAAACCACACATCACACGTTCTCATTTGTAAGTAGGGGCTAAATGAGGAGGACACATGGTGGGGAACAACACACACTGGGGCCTGTTGAGGGAGCCTCAGGAAGAATATCTAATGGATGCTGGGCTTAATAGCTAGGTGATGAGTTGATCTGTGCAGCCAACCACCATGGCACAGGTTTGCCTACATAACAAAACCTGCACATCCTGCACATGTGCTCCGGGACTTAAAATAAAAGTTGCAGAAAAAAAAAAAAGTGTTACTGACATTCAGTTGGCAGAGGCCAGGAAAGCATAGGCAAGTCCAGCACAAAGAAAAAATGTCTTTATTCTCAAACTTCCTTATGAATAGTTAACTGGATTTTAAAAATCTGTATAATTACCAAAGCCTAGAACCTAATTACATTCTACGTATAAGCACCAAGTCCTTCTGCATAATTTTATTTATTTATTTATTTATTTTTGAGACAGGGTCTCACTCTGTCACCCAGGCTGGAGTGCAGCGGTGTGATCACGGTTCACTACAGCCTTGACCTCTTGGGCTCAGGTAATCCTCCCACCTCAGCCTCCCAGGTAGCTGGGACTTCAGGCACGTGCCACCAAGCCCGGCTAATTTTTAAAAAAATTTTTTGTAGAGACAGGGTTTTACCATGTTGCCCAGGCTGGTCTCCAACTCCTGGGCTCAAGTGATCCAACCGCCTTGGTATCCCAAAGTGCTGGGATTACAGGCGTAAGCCACCGTGCCCAGTCCATAATTTTAATATGTACTAAATGTCCAGAAAAGCAACTGCTGAATAAAGTAAGAGAAAACTGTACTTTGGGGCAGATGCAGTGGCTCACGTTTGTAATCTCAGCACTTTGGGAGGCCAAGGAGGAGGACAGCTTGAGACAAATTCAAAACCAGCCTGGGCAACTAAGTGAGACCCCATCACTACCAAAAAAAAAAAAAAAAAAAAGAAGAAGAAAGAAGTTGTACTTGAGTTTTATTTGTACATTTGCAAAGAATTGTTCACTGTACTGGTTTGCTTCTCCTGGTATTTAAGTTGCAAATACCCTCATAGCAGTCTACTCAGGTAGCTGTCATGTCAAGCTAATCTGTCAGAAATATTTTCTATTTATCCTTTATCTTACTGCAAGATAATTTTTTTAATTATATATGTAGGGCCGGGTGTGGTGGCTCACGCCCATAACCCCAGCACTTTGGGAGGCCGAGGCGGGCGCACTTGAGGCCAGGAGTTCGAGACCAGCCTGGCCAACATGGTGAAACCCTGTCTCTACAAAGAATAAATAATAATACAAAAAAATTAGCCAGGTGTGGTGATGCACGCTTGCAATCTCAGCTACTTGGAAGGCTGAGGCACGAGCATCGCTTGAAGCACCCAGGAGGCAGAGGATACAGTGAGCCAAGATCACGCCACTGCACTGCAGCCTGGTTGACAGAGATTCTGTCTCACAAAAAAAAAAAAAAAAAAAATATATATATATATATATATATATATATATATATATATATATATATATATACACACACACACACACACACATATATGTAGAAAAGCTGTATTACCTGTGGATTTCATTTCACTAAAGAGAGTATTTCAAAATACTTATAAGAAGAGGGCACTGAATCTGAGAGGTCTGAGAATTAACGGGCTAGAAGATCAGCATCATTGTAGGATACCTGCAGGTCTCAGTTAATCCAGCAAAAGGTAAGAAAGAGCATGTAACTATAACTGTTTTTTCTTTTGAGAATGTAAATTCTAAGCATGGTGAAAGGTAAGCAAAATGAAACTTCTGGAAGATGGTACTATGGGTTAAAAGTCTATCCAAATCTGTACAACATCAAAGTGAGTGGCAAGGAGGTAAACATTACCTTGTCTACTAAGAAGTTTCCTGTGACACTTGTTCAAATTATCAAGGAGAGAGATTAATCTGTCCTAACAGATTTTCAAGGAAGACAAAACTAACTGGTCTGGCCAGGCGTGGTGGCTAACACCTGTAATCCCAGCACTTTGGAAGGCCGAGGCAGGCGCATCACTTGCAAGGTCAGGAGTTTGAGACCAGCCTGGCCAACATGGTGAAACCCCGCCTCTACTAAAAATACAAAAATTAGCCAGGTGTGGTGGCGCACACCCATAATCTCAGTTACTCGGGAGGCTGAGGCACAAGAATTGCTTGAACATGGGAGGCGGAGGTTGCAGTGAGCCAAGATTGCACCACTGCACTCCAGCCTGGGTGACAGAGTGAGGCTTCAGGTCTCAGAAAAAAACAAAAAACAAAATCTAACTGGTCTGTTTTGGGAAAAGAGTCACCAACAGTCTACTTATCATACAAGAAAAGTATGCCTGGTTTAAAAATCACTGGTGCCAACTCACTTCTTCTTTTAATTTTTTTTTAAGAGATGGGGTTTCGCCATATCACCCAGGCTGGTCTCAAACTCCTGAGCTCAAGTTACCCACCCACCTCAGCCTCCCAAAGTGCTGGGATTACAGGTGTTAGCCACCATACCTGTCCTACTTCTAACTGATATACATGCATCTGGGGACCTCTGAGAAACTCTGAACAGCAAACAATTGAAAAAAGAAATTTCTAAAAAAGAATAATTTTTCAGCACCTAAACTTCTGTATGTGAAACTATAACAACAACCTAAAATGCTTCTAATACGGTAATGGCCCTATTTCTCTGCAAATAAGGATTGCTCATGATTCTTACACTGCCTTTCAATTAGGATTATACAGCTCCATTCCTCATTCAAGCTTCCAATACGTGCACCTAAGTATCATTTTACAATGGGATATACTTAGGTAAACTGAGACGGTCAGATGACTCAGCGAGAAGTCACCCGAAGAATTTTAGAACAAAGATTAATAACTCCAATATACCCTCTCAACCAAGAATTTGAAGAAACTAAAAGGTTAAACACAAAATTTCTGGAGCTTATGAAACTTCTGAGAGGTATAAGAGAAACACAGAAAGTAAAACTAAAAGTTAGGCTTGTTGTCTGCTTTTCATTTTGTTTTCAAACTGGGATTTCCAGCTGTCTTACTAAATTACATGCAGTGTTTCTATCTCAATTAATTCCCAACTGACAAAAAAATGTGGATAGTTTTCTTTTATAAGTTGCCCTTACAGTATGTAACTTGAGAGGGGTAATCCAATTCCTCTGGTCTCAGTAATTCCAAAGACAGAAAGTAACTCCAATAGATACTGCTATAATGGAATTGCAGCCACTAACTGAGCCCTAGTTCCTGTTCTAAACCCTCTCTCCCATCAGAGGTTTGCCTAAAATTATACGGTCTCAATTTTCTTACTGAAAATTCACTGGGATCCCAAAATTAAAAATCAAACCTACACCAAAACAAAACCTTAAACACAATTAGCACAAGATGACACCGACTATCCCTCTATCTATCCCAGGGTTTCTCAACCTCAGCCCTCTTACCTTTTTGGGCCCAATATAATTCTTTGTTTTGAGGGGTCTATCCTGTGCACTGCAGCATGTTCAGCAGCATCTCTGGCCTCCACCCACTGCATGACAGTAGCAACCCTCCTCTAGCCCCTAGTTACAAAAATCAAAAATGTCTACAGGCTGGGTGTGGTGGCTCACACCTACCATCCCAGTACTTTGGGAGGCCGAAGCAGGACTGCTTGAGGCCAGGAGTTTGACACCAGCCTAGGCAACACAGTGAGACTCTGTCTCTACAAAAAATTAAAAAATTAGCCGGGTGTGGTGGTACAGCTAGTTGGGAGGCTGAGGTGGGAGGATTGCTTGAGCCCAGGAGGTGGAAGCCGCAGTGAGCCGTGATCACGCCACTGCACTCCAACCTGGGCAACAAAGTCAGACTCTGTCTCCAAAAAAAAGATAAAAAATTGTCTACAGACTTTGCCAAATGTTCCCTGGGAAACAAAACTACCTGAAATTGAAAACCACTGCTCTAGGCTATCTCATTTATTGCTCAGCAGGCTGTGAGAGATCCAACCTGGCCAACATGGTGAAACCCTCGTCTCTACTAAAAATACAAAAATTAGCCAGGCATGGTGGCAGGCGCCTGTAATCCCAGCTACTTGGGAGGCTGAGGCAGGAGAATCACTTGAAACTGTAAGGCAGAGGATGCAGTGAGCCAAGATCGTGCTACTGCACTCCAGCCTGGGTGAAAGAGGGAAACTCTGTTAAAAAAAAAAAAAAAAAAAAAAAAGAGGCAACTAAACATAAAGAAATACAAAGTGTTAGCACATCTAGTTGGTACTTCCCCCGAAAATACAAAAAAATTTCTTCTGCAGTGAGTTCAATTTTCAGATTTTTTTCTTCCTTATACTGAAAAAGTCCCACAAATTTCCCCAATATATACATTTATATTTATCAGTAGAATTACAAGGATAAACTAGCCTCTACCTATAAGAATACATATTTATTTCTAGATATTGCAGTGAATATACGTACTTCACTGTACGTTCAAATTTCACATGGTAGCACCTACATTTTGTACCACTGTAGCCTTTTAAAGATGTCAAAACACTGAAGTCATCACTTTTTAAATATAATTACTGGGTGTTCAATTCATATCAATCATTCAATTAAAAAATATTTAATTAGCAACTGCTATATAGCACCAGATAGACATCTCTCTGGGACCTTTCTAAGAATCATGCAACTTAGAAAGGTCAGTTGAGCTTAAACGGTCACAAAGTCTTTAAGAAATCTGCTTTTTAGCTACTTTTATTATGGGTGGTTTGAACATTTTCCTGTATTAGAGTTATTGCAAGTACAATACAATGATGAATGCCTTCTCTAGCACCTAGATAACATTACTTATTGATAAGGAAAACATTTTATTAGATCAAAGAAGATGATAAAATAAGAAGATAGAGGGAGAGAAGCCTACTACATAGTTTCTTCAGGTGGAGCCTGAAAGCGAGCAGTCCTTAACCTGATCTCTTCATCTGGATTTAGGAAGATACCCTGATCTCCATAAAATACTTAAGAACCACCCTAGTCTCATCAATACCAAAAGTAGGTTACTCTGCATATGATTTATCTCACCTGTTTAATGATGACTCTACCAGATTTAATCACATAAGGTAACATTCCCTGACCTTGATTTAATGGGGAAAGACGGATGGTAGGGTGTAGGAATGGAATAACACCTTTACGCTCCATGACACAGCCCTCTGTGGTGTACTACCCAGTCATTCATCATCAATGTAGCATACTAACTCCATTAGTCTTGGCTTCACATTGTCTCTCAATAAGATAGGTAAGGTAGGAGTTTCTGCTATGGTTTTGAAAATAATAATCTGAAGTTACTTTAAGTATTTATTCTATAATCTGATGACCAAAAAATCTACAATGGCATTTTACCCAATCCTACAGAAACTTAAAATCCTGAGGCTCCAGACTATATAATCGAAATCTCTGATTTTAAAATCCAAGTTTAGTACTCACAAAATTTTACTAAAGTTATTTTCACTGTAAATAGGAAAACACTTTTAATAAGGAGAAAGAAATTCCTAAACCAATACTCACTTGGAATGGAGACTTTTTTGAAACCTAACAGAAAACAATGCCACTAAATATGTTTTCATTTTAAAATTCCCTTCATGATTTCTCCTTATTTCTTAATGTCCTCTTTCCAAATGAACCTTTTGTCCTCTTTTTGAATGGTTTTTTTTTTTTTTTTGAGATGGAGTCTCGCTCTTTTTGCGAGTGCAATGGCACGATCTCAGCTCACTGCAAGCTCCGCCTCCTGGGTTTTCAAGCGATTCTCCTGCCTCAGCCTCCCGAGCCCAGCTCAAATCACTAAATTGCTTAGATTAGAGGCGCCCACCACCACGCCAGGCTAATTTTTGTATTTTTAGTAGAGACAGGGGTTTCACCATGTTGGCCAGGCTGGTTTTGAAGTCCTGACCTCAGGTGATCCGCCCACCTTGGCCTCCCAAAGTGCTAGGATTACAGGCACTAGTCACCATGCCCGGCCCTCTTTTGTCCTCTTATCTGAGTGGATCCAACCCAAAGACACACAAAGCTAAAATTGATCAGGATTAGCAGTAAGGAGTGTTATTCTGTCAAATTAAATGAATTCAGCCTACATGTGGCTTTAAAAAAAAAGGTGAAATAATAAAGTAATTAAATTTTAAAAAGAAGAGAAGAGTTATTAAACCTTGCAACCTAGTCCCGTTGAACACAATTATGGCTCTGAAGCAGACCTTCCCATTGAATGGGTGAAGAAACCTAGTGAGAGCTCATTAAAAGCTGATGTAAACTCAATACCCAGCCTCTGGTGTTCAGTGAGGACAGCACTCATAGATGATGGGTTCTTTCTTTCTTTTTCTTTTCTTTTCTTTTTTCTCTCCTCTCTCCCCTCTCTCTTCTCTCTCATCCAGACTGGGTCTCTGTTGCCCAGGCTGGAGTACAGTGGCACAACCATAGCTCACTGTAACCTCAAATATCCTGGGCTCAAGTAATTCTTCCACCTCAGCCTCCCAAGTAGCTAGGACTACAAGCACATGCCACCATACCCAGCTAATTTTTATTTTTTTTTGTTGAGACAGGGTCTTGCTATGTTATCCAGGCTGGGAGAACATTTTAAACAAAGGGAGACAGAGGTCTAAAAATAGATAATGCATAGGAGAATGGTGAGGTAAATGCTATGGCCAAGGCACAGGGCGTGTGGAGGAATGAGTTGGGTTTTTGAAGTTGATTAGATTAAATCATGGAGTCTTTTTCTTTTTTGAGATAAGCTCTTGCTCTGTCACCCAGACTGGAGTGTAATGGCACAATCACAGCTCACTGCAGCCTCGACCTCCCGGGCTTGAGCAATCTTCCCCGACTCAGCCTCCTGAGTAGCTAGGACCACAGACACACACCACCACCCCTGGCTAATTTTTTTAATTTTTGTAGAGATAGGGTCTCACTTTGTTGCCCAGGCTAGTGCCAAACTCCTGGGCTCAAGCAATCCTCTCCTGCCTTGGGTTCCCAAAGTGTTGGTATAACAGGTGTGAGCCACAGCATGCCCCAGTGAGGGATGGTTCTTGGTATCCAACTATCACAAGAGTCAGTACCCTCTTTGTTTACTTTGTTTTTATAAAATTTATCCATATCTGATTTTGACTGGGGTATTAAGCCTTTTTATATATTGACTATAAATGGTTTTTAGGTTTTAGGTCCTTCATTTTGCTCTTTGTTTTCTATACATATTTTTTTTGATTTTAGGTTTGGGGGCACATATGTACATTTGTTACACGGATAAACTGTGTCACTGGAATTTGGTGTACTGATTATTTCGTCACCCAGCAACTGACCATAGTACAAGATAGGCAGTTTTTTGACCCTCATCCTCCTCTTACCCTCACCACCTCAAGTAAGCCCTCGTGTCCATGTTTATGCCCATGTGTACTCAATGTTTAGCTCCCACTTTTAAGTGAGAACACGTGGTACTTGGCTTTCTGTTCCTGCTTTAATTCACTTAGGATAATGACCTCCAGCTGCATCCATGTTGCTGCAAAGGACATGATTTCGGTTTTGTTTTTTTTAAATAGCTGTATAGTATCCCATGATGTATATGTACCACATTTTCTTTATTAAGTCCACCACTGATGGGCATCTAGGTTGATTCCATGTCTTTGCTCTTGTGAATAGTGCCACAATAAACATACAAGTGCATGTGTCTTTTTGGTAAAACGATTTATATTCCTCTGGGTATATACCCAGTAATGGATTGCTGGGCAGAATGGTAGTTCCGTTTTAAGTTCTCTGGGAAATCAAACTGCCTTCCACAGTGGCTGAACTAATTTACATTCTCACCGGCAGTGTATAGGCATTCCCTTTTCTCCACAACCTTGCCAACAACTGTTATTCTTTGACTTTCTAATAATAGCTATTCTGACTGGTGTGAGATGGTATCTCGCTGTGGTTTTGGTTTGCATTTCTCTGACGATTAGTAATCCTGAGCATTTTTTCATATGCTTATTGGGCTGCATATATGTCTTCTTTTGAGAAGTGCGTAGGCAAAAAAACCAAAATCATACCAACCACACTCTCGGATTATAGTGCAATTAAAATAGAAATCAATACTAAAAAGGTCTCTCAAAACTATACAATTACATGGAAATGAGACAACTTGTTCCTGAATGACTTTTCAGTAAAAAATGAAATTAAGGGAGAAATCAGAAAGTTCTTTGAAACTAATGAAAACAAAGATACAGCATACCAGAATCACTAGGATACAGTTAAAGCAGTATTAAGAGGAAAGTTTATAGCACTAAACACTTCCATCAAAAAGCTAGAAAGATCTCAAATTAACAACCTAACATCACACCTAGAGAAACTAGAAAAACAAGAACAAACCAACCCCAAAGCCAGCAGAAGAAATAACCAAAATCAGTGCTGAACTGAATGAAATTGAGATGTGAAAATCCATACAAATAAATGATAAACGAAACCAAAAGTTGGTTCTTTCAAAAAATAAAATTGATAGACCACTAGCTAGATTAATAAAGAAAAAAAGAGAGACGATCTAAATAAACACCATCAGAAATGACAAAACTGACATTACCACCAATCCCACAGAAATACAAAGAACCCTCAGAGACTATTACAAACACCTTTATGCACACAAACTAGAAAACCTAAAATTCCAGATAAATTCCTGGAAACATACAACCTCACAAGACTGAACCAGGAAGAAACTGAAATTCTGAACAGACCAATGACGAGTTCCAAAATTGAATCAGTAATAAAAAACCTGGCCAGGGCCATGGCTCATGCCTACAATCCCAGCACTTTGGGAGGCAAAGGCAGGCGGATCGCTTGAGCCTAGGAGTTCAAGACCAGCCTGGGCAACATGACGAAACCTTATCTCTCAAAAAAAAAAAAAAAAAAAAAAAACAGCCAGGTGTGGTAGCACATACCCGTAGGTCCAGCTACTCAGGAGGCTAAGGTGGGAGGATCACCTGAGTCTGGGAAGTCGAGGCTGCAGTGAGCCGTGATCATGCCACTGAACTCCAGTATGGGTGACACAGTGAGACCCTGTCTCAAAAAATAATGAAAAATAAAAAACTTACCAATCAGAAAAGGCCCTGGACCAGATGGACTCACAGCCAAACCCCACCAGACACGAAGAAGAGCTAGTACCAATCCTACTGAAATTATTCCAAAAAATCGAAGAGGGACTCTTCCCTAACCCATTCCATGAGGCCAGCAGCATTCTGATACCAAAACCTGGCAAAGACACAATGAAAAAAGAAAACCCCGGGCCAATATCCCTAATGAACACAGACACAAAAATTCTAAATAAAATACTAACAAACTGAACCAGCAGCACATTAAAAAGCTAATGCAGGCCAGTGTGGTGGCTCACACCTGTAATCTCAGCACTTTGTGGGGCCAAGGCAGGCAGATCACTTGAGGTCAGGATTTCAAAGCCAACCCGGCCAACACGGGGAAACCCCATCTCTACCAAAAATACAAAAATTAGACAGGTCTAGTGGTGCAAACCTGTAATCCCAGGTATCTGGGAGGCTGAGGCACGAGAATCGCTTGAACCCAGGAGGCAGAGGTTGCAGTGAGCTGAGCTCGTTCCACTGCACTCCAGCCTGGGCTAAAGAGCAAGACTCCGTCTCAAAAAAATAAATAAATAAAAATTAAAAGCTAATCTACCACAATCAAGTAGTCTTTACTCCTGGGATGCAAGGTTAGTTCAACATAGGCAAATCAATAAATGTGATTCATCACATAAACAGAATTAAAAACAAATACCACATATCAGGCCAGCCGCAATAGCTCATGCCTGTAACCCCAGCACTTTGGGAGGCTGAGGCAGGCAGATTGCTTAAGCCCAGAAATTTGAGACCAGCCGGGGCAACATGGCAAAATCCCATCTCTACAAAAAAGAAAAAAAAAATTAGCCAGGCATGGTGGAACGCACCTATCTACTACTACTCAGGAGGATATAGTGGGAGGACACATTGAGCCCACAAATTCAAGAACAGCCTGGGCAACAAGACAGAATAAATTCTGTCTCTATTTAAAAAGAAAAAAAGAGGCCGGGTGCGGTGGCTCACACCTGTAATCCCACCACTTTGGGAGGCCAAGGTGGGCATATCACAAGGTCGAGATGGAGACCATCCTGGCCAACATGGTGAAACCCCGTCTCTACTAAAAATACAAAATTTAGCTGGGCATGGTGGCACGTGCCTGTAGTCCCCACTACTTGGGAGGCCGAGGCACGAGGATTGCTTGAACCCAGGAGGTGGAGGATGTAGTGAACCGAGATCGCACCACTGCACTCCAGCCTGGTGACAGAGCGAGACTCAGTCTCAAAAAAAAATAAAAGGGAATATACTGTATATTTGAAAATTGCTAAGACAGATTTTAAGTGTTCTCACCACGCAAAAATAAGTATGTGAGGTAATGCATGTTAAATAGCTTGATTTAACCATTCAGTGTATACATATATCAAATCATGCTGAACACTATAAAAAATATAGTATACAACTTTTAGTTGTGAAAAAAACATGATTTATTAAATATTTCTCCCTTCTTCATCAACTCCCTCTTCCTTTTGCTACCTCACAGTCTTTGGAATTCTCAATCTGAAATGTACCCATCCCTCAAAACTCAATTTAAATCCCACTGGCCACACCAATGCTATGAAATTCCCCTCTCTGAATCCTAAAGCACATATCCTCATTCCCTTTATGCTGTTACTTTTTCTATGTTTGCCTTGTCTTTCCCCAAAAGCTGTAAGATCCTTAAGGGCAGGAGCCACATATCACTCCCTATCACCTCCAGGACACTCAGCAGAGAACCTTGGATATATTTAGGAAGAATCCGGTTATACTCAATTGTGTTAGGCCTCAATTTACAAATCAGACATGACAAATAATATATCACACCAAAAAGATCAAGAAACTTCTCCAGGCATTAACTAAGGCTTAGAAAAACACCTATTCAGCCTTTCAAATTATCCCTTTGAAGTAAGGACTTAAAGGTGAGAAGAAAAGATATAATCAATTGGGGAAGTTTAGACTGTCTTCTCACTCTTTTTTTTTTTTTTTTTTTTTTTTTTTTTTTTTTTGAGACAGGGTCTGGCTCTATTGCCCAGGCTGGAGTGCAATGGTGCGATCTCAGCTCACTGCAACCTCTGCTTCCTGGGGTCAGGCAATCCTCCTACCTCAGCCTCCTGAATAGCTGGGACTACAGGTGCATGCCACCACACACACGGCAAATTTTTT
This sequence comes from Homo sapiens, assembly GCF_000001405.40. NCBI lineage: Eukaryota > Metazoa > Chordata > Mammalia > Primates > Hominidae > Homo > Homo sapiens. The sequence continues at coordinate 148,076,867 of NC_000001.11, forward strand.
TATTTTTTGGTAGAGACGGGGTTTCTCCATGTTGCCCAGGCTAGTCTCGAACTCCTGAGCTCAAGCGATCTGCCTGCCTTGGACTCCCAAAGTATTGGGATTACAGGCCTGAGCCACCACGCCTGGCCAACTTCTCACTCTTAAAGGCAAAATAGTGAACAGCAACTTAAAGATCAAAAAAGCTAAGGATGGAATATTCAACAAGGCATCACATTCAACAACACACCACTGGTCACACACATACTGGCTGAATTCCAGACTCCCTCTCTATGGTAAAAGAGTTCTGCAGGCTCTGATGTTGGCTGGAAAAAAACTAGACACCTGCTCTTCCCAGCACTGAAATATGGCCAAAAAAAAAAAAAACATAAACACACAGCAAAATCAGCAAACAAAACTAAGTAGCATTTAGGCGGGGAGCAGTGGCTCACGCCTGTAATCCCAGCACTCTGGGAGCCCGAGTCGGGTGGATCACTTGAGGTCAAGAGTTTGAGACCAGCCTGGCCAACATGGTGAAACTGCATCTCTACTAAAAACACAAAAATTAGCCAGGGTGCGGTGGTCGTGCACCTATAGTCCCAGCTACCCGGAGGCCGAGGCAGGAGACTCTCTTGAACCCAGCAGGTGGAGGTTGCAGTCAGCCGAAATCATGCTCCTGGGTGATAGACAGAGGCTGTCTCAAAAAAAAAAAAAAGAAAAAAGAAAAACAGCTAAGTAGCATTTAGATGAAACTATGACTCTGAAGTAGGGGGTGCGGCAAGTAGAGAGGAAAGAATGTATCATAATGCCTTAAACAAAACTTTTGAGTGAGAGAAGACTATAAAACACCCTTTAAGCACTTATTCACTGGACTCCATTTGTGTTTCTAAGAAATAAGATATACAGACTCACTTCAGAAGGTTTTCTCCTACACTGTATCTGAGACACCATAAATAGAAACATACATTATGTTGCCACTCTATCACAAGACTGAACCTGGACACTTGTAAGGAAAGGAACAACCATAAAGACAGTTGGCCAAGGACAGGATTGACATTCACCCTGGGGGAGCTCCTCGTAGTAGCTACAAGCCAACCCAAAACAGCTTCTGGGTTTGTGATGCTGGTGCTGGCTAGTATGCTGCATAAATGTTGTTTGTTTTTGTAGAGAGGGGTCTCACTCTGTTGCCCAGGCTGGTCTCAAACTCCTGGCCTCAAGCAATCCTCCTGCCTCGTCCTCCCAAAGCACTGGGATTACAGACCTAAGCCACCGCGCCTGACCTACAAAAGTGTTTTCTTCCCAACCACAGCACTGCCTCTCAAGGGGCTAACACTCTGGCAGAAACTCGTGAAAACCAATTTCACGTCAGAGGAAGCATCCCCAACATTCTGTCCCGGCTCTTTTTCTTAGGTGAAGAAAGGGACAGGGCGGGGGGCGGAACAATGATATTAAAGACACTGGCAGCATGACAACCAAAATAAACGAAGTTGAAACAGTACGTCCTGCCTTCTTCCTAAAGCCATTTCCTTCAACAGCGATAGGAGTGCAGACCGTCTGCAAGTCATTAGTACGCTGCTGTCTTCACTGTCACAAGGACCCTGGAAACCACTGAAGAGCAAAATCCCCCTTTTCGCCCCACAGATACCTTCCAACCCCCTTTCTGTGCTTCCTTCCCTAGAAAAAACCGAAGAGTGACAATCCTCAGCAATCCGCTATTTCGCTTCACTGACAAGGGAGGTGGCGGGGGCGGTGGGGGGTGAAAAGTGGAAAAGAACACAGAGGAAGGTGAGAAGACACAGTGGAAGAAGTGTGGGGGGAGGTCATCGTAGGAAAAAGACCAGGTATAAAAGAATGCAAGAAAATTGAGGGGAGAGTTATCAGAGGGAAACTTGCTAAGAAAAAAAAAAAATTAAGGACACGGGAGGTGAAGAGGTGAGGTCAGGTGGAGCAGCCCAGGATGAATTAAGAGGTGGGCAGGAGGTACGGGGCCGAGGCCGTGATGCCCAGGGTTTAGGGCCGGCGGCTTAGAAGTGGGCAGCAGGTATTCGGCAGACCGATGTCCGGGGAGTCAATGATGTGCAGAAAGCTCCAGACCCAGTTCCGGGAAATCGGGGCCAGGAATCTATGAGGTTCCCAAGTATAGAGAACACAGCGCTCTTACCGGTAGTTTGGGGCTGACCTCGCCCTTGCAAAAGTGGCAGAAAAACCGGTGGGCGGCGCCGTGGAGCAGGGGGCGGCGCTCATCGGGGAGGCCCCGGCCGCACAGGAGCCCACGGAGGGGGCGGGAGGCTCAGGCATGGCGGGCTGCAGGTCCCGAGCCCCGCCCCGCGGGAAGGCAGCTAAGGCCCCGCGAGAAATCGAGCACAGCGCCGGTGGGCTGGCACTGCTGGGGGACCCAGTACACCCTCCTCAGCCGCTGGCCCGGGTGCTAAGCCCCTCATTGCCCTCACTGCTCCGAGTGCGGGGCCCGCCAAGCCCACGCCCACCCTGAACTCCGGCTGGTCTGCAAGCGCCGGGCGCAGCCCGGGTTCCCGCTCGCGCCTCTCCCTCCACACCTCCTTGCAAGCTGAGGGAGCCGGCTCCGGCCTTGGCCAGCCCAGAAAGGGGCTCCCACAGTGCAGCGGTGGGCTGAAGGGCTCCTCAAGTGCCGCCAAAGTGGGAGCCCAGGCAGAGGAGGCGCCGAGAGCGAGCGAGGGCTGTGAGGACTGCCAGAACGCTGTCACCTCTCAAAATGACGTAGAGTTTACAGATAACCTACTCACATCCTCCCGTATGCTATGTAAATAGTTGTTATGTGGTATTGTTTAGGGAATAATGACAAAGAAAAAAGTCCATATATGTACAGTGCAAACACAATAATAAGTTTTCAAAAAATATTTTGGAGTCAGGCCTGGTTGAATCCATGGATGCAGAACCTACAGATATGGAGGATCAAATGTAATAAATCTCTCTCTCTTACTATATATATGTGTGTGTGTATAGTGTGTGTGTATTTATATATACTGTGTGTGTGTGTATATGTATGTATATGACTATTGATACAGTGGTAAGGAGTAGGGGAGGGAAGTGTTCCATAATCCTATGATTAGGTCTCAGTCTTGTGGTGGGCCTGTGCCCCTGGGCTGTGACCTTCAAAAGTGCTTCTCAAATTTTGTTCCCTCTTAGGTGAGACAGGATGGCTAGAGGTCACTGGAGTTGGGTATTTCCCTTTCCCTACATTGGTTAGACTCTGGAAACAGAATTTTCTTTTGAGGGCATGTGTTTGTTAAGTAGAACAGAATGCACCGGGCATATTTTTCAACAGTTACCTCTCCTTCCCCTCCAGAAGCACTCAAGGAGTTTTCTCTGATTCTCACCCTAAGTCTTCTGGAGACAAAACTCATGAAGGTATGGGAGGCTCCCACTAGTTAGGCCCCCAGGAGTTTTTACCTCTCAGGCTAGGCTGCTGTCAGCTCCAGCAATTAGCCAACTCCCTTTGAAGTATGTCTACCCAATGCTGGCTCCAGTGGTGGTTTCTGATCCAGGTAAGTTGTGATTCTCTGTATTTGCCCATGGCTCCAGGTTTCATAGGGTTGGCATGTCTTAGGACCTCCATTTTCTGTTGCATATAAGTAGTTATTGATGTTCGGTTTGTTCAGCTTTTTTCTGGTGAGAGTGGGAGTGATGGCTTTTAAGTGCTTTACAAGTCTGGTTGTCATTTCTGATAATCATGTGACAATTTTGATCTCTTTAAAAAGGTAATATGTTTAATTCAGGAATTGCGAAAAGCCTTGCAGCAGCTACAAGAATTGCAGAATAAGAGCCAACAGCTTCGTGCCTGGGAGGCTGAAAAATACAATGAGATTCGAACCCAGGAACAAAACGTCCAGCACCTAAACCATAGTCTGAGTCACAAGGAGCAGTTGCTTCAGGTGAGTTTACATGATTTCAATGAACACTGGGCTCATAGAACTCTGAAATTTGTTTATATAATTTTAAGATATTAATCCACCTGTGCTGAGTCCCTGCTATATGGAAAACATTGAGAGGTGGGAATCAGGAGGATTTAAAATAAATAGAAAATATAATTTGTGAATTAAGATGCTTACTAACAAGTGTAAGAAACAGTACATATAGCCCTGATTTATGCAGTCTTTTATGAAGTCTTTTATAAAGACTTAATATTCAGAAAATAGTTATTAAGCACCTCTGTGAGTCAAACACTTTTCTGGGTGTTGGGAAGACAAAAGATTTGGCTACTGATCTCAGTGTAATAGATGAAGACAAACTGTACAGAAACTTCCAAAGAGTAATTTTGATGATAGAATGAAAGTTTGAGGGGAAGATGGAGCATTAAGAAGAGACTGATCTGTTCTGCCACCTACTCTAAGCTTCAGTCACATTGAATCCACTACATTTCACTGAATGTACAATTTTTTCATTGTATGCATAGTGTGCATATTTTTTTTTCTCTAACATGTCCTCCTCTCCATTCTTCACTTAGGAAATCCTAGTCCTTTAATTAAGACTCACTGCAAATATTACCTCCTCTGTGAGGTCTTTACTGACACCTGCAGGCAGAGTTAGGCAGTGCATCCTGTGTTCCCCTGGTGGCTAGCGTATGTTGCACAACAGTTAATTCTATGTGTTGTGTCTGGTGTATGTTGCAGAATACTTTACAATTTATGTCTGTTATCTCTGCTAAACTTGTTACTTTTGAGGAGAGTGATCACATCTTGTTTTTTTATCCTGAATAACTAACAAATTACTTGGCAATTTAGTTAATATTGGATAAAAGAATAAAAGAAACGATGTTTTGGTCTCAGGAATTTCGGGAGCTCCTACAGTATCGAGATAACTCAGACAAAACCCTTGAAGCAAATGAAACGTTGCTTGAGAAACTTCGCCAGCGAATACATGATAAAGCTGTTGCTCTGGAGGTATGTATCATCATTTCGCCCACTATGCTATGGATTATTCTATCTACATAGGTATTATAGAAATTTGTGTTTACTTAAATTTGCTGGTTTTGGATTTGGTTTTCTATTCTGCCATCGTGTTAAATAACAGCGATCAGGATAGATTATTGAACAGATGGTATGTGAGCACTTGGAAAGTGGTGAGCATTAGAAACCAGAATTTCTCTAAGAGCAAGGTAGGACAGATTAAATAAGTGGAATGAAGGGTTTTGCAAAGACAGAGATGTACCCTTCTCCAGGCTGCGGGGGATGTTGAGCCAGCATGCTCTTCCCACCAACATAGGGCCTTCCTTCCCTGCTCCTTAGCTCTGTTTGTCAGGGCGGATGTGCTTGGGGTCATCTTCCTGCTGAGCTCTGGCCCCATGAAAATAAATCAATCCTCCTGTGTTCCTCTCACCAGAGCACTCCCAGGAGATGGAAAGCCTGAGGGAGGCTCTGCTGTCCTCTCGATCCCACCTTCAAGAGCTGGAAGAGGAGCTGGAGCACCAGAAGGTGGAAAGGCAGCAGCTTTTGGAAGACTTGAGGGAGAAGCAGCAAGAGGTCTTGCATTTCAGGGAGGAACGCCTTTCCCTCCAGGAAAACGACTCCAGGTAAGAGGGGACCCATTGACAGAGAAGGTAGCATTCTTCATTCTTACATTCATTCTTACATTATAAGAAGGGATATTGGCAAGATAATTGGTGTCCTCTTTTGGAAACCTCAATGTTCCCTCTGCCATTCCTGATTTTTGTGTGTCAGTGGGGTGGGGGGAGGGGCGCTTTGAGCAGAAGAAAGGACTTCTCTGGGAATGCCTTGTCACTCCCAAGTTGAGAGAGTAAAACTCTGTTATAGAAGTCTTCAGTATATCAGAGACATGAAAAAGAAGGGTCCCCATGCTTCCAATTAGATATAGGACATTAGTCTCACCATCACCTAGGAAGCTTCTATACTGGCTGTGATGCTTGGTCCCAGCATAAGCCCTGTAACTGCTTGTCAGGATGCAAAGAGCACTGTAGGAGCAGTAAGGAGACTGTGCTGGTGTGTCTGTTCTGCTCTGAACTAATGTAGGTAATGGTGTGTTTTCAAGCAAAGTTACTTGACCTCCCTCAGCCACCATTTCCACATCTGTGAAATAAAAGTGATGATCTTCCTGACCCCCTGAGTTGACATCTGGGGCTCAGAGGTAACCCTAACCGTAACCCTTTATGACCCTCTGAGTTGACATCTGGCTCTCAGCCTGTTGCTCTGGTGTGGCTGAGTGGCTCTGCCATCTCAGTGGGCCTTGCCTCTCCCTGGTCAGACTGAAGCACAAGCTGGTTCTCCTGCAGCAACAGTGTGAAGAGAAACAGCAGCTCTTTGAGTCCCTCCAGTCAGAGTTACAAATCTATGAGGCACTTTATGGCAATTCCAAGAAGGGGCTGAAAGGTATGTGTTCTTCTCCCCTCACCCCATGAGCTTTTTGCCCTTGCATAGGATGCTAGTGAGGTCTTTCCTTTGGGAGTTGTGGAGATCATGGGAAGCTACAGAGTTCTGTCTCAGAAACTCCCACCCGAGCCTGGGGCTCCCAATAAGAACTCTCATACACAAAGCCCAAGGTGACAGGTTGGTGACACGAACAAGATCCGGCCTGATCATTCCTAATTATTTTAAGAAAATCTAGACATTCCTATCAATGTCTAAATTATAACATTTTTGAAAGCAAAAGAACTGTCCTAATGATATCATCATTTGAAAAGGCCTTTAATATTGTCGGTGATACATACTGACAACCCATTCAGCCCAATGCAGCAGGCAGTCCGCTCCCACCCTGACCCTTTCCCTAGTGACATCTGGCGCTCAGCTTATTGCCCTCTCATGTAATTTTCATAAATCCTGATTTAGTTTCCTGATTTTCTAAAGAGAAGGTGAACTGGAATTTGAAGAAATACAGGGGCTTACCAGGCTGAGCGAATAGCTTAAGTACAAAGTCATGGTGAGTGTTGAGTCAGTGGGGACCAGCCTGCCCACAGGAGAAAATTAAAAGACACGAAAACAAAAAACCCTTATAGAAATACCACTGATAGGACCTAAATTTCAATCCTGGATTTAAATATTAAGGACATTTATTGAAGACTTTGTTGCCTGCTGAAATAATAATCTAATATTTGAGAATTTGATATATTTCTTCATTCTTTAAATGGAGAAGGGTATTCAAAACATAATGTGAATAAGTCACAGCAGGCTGGGACAGAGGACTGACATCAATGTCATGAAATTTAGCAAAGATAAAAAGCAAAATCCTGAGCTCGATTAAAAATATCAGTGGTAGAAATATAGGATGAGGGTAGAAATATAGGACAGGCGGCCATTCGTGGACTTGAGAGTATGGGGTTTGGTAGAAACATGATCACACAAGTAAGTCATAGGCCAGAGGTTGCTAGAAATGCCAGCTCAAACTGACACTACAGTAGTGTAAGTGTGATGTTCACCTGTGGAGACCATGGTCTAAAATATTGTTAGATTAAGGGGCACTATCTTTGAAAAGGGCATTGACACACTAGGGAACATAATGAAGACAGGGCGCACAATGGTGTGGACCAGAAATCTCCAACTGGTCAAAGAAACTAAAGAAATGTAGGCTTTCAAAAGATCTTGAGGACATGAGAACTGGCTTCGGATATTTGAAGAAGTGTCAGGTGAAAAAGAACTCATGTATTTTATGTCCCTCCAGGGGGCTAAACAATGCGTGAAGGGCAGTGGAATTTAGATTGGAATTATCATAAATCCTGATTTAGTTTCCTGATTTTCTAAAGAGAAGGTGAACTGGAACTTGAAGAAATAGAGGGGGCTCACCAGGCTGGGAGAATAGCTTAAGTACACAGTCATGGTGAGTGTTGGGTCAGTGGGACCAGCCTGACCACAGGAGAAGCTTGGGGTTGGGGGAGTGAGAAGTCAGGATGGTGGAGTAGAGCCACCAAACCGTGAAAGCTCACAGGTCAGGGTGAAAGTTGACATTCTGTAGAGTAGATAATGAAACTAAGTCTATTCTTTTTCAAAGAAGATAAGCATATGATGAAAACAGAACTTTAGGATGCTAAGTCTCAGGGGATGTCCTGGAATTGGGAGACATTAGAATCTGGGAAACCTATTGGGTGGGTCTAGTGATATTGTGACACATTAAGAGATGACAGTCTAATATAAGGTGCTGTTGGGAAGATGAAAGGGTATAGATAGATTTTAAAATGTCTCTTAAAAAAATAAGCAAAATTTAGTGAGAACTTGGATTGAGAAAGAGAGAGAGGAACATCATAAAACTTCGGGCAAAATTCAAGAGTAGATTACTTACCAAAGTCTCTGAAACGACTTCATCCTGAGCTCCCTTTCCTTTCATGCTTTTCTCCCTGCCTTTTAGGACTCATTTCAAAGCTACAACCACTAAAGCTCCATAATCCCTTATCTGTAATTTCAAAATTCAATACGATCTCCAAACTAAATTTTTCAAATACTCATTTAGTGACAAAATCTAGATGATCTGACATGAGGATATTCATAAGTCTTTATTTATCTACTTAGGATATTCACATAGCTCATTGCAGAAATAGTTATATGTTTGATTAAGGATTGTGGTTCACCTGCAACTGGGTACATGTTATATATGATATATGCACCCTGTTGCCTTGCTAAAAACTAAAACAAATTTTACCTTTCGAAATACATTTGGCCTTAAGGTTTTCAGATAAGGGATTGTAGCCTTGTAGAATATTTCTTAGATCTCTTCATCCCCAGTACAAAGAAATAGACTACATGTGGTGAATGGAGGTAAATATATGTACATATATATATTTGTATATATATGTATCTGTATATATGTGTGTATATATATGTACATGTATATATGTACATGTATACACCTATATATAGTATGTATATACACACACAACATATATATACACACTATATGTAGGTGTATATATATGTACACACACATACACACACACACACACACACACACATATATATATATATATATATATATATATATATATATATATATATATATATGAGAGAGAGAGAGAGAGAAATTGAAAAACTCAGTTATAATCCCTGGTCTAATGTGCCCAACTCGCATTCTCACATGCTACCAAAAGGCCTCCTCCTTCTCCTCTTTCATTTTTGAGAGTGAAGACTGTGAAATCTCTTTCTCCCTCATCCCCTACCCTTCTCTAGCTCAGTACTGACGTTCTACCTTGGAGGACCCTATACTTTAGCCTACAGGACTAAGGTTACTATGGAGATGAAATATGGACTTATCCTTATCTGCCAATCAAATGCTCTATAGGTGCATGTGTGTAACTTAAACCGCAAGGAAGTTTCAGACTGGATGTGTGCCATCTCAGTGCCATCCCCCGGCCACACACAGAAATGGTGACATCTCCATCACAGATGGGTTGCATGAGACTCAGATGATAGTGGGGTCCTTGGCAGAAAAGAATGTCACAGAGGAGGGTTCTGACAAGTGCTTGGAAATACTTGGGTCAATGTTACCAGACTCCTCTTCTCTCTTAGCTTACAGCCTGGATGTCTGTCACCAAATCCCTTTGAGCAGTGACTTGAGCCACCTGGTGGCAGAGGTATGAGGTCTGAGAGGGCAGCTGGAGAAGAGCATTCAGGGGAACAATTGTCTGTGACTGCAGCTGCAACAGCAGCTGGATAGCCTGCTGGCAAAGCCAGCCTCAGCCCCTCCTCTGTTAACCAGAACTTCCCAGCCAGCGCTGACCCTGGAAACAAGCAGCTGCTCCTCCAAGGTAGGAAGGAAAAGGGACTTAGAAAGCCCTTGGCCAGTGGGGAGATCACCAGGATGTCTGCCTGGTCCATGCTCCTTATGGTCAGGTTGAAATCAGAGATGCTCTAGTCTAGCAGCCTGAGTGAAAGCGTGGGATTTAGGTCAGACTGGGCTCCAGATTCTGAGTTTACCGCTTAGAGGTCGTTTGATTTGGGCAAGGTGTTTAAAGTCTCAGAGGTTTAAGCCTTAGTTTCCTTACATTTAAGATGAGGATAATAATAATATATACCTTATATGATTTTGACCATTAAATGAGATCATTTACAAGTGCTTGGCACACTAAGAATTGCTCAATAATTAGCAGCTGTATATGTTCATATCTTTTTCTTGGATTTGCTTGGTGCTTTAGTTTTAGCCAAGTGTTTTCACATATATAATTTCACCTGAAGTAAAGCAGGTTTTGCTATCTCTGTATTTCACATGAGAAAATTTAGGTCCTGAGATATTAACAGACAAGCGAGGCTTTAGAGAAGTTATAGACAAAGCCAGGATCAGAACCAGATGTTGTGATTTTCAGTCTGTGTTCCTTCCAGCTCATTGTGCCCTGTCTCAGTATTGCCGACCTTCCCAGATTCTCTAGTCCCCCTTTCCCTCACAGGTGGGGAACTCAACTGTGTGGCAAAATGTTCCTGCCCCTAAGGAAACAGGGCTCTGGGGAAGTCCTGGATGGTGGGTGATTTATTTCGGGCGGTCATCATTCGCTTTCTCTACCCCACCCCTTGCCTGCCTTTTCAGATAGGCGTGTTTGACCAGGTCCCCCTTCTCTTCTCAATATCCCCCATCAATCTCACTTCTCCCAGTTTTCATTGAAATGTCAATGGTGTCCCCCTAGTCTCTTAAATCATTCAATTTCTACTTCCTCTGTCCTTTTCTCCTTTTGATACACCGTTTAGTACACCATCTCCACTCACCTCCATGGCCATACCTTCAATTTTATTCAAATCAGGAACCACTTCTGTTCAGTTTCTCTAAAGCTGAGCTTTCAAACTCTCCTGCCAGCTATTTCTGGGTCATGTTAATCTTTATTTTTCTCTGGTTCTTGTAGATGCTCATTTATCTGACAGTAACCTTATTTGTCAAATGAAGGTGACAATAACATGATTATGCTGTTTTCAGCTTACATTAGGTGGATGCCTTGCCCTTCTCTGGGCTGCCCTGATGGTTGTGGTGTTCAGTGATGTCTCCAACTCTTCCTTCTTTCTAACCAGGCCTTCCTCTCTCTCTGGCTTCCCACACAGCAGCCAAGACTCAGCCCCACTGGTGCAGTCCCTGCCCATCTTTCTCTAGCACCCCTGAGGCCTGAGCTGGAAAGCAGGCACTGGGCCACACTTGCCTGAGTAGGACCTTTTCTACCTTCTTTGTGATATTTTCCAATTCCTCCACCATAGGGTTGCTTTTTAGTCTCCAGCAAGATGTTAACCCACCAAGCCCTCTCTCTCCGTTCTTCTCATACAAGTCAATTTCTTTCAGTATTACCTCATCAGAATGATGACTAGAATGTTGAGTTTAGTCCCCCATGAATCCATTCATTCCTTGATCCCTTGATTCTAGATTTTAATATGTACTATGTATATTTATACATATTACATTTAGTTACGGGGCATCGTATTAGATACCACACACAAATTATACTCAAGACTTGGTTTATAAAAATACACCTAATAATTTTTCAAACTAGAAGTTACATTCTCCTGGAACACCCCTCCTTTAAAGGAATATCTTTTTGTTCTGAAGAATGGAAACATTCTGAACTCAGTGACTCATGGGCTTTTGCTTTTGCTTGTGGGGTATGGATAATTCTGTAAGAGGAGAGTCCTGCCACCTTAGGTCTCAGTGGGGACGGCTAGGTGTGCATGTGCTTCATGTGCAGTGTGTTCCAGGGCTCCTGAAAACTGTGGTTGCCTTTACCCCCTAGATTCAGCTGTGTCCCCTCCAGTCCGGGATGTTGGTATGAATTCCCCAGCTCTGGTCCTCCCCAGCTCTGCTTCCTCTACTCCTGGCTCAGAAACGGCCATAATCAACAGAACACATGGTAAATATGGCAACTAAAGGGCCCAGGGACTGATGTTGGAAAGTGATTAATGCAAACAACCTTTTGTTGTCTCTAAACATATTATCTGTATTTAGAGAGTTTTCTCTGCATGCCCCAAGGCCTTTAGCCCTACTCCCTGCACCTTCTGTGGCTGCCTTTCTTGCCATTGTTCATCCTCCTGTAGTTTTCCTACTGCTGTTTTTGCTTCATTGCACCATAATCTCTCTATTCTTGAAAATGCTCTCTGTATCCAGCTTGACTTCCCTGTCTGTGTCTTCTCTACCCAGAAACTTATTATTTATGATTCATCCTATTTCATTTGCCAATAAGGAAAAAATTGTCTCCTGGCAAATTTATCATTAAAAGATAATGTAAGAAAGGTTATAAAAATATAGAAGCCAGAAGATCTCTATGGACTTTGCCCCACCCTTGTACATTCCAAGGCTTCCTTTCTTGTTCCCAGCCTCGTCCTTTTCTTGTTCCCTGCCTCTTTTTTAGTTGGAGCAAACTGAGGATATCATTATGAATAACAGAAGATTCTGTTGTGTTGTCATTTTCTTTTTCAGGCTTGGGTTTGGATACTTCTCCAGTAATGAAGGCCCCTCCCAAGCTGGAGGGTGATGCTACTGATGGCTCCTTTGCCAATAAGCATGGCCGCCATGTCATTGGCCACATTGATGACTACAGTGCCCTAAGACAGCAGATTGTGGAGGGCAAGCTGCTGGTCAAAAAGATAGTGTCTCTTGTGAGATCAGCGTGCAGCTTCCCTGGCCTTGAAGCCCAAGGCACAGGGGTAATCACACCTGAAGCTTTAGGTGCACTCTTTTCTTGTGCCCTTTCTTCCTTTGATGTTAACTCCTTCTCCCACCATTTTTGTTTTTTCATGCTTTGCATCTCTCAACAGCTGAGGCTTCCTCTTCCATGCATAGCAGCCAGGCCCTTTCTTCTCTATCTCCTATTTTCACTGTGAGTTCTGCTCTGTTCCAGATGTAGCTGACTGGATATTTCCCCTCAGCCCCACAGAAACAGGTGGCATTGCCTAGCAGCCTTTGGTAGCTTATTATCTACCACAGTCATGCAGGCACATGACCATATGTGGGCAGAGTCAACTCAATGGGATGGACAGAAACTGAAGGATTTGCAGGTGTATGGCCCCCACATGTGGAAGGGGTGAGAAGCCTGGCAGCCAAGGCATTTCCTTGTGCAGACTGCATAGGGGAGGGAAGGCAGTCAGCGAAGCTTCTGAGAGCACCTTGCCAGTGAGAGAGACCAGGAACCTGTGGCTATGCTGTCTGAGCTGCTGGAGACCCATGGATGCATAGGGACAGCCCTGCCTCCATGGAGCCCCCACACTGGAATGCAAGACACACACCCAAGTAGATAAGCACAGTACGGGGCTACAGGCGCAGTATGAGAAATCATCCTCTGTGCTGTGAGAGCACCAATGCAAATGTGGTCATTTATCTCAGGCAAGGAAGGTAACAGATTCATAGAGGACATAGCAAGGGGGGTGAGTTTTGAAAGCCTTGTGGGTTCTGCAGGTGGAGGAAGGCATTCCTGGTAAAAGGAGCAGCACCTTAGTTCTGAGAGCTGCAAATGGTTGTGCGAGGGCTTCACAGGTTCAAGCAGGCCCATGTTCTGCACCTCACTCACAAAGGAAGCTTGAGCCCACGCAGGGGGAAAAAAGTAATCTCTCCGCTCCTGTGGTGTTACCTTTCCCCAGGTGCTAGGCAGCAAAGGCATTCATGAGCTTTGGAGCAGCACCAGTGCCCTGCACCATGCCCTAGAGGAGTCGGCTTCCCTCCTCACCATGTTCTGGAGAGTGGCCCTGCCAAGCACCCACATCCCTGTGCTGCCTGGCAAAGTGGTAAGACGCCAGTGTCCTTTCTTGGTTCAAACCCAGTTCTCCTGCCCTCCAATACTGTTCTGTCTCCTCAGTGTCACAGCTTTTCCAGAAAATCAGGAGCCACACAGTGAATTGGGATAGACAGGAACTTAGAGGAGTGTCCCTGGAGGGACATCTCTGACCCTTGGTGGCTGCTTTCATTGCAGCTCTAAATACATCCCATTCCCCACCAGCCCCCTGACCCCTGGATAAGAAATCAAAGAAGAGGAGGAAGGAGTGTGGAGAAGGCGGAGACATCATAACCCTGGCAATCCATAAATGTTCAGTTTCTTTACCTCTCTGAAGTTTGGATGAGCTGAAATTCAGTTAAAGCTTTAGCACATCTCCCACCCCACAGGTCCCGTGGTCAAATGATCACAGAATGCCCCCATGAGACTGAGCCTTTTTAGCCACTGCCTGGAATCCCAACATACAACTTAAGCTGGCATTGCTGGACCAGGCCTGGGGAAAGTCAGCCTCCCCTCAGGATCTGCTCAGAGCTCAGGCTAACTCTGATTGGCAGACCCTCATGTAGGCAGGTTTCAGGATCCCCTCCCCAGGGATTCTACTTCCAGGTCAATGGCACCAATACCTTTTGGATCCAACTATGCTAATTCCAGGGAGAGGGTGTTGTGCCATCTTCATGTTGGCACAAATATTTACAAACTTGCAAACTTTCCTGAGTCCAGATCTCTCTCCCCAGCATAACACTTCTGAACTCTCAATCTTACCTGTGAAGGGAGAGTGACAGAACTGATATCAGGACTAAAGCAAGGTCCTCTTCAGAGTTGGGAGTTTGATACCAGCCTGAGGCGAGGTTCTCTTAAGCTACAGGTGTGTAGGCCTGTGCTAGTCTGCATGGGGAATTCCAGAGTCTCATTATTCCTGCCTAATGGCCTCATCCTAAACTGTCCTCAGCTGGAGGTATTCAAGGCTGTGAAGGAGGAAATCCAGTTCAGGAGGGTTGAGAAGATTGTAGAATCCTTTGAACTGGAAAGAGCCACAAAGCACAGGGTGCTTTATGTCTTCTGCCTGGTCAGTAAGAGTCTGTTCCTCTTATCCAGAGAGAATCGACAGAAAGGGAACTTCTAGAACTGAGAACCAAAGTATCCAAACAGGAGTGGCTCCTTCAGAGCACAGCTGAGCATCTGAAGATCGCCAACCAGCAGAAAGAGAGCATGGAGCAGTTCATCGTCAGCCAGCGTAGGTTCCCTGAGAGGGAATGGGGGAAGAAACGGGCAGTCTTCCCGATGCCCCACTTGTGCTGCTGATGAGCAGTGACTGGGGGGCTTGGGGATGTTGGGAGTTGAGGCTGATTTGATGTCCCCAAACCTCCTGTGCCCCGAGCAGTTGTGGATGCAGAGGGAGGGGAGGACAGGGGGTGGATAGCAGGAAACTCCAAGCTGAATGGCCAGAGAGAAATAAATGCTTTAGCATTCTCATGCTAAGCAAGTAGGGTTAATTTCTGCTGATGATTTCTACTCTGTGGTGCTCTTTTGTTGTTTCAGTAACCAGAACACATGATGTTTTAAAGAAGGCAAGGACTAACCTAGAGTTAAGGAAACTACTGCACCAGTCAGAGGCACCAAGCCTGTCCCCAACCCATCACCATCTGTTAGCAGATCTTGTAGGTGACGCTTGGCCTGCTTTCGCCTTCCAGGAGAAGATTTCCAGTCCACTTGTAAGATCACAGGTCCTCAGTGGGCTTCCTGCTAGTTTCTGTTCCCATCACCCTCCCACCCCATCAGCTCCTGCCCCTGTATCTTGGTTCACTCTCACATTGTCCTCATCTCTCCTTTTTACTCCAATTTTTCTTCGTTGATGCCAGGTCAGGAGACTGGAGAAATGCAATTCAGCTCACTCTGGAAGTCATTAGACATTTGGGAGTCTGCCTCTGAATGAGCTTTTGGTAGAGGGATCTTGAGGCCAGTTATGTGTTCTACTCTTCATGAAAAAGTAAAAGCAATTTGCAACCTAATAAACTGATTTCACTGCACACTCCTGGGTTAAGAACAGCAATTTGATTTTGATATTTCTTTAAGTAACACGACAAAAGAGATCTGTTGGGTCTCATTTGTCTAAAAGAGAATTTGTTAATAAATAACAACTGAACCTTCAGGGGAAAAATGTTATATATATATCAGACATTATCTACATTTACTTAAAACACTAAGTGTTTAATCATTCCCTAGGAATTGCTTTGAAGAAAAACTTGAGGTATATGAAATGGTTTAAAAATCAGAAACTAAACCTTTTAACGTGGACTTCAAAGCTTTGCCATAAGCAATTGAGCATATTCCTAGAAATGTTTCTAAACCATAACCTGAGAGAATGTTGATCTCCATAGTGTGAAAATGACTTGGGCCAGTTTAACTTGCACTTTTTTTTTTCTAAACTAATTCCGTTTTGTTTTTCTCTGATAATTCTTCTCTTTCCTGAGCCTCTTTAGAGCAGCACTTACAGGATTGCCTCTGTAAAGCCTTATTCCTGTCCCAGAAAAGGTAATCCAAAAAGTCTCTAGTATCCACTGAAAGGTAACCCAAATGTTTCTAGTATCCACTGGTTTTCTCCAGTGTGGAAGCTTTCCCCTCCACCTCCCACAGATCACTGGAAAGGACCAGAGGCCTCGGTCCTAATCCCTGGCTTATCACTAACTGGTGTGTGGCTTTGGCTTGTCCCTTAGTCTCTGTGAGACTGCTGCACCCTCACCTGTCAAAGATGGAACTGGACTTAGTTGAGCTCTGAGGTCCCTGTGGACTTGGCCCCTCCACATCCTCATTATGGCGACTGGACATAAACTTAACAGAGGACTTCCCTGCAGAGTGTCCTCTTCTTCCTACAACAGGCTGCTTCTATATGTGCATGTTTCATGCTAAGCACTTCTTTCTTGGGTGGAGATGACAAAGGCCCCTTTCTGCTGAGACAAAGTGATTTGGAGAGTCACTTGGCCCCTGAAGAGGGAGTGGTAGGATCCAGCCACCCAGTGTGCAGTGAATTGGAGCAGGGATCTCAGGACACAGGGAGGTGGGGAGGCTCCCCCTAACCTCGGGCACCTGTTGCTTCTCCAGACTGCAGTGCATGCTCTTAGCTCATCCTCTTAACTGGCTCTCACTGTGCTCCTGGCTTTGGTCACCCCATAGTTCTCACTCCAGCTTCGGGTAGCCATCAGTAGGGCCTGGCAATATACACTGATTTGGTTTGTTTTATGTTTGTCTGCAGGTGAAATCCCTAAGGGCTCTGCCATGTACTCCAGCCTTGTGACCCTTGCCTTCCAGGAACCATGCAAGAAGCGCAGCCACCGGAAGTCCTTAAAACAGCAGGAAAGGTTGGCCTGTCCCCCTTTTGTGCAGCTACCTATCTGCTGAGGAGCATCTGGGCCTCATTCCTCCAAGTCCACTGGAGGGTCCAGAAGAGGGAGTCAGAGTTGTATCCTGGTGGAGCTGGCAGAAAGGCAGAAAGCCTTTCTGACAGCTATGGAATACGATTAGCCAAGGTCCACTTGGCCCAGCACTAAGAAAAAGATGCGTAGTTTGCACAGAAGGTTTTGTGATCCTGCCTCTCAACAGCCCCAGCAGCTTGGGAACTAGCAAGAGCACATTTCTTGCCTCATCAGCTGTCCTGAGATGGAAAACTCAGTGAATATAGGACCCTGATTCTGATGAATGGGGCACGTGGTCCTATTGCTGGAGCTCCTCTGGCAGGTTCTAAAAGCACACTACGGAGCAGCGGTGCCCTGCCAGACACTGCTCGTGGGGGCTCAGTGAGCACTACTCACAGATCCACACCTGACCCTGTTGGGTCAAGTCAGGCTGGGTTTTGGTCTGCACTGTAGCACCTGCGTTCTTTGAGTTCACATCATGAATGTGGTGACTTCCCAGATACCATCTCAGGCTTAACCTAGCACATCCTATTTCTTTTCTTCTATGATATCCAAATTGGACTGACCTCACTTCAAATATCTTGTCCCATTTTGTCGTCCTATCTTACCTCGGGGAAATTGGGGACTGATGGCCAGACCAATTCTGTTGAAATTCTTGCATAGAGCAAACCTGTGCTCATTTTTAAGTGGCATGGGAGAGGCCCCCAGCCATAGTAAAGCCTAGTCTGTGTCTTCACAGTTTTGATAGAATGTGCTTGTGTGTATAGATGTATGATACAGATTTATTTATGTTGCTATCGCCATATATTGAAGGCCAACATAACTGGTGGACAGGGTGGGTGACAGAAAATGAAAGTCTTTTTGGTGATTATTAAAGCAAGATGTGTATAAAGAAATAAATAGTTTTTCTTTCACTGCTTTGTTTCCCATTTCTGCCCCAATTCCTTGACAGTATAAAGAACTGGAAAGAGAAAATGGGAAAGACAAACTGTGTTTAAGAAGTGCACAGTCTAATGCTTGAACTCTAACTTTAAAAGATTAAGGTTTTCCTTCTTTGTCATTTTGTAAGAATCCCCAGTCTGAAAATATGAAAGAATGGTTCTTAAACTTGGTGTACCTTAGAAGCAGCTGTGGAGATTATAGGAACTACCTCCTGGTCTCCAATCCCAGGAGATTTAGTTGGTGTGAGCCCTAGAATCTGCATTTTTTTAATATAAGCACCCCAGGTGATTCCATTACATGTGGGCTGCAGATAACAGTTTAAAAAAACAGTGTTCTATAACATTGAATCAAAACTAAAACTACATTTAAGAACCTTGAATCAAAAAGTATGTCATTCCATAAACATTGATATAAAAATTTTAAAATATTCCTTGGGAAAAGTTCTTAGCTACATGCTTTTGATCCCCAAGATTAAAATAAACGTATCACTTCACAATTATTTACTAGAAACATTTAAAAAATAAACAGGTAAAAGGTGGAGTAAGATGGTAGAATAGAATTCTCCAGCAATGGTCTCCCTGAAGGAACATCAAATTGAACAACTATCTATGCAAGAAAACACTCTCACGAGGGCTAACCAGGTGAGAGATCATAGCACCTGGTTTTAACATGATAACAAGAAAAGATGCATTGAAGAAGGGAGGAAGGACAGTCTTGCATTGCCTATGACACCTCTCCCCCAACCACAGGAAATTCTCTGAGAGAGAATCTAATGGCTTGGGGACAAAGAGGAAAATGTGGGACTTTATATTGAAACTTAGTCTTGCCATAGTGACACATGACACTGGACAGAACCCCACAGCACTTGATTCCAGGCTGGTGCCCACAAAAGAAGCATTTAGACCCACCCTGGGCCACAGGGGAATCAGCTACCCCAGGAGGAAGAACCCACCAAAATTCTGGCCAGCTTTATCACTGGAAATTTATTGGGCTACAAATAAATTTCAGTGGCAGGCAGGCTGTAGTGGCCGCAGTCCTTGGGCAAGCCCTGATGCTGCATAGGTCTGGAACACCCTGGACTTGTGGTGTGAGCCAGTATGACGGCAGCAGCTGCAGCAGCTATGGAAATGCCTGTATCACACCTCCCCACACTCCAGGCAGTGCAGCCTGAAGAGAGATTCCTTTTGCTTGGGGGAAAGAAAGGAAAGTAAGCTAGGGGCTTTACCTGGGAATGCAGAGAATAATCCCTGATCTTTCCCAAGTCCACAGGGCTGGAGACCTAACAATCTGTAAGAATTGCAGTGTACCTGGGCCTAGGGTGCCCTGTAGTACAAAAATGGCTGCAGTGATCACTGGCTTAGGGAACTCGTCAGCCCACTTTGAATTCCTGGAAGGTCCTCTGAAGGACAGGTAGAAACAAGACCTGACTGCAAAGGCTGGAATAAATACCTTATCCTTCAATGCCCAGATATTGACAAACATCAACAGTATCAATAACATTGAAGCCAATATGACCTCAACAAATGGACCAAGTAAGGCACTCAGTGACAAACCCTGGAGAGATGGAGATGTGTAACCTCTCAGGGAATTCAGAATAGCTATTTTGAGAAAGCTCAATGAACTTCAAGAAAACACAGAGAAACAATTCAGAAATATATAAGAAATTTAACAAGATTACTGAAGTAAGAGAAAAAAATCAAATGCTGGAGCTGGAAAATGCATTAGTGGGTCTCAGTAGAATTGATCAAGCAGAAGAAAGAATTAGTGAGCATGCAAACAAGCTATTTGAAAATACAGTCAGAGGAGAAAAAAGAAAAGAAGAATGAGCAGGAACACAGAATGCTTAAGAGATCTAGAAGAGGGCCTGAAAAGAGAAAATCAAAGATTCATTGGCCTTAAAGAGGGAGTTGAGAAGGAGCAAAGAGTAGAACGCTTATTCAAAGAAATAATCTTTTTTTTAAAAAAATACTTTAAGTTCTAGGGTATATGTGCACAACGTGCAGGTTTGTTATATAGGTGTACGTGTGCCATGTTGGTTTGCTGCACCCATCAACTCATCATTTACATTAGGTATGTCTCCTAACGCTATCCTTCCCCCAGCCTCCTACCCCACAACAGGCCCCAGTGTGTGATGTTCCCCTCCCTGTGTCCATGTGTTCTCATTGGTCAACTCCCACTTAAGAGTGAGAACATGCGGAGTTTGGTTTTCTGTCCTTGTGATATTTTGCTGAGAATCACGATTTCTAGCTTCATGCATGTCCCTGCAAAAGACATGAACTCATCCTTTTTTATGGCTGCATAGTATTCTTTGGTGTATATGTGCCACATTTTCTTTATCTAGTCTATTATTGACGGACATTTGGGTTAGTTCCAAGTCTTTGCTATTGTGAATAGTGCCTCAATAAACATAGGTGTGCACATGTCTTTATAGTAGCATGATTTATAATCCTTTGGGTATTCACCCAGTAATGAGATTGCTGGGTCAAATGGTATTTCTAGTTCTAGATCCTTGAGGAATTGCCACACTGTCTTCCACAATGGTTGAACTAATTTATACTCCCACCAAGAGTGTAAAAGCGTTCCTATTTCTCCACATCCTCTACAGCATCTGTTGTTTCCTGACTTTTTAATGATCATCATTCTAACTGGCATGAGTGGTATCTCATTGTGGTTTTGATTTGCATTTCTCTGATGACCAGTGATGATGAGCATTTTTTCATATGTCTGTTGGCTGCATAAATGTCTTCTTTTGAGAAGTGTCTGTTCATATCCTTTGCCCTCTTTTTGATGGGGTTTTTTTTTTTTCTTGTAAATTTGTTGAAGTTCTTTGTAGATTCTGGATATTAGCCCTTTGTCAGATGGATAGATTGCAAAAATTTTCTCCCATTCTGTCGGTTGCCTGTTCTCTCTGATGATAGTTTCTTTTGCTGTGCAGAAGCTCTTTAGTTTAATTAGATCCCATTTGTCAATTTTGGCTTTTGTTGCCATTGCTTTTGGTGTTTTGATCATGAAGTCTTTGCCCATGCCTATGTCCTGAATGGTATTACCTAGGTTTTCTTCTAGGGTTTTCATGGTGTTATGACTTACATTTAAGTCTTTAATCCATCTTGAGTTAATTTTTGTGTAAGGTGTAAGGAATGGATCCAGTTTCAGCTTTCTACGTATGGCTAGCCAGTTTTTCCAGCACTATTTATTAAATAGGGAATCCTTTCCCTATTGCTTGTTTTTGTCATTTTGTCAAAGATCAGATGGTTGTAGACGTGTGGTGTTATTTCTGAGGCCTCTGTTCTGTTCCATTGGTCTATATCTCTGTTTTGGTACCAGTACCATGCTGTTTTGTTTACTGTAGCCTTGTAGTATAGTTTGAAGTCAGGTAGCATGATGCCTCCAGCTTTGTTCTTTTTGCTTAGGATTATGTTGGCTATGAGGGCCCTTTTTTGGTTCCATATGAAGTTTAAAGTAGTTTTTTTTCCAGTTCTGTGAAGAAAGTCAGTGGTAGCTTGATGGGGATGGCATTGAATCTATAAATTACCTTGGGCAGTATGGCCATTTTCATGATATTGATTCTTCCTATCCATGAGCATGGAATGTTCTTCCATTTGTTTGCGTCCTCTTTTACTGATTGTTTGCTGAAAGTTTGCTGAATTCGCTTATTAACTCTAGTAGTGTGTGTATGTGAGTGTGTGTGTGTGTGTGTGTGTGTCTGGCCTCTGTGTGCATGTATGTGTGTTTGCATCTGTAGGTATTATTTGGGATTTTCTATGCATAGGATCACACCATCTGCAAATTGAGATCATTTTGTTTTCTGTTCAAAAATACTTTTTCTCATGTTTATTTTTAAAAGATAATTTGGCCAGGTGTAGAATTGTAGGTGACAGTTTTTCTTTTTTTTAAGTACTTTATTGCAAACTTCTTGTTTGTATGAGAAATCTTATGCCATCATTATATTTAGTGCTCTGTATGTAACATGTTCTTTCCCTTTTTATTCTTCTTAGGATTTCCTTTTTATCACTGGTTTTGATGGATTTGATTAAGGCGTTCCTTGGTGAAGTTTTCTTCATGTTTCTTGTTCTTAGAATAATCATATTTCTGTAATATTTGAAGTTTATGGTTTCCATGGAGCTTCTAAATCTTTCATCCAGTATGTTTTAAATATCTTTGTCTCTCTTCTCCACTACACGCCCTTCAGGGATTCCATTTAGCCCTATACTAGGGGGTTTAAAGTTTTGATGCCGATGGTCTTTTTATGTTTTCATGTCATTTGTTACTGTGTGTTTGATTTATGTTAGTTTCAACTTGTATTCCTTCTAGTTCAATAATCTTCTCTTCTGCAATGTTTAATCCACTGCCTTCTTCCATTTCAGACTGTAAATCATACTTTTTATTTACAGAATTTGATATTTAAAAAATCTTCAACCTCCCTATTTAATTAAAATACAATTATACTAACTGCTCTAATGTTCTTTTCTTCTATTTCCAACATGTCTGTCAATTTCAACTAGATTATTAGATTCTTCATTATGTGTCATGTTTTCCTGCTTCTTTGGCTGCTTGATATTCTTTTATTTTTATTTATTTTTTTTTGCGGGGGGATAGCGTTTTGCTCTCGTTGCCCAGGCTGGAGTGCAATGGTGTGATCTCAGCTCACTGCAACCTCCACCTCCCAGGTACACAAGCGATTCTCCTGTCTCAGCCTCCCAAGTAGCTCAGATTACAGGCATGCACCATCATGCCTGGCTAATTTTTTTGTATTTAGTAGAGATGGGGTTTCACCATGTTAGTCAGGCTGGTCGTGAACTCCTGACCTCAGGTGATCCATCTGGCTGCTTGATATTCTAAGATTTGATGCTGGAACTTTGGTGTCAATGCTCAAAATGCCCAAAGACACCACTCAACCTCAGTGTCTATGCACACCCAAGCTTTTGCAGCAGGACAGGTAGAGCACAGATGAGTGTGCTACAACATGCTGGTAGAAGGTACCCCCAATTGTGCTTGGGGATTTCCTATTCCTCATGCAAAAATGTGTCTTCCTTAATTTTTCCCATAAGAACCACCCTACTTCATGCCCTGTCTCTCTGTCCAAACACCAGGACAGTCCTCTCACCAGTCTCAACCACCCAATGGATTGACAAAGGTGCAAATATGATTCAGTGGAGAAGGCATTCTCTTGTCAACAAATTGTGTAGAAACAACTTTTTTTACACAATTTGTTTTTCTTTATCCCCATAGGAAAAAAATTCACCTGAACCTCAATACTAACTCAAAAATTAACTCAAAATGGATTATGCAACTAAATATAAACTATAAAACTAGAAAAAGTATAGCAGAAAATATAAGACAAAATCTTCATGACACAGAGTTAGGCAAAGTGTTCTTTATTATCAATAAACACAAACCATTGAAGAAAACATTGATAAATTCGACTTTATAAAAATTAAAAGTTTTTGCTCAACAGTATTAAGAGAACAAATATAAGCTGCAGTTTGGGAGAAAAACAGTGGAAATCACCAATATGACAAAGGGCATGTGTGATAGTTACTTGTAGTTGTCACTGTGACCGAGCACCAGGGTGCCAGGACATTTGGCCAAACATGATTCTGGTTGTGTTCCAGAGAGTCTTTCAGATACGATTAACATTGGGATGGGCAGACTAAGTGAAGCAGATTGCCCTCCTTAATAGGGGTGGGCCTCATGCAATCAATCAAGGGCCAGGAGAGAATTAAGAGGCCTAATGGGAAACAAATGCTTTCCTGGATATCCAGCTTTCCTTCCATCTTGGGAATTTCAGCCTCCATAATCTCAGAAGCAAATTCATGTATATATATACACACACATATACATTTCATAGGTATGTGGCTAAGATTGTATTTTTACAAGTTCAGCCATGAGATGATTGGTGAAGCCAGCCAATGAATAAGGGTGTGTTCTATTATACGATTCAGTCTTCTTTTGTAAACGATTGAAGTTCTGCATTTGAAGTAGGAGGATAGGAGGGAGCAAGTCCACCTAGGATGATAACAGCTGAATTTCTCAACTTACACTTCAGAGCCATAGGGGTCAACTTAGAGACTCAAAAATCTCACCCATAATCCTGCCCTAAACACCAGGGCTAGGGAACACTGTGGCCCTCAGGTGATTTTCTTTAGCCAGGACTGGGAGCCACACGACGGCAGAGGGAGCAGGAAACACTATGCAAATAGAGGCCAGGACAGCAGGGAGGGCCTGTTCATGATAGAACCCAGGCAAAACTCTCCTCAGAAAGCGAGTGTGGAGAAACATAGATCATGCCTGAGACCTGGTGGATTAGAGCACTGGCTACTGGGGAATTGAAAGGAAGGGGCTTCACCGTGCAGAGGACCAGAGGTGCCAATCTTGGAAATGCAGAATTGCTGGGAGATGGGGAGGCACGGACCATGGAAGTATCCTCTGGAGACTCATGGCGAAGAGAACAAATGAATGAAGTAACTGGCAGAAATTAGAGGTCCTGGTAGAACAAAATAGAATCCCACAATGAGAACATACACCATGTATGTCCCCCAAGGATGACAATATCTCCTAAAAGCTCCAGAAAAATCATTTTGGACAAGCACCTTATATCTAGTAATGTGATCCATGTATCGAGACCGTGAGAAAAGATTATTAAACATGCTAAACTCAGCGAGACCTGATTCCCTCATGAGGACTCTGTTAAGGATGAGTACCACTCAGCAAGTGATGACAGTGACATTCACTTTTGAATAGCTCATGAGCGTTAATATATTTCATTATGGATCTAAACCACAATGGATAAAAACCAAGGTAGGGGCAGGATGATAATCACAGAATGTCACCGGTATATGTTTAGGTTCAAATACTATTATGAGAAGTGGCAGGTAAAGGAGGTAGGAAAAAGAAAACACATCATGTAATTGACTGTTGTATGGAAATATTTGATGCTGAAAGTTATAATTTAAAACTATAAACCAAATATTAGAAGTGTGTCTAGTTCAAAGGGAGGAAAACCATCAAAAACATTTTTAGTGCAATATTTAACATGAGCTATACAACCCTTCCTAAATGCCAAAGGCACACACAGACACACACACAGACACACACACACACACACACTCACGAAGAATACAAATGACTAGAACCAAGAAATGTAAATACATTCTGCTACGTATGGTAAACATAGCCTACAATGTGGAAGAGATTAGAAAATAAACATGGAAATGAAATGTTTTTATTAATTCGCATCAGTACCCACCAAAACCAATCAGCATAATCAAATATTATAACACTGAATGTAAAAAACAATCCAAAAGTCCAGAGTGATAGGCAAAAGGTTTTAATTGTATAGATTAAAATTAACTTTGGACAAAAATTAAAACTCAGGCAAAGAATGTTTTCTTCTTTTTGCAACAGCAGACACTAGTAAAAACAAAGGCACAGTAAAAATTGAGACCCAAAATTTGCAGCGTAGAGATATGAATATAATAATAGACACAGGCAGGGAGGATTAATAAATGATAAAATGTTTAGAGGATGATCATTAGAATACAGGATATTTATACTCTTGAAAACCACTTTCCCAAGTACTTCATTATAAGTAAGGTGTCTCTAAAAGGGACAGATCTCCTAGACCCCTCCTTAACCAAGTAACCAGTCCTGATATCATAATGGTGTTGGACAAACTAGACCTTCTCTGCCCGCAGATGGGCTGAGGTTGGAAACTCACAGCATTGTCTCTGCAGTGTTCCCGTCAAAAAGTTTAGGCTGAATTTAATTATGAAGACATTTTCAGACAACTTCAGAATGTAGATCATTGAGCCAGACAGCTGACCTGTCCTCTATAAACAAGTCCATGTCACCACCATCCATGACAACAACAAAAAGATGAGGAAATATTTGGGGTTCAAAATAACTAAAGAAATGCAGCTACATTATCTTTTTACTTTTTTTCAACCCAAAATATCTCTTCTCCTTTTTGTTGTGTGATTTGTGGTGATATGGACTATGTGAAGGAGACAGGTCAGTTGTCCTGCTCAGTGTTCTACATTCTGCAGTTGTCTGGTGATTACCTCCTATGAAACTCAGGCTAAGCGTTTTCTGCAAGAACATGGCATTGCTCATATTCTGCACCGGCAGAGTCCTGGGTGACATGCTGTCTCCTGCCAGCGGCTCCTGACTCCTGTTCTCTACAGGATGGAATTGAGAGGAGCAGGGCTAAGGCCTCCCAATGCTGTTTGTCCATCTAGCTGTGGTCTTCCTAAGTACTGACACCAATTGGAGGCTGAAGGACTGTGGCTTCTCTAACCAAAGGAGCCTAGCGGGTTAACAATTGTCAAGAGCAGTTGGTGGTTCTGAAATACAATCCTCAGCCAAGGATCCCTCCTGTGTTACAGATGGATCAGCTAAAACAAGCCAACACTGAAGACACAAAGAATGAGGTTAGGTTCATTGAAACCAGGGTAACACCTTTGGATGAGCTAAACACAAAGATGACACTGACCTTGAGCAGGTATAGAAGCTCAGAGACATGCCTGCAAAATGAAATCCCTGAGGAATTTTGTAGCTACCCAGAGATACGTGGTTCAAATTAAAATGTCCGACTGATCACTCCCGGCATGTGCTGCACAGTTATGTGAACGTGTCACACCTAACGTGGGTCCATTGTCTTCAGACTGAGCACAGGTTGCCACTGGCATGCTCTGAGAATAGGAATAGAGCCATGCCCACTGACCCATCCTATGTCTGGGCTTCCAAATGGAACTATAGTTTCATTCAAATCTTCAGGTGCCTATAGGTCCTGCCTGCAGGAATGACACCTCTCGGCTTAGTAAGGGCTGCTTATTGTGGGAATATGACTCCCATCTGGAAGACCAGGTGGAGACTTCTCACCGTCAAAGTAAAAAACCTATTGTCCATGTCAAGGGCAAAGCTGATGTGCTGTTCCTCAAATGAGTAAAACACACTTCTGTAGTGCTGGAATGAGTCAGGTAGTTCAAAGTACATTGATGGAGTCGAATAATATCTATCCAGTGAGTCCTGTAAGACTTCAGGCACTTCCACTTCCATCAGCACGCTGCTGAGCCTGGAAAAGGAGACAAAACTAAAGAAGCAGCCAGGGAAAATCAGACACCACAGAGCCCCACTAGATTTCAGAAGTAACATAAGGAAGTGGTTGGAAAAGAAAAAGGACAGATCCATTAATGAGGTAACAAATTATTGCCTTTATGTTGGGATAGAACAGGGCCAGGTAGAAAACAATGAAAGAGAAAGACAGAGAGAGAGAGACAGAGACAGAGACAGAGACAGAGACAGAGACAGAGAGAAAGTGAGCTAGTGAATTGGCCAGGTGACATACTGGTAAGGGAGTCAAAGGACACTCTGACTTAGTGCCCTCATGACACACAGCAAACTGTGATCATGAAAAGAGTGAGCTCAATAGTTTTCCATAAAATATGCTCAAAATTCGATGCAGTGGCCATGAGAGTACAGCTTTTGAAGTATGGTCCACCTATGGTACGTTAGTAAATGATAAGGGGAGGAAGAAATGGAAACCTAAACATCTACTGCAATGAAAACCAACAACAATGACAGTAGGAGTAATTCAGCCTTCGTTGAAAACATGACATCAAACACACTCTGGTTTCCCTGAATCTGTTGCCTCCAGGTGTTAACACAGAATTAAGCATCCACAATTGCTGAAAGTTACCTGGGGCATGGTGGGTTTTGATCTTCTTCCCCTTCTTTTCTTCCCCTTCTTCTTTTCTTCTTTGATCTTCTTCCCCTTCTTTTCTTCCCCTTCCCCTTCTTTTCAATTTCTGCAATAAATTCAGACATGGACAGACACATTAAGCTGATTCCCCTACACACATAACAATCCACTGTCTAATCCTCACACAGGGACCTCAGGCTCCTCAGCATAAGAATAGGACACTGTGAGAGATATATTTCAGGAGGCCTGAAGGCTGGTCGTGATAGAAATTCCTCGGTTTTTCTCCCAGAAACTCTGGGTAAAATGTCCCTATTCTAGTAGATCATTATCCCAATATCATTTGTCCCAAGTTTGTGCAAACAGTTATGCCTTATTTTTCCAATCAATTTAAAGCAAATACCCTCAAATGATTTCTAGGAGAAAAACTGCAATATTTAGCCCTGTCTCATCAAATACTCAGATTGTTCATGGTTGTGAGGACTCCAGACACTGAAATTAGAGTGAAAAAGGAAATCTACAAACCCTCGAGTCAAAATCATAGTTCTCTGAATTTGTCACATCTGCCCAGGTCCAATGTCATGAGAGTAGAATCAGAGTGCCACAGGCATGGCCTGAGACTAGGAAGAGAGCCATGCTCACTGACCCATCCCATGTCTGGGCTTCCAGGTAGAACTAGAGTTTCATTCAACCTACATGTGCCTATAGGTCCTCACTGCGGCAATGACATCTCTCAGCTCAGTAATGGCCACTTGGAGCAGGAATATGATCTTTATATGGAAGACTCAGTGGATCCTTATCACCTTCATAGAAAGGTACTCACCTCCCACGTCAAGAGAAAAGCCAACATGTTTTTCCTCCAATGCATAAAAGGAACTTCCGTAGGGCTGGCAGGAGTCAGGCTGTTCAAGACAACTGGAAGGAGTTGAATAACATCCAGTGAGTCCTGCAAGACTTCAGGCTCTACTACCTCCAGCAGCTCCCTGCTGAGCCTGGAAAAGGAGGAAAAAGTAAAGAATAAGCCAGGGGAAATCACACACAACAGAGCCCCAACTAGGTTTCATGGGTAGCATAAGGAAGTGGTTAAAAAAGTAAAAGGATAGATCTATTAATGAGGTAACAAATTATTGCCTTCATGTTGGGACAGAACAGGGCCAAATGGAAAAGAATGAAAGAGAAAGACAGACACACACACACACACACACACACAAACACACACACAAAGACACACACACACACTGAGAGAGAGAGAGAAAACGAGCTCAGTGAATTGTCCAGGTGACACACTGATGAGGGAGTAACAGGACACTCTGAGTTAGTGCCCTCAGGACACACAGCATACAGTGATCATGAAAAGACTGTGCTCAATAATTTTCCATAAAATGTGCTCAAGTTTCCATGCAGTCACCATGAGAATACAGTTTTTGAAGTCTGGTCCACCTGCAGTAGGTTAGTAAATGATAAGGGGAGGAAGAAATGGAAACCTAAATATCTACTGCAATGAAAACCAACAGCAATGTTAGTAGGAATAATTCAGGCTTGGTTGAAAAGATGTAATCGATAATGTCAGCCCGCTCTGTTTTCCCTGAACCAGGAGTCTCCAGATGTCAACACAGAAGTAGCTGTTCACAATTGCTCAGTTACCTGGGGCACGGTGGGCCTTGGTCTTCTTCCTCTTCTTGGTCCTTTTTAATTCCTGCAATACATTCAGACAGGGACAGACAAAATAAGCCAATTCACCTACACCCATAACAGTCCACTGTCTAATCCCCACACAGGGATCTCAGGCTCCTCAGCATGAGAACAGGACAATGTGAGGGATATACTTCAGGAGGCCTGAAAGCTGGTCATGATATTCTTTGGTTTGCATCTCAGAACCAAGGGTGAAATATCCCTATTCTGGTAGATCGTTATCCCAAAATCATTTATCCCAAGTTTGTGCAAACAGTTATGCCTTATTGTTCCCATCAGTTCAAAGAAAATGCCCCAGAGGATTTCTAGGAGGAAAACTAAAGTATTCAGCCCTGTCTCATCAAATGCCCAGCTCGTTCACGGATGCAAGAATTTTAGACACTGAAATTACAATGAAGGAGGAAATCTACAAACCCTTGAGTCCAAATCATAGTTCTGTGAATTTTTTACATCTGCCTGGGTCCAATGTGCTGAGAGTGGGCTCAGGTTGCCATAGGCATGGCTGGAGACTAGGAATAGAGCCTTGCTCACTGACCCATTTCATGTCTAGGCTTCCAGCTGAGACTACAGTTTCATTACAACCTATATGCACCCATAGGTCCTGCCTGTGGCAATGAAGTCTCTCGGGTCAGTAAGGGCCACTTGGAACAGGAATATCACCCCTATCTGGAAGGCCAGGTGGAGGCTTATCACCTTCATAGTAAGGTACTCACTGTCCACGTCAAGAGCCAAGCCAAGGTACTGTTCCTCCAATGAGTAAACAGCACTTCTGTAGGGCTGGCCTAAGTCAGGCAGTTCAAGATAACCTGAAGGAGTCGAATAACATCTATCCAGTGAGTCCTGCAAGACTTCAGGCTCTTTCTCAGCCAGCAGCTCCCTGCTGAGCCTGGAAAAGTAGGAAAAAGTAAAGAATAAGCCAGGGGGAATCAGAAACCACACAGCCCCAGCTAGATTTCATGGCTAACATAAGGAACTGTTTAAAAAGAAAAAGGACAGATCCATTAATGAGGTAATGAATTATTGCCTTTATGTTGGGATAGACCAGGGCCAGGTAGAAAAGAATGAAAGAGAAAGACAGGGAGAGGGAGAGAGAGAGAGAGGAGAAAGTGAGCTCAGCGAATTGGCCGGGTGACACACTGATGAAGGGGTCAAAGGACACTCTGAGTTAGTGCCCTCGGGACACACAGCGAACAGTGATCATGAAAAGAGTGGGCTCAATAATTTTCCATAAACTTGCTCAAGATTCCATGCAGTTGCCATACGGCCTTTGAGGTATGGTCAACCTATAGTAAGTTAGTAAATGACAAGGGGAGGAAGAAATGGAAACCTAAACATCTACTGCAATGAAAACCAACAGCAATGTCAGTGGGAGTAATTCAACCTTCGTGGAAAACATGAAATTGAACACACTCTTGTTTTCCCTGGACCTGGCATCTCCAGGTGTCAACACAGAATTAAGCATCCATAATTGCTCAAAGTTACCTGGGGCATGATGGGTCTTGGTCTTCTTCCACTTCTTGGTACTTTTCAATTTCTGCAATAAGTTCAGACATGGACAGACATATGAAGCTGGTTCTCCTACACACATAACAATCCACTGTCTAATCCTCACACAGGGACTTCAGGCTCCTCAGCATGAGAATAGGACACTGTGAGAGATATTCTTCAGGAGGCCTGAAGGCTGATCATGATAGAGATTCCTTGGTTTTTGTCCCAGAAACTGTGGGTAAACTTCCCTATTCTGGTAGATCGTTATCCCAATATCATTTGTCCCAAGTTTGTGCAAATGGTTATGCCATATTTTTCCAATCGATTTAAAGCAAATGCCCCCAAATGGTTGCTAGGAGAAAAACTGCACTATTCAGCCCTGTCTCATCAAATACTCAGATTGTTCATGGTAGTGAGGATTTTAGATGCTGAAAGTAGAGTGAAGGATGAAATCTACAAGATCTACAGAATTGAGACAAAATCAGAGTTGTGTGAATTTGTCACATCTGCCCAGATCCAACATCTTGAGAGTAGGATTAGGGTGCCACAGGCATGGCCTGAGACTAGGAAGAGAGCCTTGCTCACTGACCCATCCCTTGTCTGGGCTTCCAAGTGGAACTAGAGTTTCACTCAACCTACATGTGCCTATAGGTCCTCCCTGTGGCAATGACATCTCTCAGCTCAGTAAGGGCCACTTGCAGTAGGAATATGACCCTAAACAGAAGACTCAGTGGATCCTTATCACCTTCATAGAAAGGTACTCACCATCCATGTCAACAGCCAAGCCAATACGCTGTTGCTCCAATACGTAAAAGGCACTTCTGTAGGGCTGGCATGAGTCAGTCAGTCCAAGATAAACTGAAGGAGTTGAATAACATCTATCCAGTGAGTCCTGCAAGACTTCAGGCTCTTTCTCATCCAGCAGCTCCCTGCTGAGCCTGGAAAAGTGGGAAAAAGTAAAGAATAAGCCAGGGGGAATCAGAAACCACACAGCCCCAGCTAGATTTCATGGCTAACATGAGGAAGAGTTTGAAAAGAAAAAGGACAGATCCATTAATGAGGTAACAAATTATTGCCTTTATGTTGGGATAGACTAGGGCCAGGTAGAAAAGGATGAAAGAGAAAGACACACACACACACACACACACACACACACACACACACACACACACACAGTGTGAGCTCAGTCAATTGGCCAGGTGACACACTGATGAGGGAGTCAAAGGACACTCTGTATTTGTGCTCTCAGGACACACAGTGAACAGTGATCATGAAAAGCATGGCCTCAATAATTTTGCATAAAATGTGCTCAAGTTTCCCTGCAGTCACCATGAGAATACAGCTTTTGAGGTATGGTCAACCTTCACTAGGTTAGTAAATGATAAGGGTAGGAAGAAATGGAAACCTAAACATTTACTCTAATGAGAACCAAAAAACAATGCAGTAGGCATAATTCAGACTTGTCTGACAAGACAAAATCATGATTTTCAGCGTGTACTGTTTTCCCTGGACTTGGCATCTCCAGGTGTCAACATCAAATTAACTGTCCACAATTTCTCAGACTCACCTGGGACCTGTTGCCTCTTGGTCCTCCTTTTTCACTTGATCCCACCGATGTCCTGCAAATAAATTCAGATGGGGCCTCTTACATTAAGCAGTTCTTCCTTGCACACAGAAACATTCCTCTGTCCAATCCTAACACAGGGACATCAGTCTTGTCAGTGTGAAAACAGGAGACTTTGAGAGAAATATTCCAGTAGGCCTGAGGTCAAGTCTTGAGAAAACTGGCTTGGGTTCTTTCATGAGCCTTGGGCAAAATTCCCCTGTGTTGGAATGTTATTTTCCCTATGTGCTCTGTCCTAGGTTTATGTACACAAATGAGCAATTTTTTCCCCAATAAATTGTAGGCAAATAGTTCTAACACCTCATAGGAGAGATACTTCAATATTAAGCTTTCTCTCATCAAATACCCAGAATTTGATAGTTTATGAGATTGTGGACACAGAGATTTGATGAAGGGGTGCAATGTACCAGCTCTTGAGTCAAAATGAAACTTGGTTCTACACAGAAGCATCAGCTATTATGGCTTTTGTGGGTGAAAAGTAAGCCATTTATCTAGAAAACATACCAGGAACATGACGGACAGATGAGCTAAAACAAGCGAACTTAGAAGACACAGAAAATGGGGATAAATTCAGTGAAACCTGGGTCACATCTTTCACTGAGAGGTAGACAAGGGTGACACTGGCCTTGGGCAGGTAAAGAACCACACAGACATGCTTTGGGAACAAAACTCATAAGGAATTTTGTAGCTGGCAAGAGACATTTAATTCAGATGAGCTGATCTGACAGACAACTCCTGGGCATGTGCTGCACAGTTTGGTGTGAGTTTGCCACACCTGCCTTGAGTTCAATGTCGTGACAGTCAGTCCAGGTTGGCATGGGCATGGCCTGAGACTAGGAAGAGAGCAAAGCTCACTGACCCACCCCATGCCTGTGCTTCAGACTCGACTCCAGAGTGATTGAAATCTACATTGATATATAGGTTCAGCCCACAGTGATGGCAACTCTCAGCCCAACCAGGGGCACAAGGCCCAAAGATTATGGGGTCTACCTGGGCCATGAACTGGAGCTTTATCACCTTCACAATGGAGTACTCACTGCCTATGTCAACAGCCATGCAGACTTGCTGTTCCTCTAATGAGTGAAATGTGCTGCTGTAAGACTGGTACGAGGCCAACCTTTCAGGAGGAATTGAGAGAGTCGAATAACCTTCATCCCAGGACTCCTGGGGGACTTCCTCCTCTTCAGACTCCTGCAGATTCCTGATGAGCCAGGCAGGACAGGGATGATAGAAGATTTAACCAACAGACATTAGACAACAAAACCTCCCAGATGATCTGATGGGAGACAGAATGGAGTGGTCACAGAAACCAAAGGCATTTTTCCTTCAAGAGAAATAAAACTATCCTTCTAAATACAGGGTGGAGGGTGACTGCTCTGGGGACAGAGCAAAAATGGGCAGCATGTGCTCAGTACATTTGCCACAGATGAGCCAACTCAGGGCACCCAGACTCTCCCTGTAAACTACCATCATGACTTGCAGCACAGAGAACTGACACAGGGCTTCAACTACTTTGCATAAATTGGGTTGAATTTTACACGCAGCATTCAAGTGAAGAGAGTTCTTGACGCAGTGCAGACACAGATCTTGTGTATTAAGGGCCCCATTTTCCCAATATTTTGATATAATAT
Organism: Homo sapiens; assembly: GCF_000001405.40. Classification (NCBI taxonomy): domain Eukaryota; kingdom Metazoa; phylum Chordata; class Mammalia; order Primates; family Hominidae; genus Homo; species Homo sapiens. Next base: position 148,110,972 of record NC_000001.11, read on the forward strand.
ATTTACTTTTTCAATTTCTTTTCTTGCAAAAATACTAGCCAACATACTACCAACAAATGGGAAGAAAGCATATATACATCTCTCCCTGGATTTAAACACATGGGAGAGAATAGGCGACACCAAGAAATCTCTGTTTGAGGGTCTGGAGTGGACTTCCAGCAAACTCCAACAGACCTGAAGCTGAGGGACCTGACTGTTAGAAGGAAAACTAACACACAGAAAGGGATAGCATCAACATCAACAAAAAAGACATCCACCCCAAAACCCCATCTGTAGGTCACCATCATCAAAGACCAAGGGTAGATAAAACCACAAAGGTGGGGAGAAACCAGAGCACAAAAGCTGAAAATTCCAAAAACCTGACATCCCTTCTCCTCCAAAGGATCGCAGCTCCTCGCCAGCAATGGAACAAAGCAGGATAGAGAATGACTTTGACGAGCTGACAGAAGTAGGCTTCAGAAAGTCGGTAATAACAAACTTCTCTGAGCTAAAGGAGGATGTGCGAACTCATCGCAAGGAAGCTAAAAACCTTAAAAAAAGATTAGACGAATGGCTAACCAGAATGAACAGTGTAGAGAAGACCTTAAATGACCTGATGGAGCTGAAAACCATGGCACGAAAACTACGTGATGCATGCACAAGCTTCAGTAGCCAATTCGATCAAGTGCAAGAAACGGTATCAGTGATTCAAGATCAAATTAGTGAAATGAAGCGAGAAGAGAAATTTAGAGAAAAAAGAGTAAAAAGAAATGAACAAGCCTCCAATAAATATGGGACTATGTGAAAAGACCAAATCTACGTTTGATTGGTGTACTGAAAGTGACGGGGAGAATGGAACCAAGCTGGGAAACATTCTTCAGGATATTATCCAGGAGGACTTCCCCAACCTAGCAAGGAAGGCCAACATTCAAATTCAGGAAACACAGAGAACACCATAAAGATACTCCTCGAGAAGAGCAACCCCAGGACACATAATTGTCAGATTCACCAAGGTTGAAATGAAGGAAAAAATGCTAAGGGCAGCCAGAGAGAAAGGTCGGATTACCCACAAAGGGAAGCCCATCAGACTAGCAGCAGATCTCTTGGCACAAACCCTACAAGCCAGAAGAGAGTGGGAGCAATATTCAACATTCTTTTTTTTCCATATGTATAGTTTTCCTTTATTATTTTTTGTGTGTATGTATATATATATATTTTAATACTTTAAGTCTTAGGGTACACGTGCACAACGTGCAGCTTAGTTACATATGTATACATGTCCACATTGGTGTGCTTCACCCATTAACTCATCATTTAACATTAGGTATATCTCCTAATGCTACCCCTCCTCCCTCCCCCCACCCTACAACAGGCCCCAGTGTGTGATGTTCCCCTTCCTGTGTCCATGTGTTCTCATTGTTCAATTCCCACCTGTGAGTAAGAACATGCGGTATTTGGTTTTTTGTCCTTGCAATAGTTTGCTGAGAATGATGGTTTCCAGCTTCATCCATGCCCCTACAAAGGACATGAACTCATCATTTTTTATAGCTGCATAGTATTCCATGGTGTATATGTGCCACATTTTCTTAATCCAGTCTATCATTGCTGGATATTTGGCTTGGTTCCAAGTCTTTGCTATTGTGAATAGAGCCGCAATAAACATATGTGTGCATGTGTCTTTACAGCAGCATGATTTATAATCCTTTGGGTATACACCCAGTAATGGGATGGCTGGGTCAAATGGTATTTCTAGTTCTAGATCCCTGAGGAATTGCCACACTGCCTTCCACAATCGTTGAACTAGTTTACAGTCCCACCAACAGTGTAAAAGTGTTCCTATTTCTCCACATCCTCTCCAGCACCTTCAACATTCTTAAAGAAAAGAATTTTCAACCAAGAATTTCATATCCAGCCAAACAAAGCTTCATAAGTGAAGGAGAAATAAATCCTTTACAGAGAAGCAAATGCTGAGAGATTTTGTCACCACCAGGCCTGCCCAAAAAGAGCTCCTAAAGGAAGCACTAAACATGGAAAGGAACAACCGGTACCAGCCACTGCAAAAACATGCCAAACTCTAAAGACCATTGACGCTAGGAAGAAACTGCATCAACTAACGGGTGAAATAACCAGCAAACATCATAACGACAGGATCAAATTCACACATAACCATATTAACCTTAAATGTAAAGGGGCTAAATGCCCCAGTTAAAAAACACAGAATGGCAAATTGGATAAAGAGTCAAGACCCATCAGTGTGCTGTACTCAGAAAACCCATCTCACATGCAGAGACACACATAGGCTCAAAATAAAGGGATGGAGGAAGATCTACCAAGCAAATGGAAAGCAAAAAAACGCAGGGGTTGCAATCCTAGTCTCTGATAAAACAGACTTTAAACCAACAAAGATCAAAAGAGACAAAGAAGGCCACTACATAATGGTAAAGGGATCAATTCAACAAGAAGAGTTAACTATCCTAAATATATATGCACCCTATACAGGAGCACCCAGATTCATAAAGCAAGTCCTGAGAGACCTACAAAGAGATTTAGACTCCACACAATCATCATGGGAGACTTTAACACCCCACTGTCAATATTAGACAGATCAATGAGACAGAAGCTTAACAAGGATATCCAGGACTTGAACTCAGCTCTGCACCAAGCAGACCTAAAAGACATCTACAGAACTCTCCACCCCAAATCAACAGAATATACATTCTTCTCAGCATCACATCACACTTATTCCAAAATTGACCACATAGTTGGAGGTAAAGCACTCGTCAGCAAATGTAAAAGAATGGAAATCACAACAAACTGTCAGACCACAGTGCAATCAAATTAGAACTCAGGATTAAGAAACTCACTGAAAACTGCACAACTACATGGAAACTCAACAACCTGCTCCTGAATGACTACTGGGAAAATAACAAAATGAAGGCAGAAATAAAGATGTTCTTTGAAACCAATGAGAACAAAGACACAACATACCAGAATCTCTGGGACACATTTAAAGCAATGTGTAGAGGGAAAATTATAGCACTAAATGCCCACAAGAGAAAGCAGAAAAGATCTAAAATTGACACCCTAACATCACAATTAAAATAACTAGAGAAGCAAAGCAAACAAATTCAAAAGCTAGCAGAAGACAAGAAGTAACTAAGATCAGAGCAGAACTAAAGGAGATAGAGACACAAAAAACCCTTCAAAAAATCAATGAATCCAGGGCTGGTTTTTTGAAAAGATCAACAAGAAAACCCTGTTTGGCTAGTTCACCTGGCTCATCTGATGGCAAGTTCCTATCTTGAGAGGACTATGAAATTAAAACCAACACAAGTGCCACAAATGACATACAACATTGTAAATCAGCACAATTTGTAGCTGGGTGAATGGAAGAAATAGTTCTATTCATCACTTCCTCATTTTCCCTAAATCTACAATCTCCAGATGTCACTACTGAATTAACAGCCAACAATTCCACAACATTACCTGGGAGACACTGGCCCTTTTTCTTCCTCTTCCTCATCATCACTTTCATTTTCTGTAAATAAATTCAGAGAAGCAGGTCACATTAAGCAATTCATACTTCACATATGAACAAATCACTGTCCAGTCATAGCACAAGGACATAACTATTCTCAGTGCAAGAATAAGGATTCTGACAGGAATATTCTAGGGTGCCCTAGATTAACTTTGGTGAGAATTAGATGACCCTGCTTTCCAGACCCACAGGCCAAAATCTCCCTCTACGTGTAGACCATAATGCCATATTCCCTGCCTGAGTCAAAGTTAAACAAAATTTTTTCCCCAAAAAAATCTCCAAAAATTGGTCAAACAATTTTCTAAGAGTGTTGCTGCAATACGGACTTATATCACCAGGTAACATGGACATTAAATGTTTAGAGGCATCTATACATGAAACACGACTGATAGATAAATTTGAACAACTCTTGCTTTAAAAAGCATCTGTGATTTGGGAGGCCAAGACAGGTGAATCATTTGAGGTCATGAGTTCAGGACTACCCTGGCCAATATGGGGAAACCCTGTCTCTACTAAAAATACAAAAATTAGCCAGATGTGATGTTGTGCACCTGTGGTCCCAGCAACTCAGGAGGCTGAGGCAGGAGAATCACTTGAATCTGGGAGGCAGAGGTTGCACCAAGTCAAGATGGTGCCACTGCACTCCAGCCTAGGTGACAGAGCAGGACTCCATCACAAAAAAAAAAAAAAAAAAAAAAAAAAAAAAAAAAAAAAATCTACGACGCTACAAAGAAACATTGGATCAGCCATTGCATTGACAGGGTGGAGAACCAGGGTCCAGCCTTGCTTTATGGAAATATATCAGCAAAGTAAAGAAGAAAAGTTTCCATCCTGATTTCAGGGTGACTGTGCAGCTAAGCAAGCTGACTTAAAGGAGATCCAGATGAAAGCTGAGAGCAGTGAAACCTGGGGAAAAATATTTCCAAATACAAAGGCAAGGCTGCCAGGTTCCTTAAACAGGCATAGAAACTCCATGGACATTGTTCAGGGACAGATGACTAAATCACAGATGACAAGAGATACTGAATCGAAGTTAGGAGGCCTGACAGATACTGCCTGTGCACCTCCTGCACTGAGGTGACTATGAGATTGTCACACTTGCCTGGGGTCGAGTAACTTGATACTGGGGACTGGCAAACAAAGGCATGACATTAGCTGAGAAGGACAAAAAAACTCCCTGATATCTGTTTAGAAACCCATCACAGTTTTTTATTCAAATGAATTTGTGTTTATAGAGCCTGTCTTCAGAGTTTATCTTCCTCAGCCTAGAGAGAGGTATGAGACACAAGGAAAACAGAGGCTACCTGGGATAATGTGTACAGCATCCTCCCATTCAACATGAGAGGATGAGCCAATGAGAGTTGAGTCGACTTTGTCTTCCTCAAATGTGATTTTGGTTTTTCTATGTGGCTGGTTGGAGTCATAAGGGCCATGGCTATTTGAACAAGTGATGGCACACTCCTCCAGTGAGTCCTCAGGGACTTCCTTTTCTTCAGCCTTCTGCATCTCCCTGATGAGCCAGGTGGGACAGAGATGACAGAAGATTAAACACAGAGGGATTGGACCCCAGGGAGTCCTAGCTGGTTTTGACAGGCGGCATTAAGAGAGTGGTCCCAGAAAGCAAAATGGACGTTCCCATTAAGAGGGAACATGCAATCCTGTTCTGTCTGCAACAGAGCATGGCTGCCATGGGAACCAGAGAGGAAGAGAGCAGCTGCTGTTCATTGCACTGGACAGATAGGAGCTGAGGAGGATGAAGACTCAGCTATCCCTGTACGGTGCAGACATGACACTCGGCACACATAGAGAAACATGACAGCTGCCGCACCCTGTGTCTAAGCTGGGTTATATTTCACATACTGTGGCCAAGCGAATGCGGGTTTTTGGCCCATCATACATGCCAGAGAGGGTGTGCCTCCTAGATATTCTTCATATGTTACCATCCATTAATTGTTCCTGAGTATTCAGTGTTACCTGGGGGAAGACGATTTCTGCACTTTCTCAGCCACCTCAACTTGAACATCTTCATCGTCATCGTTATCATTTTCTGTAAATACAGAAGTGTTCATTCAGATATTTCCCACTTCACAGTCTGCAAGCACAGTCAGCCCAATGTGCAACAGGGACATGAACATCTAGGCATGGGTCACCGTTCAACTGAAAACTCTCATGTTTTATCTTTAACAGAATGCCCTGGCATGGTTTCCTGGTCCATCAGGCAATGCATTTCTGATCTGGAGGGCCACCATCAAGATGTGGCCAAATATTGAAAAGACCTTTTGCTTCCCATATCACTGGAGGCTTGTGCAGCCTCTCTCTGGACTTTGGCAGCTGTCTCCCCCATCCTGCCAGATCTGATTCCCAGGCACAGGCTTGGTGTCCTGTCACAGTTTGCATTTCAAACCTAATTCTTTCTCTTAGAAGCAAACTTGTCCCACAGTCCTCTATGCATCAGAAGATTTCAAGCCTCCAAGTGGCTTCTGCTGTGTTATTCAGGGACATTCTATCCATGGGGAGTGCTCCAGTCTGAAGCACTTCCTACCACAAAATGCCCCCACATCAAGTGCCTTCTCCAACACCACACGGAGAGGGGCTTCATCTCATTTTGGAAAGCAGTTGTAAGTGTTCCCACATTTGAATGCTTCAGACCTTGCAAGAGACAATTTGTCTGCCATGGAGAGAGAGAAACTCAGGAAGGACAAGTCATTCACTCACCGACAGTTACTAAGAACATTGCCAAAAAGACAGCCTGGGAACCTTCATTCTTAGTCCAGAGCTCTTTTCACTCTAACAAGCCTGCTCCCATCGCAGCCTCCTTCCTGTCCTTTAAAACTAGACAGATGCTGCCTCTTACTCCAAAGACCACCTTCCATCAAGGAAGGAGGGACACTTGCAATACTGTGACCTCCAACCCCATGGGTTTCCCATCTCCGTTCTTACCCAGGAAGTCCTGGTCATGTCATGGCCACATAAGCTTAGTGGAAAAAAACACCATTGATACAACTGTCATTGTGAAAGTATGGAGGTCTGGAGCCTCTCATAAGCCTGGGGTTTTGGGTCATCAGGGCCTATGGCCACCTTACCTGGGCTGAGCTTTTGGACAAGGTGCTGTGCCAGTCTACACCCCTCAGCCAGCTGTTCTTGGAGGTCCTGCCCCTGGGACTTGTCCGGCTCATCCGGAGTGAGGAGGGCCTGGAGATGCTCATTCAATGAGCGGGAGGCATCTCTCCCTTCCCGTAACTTCTCCCTTAACTGGGTCAGCTCTCGTTCCTGAGAGTGAACCAGGACTTTATATTGCCTAAGGTGAGACGGTAGAGAAAATTTAAGAGTGGAAAGGGTTGAGTGATCCGTTCAAATATTGCAACAGAGATTTCTGAGACAATGTCCTCAAGGAGACCTCCAAGCAGAAGGTCAGCACATGTTGAAAGGAATGTCTGTGGCCAAGAGAAAGAATAGAAAATGGTTTACAGGCTTCCTCTGTATCAGAGAGGGCTCCTGCAAGATCCTCGATGATGTTCCATTCATCTTTCCTTCTGTAAACAAAAGTAGGTGTCTTCCTAATTCCGTTTCAAAAAGACATCCTTTCAGTTCCTCACTCTGGCCATGGACATTTCCATGTGAAAATACACATAGTGCATCTTGCGGCCATTAGATACAAAGCCATGTACAGAAATGAGGCCAGATGCAGATAGGGCGAATTGAAAAGACGAAAGAAGAAAAGAATGACAGGGTCGAGAAGGCAACATTGATTGAGTGAAAGAATGAGAAGCCGCAGTCAGTCAGGAGGTGATTCTCACTAGGGTAAGTGGGGTGGTGATGGCACACCATTTTGAGTATACTGAATGCTGCTGTGTGGTTCACACTCCTTTGGTTAATTTTGTGTTATGTAAATTTCACATCAACAATTACTTGTTTGAAAAAGAGAAAACAAGGCTCTGAGAAACAACTGCAACCCATAAATTTTTATTATCCTTCTTCTCTGTTTGATAAATATTTGTGTGTAGCAAACCTGCCATGGCAATTCCTGCCCTTCCCCTGGCCCAGCTTAGCTCTTACGTCTCCCCACTGAGCTACTGTACTTCAGAGATTTACACACCTGCCCCCCTGCCTGCCCCCATGGGGTCCCCTCACCTGAGCTCCTCAGCTTGCTTCAGCTGCTCTGCAAGCTTCTCCTCCTTGAACTGTCGCTCATTCCTCAGCATAGATTTTATGAGGTCTTTGCACTCTTCATATTCTGAGAAAAGACAGACACGCCTGCATCAGTGGAAGGCTGGACATGCTGCTGTGGTCATTGCCTACAGGGCAGGAGCCAGGTCCATCCCAAGGACAAAACTCTCCACAGTACCAGGGTCTAGACAGGGATTTCCACGTCTTTACTCTTCAGTCTCCTGACTTTCTGGCATCTGATCCTCCAAAATTTAGAGATGAAGAAAGAGAAACTCAAGGGCACATCAAGGAAGTTGACAAGATGATTCAACCACAACGAAGTGGAGTCAGAATTCACAGTCCCTGAGGTCTGACTCTGAATTCGGGGCCACTTTCCCAAGACTTGCAGCCTCTCCTCTAAAACACTGCACTGGGGCATGAAGTAGTGATTTCTTGTACAGTCGGGAAGGCCCCTAGGACTATGGGACTGATGGTTTCCCTTTTACTGGGAATTTCAAGGACAAGTATGTGAAAGATTTTAAAAATCTTTGATTTTTTAATCATATCTTCAGTTATGATTTTAAGAATCATATCTGAAGCATAAAGTGTGACACATAACACCATAAGGCCATGAAGGAAATCCTATGCCCAAATGCTAATGAAGTTTCTGTTAATTTAGAAACAGCAGAATGAAGAACTAATAGATAGTGTTTACTCTGTGCCAATAAACGTTCTAGGAGATTGACAAGAAATAGCTCATGTAATTCACTGCAGCAATTTACAGAGGTAGGTATTATTGTAGTACCCTCTGAACAGGTGAGGAAACTGAGGGACAGAGAAGACAAGCACCTTGGATGGAGCCCAGGAGACAGGCCCACGGTCCCTGCTCTGTACACTGCACTGCTACCTCCACACATTCTCGGGTGCGATCTTTCTTCCTCTTTAGGAACAAGACTCTGTGCCCCAGGAAGCAGGACTTCACTCTCACCAAGCTACTCTCTGCTTTTTATTCTTATTTTTATTTATCATTATTATTTTTTTTTAACAGTCTTGCCCTGTCACCCAGGCTGGAGTGCAACGGCAAAATCTTGGCTCACTGCAACCTCAGCCTCCTGGGTTCAAAGGATTCTACTGCCTCAGCCTCCTGAGCAGGGGTGATTACAGTCACCTGCCACCACGCCCATCTACTTTTTGTATTTTTAGTGGAGATGGGGTTTCTCCATGTTGCCCAGGCTGGTCTCAAACTCCTGACCTCGTGCTCTACCCGCCTCAGCCTCCCAAAGGGCTGGGATTACAGGAGTGAGCCACCATGCACGGCCCCTACTCCCTGCTCTTGATGCTGTCACTTATAGATAGCACAGGTTCTATTAGGAGCAGACTCCTCTTGAAGCCCCTCAGAGCGGGTACTGGCTACTATCACCAAGTTTCCCTCAGAGTCACTAGAACAGAGCTTTGTGTATTGGGCCTCAACAGAAACTTGAACTGAATAAAAGTTCACTAGTCTCAGATATTTAGAACAACAGACTAGATGTTATTTGTCTGCAGGATCTTATGTGGTACAGAGAGGATTCTTGAAAACACGATTGAGCCTCTTGGAGAAAACAGGTCATTCTGTGCCTGTGTCAGAAATCAATAAATGGCAGTTTAACTCTAGTCCCACCCCCACCTGATTGCAAACATGGAAAGTTGCTAAATACTTTGGTACCTCTGTCTTCCAACTTTAACAAAATGTTAAAATACCCATTTCTGTTTTCCTAGAAGTATGGGGAGGATGACATTATTTTTGATGGAGAGAGCACTTAGTTTCTCAGAGAGAAGACAGGACTTCGTTCATCACTTTCGTGATGGTGAGCATATAGATCTTACTGTATTTGTTCTGCTGCTTGGCCAGGAAGCAGGCCACTTGAGTTACAAAACATTTCTCTTTGAGGCTTCTGAACTGCTGTTTCTTCTCTGCCAGCTGGGGGCACAATTTCTCATTGATTTCTAGAATGTTCATCTCTGCCTTCTCGCTGGACAAAGGGCCGGCTGATACCACCATGCTGACGTTTGTGGCAGAAGAGGTGGGGCCAGGGACTGGGGAGAAGAAAGGCAAACATATGATGGGTTAAAAACTGGTGAAATCAAATAGGCTTAATCAGGACTGAGGGATGTCACTGGTAGCCTTGTTTACTTATTTGAAGATGTTGTTTCCCTGGTTTCACTCTTGTCATCTCCAGTCTTGATCTCCTTTAAGTCAACTTGTCTTAGCTATGCAGTCACCTTGAAACCAAGACATAAACACTTCTACACTTGCTTATACGTTTCTATAAAGCAAGGCTTGGCCCTGAGATTTTTATCCCATGAGTGGCCAATGTTTCTGTGTAGCACAAAAGATTTCATTTTGCTTTTTAAATTTTTTCCTTTTTTGGTTTTTTGTTTTCTGTTTGAGACGGAGTCTCACTCTGTCGCGCAGGCTGCAGTGCAGAGGCACAATCTCAGCTCACTGCCACCTCTGCCTCCCGGGTTCAAGCGATTCTCATCACTCAGCCTGCCAAGCATCTGGGATTACAAGCGCCAAGTAACATGACAGCTAATTTTTGTATTTTTAGTAGAGATGGGGTTTCGCCATCTTGGACAGGCTGGTTTCGAACTCCTGAGCTCAGGTGTTCCGCCCACCTTGGCCTCTCAAAGTGCTGGGATTAAGATGTGAGCCAGCGTCCCTGGTCAGAGACTTTTTTTTTTTTTTTTTGAGATGCAGTCTCGCTCTGTCTCCCAGGCTGGAGTGCAGTGCCACAGTCTCGGCTCACTGCAAGATCCGGTTCCTGGGTTCATGCCATTCTCCTGCCTCAGCCTCCTGAGTAGCTGGGACTACAGGCGCCCACCACCGCGCCCAGCTAATTTCTTTTTTTTTTGTATTTTTAGTAAAGACGGGGTTTCACCGTGTTAGCCAGGATGGTCTCAATCTCCTGACCTCGTGATCCACCCGCCTCGGCCTCCCAAAGTGCTCGGATTACAGGTGTGACCCACTGCGCCCAGCCAAGACTTATTAATAGCTAAGACAAGCCAATGAAAAGGAGAGAGAGTCTAGCCTGACAGAAGTGAATGAGGGTGGGAGGATCATCTCAGCCCATCCTCCCACCTAAGTCTCCTGAGCAGTTGGGACTATAGGCGGGCAGCACCATGCCTGCCTAATTTTTTGTATTCTTCGTAAAGATGGGTTTCACCATATACTCCAGGCTGGTCTTCAACTCCTGAACTCAAGTCATCCTCCCACTTGGGCCTTCCAAAGTGCTGTGATTATATGTGTGAGTCACAGCACCTAGCTCCATCCTAGTTTCTGACTAAAACAATAACAATATGTGTATATACAGCCTGTCCTCAGAATTGATCTTCCATAGCCTAGACAGAGGTATGAGACACAAGGAAAATAGAGGCTACCTGGGAGAATGTTTAGAGCATCCTGACATCCATCATGAGAGGATTCTCTGTCTACAACCAGAGATGAGTTGACTTTGTCTTCCTCAAATGTGATTTTGATGTTCTTGTGAGGCTGGATGGAGTCACAAGGGCCGTGGCTATTTGAACAAGTGATGGCACATTCCTCCAGTGAGTCCTCAGGGACTTTGCTCTCTTCAGCCTTCTGCACCTCCCTGATGAGCCAGGTGGGACAGAGATGACAGAAGATTAAACACAGAGGGATTGGACCCCAAGGAGTCCTAGCTGGTTTTGACAAGCGGCATTAAGAGAGTGGTCCCAGAAAACAAATGGAGGTTCCCTTTAAGAGGGAACAGGCAATCCTCTTCTCTCTGCAACAGAGCTTCGCTGCCATGGGAGCCAGAGAGGAAGAGAGCAGCTGGTGTTCAGTGCACTGGACAGATAGGAGCTGAAGAGGATGAAGACTCAGCTATCCCTGTATGGTACAGACATGACACTTGGCACACATAGAGAAACACAACAGCTGCCGCACCCTGTGTCTAAGCTGGGTTGAATTTCACATACTGTGGCCAAGGGAATGCGGGCTTTTGGCCCATCATAGATGCCAGAGAGGGCGTGCCTCCTAGACATTTTCATATGTTACCACCCATTACTTGCTCCTGAGTATTCAATGTTACCTGGGGGCAGATGATTCCAGTACTTTCTCATCCTCCTCAACTTGAACATCTTCATCCTCATCTTCGTCATTTTCTATAAATACAAAATGTTCGTTCAGATATTTCCCACTTCACATTCTGCAAGCACAGTCAGCCCAACGTGCACAGAGACATGAATATCTATGTATGGTTCAGCATTGTACTGAAAACTCTCATGTTTTATCCTTCACAAAATGCCCTGGCATGGTTTCCTGGTCCATCAGGCAATGCATTTCTGATGTGGAGGGCCACCATCAAGATGTGGCCAAATACTGAAAAGACCTTTTGCTTCCCATATCACTGGAGGCTTGTGCAGCCTCTCTCTGGACTTTGGCAGCTGTCTCCCCCATCCTGCCACAGATCTGATTCCCAGGAACAGGCTTGGTGTCCTGTCACAGTTCGCATTTCAAACCTCATTCATTCTCTTAGGAGAGGACAAACTTGTCCCACAGTCCTCTATGCGTCATGAGACTGCACAGGCCCTCCATGTGGCTTCTGCTGTGTTATTCAGGGACATTCTATCCATGGGGAGTGCTCCAGTCTGAAGCACTTCCTACCACCAAATGCCCCCACATCAAGTGCCTTCTCCAACACCACACGGAGAGGGGCTTCATCTCATTTTGAAAAGCATTCGTAAGTGTTCCCATATTTGGATGCTTCAGACCCTTGCAAGAGACAATTTGTCTGCCTTTGCAGATGGAGAGAGAGAAACTCTGGAAAGATAAATCACTCACTCACCGACACTTACTAAGAACATTGCCAAAAAGACAGCCTGGGAACCTTCATTCTTAGCCCAGAGCTCTTTTCACTCCAACAAGCGCCCTCCCATCACAGCCTCCTTCCTGTCCTTTAAAACTAGATAGATGCTGCCTCTTGCTCCAAAGACCACCTTCCATCAAGGAAGGAGGGACACTTGCAATACTGTGACCTCCAAACCGATGGGTTTCCCATTTCTGTTCTTACTCAGGAAGTCCTGATCATGTCATGGCCACATATGTGTAGTAGAAAAAAACCCCACTGATACAACTGTCATTGTGAAAGTATGGAGGTCTGGAGCCTCTCATAAGCCTGGGGTTTTGGGTCATCAGGGCCTATGGCCACCTTACCTGGGCTGAGCTTTTGGACAAGGTGCTGTGCCAGTCTACACCCCTCAGCCAGCTGTTCTTGGAGGTCCTGCCCCTGGGACTTGTCCGGCTCATCCGGAGTGAGGAGGGCCTGGAGATGCTCATTCAATGAGCGGGAGGCATCTCTCCCTTCCCGTAACTTCTCCCTTAACTGGGTCAGCTCTCGTTCCTGAGAGTGAACCAGGACTTTATATTGCCTAAGGTGAGACGGTAGAGAAAATTTAACAGTGAAAAGCATTGAGTGATCCGTTCAAATATTGCAACAGAGATTTCTGAGACAATGTTCTCAAGGAGACCTTCAAGCAGAAGGTCAGCACATGTTGAAAGGAATGTCTGTGGCCAAGAGAAAGAACAGAAAATGGTCTACAGGCTTTCCCTCTATCAGAGAGGGCTCCTGCAAGATCCTCGATGATGTTCCATTCATCTTTCCCTTCTGTAAATAAAAGTAGGTGTCTTCCTAATTCCGTTTCAAAAAGACATCCTTTCAGTTCCTCACTCTGGCCATGGACATTTCCATGTGAAAATACACATAGTGCATCTTGCGGCCACTAGATACAAAGCCATGTACAGAAATGAGGCCAGGTGCAGATGGGGCGAATTGAAAAGACGAAAGAAGAAAAGAATGACAGGGTCGAGAAGGCAACATTGATTGAGTGAAAGAATGAGAAGACGCAGTCAGTCAGGAGGTGATTCTCACTAAGGGTAAGTGGGGTGGCAATAGCACACCATTTTGATTATACTGAATGCTGCTGGGTGGTTCCCACTCCTTTGGTGAATTTTGTGTTATGTAAGTTTCACCTCAACAATTACTTGTTTGAAAAAGAGAAAACAAGGCTCTAAGAAACAACTGCAACACAGAACTTATTATTATCCTTGTTCTCTGATAAATATTTGTGTGTCATGAGCCTGCCATGGCAATTTCTGCCCTTCCCCTGGCCCAGCTTCGTTCTTACTTCTCCCCGCCGAGCTGCTGTACTTCAGAGATCTACACACCTACCTGCCTGTCTCCCCCTACGGGGTCCCCTCACCTGAGCTCCTCAGCTTGCTTGAGCTGCTCTGCAAGCTTCTCCTCCTTGAACTGTCGCTCATTCCTCAGCATAAATTTTATGAGGTCTTTACACTCTTCATACTCTGAGAAAAGACAGACACGCCTGCCTCAGTGGAAGGCTGGACATGCTGCTGTGGTCACTGCCTACAGGGCAGGAGCCAGGTCCATCCCAAGGACAAAACTCTCCCCAGTACCAGGGTCTAGACAGGGATTTCCACATCTTTACTCTTCAGTCTTCTGACTTTCTGGCATCTGATCCTCCAAAATTTAAAGACGAAGAAAGAGAAACTCAAGGGCGCATCAAGGAAGTTGACAAGATGATTCAACCACAACGAAGTGGAGTCAGAACTCACAGCCCCTGAGGTCTGACTCTGAATGCGGGGCCACTTTCCCAAGCCTTGCAGCCTCTCCTCTAAAACACTGCACTGGGGCATGAAGTAGTGATTTCTTGTACAGTCAGGAAGGCCCCTAGGACTATGGGACTGATGGTTTCCCTTTTACTGGGTATTTCAAGGACAAATATGTCAAGAACTTTAAAAATATTTCATTTTTAAATCAATATTCAGATATGGTTTTAAGAATCATATCTGAAGCCTAAAGTGTGAGACATAAGACAATAAGGCCATGAAGAAAATATGCCCAAATACTTTATTAGTATGAGAGGCAGCATTAAGATTTAGATTAGTTGTGTTAATTTAGAAACAGCATAAGATTAGTTTGTGTTAATTTAGAAACATCAGAATGAAGAACTAATAGATAGTGTTTACACTGTGCCAATTAATGTTCAAGGAGATCGACAGGAAATACCTCATGTAATTCATTGCAGCAATTTACAGAGGTAGGCATTATTGTAGTACCCTCTGAACAGATGAGGAAACTGAGGGACAGACAAGACAAGCAACATGGATGGAGCCCAGGAGACAGGCTGAGGGTCCCTGCTTTGCACACTGCACTGCTGCTTCCACACGTTCTCGGGTGTGATCTTTCTTCCTCTTTAGGAACAAGAGCCTGTGCACCAGGAAGCAGACTTCACTCTCACCAAGGTACTCTCTGCTTTTTATTTTTATTTTTGATTTATTTATCTTTTTGTTTGTTTGTTTTTTGACGAGTCTTGCCCTGTCACCCATGCTGGAGTGCAATAGTGCAATCTTGACTCACTGCAACATCTGCCTGCTGGGTTCAAAGGATTCTCCTGCCTCAGCCTCCCGATTAGTGGTGATTACAGTTGCCCGCCACGACGCCCATCTACTTTTTGTATTTTTAGTGGAGACGGGGTTTCTCCATGTTGCCCAGGCTAGTCTCAAACTGCTGACCTCGTCCTCTGCCCGCCTCAGCCTCCCAAAGTGCTGAGATTACAGGAGTGAGCCACGTTGCACGGCCCCTACTCCCTGCTCTTGATGCTGTCACTTATAGATAGCACAGGTTCTATTAGGAGCAGACTCCTCTTGAAGCCCCTCAGAGCAGGTACTGGGTACTATCACCAAGTTCCCCTCAGAGTCACTAGAACAGAGCTTTGCCTGTTGGGCCTCAACAGAAACTTGAACTGAATAAAAGTTCACTAGTCCTAGACATTTAGAACAACAGACTAGATGTTATTTGTCTGCAGGATCTTATATGGTACAGAGAGGATTCTTGAAAACATGATTGAGCCTCTTGGAGAAAACAGGTCGTTCTGTGCCTGTGTTAGAAATCAATAACTGTGAGTTTAACTCTAGTCCCACCCCCATCTGATTGCAAACATGGAAAGTTGCTAAATACTTTGGTACCTCTGTCTTCCAACTTTAACAAAATGTTAAAATACCCATTTCTGTTTTCCTAGAAGTACAGGAAGGATGAAATTATTTTTGATGGAGAGAGCATTTAGTGTCTCACATTCATCACTTTCATGATGGTGAGCCTATAGATCTTACTGTATTTCTTCTGTCGGTTGGCCAGGAAGCCGGCCAGTTGAGTTAGAAAACATCTCTCTTTGAGGTTTCTGAACTGCTGTTTGTTCTCTGCCAACTGGGGGCGCAATTTCTCGTTGATTTCTAGAATGTTCATCTCTGCCTTCTCGCTGGACCAAGGGCCGGCTGATACCACCATGCTGACGTTTGTGGCAGAAGAGGTGGAGTCAGGGACTGGGGAGAAGAAACCCAAACATATGATGGGTTAAAAACTGGTGAAATCAAATAGGTTTAATCAGGACTGAGGGATGTCAGTAACTGAAATTCTTAACTTACTGTTGTGAAAAATGTGATCACTCCCCACAGCACTTTAGGATCCTTCACCACAAAAACAAGGTTCGAGGTGCCTCAACTCAGAGCTGAAAGCACTGCTCAGACTCTGATAAGAGTGAGGTAGATTGTGGCCAGCGTGCCAGGTAACCGTCTGCAGTTGCAATAACAGAATTAGAAGGTAGGGGTGTCATGGAATCTTAGGAGCCCTGCATTCCAATTGCCCAGGCTTTGCTGAAACACAGGCACCCTAGTCTCACCTGAGGGTCACCACCAATGGGGATCATTCCTTCAGCATTCACTCTCAGTATTCGTGTACCCTTGTGACAATGCCACAGACCCGTGTCTTTCCCAATACATCTAAGCATATTCCTCACTGTTTATCTCTTGTCTGTACAACATCATCAAGGCAGAAACAGTTTCCCAACAGGTTATATTTTCTTAATGGTAGTCATGAAGTCATAAATAAAAAAATGGAATCATTTAGTATGTTCTCTTGTTTTGACTTTTTTTTTTTTTTTTTTTTGAGACAGAGTCTCACTCTGTCGCCCAGGCTGGAGTGCAGTGACGCGATCTAGGCTCACTGCAAGCTCTGCCTCCCAGGTTCACGCTATTCTCCTGCCTCAGACTCCCAAGTAGCTGGGAATACAGGCGCCCGCCACCACGCCCGGCTAATTTTTCTTTTTTTTTTTTTTGTATTTTTAGTAGAGACGGGGTTTCACTGTGTTAGCCAGGATGGTCTCGATCTCCTGACCTCGTGATCTGCCGCCTCGGCCTCCCAAAGTGCTGGGATTACAGGCGTGAGCCACCGCACACGGCCGACTTCTCTTTACTCAGGTGGGTATATATGCCACTAATTTGTTTGATTGTGTTTTTCCCTTGTTTCATTTTGTTTTGGCCAAGTAATATCCTATTGATTGTATGATTATCACACAATTTTATATCCATTTTTCTGATGGGAGACAGGTTTACTTGATAACTACTGTGCATAAGTAACTATGAATATTCTCATACAATTATTTCTGTGAAGATACATACTTATTTTCCTGGGTATCTATAGCTAGGGATGGAGTTGCTTGGTGAATGGGTAGAAAATGTTGGACAGAGTTTTGCAAAGTATTTGTATTGTTTTACATTTCTATGAAAGATGTAGGCCATTTCCAGTTGCTCTACATTCCCACACACTTAATATTTTCAGTCTTTTAAACTATGCCAGGTGTGTAGTGATATCCTAAAATTTGGTTTTCTCATGCCTAATGTTCATTTAGATATCTTCTTATGGAAAATATCTTCTCAAATTTTTATATTCATTGATATACTGGGCTGTTTGTCAATTTCTTTGTAATAGGAGTTCTTTATATATTTTGAATGAGTCCATTTATACATACATATTTTTTGCTGTATTATATAGCAAATAATTATTCCTGGTCTAGAGATAGCGTTTAAGTTGTTAAACAACAACATAATAAGGAGAAGCTTTTTAAAAATGAAGTGCAATTCGCTTGATTTCTTATTGTGGTGAGTGCTACAGTATCTAGTCTAAGAAATATTTTCCTGTGTCAAGTTCATGAAACTATTTCCTATTTTTCCTTTACAAGGTTTCTAATTTTAACTTTCACATCTTAAGTTAATTTCAATATATGATGGAGAGTGGTTAATATTAACTTTTTAAAACAACAAATATTATTTCACTCAAAATCGTTTTACTTAAAAGTCTTTCATTTCCCCAATGAAGGGCATTGGTGTCTTTGTTTTTAAAACATTTAGAAGCGGCGGTGCGAGCATGTTCTCACTCATGGGTGGGAATTGAACAATGAGAACACTTGGACACAGGGCGGGGAACATCACACACCAGGGCCTGTCATGGGGTGAGGGCTGGGGGAGGGATAGCATTAGGATATATACCTGGTGTAAATGACGAGTTAATGGGTGCAGCAAACCAACATGGCACACGTGTATATATATATATAATATATATACACGTGTATATGTATTATTTATATATACACATGTATATATATTATATATATATACACATATATACATGTATACACGTATATATAAAATATATATACACACACGAATATATATTATATATACGTGTATATACATACGTGTATATATATAATACGTGTATATACATAATATACAATATATATAACACGTGTATATATATATTATATATATATTTTTTCTTTTTTAAGTGGCGGAGCGAGGGCTACTGCACAGCTAGCAGAGTCGTGGCGAGGAGGACAGCACCTGCATCGAGCTCTCCGCCTCCCCCACCCGCCAGCCCAGGCGGCCCCAGCAGCAGCGACCAGAGGAGCCCCTGCAGCAACGCAAAGGCCAGGTGGACACCTCCATCTACAGCCTCGTGGCGGACGGGACCTGTTAGGACACGGCCATTGTGGGCAACAAGGACCCACCTTCCATCTGTGCCACCGTCCCAGGGAAAACCTTCCTCAACATCACGCCAGCTGAGGTTGGTGTCCTGGTTGGCAAAGACTGGTCAAGCTTTGTCATGAATGGGCTGACACTGGGGGGCCAGAAATATACTGTGGTCCTGGACTCACTGCTGCAGGATGGGGAATTGACCACGGATCTTTGTATGAAGAGCATCGGTGGAGCCCCCACCTTCAACGTCATTGTCACCATGACTGCCAAGACGCTAGGCCTGCTGATGGGCAAAGAAGGTATCCATGGCAATTTCATCAACAAGTAATGTTATGAAATGGCCTCCCACCTTCAGCGTTCCCAGTACTGACCTCCTTTGTTCCTTCCACTCCACCGCTCCCCACAGCTTTGCCCGCCTTTCCTTCACATACACACACCATTTTAATTTCAGGAGTCATTACCCCACACACCTTATTGCTGCCAAAACCACATGGGCTGGGGGCCAGGGATAGATGGACAGACACCTTCCCCCACCCATACCCCTCCTGTGTGTGGCTGGAAAACTTTTTTGTTTTGATGGATTTTTTATGAATAAAAAAGATTCTACTAAAAAAAATCAATAACTGTACATATGTGGGCATATTGTTTGAATCTGTATTCTTTTGCTTTGATATATTTATGAATACTTACACCATTACTACTGTTTTTAAATTACTGTAGCTTTAAAATCAGGTTTGAAATCTAGCAGAGCAAGTCCTCCAACTTATTGCTTCTTCAAGACCGACTTGCTTATTCTAGGTTCTTTGATTTTCAAATACATTTTGAAACTAGCTTTCAAATTTCTCTAAAATCTCCTACTAGAAATATTAATCAGAATTGTGTTGATGTAATATGCTAACAAAATTGAGTCTTCCAATCAATGAACATGATATATATTTATTTAGCCTTCTTTAATTTTTCTCACCAATTGCTTTTAGGGGCCTCGTACCTGCTTCATTGCATGTATTGTTAAGCATGTAATGATTCTGGCTATTAATCTCTATTATGTTTTATTGAATTTCATTTTCTAGCTGCTAATTGCTAGTATGGAGAAATTAAGATGATGAAATCAACTTTATAAAGGCATAATTTCGGTACAACAGACTGCACCACTTTAAAATGTGTAATTCAATGCACGTTTACAAATGGATGCACTAACGGAACTACTGCCACAACCAAGATAGAGGAAATTCCCTATGCCCAAAAGTTTCTTGTACCCCTTTGCAGTTCATCAGCCTTTCAACCCTCAGCCCCAAGGAGCCACTGTCACTTCAGGTCCGTTTGCATTTTTAACCATTTTCTATAAATGAAATGATACCTGTGTTCTTTTGTGTCTGCCTTCTTTCATGCATCAATGTAATTTTAAAATCCATCTGTAATGTCTTGTAAATACTGAGTAGTATTCCTTCATGTGGCTATACCATGTATGTTTGTACTTTCACTTATTATTGGACATTTCTATCATTCCACGTTTGGGCTATTATGAAGAAACTATCATGAGCATCCATACGTAGCAGGCCAGGTCTCACTAACACAGGCCTCCCTAAAAACTGTTTCAGTAGCGACTGAGTGGTTCAATTAAATATTAAGAGGAAAAAAAAAAAAAAAAGAAGCCAGTGCCCTTATACAAAGGCTGGAATGTAACAAAAGCCCACCAAGAGTTTTGCCTAGGTTTTTCCTGGGCCTTAAAGCATGACGAAATAACGAAGGCATTCTTAACAGGAGCCATTTAGTATTAAACGAGTTTTACTGGGGGTCTGAAGAAACTCCCCAGGCCTCCACAGACAAGTTTATTGGAGATCTGAAGGGACTCTCCAAACCTCTGTGATTTAGCAGGAGACAAGATAAGGGCCCCCAGCACCTAGACCCATTTAGATTAAGTGAATTTAACTGAGGTTCCAGAGGAAGGTCTTTAGGACTCAGACTTAGTTATAGATTAAAAGAAGTTAATCACTTATGTATTTAGATGAATGCACACTTCCACATACACATATAGCTTAGAAGGTACATTAGCTCAGGAAAACTTTCCAATTTTGAGTTGGTCTGGTGATAATTTCCAGGCCGTTTCCCTGTAACCAGTTGCAGAAGTCAAAACTCTCTTCCTCCCCAGTTCATCTGTGTCTCGTTACTGAGCCACGAGAAATAGCAGCCCGCCCCTCAGGTTGGTCTGGAAACACACATACAGATCATTGTGCAGACACAGTGTGTAAATTCCTAGGAATGGAATGACTGTCTATCTGATTTGTGTTATGTTTAACCTTTAAGAAACTGTTAGATTTTCAAAGGAGCAATACCATTTTTCATTCCTACAAGTATAAGACTTCCAAGTGCTTTATATCCTCACCAACATGTGCTATTTTCAGCCTTTTTAATTTTAGCCATTCTTATGGATATGTACTGGTATCTCATTGTTGCACTGATTGATCTCCCTGATGACTAAACAGTGGAGCATCTTTTCCTATGCTAATTGACCATTCATGTATCTTCTTTTCTGAAGTATCTATTCAAGTCTTTTGAGAAATTGTTTCATTGTGCTGTTTATCTTATCAGACTGCAATATATATATGTGTGTGTGTGTATATATATATATATATATTCCCTATTTGGAGATGATAATCTTCAAAACGGTGAATATATATATATATATACACACACACACACACACACATGTTTGTGTGTGTGTGTGTGGGGGTGTGTATACATATATATATGTCCTAAGAATCAATTAGACATACATGTGAGTATCTATTTCTGGATTCTCTCTTCTCTTCCACTGATATATATTCTATTTTTTTTTTTCAACAAAACACATAATCTTGATTTTCATAGCTGTAGAGTAATTCTGGAAATAGGTAGTGAATTCATTCACCATTATTCTTTTATAATATTGCTATTTTATTATTCTTGATCATTGACATTACCATATAAATGGTAGAATCAGCTTGAAAATTTCTACCAAAATGCCACTTGGAATTTTTATTAGAATTGCATTGGATCTGGAGATCAATTTACGAAGAACTGACTCTTTAAACATAACAACTCTTCTGATCCATGACAAGGTTTATCTCCCCACTAATTTAGTTCTTTCATAATTTCTCAAAGCAATTTTTTGTAGTTTTTGGTGTACTGGCCTTACATAAATTTTGTTGACTTTCCTTTTTTTTTTTTTTTTTTTTTTTTTTTTTTTTTTTTTTTTTTTTTTGAGACAGAGTCTTGCTCTGTTACCCAGGCTGGAGTGCAGTGATGCGATCTCGGCTCACTGTAACCTCTGCCTCCCAGGTTCAAGTGATCCTCCTGCCTCAGCCTCCCAAGTAGCTGGACTACAGGCACATGCCACCACGCCTAGCTAATTTTTTGTATTTTTAGTAGAGATGGGGTTTCACTGTGTTAGGCATGATGGTCTCCATCTCCTGACCTCATGATCTGCCCACCTCGGCTTCCCAAAGTGCTGAGATTACAAGTGTGAGCCATGGTGCCCAGTCTGTTGAATTTATTTATAAGCACAACATGTATTTAGATGTTACTTTAAATGAAATTGTATTCTTATTTCATTTTCCAAATGCTCATTGCTAATATACAGAAATACAAAAGACCACTTACATTGAGAGCTTACATTCTGCAACACTACCAAACTCACTGATTAGTTCTGGTAGATTTTTGTAGATTTCTAGCATTGTTAACAAACACAGTCATTATCTGTGAATAAAGACAGCTTCAATTCTTTCTTTTCAATACTTTATTAATTTTTCTTACTTTATTGCATTGACTTAGAGCTCTAGTATAATGCTGAATTAAAAGAGTAACAGCAGGTATTCTACTTTTTTCTCTGATTTAATAGAAAAGCATTCAATCTTATGCCATTTAATATAATGTTACCTGTGGGTTCTTCAAATCTGCCCTTAATGGGGTTGGAAGTGTTGCCTTCTGTTCTCATCATGCTGAGCATTTTCTGGGGTTTGTTTTTATAAATCATGAAAAAAGTTTTCAATTTTGCCAAATGCTTTTACTGTGTATGACCACGTAATCATACGAGTTTTCTCTTTTGCCCTGGTAATATATAAAATGATATTTTTTAAATATAAAAAAGAGGCCGGGCATGGTGGCTCACGCCTGTAATCCCAGCACTTTGGGAGGCTGAGGCGGGCGGATCACACTTGTGGCAGCATTGAAGGCTTCACTCTTCCCCAAGGGATCCAATCTCCCCCCAGTCAAGAAGCTCCAGGTATCTGAACTGGATACCAGGTCATAAATTTCCACTATGGTGACTCCAACAGGTCTCTGTCCTCAGAACTAGAGCTTTTCTAATTATTACATAAGTTGACTTCTTAGTAGATTTCCCATCCATTACATCCCAGACACCTCACAATGATTAGTAACCACCACATGTCCCTGCCTCTCAAGGAAATCCCTCCCGCCTTGTCTCTAGACAGCCAAGTCCCACGGCCTGTCCTCTACTCTTCCAGAACCCTGTTGTTCTGACAGCAGGGAGGGCAAATCCATGCAGCATCTCCCGCCATGACCTCCAGCCTGTAGAGGAGAGGCGCCACAGGACCTTTACATGCACGCCGCTGTTCCCCTCACCCATGCATTTCTTAATGCCTTGGTGAGGAGAATGCCTCTGGGTCTTCCTTGGTGGGAGCTAAAGGAACAAAGGTAAATAATGCTATGGGACCCACTGAGAATTGGGGCTGTGGAAGAGTGGCCACTGAAGTAATAGACAGATGCAGCTATTGTCAGATACTCAGTGCCAGAGCAGGGAGGGAGAGGGAAGAAATACGGACCTCACCTTCCTCTCACTTCCAGGCTCCATCGGGTGCCCACATTGCTAAACCTAACTAGAAGTGTGCACACAGGGGAGCCAGGGATGCATTCTAGAAGGGACAAGCCCCAAGTGGCGTAAGACAGGATGGAAATGAGTGGAAAGTGGATCTGTGGGAAGGAGGAGGGGATGTTATGGGGAAACAAAAGGAGAATACTAGCTAATAACGCTAGGTGACACTAATATCCCCAAGTCTGTGCTCATATTCAGAAAAGAAAGCTCAGCATAAAGCACTCAACCAGGAGTCAAGATATTGTTATTTTCAACTGTTGTTCCAACAGTTGTATTATAAAGGGCCAGTTTATTTCATGCCTTTCTAATTTGACATAAAGTGCTACATGGCATTGGGGCTGGTACAGCCTCACTCAATTATGTGTTGAAGAGTACACAGAGACTGCCAGGCTGAGGGACGATGCAAGAGAATAGAAGAGATGCTCACAGACAACCACAGACCACACGGCCCTAGAGTCAGGGGCAGCACCAGCCACTGTCGGCTGCTCATTTGTCCAGACAGAGCCCACAAGCCTCAACCATGCTTTGCTTCTGCAAGATGCTTCTTCACCTTTTCAATAAACCTGCCTGAATTAAAGCTGATGGGAGTTTATTTCTCCTTCATCATAAAAGAAATTCTTCACCACAACAATCTCCAATGAATTGTGGGCACAGAAGGCAGACCCATCCCTGCTTCTCTTCCACTATCTCCCCTGTAGGCTGAAAAGGAGGAGGTACTGAATTACCTCCAAATGTTCCTCTGGCTCTGATATTCTGTGACTCTGGTTTCTTTTTGGCTACTTTGTTTTTGGAAGCATGTATCCTAAGGCATCCTGTTGAAAAACCTTTGTCTACTGTGTCCAGACATTCCTGGTGGTATTTCAGATAAGACACTCTTGGGTTGCTGCACTCACAAGCACTGAAACAATTCTATGACCATCTGTTTCATGGCCACCTGTTTGCTCATTTTCTATGTACATAAAGGGAGGGGACAGACAGCAAATTTGCATATTATAAATTGTATCATCTTAAAAAGGAAACAAGGCAATATTTTGCAATAAAACCTTAAGATGCATTAAATTTAAGCCTAATGCAATAAAGAATGCCCATAAAATTATTATCTAAAGAATGTTTAGAAAATTGTTGAACAAGGGACATCATCATTTAAAGTGATATGAAGAAAACTCAGCTAAGCATATGGGCTAGATTAGAGAGAAAAATAAAGGACACATCTCTGCCCTGGAAAAACTACTGGTAGCATCTTTCAGAAAGCTCTCTGTGTTTGAGTACGCACCTTGATCCATAGGCTCACATTTGATCCCAACTGGCAGCTGCTTCTTGGCATTAACTTTGGATTCCCAACCAGTAAATCTTAGCAAGATCTGAGTTTCTCCAGGTATGATATTATTTTGTTTGACCATCCTTATCTTCAAGGGCTACCAAGAAGAAACAAATAATTTATTTACCTCCCCAGAGGAAAAGGTTTTACCAATGAGACACTTTCTTACCATGACCCTGTTCACTTGAGTGCCCTGTGTGGCCTGAGAGAAGCTCATACTGGTCACAGGATTCTTTACATGATTAAACTCCTTCCTGAATCCCAACTTCATGGTGGTGGTGATGACAGGTATCCCATGCTCATGTCCCTGAAGTCATCAGCCTGTCTCCAGTTAGAAAAAATTACATGTATATAGAGAGGCCTCTTTGGAAGTAGCGAAAGCTTTCTCACCTTCATACATTAATGGTTGGAATGTACAATAGTATAAACACTTTGGGAAAAAACGTCTGGCATATTCTTACAGAACTAAACAACTACCTATTCTATGACTCAGTAATTCCTAAGCATTTATCCAAGAGAAATTAAAACATATGTGCAGAAAATGATATATACAAGAATGTCCATAGCAGTTTTATTCGTAATAGGAAAAACTGGAAACATTCAAATATCTATCAATACAAGAATGGATACATTCTTGTATTCAAATATCTATCAATATACATTCAAATATCTATCAATACAAGAATGTGATACATTCATTCCATGGAATGGCTAAAGGAACAAACTTTTGACACACAAAACAACATGGATGAATCTCAAAAACATTTTGAGTGCAATAGGAGCCATACGCAAAACAGTGTGAGAAAAATGATAAATAATAATGGTTTCAAGAAATGCAGAGCAGAGAGCCCAGAGGCAAAGACCCACAGGACAGAGGGTCAGTCCCAGGCTGTGGATCCTTACTAAGAAACTCCTGCGGGATTTTGCCCAGCTCCATTTCCAAACTATTTTGGGTTAGTGACTTCTTTATCCCCTCCATGTTCCCTCATTTTGAACTAGAATCACTGTAGTTGTTATTCTATGCCTGTCCCATCATTTCACATTAGGGACAGATAAGCTGTTTGTTCAGTTTCACAGGTCGACAGAGGTAAGGGAATTATGTCAAGGATCTGCACTTAATGGACACTCTCGGAAGCCTCATTCACACCTGGTGTGGATGTTTTAGATGGGATTTTAAGCTTTTGATCTGATGTGGTCTACATGACATTTTTCATGTTGAACTAATGCTTTAATGACATGAAATCTGGAAACCTCAGGGGAGAGGGTAAATGCACTTTGCAGATGGGGGAATGTGAGTGTCCTACTGTGGTAGATGGAATTTCTGAAATGGTCCCCAAACATGCCACACCCTTGTCTCTAAAGCCTCTTAAGGTGATGAGACACCATTCCTGTGACTACATTGTTATATGCCAGTTATATGACTTTAAGATGGTGAGGTTACCGCATGAACTGGATCTAATCACATCACTCCATACATGACAGAGCTTTGTGTGGCTGGTTGGAGAAGATGAAGTCAGAGAAGGTGGGAGCTTGAGAAGGACTCCATAAGTTGTTATTGGTTGAAAGATGAAACAGACAGGTAAGGAGGAAAGCACGTGGCCTCTGGAGTCAGAGTAGACTGTCTCCCCGCTGACAGCCAGCACAGAAAAAGGGCCCTCAGTCCCCCACAAACAAGAATAGGAACTCTTTCATTATCTGTAGTGAACCTGGAAAAATAGCTTGAGCTCTAGGAAAAAAACACAGCCAGCCCATTCCCGGATTTTAGTCTCACATGACTCTGATCAGAGAACCCGGCCGCTTCATTCCAGACTTCTGTGGTTTCAAACCACTGGTTTGTGGTAATGTGATAATAGGCAGCGAGAGAAAACTAGTACAGGTGCCTGTCTCTCCTCTTGAATTTCAATTTCAGATAAATGTATGCTAACCCTCTAAGAGAAAAAAATCAATCAATCGACCAATCAATGAAAGAACTACAGTAAAAATATTGCCCTCACCTTTATGTGGCTGTTCCAGAGCCCTTGCCACCTGAAGAAGACAATGAGGGGTATTTCAGGCACTTGAGGAGTGTGGCTTTACTGTTATCAATCACATTTCTGAAAGAATAAAAATGGTTCAGTGAAGGGATGGGTTGCCCCTCCACACCTGTGGGCGTTTCTCGTTAGGTGGAAGGAGAGACTTGGAAAAGAAAGAGACACAGAGACAAAGTACAGAGAAAGAAAAATGGGCCCAGGGGACTGGCGTTCAGCATACGGAGGACCCATGCCTGCACTGGCCTCTGAGTTCCCTTAGTATTTATTGATCATTATTGGGCGTTTCCGGAGAGGGGGATGTGGCAGGACAATAGGATAATAGTGGAGAGAAGATCAGCAGGTAAACACGTGAACAAATGTCTCTGCATCATAAACAAGGTAAAGAAAAAAGTGCTGTGCTTTTGATGTGCATATACATAAACATCTCAATGCCTTAAAGAGCAGTATTGCTGCCAGCATGTCCCACCTCCAGTCCTAAGGCGGTTTTCTCCTATCTCAGTAGATGGAATATACAATCGGGCTTTACACCGAGACATTCCATTGCCCAGGGATGAGCAGGAGACAGATGCCTTCCTCTTATCTCAACTGCAAAGAGGCCTTCCTTCCTCTTTTACTAATCCTCCTCAGCACAGACCCTTTACGGGTGTCGGGCTGGGGGACAGTCAGGTCTTTCCCTTCCCATGAGGCTGTATTTCAGACTATGACATGGGGAGAAACCTTGGACAATACCTGGCTTTCCTAGGCAGAGGTCCCTGCAGTCTTCCGCAGTGTAGTGTGTCTCTGGGTACTTGAGATTAGGGAGTGGTGATGACTCTTAACAAGCATGCTGCCTTCAAGCATTTGTTTAACAAAGCACACCCTGAACAGCCCTTAATCCATTTAACCCTGAGTTGACACAGCCCATGTCTTAGGGAGCACAGGGTTGGGGGTAGGGTTACAGATTAACAGCGTCTCAAGGCAAAAGAATTTTTCTTAGTACAGAACAAAATGGAGTCTCTTATGTCTACTTCTTCCTACACAGACACAGTAACAATCTGATCTCTCTTTCTTTTCCCCACAGTTCAGGTCAGGCCATGGCTCATATCTGTAATCCTAGCACTTTGAGAGGCCAAGGCAGGTGGATCACTTGAGGTCAAGAGTTAGAGACCAACCTGGCCAACATGAAGAAACCCTGTCTCTACCAAAAATACAAACATTAGCCAGGTGTGGTGGCAGGCGCCTGTAATCCCAGCTATTCAGGAGGCTGAGGCAGGAGAATCACTTGAACTCAGGAGGTGGAGGTTGCAGTGAGCTGAGATGGCGCCGTTGCATTCGAGCCCAAGGAAAAGAGAAATAACTCCATCTCCAAAAAAAAAGATAAAATAAAATAAAGACGGTTCACTACTTAACTCCAAATATTATTATGTGAAAATGTATCATCTCAATTTTAATAGGAGATTTTAAAAAATTCCTTTTCTTGTGCTCACCAGACAAGGTTTGGTAACAAATACCAGTCACCAGCACAGAAGAACCAATTCAAGGAGAGCCATAAACAGGACTACTATTATGTTCCCCCGAAAACCATCCCTAGAATGCAATCTCTTCTCTATTTGTCACAAAACGAACACAATAGTCCACTACATAAAGTCCCAAACACAGGAAAATGTAAATATAATGAAATCTGCTTTCCAAATGTTTATTCTATTCAGACCCAGTCATGGGGACCAGGGATTAGGAAATGACTACAAACAGGTTCAAGGGAATTTGGGAAGTGACAAAATATGCTGAAGTAGAACTCTGCTGATGGCTGCACAATTCGATAAATCAACTTACATCATTGAGTTGTACATTAACAATGGGGGACTTTTATAACAAGTAATTCTTTAAACAAACTTTTGGGTTTCTATTTCAACATGGAAAGAGCTAGGCAGTCATCACTTGTCCTCACAGCTAGAAAAAAGCTGAACAAACTGAAAGTCAACCCTTCTAGGGTGGATCAGAGAATTGAGGTCACAGGGAAAACTGCCACCTTAAAAATGAGAAACACAGGCTAACACATAAGGAGTCACAGGTCACAGGGAAGAGAAGCTACTGGGGACAGCAAGTGGGAGGAGCACTTAAATGATATTGACAGGTTACTAGAAGCTGAGGGTAGCCTGGCTAGAACATTAAAAACTCCTTGAAGACCAGACTAAGGGGGAATCTTACACATTTCCAAGTTTTACTACAATGATCTCAACCAGGTTCTCATGATGAAGTTCAGAAAAACTCCCTGAGGTTTGGCACTACCAACTTCAGGACTTACATTAAGCTACAGTAACCCAAATAGTGTGAAGTTGGTCAAAAGAGAAAACACACACAAATAGATGCATGGAAAAGAATACGGAGCCCAGAAGCAGGCCTACATACAGTCCACTGATCTTCCATGGAGGTTTAGAGACAATTTAAAACAGCAAAGATAGCCTTTCCAACTAGTGGTGCTAGAACAGCTGGACAACCACATGCAAAGAACTAAATAAATCCAGGTATGCATGTTATATCCTTTATAAAATAAATCTTACACGTAAATGTAAGCGCAAAACCATAAGAATCCTAGGAGATAACATAGGAGAAAATCTCGGGGATCCTGGGTTCAATGATGGCTTCTTAAATACAAAACCAAAAGCACAATCTACTAATGAAAAAAAATTAAGTTGAGCCTCATTAAAATTAAAAACTTCTGTTCTGTGAAAGACACTGTTAAGAGAATGGAAAAAGCAAGTCACAGACTGGGAGAAAATACTTACAAAATAATCTGATGGAAAAACTGCTGTCCAAAATATATGAAGAATTCTGAGAACTAAACAACACAAAGCAAAAAAAAAAAAGGTGAAAGATCTGAACACCTCATTAATAAGATATACAGATGGCAAATAAGCATATGAGAAAGATGCTCAAAATCATTTGTGAGGGAATTGCACATTAAAACAACGAGATATCACCATAAACCTATCAGAATGGCTAAAACACAAAACGGTGAACACACCAAATGCTGTCAAAGATCAGGAACAACCAGAACTCTCCATAGCTAGTGGAAATCAAAAGTGTAGTCACTTTGGAAAACTTAAGTTCATTCAAAATCCTGCACGTAAGTACTTACAGCAATTTTATCATAATTGTCAAAACTTGGAAGTACCCAAGACGTCTTTCACCAAGTGAATGAATAAACAAACTGTGTTGTAGCCATACAATGAAATCTGATTCAGGGATTTTACAAAACAAGCTATCAAGTCATGAAAAGGCGTGGAGGAACTTAAACTACATAATGCTAGAAAGAAGCCAGTCTGGAAACCTACATACTGTAATTCCAACTCTAGGACATTCTTGGAAAGTCAAAAAGATAGAAGTAGTAAAACGATGAGTGGTTGTCAGGGGTGGAGGAGAGGAGGAGGCATGAAATGGTGAAGCACAGGGAATTTTCAGCAGTGAAACTATTTTGCATGATGCTGTATTGAGGATTTAGGACATTACGTAATTGCCAAAACCCATAATCTGTGAAACTCAAAGAATGAACTCTAATGTAAACTATGGACTTTAGTTGATAATGATGTATCAACAGTGGTTCATCAATTGTAACGAATGGACCACACTAATACAACATACTAATAGGGGAAATTGTGTGCTGGAGGACAGGGGAGCCTAGGAGAACTCTCTGTACTATCTACTCCATTTTTCTGTAAACCTAGAACTGTTCTAAAAAATAACATCTATTACTTTTTTTTAATTAGGATGCAGCAGCCCCATACCAAGGTTTTGGTGGCATCCTGTTATTGTTTGGTTAGTACTTGGCATTGAAGTGCACCAACCTGGAGTCAGAGCAGTTGGAGATTTCAATGCCTATGCCATTTACCTCTAACCCTGGGGTGCCCCCGGAACACAGCTAGCAGATCAGTTAGGCAGAAGCAGCCTCAGTCATCTAGACAGTTCAGGGTTCTGGTAAGGACAGGTGCAAACCATCTAGGTGGGCAGAACTTGGTGATGACTAGGAACCACTGAGACTCAGCAGCTGCCCCAGTGGCACCCACAAATCAGAGGAGGAGGAGGCTGGGAGGACCTAAGGGCTACAGGATGAGCTCCCTGCCCACAAGACAGAAGCAGCTCCAGAGATTTTGATAAGCAATGTAGATTTCAGTGCAGTGTGGTCTATTTAAAATAGTAGAACAAAAAGGAAAGAAAAAGAGAGAGCATGAGAGAGAGAGAAAGAAAAAGAAGAAAGGAAAGAATGGAGGGAGGGAGGGAAGGAGGGAGGGAGGAAGGAAGGAAGGGAGGGAGGAAGGAAGGCAGGGAGGGAGGGAGGAAGGGAGGAAGAAAGGAAGGGAGGGAAGGCAGAAGGGAAGGAGGGAGGGAAAGAATAAAGAGAGAGAGAAAGAGAGTGGGAGGGAAGTAGGGAAGGGAGAGAAGTAGGGAAGAAAGGAAGGAAGGAAATGAACAAATTTACATGAAGATGAGAACATCCAGGGGAACTTACACCACCAGTATTTCCATTAACAGGAACATGCTAACTAGTTATTAGAGAGAGACGCACTACTGTAAAACTATATACTGTTTCCATGGGGTACAACCCCTTCTTCCTCCTCTGAAACACATTATTCCTCTGGCCCGCTGTTGCCAGAGACACTGAGTCTTGTCTTTGGATAAGTTCTGGTGCCCCAAAGAATGAGATGAGACAGTGGATCCCAGAACACCAGGCCGCAACCTTCCCTGCTGCTCCTTGTCCACTCCAGAAGCTGCCCGGCTGCAGGTGGGGGCCTCAGCCCCTGGGTCTGACATCGTCCATTTGTCATTCTCACTGGACTTCCCTCCTTGCACTGGCTCCCACTCCCCCAGGACCTGGTGGGCAGCCACGTGAGAAGGATACAAACAGGCCATGCCCCTTTCTTTCTCCCCCTCTCAATGCCTGCAGTGGTGGGTTCCGTGGGGTAGTGACCTGAGATTTACTCATTATGGGGCCTCTAGCCCAGAGCAGGGCATGGTACCTAATAGTCACCCCATGAATGGTCAGTGAAAGAAGGCGTCCACCACAAGGTCCTGGGGAACCAAGAATTCCACTGTGGCCCATAAATTCTAAGTCCTACAGGATTCTGGAATGGGAGATGGGATCGGCCTTCAAAAGTGGTCTCTCTTTTAACCCATTATACTGGCAACTGAGCCATGTTTCCCCATCCTGGACACATCTAGAGGGCACTGCCTAAAACCACACACATCTCCCCACCCAGGACAGTGCAGAGCCTTAGCCTGGGGGATGCGGGTGGACAGGGAGGGGGTGAGCCATGAAAGCTGAAGAGGAGAAAGCAGGTGAAAGAGGACAGCAGGGTGGAAACAGAGAGAGAAATGGGGGCAGAGAATGGGGGGTGAGAGGGGAAGAGAGAGGAGAGGGATGCAGATCTAGCTACCAAGGAAAAGTCCTGAAGAGAACATGTCCTCTCCTGAAGTAAAATCACTTTCACCCGACCATGGCACTGCAAGTCCAGGGCGGCACACGCTGTGAATATTTGTTCATTCATTTAACATATATTTATTTAATATCTGTTTGATGCCAGGCAAGGCCCTGTGATGTTTAGGGCCCTTGGCATCTTCCCTTCACATCTGAGTCATAATAGAAAGAGGACTCTCTGACCCCATCGAGCTGGCAATGCCTCAGGATTTTTACCTGTTGGATCTGGCAGCTCTTCATGTCGGCCCACACCATGTGAAGCTGCTCTTGGTGCACTGAATGGGTAAGTTTCTACATCGGTGCCTCGGAGAGTCCACCAGAAGCCCTGGACAGTGGGAGTTGGTGGCACCCCCAGTGTGGAGGCCAAGAGCACACAGCACTGAAGCTCCAGACATCCTCAGGAGAATGATAAGGGACAATCTGCTCATGAGAGCCTGGGTCACCAGGAACCTTTGCCTGGGTCTAAACAGGATTTGCCTTCAGAATGCCTATGAGATAAAAGAGAGAAATCAAGGTTAACATTGAGATTTGGGGCTTGGGCAACTTGAAGGGTGAAGCTGCCATTTACCGAGACTGGGAAGACCCAGGCAGGAGCAGATTGAAAGGTGGTGGGGAACTAGAGTTGGTTGGGTTTCTGTCATATGTAATCAACAGTCCTCACCAGCCTGTGCAACATAGTAAGACCCCATCTCTGAAAATAAAAAATGAGAAATTAGCCGAGCATGGTGGCGCACACTTGCACTCTCAGCTACTCGGGAGGCTGAGGCAGGAGGATTCCTTGAGCCTTGAGTTAGAGGTTAGTGAGCTATGATGGCACCACTGCACTCCAGCCTGGGGGGAAAAAAATAGAGTTCTGACTAAATATTTGAGTAGCCAGGGAAGTTTTCACAAAGTAAGGAATATTTGAGGTAGATCTTAGTGAACAAGAATTCGATTCTTTCTGTTAGGGAATTAAGAGTGTGTGGGCGTAGTTAATGCTTCTTTGGAATCTCATCTACTGGTCTATCTGGTCTATCTGTACCCGTATATTCTACAGGCTGTCTCACTGAGCTTTCACTAGGTTATGCTGCAGTAACAAAAGCCCCAAAATCTTAGCAGCTACACATACAAAGGTTTATTTTTCATTGGCATTTCCTTTTATGGCAGCTTGACTATGATTCTGCTCTATACAAGCTATTTTATTTGTTAGATGGTGAAAACCGTGACACTTGGAGATTGCTGAATATGGTATTAGTATGTTCATTCATTCATTCATTTAACAAATATTTATTCAATATCTGTTTCATGCCAGGCGAGGTCAAGTACTGAGAATACAGTGGTGAATAAAAGAAACAAAATCTCTAATTTCCAGGAGCTTATATTGAAAATGAGATTGAACACATACAAAAAAAAATAATAACAATAATGAATACTATATTTACAAATAATAGCTGTAAGAGATTTTAGTACCTGTTTTAAATTAGAAAAATATAAAAATTATTAAAACTAAAATGGCCAGATGTGATGGCTCACACCTGTAATCCCAACACTTTGGGATGCCAAGGTGTGACAATCAACTGAGCCCAAGTGTTTGAAACTAGTCTGGGCACCACAGGAAGACCCTGTCTACAAAAAATAAAAAATTAGCTGGGCATGGTGGTGCATGCCGTAATCCCAGCACTTTGGGAGGCTGAAGCAAGCAGACTACTTGAGCCCAAGGGTTTGAGACCAACCTGGGAAACATGTTGAATCCCCATCTCTACAGAAAATACAAAAATTAGCCAGGCATGGTGGCACACGCCTATAGTCGCAGCTACTCAGGAGGCTGAGGCAGGAGGATTGCTTGAGCCAGGAGGTGGAGGTGGCAGTGAGCTGAGATTATGCCAACACACTTCAGCCTGGGCAACAGAGTAAGACCCTGTCTGAAAAAAAAAAATGCAAAAACTAAAATAAAATTGCTATAAGGTTAATATAGAAAAGTGTGTTCATATTCTTAGGCTAGGCATTGATTTCTTTTTTCTTTCTTTTTTTTTTTTTTTTTTTTTTTGGTACAAGACAGAGTCTTGCTCTGTCAACCAGGCTGGAGTACAGTAGTGTAATCTCGGCTCACTGCAACCTCCGCCTCCTGGGTTCAAGCAATTCTCCTGCCTCAGCCTCCTGAGTAGCTGGGATTACAGGTGCCCGCCACCACATCCAGCTAATTTTTGTATTTTTAGTAGAGACGGGGTTTCACCATGTTGGCCAGGCTGGTTTCATACTCCTGACCTCGTGATCCACCTGCCTAGGCCTCCCACAGTGCTGGGATTACAGGCATGAGCCACCGCACCTGGCCAGGCATTGATTTCTTAAACAGGACACAATAAGCAGTAACCATAAAGGAAAAGATTGATAAAGTATATTTCATTAAAATTAAGATACTCTGGCCGGGTGCGGTAGCTCATGCCTATAATCCCAACACTTTGGGAGGCCGAGGCAGGTGTCACTTGAGCCCAGGAATTCCGTATCGGGCTATGCAACATGGCAAAACCCCATGTCTAGTAAAAATACAAAAAACAGCTGAGCATGGTAGTGGTCTCCTGTAGGTCCCAGCTACTTGGGGACTGAGGCAGGAGCATCACCTGAGCCTTGGGAGGTCGAGGTTGCACTAAGCTGTGATTGTACCACTGCACTCCAGCCTGGGCAACAGAGTGAGATCTTGTCTCAAAAAGAAAAAAAATTAGAGAATCTCCATTCATGAAAAAACGTCATTAAAAGAGTGAAAACACAAGCTGCAGATTGAAAAAAGAGAAATGCAATCCATATATATCCTAGAAAGGATGCATATCCAGAATAAAGTATTACAAATCAACAGAAAAGCATATCAATGAAAACTGGATAAAAAGATTTAGGGGCAGGGGTGCGGAGGGACCGACGGACGCACGGGCGGGCGGCCGGGAGCCATGGAGCGCGGCCCTGGGGCCCGGGGGCGCGGGCCGGGGTGGGCTTCCCACGGCACGACATGGAGACCTGTGGTTGCGAGGCTCCCTGGGGCTCGGCTTGGACCGCGATGGGGCTGGGCCCTGGCCTCCTAACGGGGCTGCTGTCTGGGGCGGTAGCTGGGGGGGCGCTCTCCCCCCTGCCCGCGACTCGGAGCACCCCACCCCTCCCCTGCCGGGCCAGGCCGGGCGGCGTTGTTGGCGGGGGCCCCGGTGGAGGCCCGGCCCGGGCGGCGCCCGCCATGAACGGGCTGTCGCTGAGTGAGCTCTGCTGCCTCTTCTGCTGCCCTCCCTGCCCCGGCCGCATCGCTGCCAAGCTCGCCTTCCTGCCGCCGGAGGCCACCTACTCCCTGGTGCCTGAGCCCGAGCTGGGGCCTGGTGGGGCCGGGGCCGCCCCCTTGGGGACCCTGAGAGCCTCCTCGGGCGCACCCGGGCGCTGGAAGCTGCACCTGACGGAGCGTGCCGACTTCCAGTACAGCCAGCGCGAGCTGGACACCATCGAGGTCTTCCCCACCAAGAGCGCCCGCGGCAACCGTGTCTCCTGCATGTATGTTCGCTGCGTGCCTGGTGCCAGGTACACGG
Source organism: Homo sapiens (assembly GCF_000001405.40). Lineage (NCBI taxonomy): Eukaryota > Metazoa > Chordata > Mammalia > Primates > Hominidae > Homo > Homo sapiens. The sequence goes on from NC_000001.11 coordinate 148,146,735, forward strand.
TCCTCTTCTCGCACGGCAATGCCGTGGACCTGGGCCAGATGAGCAGCTTCTACATTGGCCTGGGCTCCCGCCTCCACTGCAACATCTTCACCTACGACTCCTCCGGCTACGGTGCCAGCTCGGGCAGGCCTTCCGAGAGGAACCTCTATGCCGACATCGACGCCACCTGGCAGGCCCTGCGCACCAGGTGAGGGCGACCCTGGGGGCAGCTCAGCCTGGGCACACCCAAGAGGGGACCAGGCGGGGGGCCGGGGGGCGGGCTTCCCTGGGAGGAAGGTGGGCGGCCCTGCAGGAGGGGAGCCACAGTGGATGCACAGGGCCAGAGAGCCGGACAGGCGAGCTTGGGTGTGCAGGTGCCGCCTCCACATGGCTGAGGTGTGGCCAGGCGGTCCTCCCACACCCTGGCCTGTGGAGCCAGGCTCCCTGGGAACCCCTGGCCTGAGGATGGGAAGGGGCTGAGCTTGTCACAGGGGTGTGGATGCCACCTGGCGGGAGGGAGTGGGTGGTGGTCTGGGGGTCTGTGCACGTGTGGCTGGGAGCCCATCGGCTGAGGCAGCACTTGGGGCCAAGTGAGGCGAGGCTGCTGCATCCAGGTCCGGAGGACTGGCCCATGAGGCCCTGTGGCTGCGGAGCTTGGCCATCCTGGGGCAGGGCCTACAGGGTAAGGTGCAGACCCGCAGCACACATCCGAGGTCTGGGCCAGCCTCGATTCCAGATCCAGCCCTCCTAGTCATCCACGTCCCCAGCCCTGTGCTTGCCTGGGCCCTTCACCGGTGTTTGAGCAGCGCCCGGGCCAGTGCTGCTTTGGACGAGGAGACCCGGCTGGGCCTCTGGTGGCTTTTCCTGCTCGCCATCCACTGGGCCTGTCTCGTCCTGGCCCTGCCCAGCCCACTGGTCTGACCTGCTCCCGCAGGGACCAGGCACAGCTCTGAGAAGTCAGAGGCCCTAGGGAGGTGGGGTCGTCGTTGCCTTGGTGATATGCAGGCAGTCCCTGCTGTGGGCCTGGGAGCTGGTCCCCTGGCACCACCCTGGCTCCAGGGGCCTCCCGGCAGTTGTGGGACGCTGACACCAATCACCACTTCATGCGGCTTCCTCGGCCCCTCCTGTCTCTACTGCCTGGGCCACTGGCAGAGTCACACCTGCCATGGCCAGCTCTGAGCTCTGTCTGCTCGGCCATCTGTCCTGCTGCCCCTTTGTCCTGCAGGAACCTAGGCCCAGAGCCATGAGGGGGAGGCCAGAGCGTGCCCAGGGCCTCCACTGGGGATGTGTCCCGTTCGTTTGAGTGGTGACATCCAGGTGGCAGCTGGGGGCTCCTGCCTGTAGCAGGTGGCAGGGCTGGGCTGGCTCAGCACACTACTGACCATGGCTGCCAGGGAGCAGGCCGGGGAGGCCGAGGCAGAGCTGGGGCCACAGGCACCAGCCAGGCAGCATCCTTTGGGGCATGGGTGAGTGGCGAGCTGTGGAGTGCTGCCAGGAGGCTGGGATTCCAGGCCAGGGACGGGGACAGCCCTGCTGGTGGAGTCCGAATGCCAGGCAGAGGGGACGCACACCTGCCCATGCTCCTGCCTTGCAAGAGGGCGTCTGCCTGGGATCAGAGCCTAGAGCGTGTGGGAGGAGAGTTGTGGGGTCCCGGCATGGGCAGGGTGGCAGGTGGGTCCCGCGTGCTTGGGACTGGGCACGAGGAGGCCTTGTAACTGGTGCTGGATCAGCTGGGTCAGGGGCCGCACACCAATGACCTGGGGGTGAGGGTGCCCCTGGGTGGGAGCTGGTGGTGCTGAGGTGGCCGAGGACTTGTCCACTCCCAAGGGAAGGTGCTGGTGGGAGGGGGTGCCACCTCCGCAGCCACCACCCTCGATGCTGACCTGGGTTGCACTGGCATCTCACTGGGCGTGGGGACTCCGAGAGTCCAAAATTGGGTGGAGACATTTGGGGACACAGCTGCCTGAATTCCTCATGGCCAAGGGGGTGGGCAAGGGCTGCAGGGAGGAAGAGTGTCCGCTGTCCTGGCCAGTGCACCAGGAACGGCTTTCTAACCCGGGCAGGAAGGTATGAAGCATTCAGGATGTGGGGGCCACACAGTTCCCAGTGTGCACCTAGGGGTGACCAGGAGGAGGAGAGGCGCCAGGGCCTCCCTTACCCCCGCCCCAGGGGCACTCCGTAGGCAGGATCCCTGCAGATCCTAGCTAGGAAACGCCAGTGAACGGCAGCGCAGGGAACGGGGCGGGGCCGCTGGCTTCGCCCACCGCCACGGTGTTGGGGGCTGGGGGTGGCCCTCGGGACTGGTGTGGAGCCTGAGCCTGACCCACTGACTTGGCTGAGTGGGGAGACTGGAGGGTCGCATCCGGAGCTGGGCCCGGGGACGCCCGCTGGTGGGAAGGGTGCGCGCGCGTTGGAGGCCGCGGCTGACCCTGCTCCGGCGCCGCCAGGTACGGCATCAGCCCGGACAGCATCATCCTGTACGGGCAGAGCATCGGCACGGTGCCCACCATGGACCTGGCCTCGCGCTACGAGTGTGCCGCGGTGGTGCTGCACTCGCCGCTCACCTCGGGCATGCGCGTCGCCTTCCGCGACACCAAGAAGACCTACTGCTTCGACGCCTTCCCTAACATCGAGAAGGTGTCCAAGATCACGTCTCCCGTGCTCATCATCCACGGCAGGGAGGACGAGGTGATCGACTTCTCGCACGGGCTGGCGCTCTACGAGCGCTGCCCCAAGGCGGTGGAGCCGCTGTGGGTGGAGGGCGCCGGGCACAACGACATCGAGCTCTACAGCCAGTACCTGGAGCGCCTGCGTCGCTTCATCTCCCAGGAGCTGCCCAGCCAGCGCGCCTAGCGGCGGCCCCAACCAGCCGGACCTCAGCAATAAGGCGGCCCCCGGACCTCACCCCGCGCCGGCCCCCACCCAGGGGCTGCATGTGGACCCCCCCGGGCGGCCCAGGGGACCCCGCCCCGACCCAGGGGCTGTGGACGATGTACAGGCAACAGAGCTACGCACTCCTTTCCTTTTGGAAGCAAGAAGAAAATACGTGAAAACGGAAATTAAAGATTTAAAATTAAAAAAAAAAAAAAGATTTAACAGGCACTTCATAAAAGAGGACATATAAATGGCAATAAAAGATACTCAATCTCAATACCAGGAAAATGGAAGTTGAAACCGCATTGATATATTACTGCACCTCTACGAGAATAACAAAATAATTTTTAACTGACAAGCATCAGCAAGGATGTGGGGTAACTGGAATATTCCCTGCTAACTGATAAAACACTTTGGGAAAATGTTCAGCCATATGTAATACTAAAGTTTTATCATTCATATAGCTCTAAAACCAACAATGCCACTTCTACATATATACCCCAATATAGTAATGTTCTATTTCTTAATCTGTGGTGGTTCATTTAGTAAAAACACATGACCTGTACTTTTTTTTTTTTTTTTGAGGCAGGGTTGCACTCTGCCATCCAGGCCAGAGTGCACTGGCACGATCACTGCTCACTGCAATCTCAACCTCCCAGGCTCTGTTGACCACACACAGCTAATTTTTGTATTTTTAGTAGAGATGGCATTTTGCCACGTTGCCCAGGCTGGTCTGGAACTCCTGGGCTCAAGTGATCCGCCCACCTTGGCCTCCCGAAATGCTGGAATTACAGGTGTGATCTACCACGCCCAGATCACCTGCACGTTTAAAATTGTGAACTTCTTCTGTATACTTCAGTAACTTTTCGAAGATTTCTTTGACACAAAGTTCTCAGAAATCTTAAAGCTAGCATTTTAGAATAGAAAAAAAAAAGAGCTTTTGGTTCACTGGTGAAATTTTACTAATTAAATTTAAAAACAAAAAGAAAGCTATTAATGCATAACAGCTCAGAACAAAGATTAAAAACCACCAGCACATCAGTTTTCCTTAACTTCGTGAAGCACTGGTATTCATTCTTTCGGCAAAGAAAGGATGAACAACACTGTAACTCAAAGAAAAGATACCACTGCAAGAAAAGGCTTTTTTTTTTTTTTTTAGAGGGAGTCTCGCTCTGTCACCCAGGCTGGAGTGCAGTGACAAGATATCTCCGCTCACTGCAACCTCCGCCTCCCAGGTTCAAGCGAGTCTCCTGCCTCAGCCTCCCGAGTAGCTGGGACTACAGGCACCTGCCACCATGCCCGGCTAATTTTTTGTATTTTCAGTAGAGACGGGGTTTCACTGTGTTAGCCAGGATGGTCTCAATCTCCTGACCTCATGATCCGCCCGCGTCGGCCTCTTAAAGTGCTTCTTTTCGAAAGCAGCTCCACCAGCAAAAGGTAGGAGGAAAGCGAGGAAACCATTCCTCGCTTGGTTAACTCTTGGGTGAAAGGACGCCAAATGAGATGATCTAAGAAGCCTCAAAGAAAGACAGACAGGCACAGAAAAATCACAGCAACTCTTTGGACTGCAAACACCAACACCACAGTCCAACCTACCAGAAATCCTGTGGTTAATTGGAGGCTTGCCCCGCTAGTCATGAGATGATTCAGTGATCGCTACAAACGCTCCTCACATGCATCCTGGACCTGGCACACCTGGCTTGCCCATCACCAGCCTGGAGACACCGCCAGGAGCAGAATCCCGGAGGCCAATAAAGACCCCAACTTTGCAAGTCAGGGGCGCGAGCGCTCTTGCCCCTCAAGTTCCCAGAAAGAACGGCCTCGAGGGTGGGGTGCGAAGTCAGTGTGCTCCACAGGACTTCCGAAGACGTGCCCCCGAAGCTGCTCCGTCCCTCCACCCCCTGGGATGCCACAGAACACCTGCCAGGGAGTTTCTTCCCCAGCGCCCACGAGAGGAGGGCTGCGGGCTGCAGCGGCAGGCGAGGAATCAAGCGCAGGGAACTTAGGCCCCGGCGGAGCCCTGCGGAGCCCGGCAGTGCCCGGCGCAACCGCCCCGCTCGCCTAACAAAACTTGCGGCGGCCCAGCCCGCCGCGCCTCAGCCCAGCTGTGAGCCCGCAGGTCCCAGACTCACCTCCCGCCCGGCCTGGCGCGGCGCCCTCACCTCCGGAACGCTGGGTGGACTTCGCAGTAAACTTGAACTTCCCATCCAGGCTGCAGCCGTGCCGCCGTACCTCGGCCCCGCTCCTGGCGCCGCAGGTCGCCCGTCCCGCGTTCCCAAAATCACCAGGCTCACTCAGAAGCTCAGGCAGCCTCGCGACCCTCACCTACCCCTCCCAGCACCGCCGCTATCTCCACCGCCGCCCAGCAACTTGCTTGCGGCCCGCTGGCTCCTCAGGGTCCGGATGGGCCGTGTCAGGAGAGCCCAAGGCACAGGCGCAGCTGGGCCTTAAAGGGACCCGGCTGCCTCTACCGCACAGCGGGTTCGGGCCGCGGGCCGAGAAAAGGAGTAATGGAGGACAGAGCGCAGCGGGGACGGGAAAATCCCTCTCTCCCCTCCGCCTCTCTTTCAAAGCACCAGCCCTTGACCCTGCAATTCGCTGATTTCCCCGGCCACTTGAACCGCCCCTGCCAGGTTAAAGAGGCGGGAGACACACCCCCTCGGAAGCCCGGAGCTACCCCGCGTTTAGGACTGCAGGCTTCGCGCTGCCGCACCGCCCCATAGTCTGACTTCCGGGCTCGGCCCGCGGCGCAGACGCACAGGAGTCGGAAGGCAGCCCCCAGCTCCCGCGAGAGGTGGCCTTAGGTCACTCGCAAAAACAATAACCAACGTGTCAATGGCACTTGTATTTATTTTCTAATTTAAATTTATAACAGATTTCGCAGATGGGCTTCCACTGAAATAAGCCTTTGAGAAAAAGAAAAACTTTTTTTTTAACAAGATTAGGAAATACCAAGAAATATGAAGTAAAGCCATGCCATCTACCCAGCTAAAAACTTTGAAAACTTGAAATTTTATCTAAGGCAAATGTTTGCATAATTTTAAGTCGTGCCATTATTTAAAGTCAATTTCAATTAACAATTGCATTGCAACTAAATACATCTTCTATAAGAAAACTAAGATACATCCCTGATAATCTACCTTTCCCCTCCTATATTCCGTCCATCAGCAAATCCTACTGGTTTTTACCTTCCAAATTTTCCTTGAATCTGTCCTCTTCTACCTCCTCCATCACCACCCTAGTCTAGGCTACCTTCACCTGGGGAGTGGGGGTGGAGGGACTACTGACCTAGTCTCCTTGTGGTTTACCCATATCCCCTTTATCGCCTCTCTAATCTCAACACAACAGGCAGAGTGGCTTTTTCAAAATGTAATGTGACCCTGTCACTTCCCAGCCCAAACCACTTAAACACCTTCCCGTTCTCTTAGACAAAACCTCCTAACTAACCAAGCCCTGAATGGCCAGGCGCTTTGCCCACCTCTCCATGTCTTCTTACAGGTCAGACCAATTCCATCCTGCTCTCTCTGCTTCAGCCAAACTGGCCTCTTTTATTCCCTATTTACTCAGCTTCCTGGACTCCACAGAGCTTTTGCTCATGCTTTGCTCTGTGCCTGAAGATTCTTCCAACCCTCATCCTTCTGACGACAGCTGTAGTCTCCACCTCTGAGAGGCAACTTCTGACCTCCCTACGGTGGTCCCTTACTCCCATCACATTGCATAAAACTGTAATCAAGTGGTTATGTTGGGGAATCTACCATCAGCTCCGTAAGTCCAGGATTTGGTTTTGTTTGGCTCATGGTTGTATTTCCACATTTGTGAAATACATATTTGTTCCTAAATGAGAACGATAGATGCTAGAAGTTGAAGTAAATTTGGCATAAAGTCAGAGAAAGGTAAAATGTCACAATCTGATATTTGGAGGCAGAATCTAAAAACTTCAGTTATATTAAAACTGATTTTATATCGTTTTAGGCTGGATTGTTGCAGGGACTCTTTGGGTAATCTTTAAAACTGAGTTCTCAGAGAGCCTTGTATAAACACCTGAATTAATAATGATAGCCCTGGGATGGTCCACATAAAACGAATAACATTGGTTGCTTCAAGAGAGGAAGAGCGAGCCAGGCACAGTGGCTCATGCCTGTAATCCAAGCACTTTGGGAGGCCAAGGCTGACAGATCATTTGAGCTCAGGAGTTTGAGACTAGCCTGGGCAACTTGGTGAGACCCTGTCTCTACACAAAATACAAGCAAAATTAGCTGGTAGTCCCAAACACCTGTAGTCCCAGCTGTGTGGGAGGCTGAGGTGGGAGGATTGCTTGAGCCCAGAAGGTTGAGAGGCTGCAGTGAGCCATGATCATGCCACTGCACTTCAGCCTGGATGACAGAGCAAGATCCTGTCAAAAAAAAAAAAAAAAGAGAGAGAGAGAAAGAAAGACTCTTGACTGGTGGCTACTGGTGGGAAAGAGGTTTTTACTACATCCCCAATTGGACCTTTTTATTTTAAAGTATGTGAAGATAAATAAATGACACAAAAGAGTGCATACCATCCCATTTATTTGAAATTCCAGAAAAGGCAAAATTAATCTGTGGTGAAAAAATCATAACAGCAGTTCCTTCTAACAGGATATTGACTGGGAAGGCACACAAGAGAAATTTCTGGGTGCTAAAAATGGTCTGTCTTGATAGGGGTAGGAATTACAAAAAATTCAGTTAACATTTCAATGAATGTAAATTTTATCTTAAAAACTATAAAAATAATTTAAAATTTAAAATCTAGTAGCTAACACCTAGTTGAGCGCTCAGTGTCTATGGGTATTGGCCAAAGCTATACATACACAATTTTGTTTAGTCCTCATACTGTCTTCACGAGGTAGGTATTATTATCATAACCCCCTTGCATATGAAGAAGCCCAAATTTAGTAAATACTAAATAACTTTCCTTAATTTATACCCCCTGGAAAATGGGGGAAGAGCTTTGACTACCGTCAGTCAAATGCCATAAGTTATTAAATATTAGACCCTATAGCACTTCTCTGAAATTGTAATATTTTTGGTATATATATATATAACTCATCTACTAGATCAAGAGCTTCACAATGATTGAAATCATAGTTTGCTTTTTGTTTGAGGTTTATGGGTTTATTTTATGTTATTATTTTAAAGACTGGGTCTTGGCTGGGCACGGTGGCTCACGCCTGTAATCCCAGCACTTTGGGAGGCCAAGGTGGGTGGATCACTTGAGGTTAGGAGTTCGAGACCAGCCTGGCCAACATGGTGAAACACCATCTCTACTAAAAATGCAAAATTAGCTGAGTGTGGTGGCGCATGCCTGTAATCCCAGTTACTTGGGAGGCTGAGGCAGGAGAATCACTTGAACCCGGGAGGTGGAGGTTGCAGTGAGGCAAGCTTGTGCCACTGAACTCCAGCCTGGGCCACAGAGTAAGACTCCATTTCAGAAAAAAAAAAAAAAAAAAAAAAAAAGACTGAGTCTCACTATGTTGCCCAGGCTGCACTTGGACTGTTGAATTCAAGCCATCCTCCTGCCTAGGCGTCTTGAGTAGCTGGGACTACAGGCACACACTATCACGCCCAATATTTTTGTCTTAAGTTTCTAAGGAGTCCCAACACTGCACAGTAGCTGTTCAATACATTTTGAGTGAATGATTAAAAACAAGCTTGGTGTTGATTTTATTGGTACAATTTATATTTACATATGTAATGTTTATATTATATGCTTTTTATATATTTATATGTGTGTATGTATATAATTGGCACCAACGTAGCATTGCTGTGCTTAAGTGCCTGAGATGTATCTCAAATGAATAGACCTGAGGAGAGAAGCTTGTGTCATTAGCTCTGACCCTGCAGCACTAATCCTGGTTTACCCCTTTATTTCACTCACCCTGAGCACATCAATTAATTTGGTGAAAGAGCTTACACTTTAAGTGTAAGCTTAACATCTCACTGAAATAGTTCATTCCAAAGAAAGAGCTAATTCTAACCTCTCACAAGTGCTTGAGCATTTGCATAAGTGAAATTTCACTGTGTGAGTTTCACCCAACACCACCTCTGCTCCAGCTCCTGCTACTCTGCTGCTCATACTGTGGAACTCCACAGGTGGAGTAGAAGATCATCAGAGAGAGTTTTATTTGCAGTAAATTTGGTGTGCAACAGGCCAAGCAACGAGGAGTCAAGGTGAGGCAGAAGAACAGCAGAGGGAAGTGGAAGTTGGATAAAGGGTGAACTGAGTAGGAGCGGAAGCAGGATAAAGAGGTGGGTGAGCAAGAAGCAAGATAAGCAGAAGTTGAGCAGCGAAAACAAAAGTGAGATGGAGTAGTGAGTAAAAGTTTATGGCTGGCAGGATCCAGAACAAACCAGTAAAAGGCATGCATATGACAGAGAAAAAGTAGCCTTAAAATGACCCCGTATGATAATCAGCTCATTAAAGCTAATGCATATGGACTGCATATCATGGGTGTACTTAAAATTATGGGATGGAGGTGATGCGGAAGCACACAGGGGCCAAGTAACTAAGCAACCCACCTATCAATCAGAAGGCACATGCTGGGTAGAGATTAGGCAGCCCCAGGAAGAGGAGAAAAAAGAAAAAAAAAAAAACATGTAAAAAGACCCAAAGCCCAAAGTTCACCAAACTGACGCTGATCTCATTTTGCAGAAGTCAGCCCGTTCTCCCCTCTCTGAGAGTGTTACTGTGCTTAATAAGTCTCTTGCTGCTTTGCTACATGTGTGTGTGTCACTTCCAATTCTTTGTTAAAGACACCAAGAACCTGGGACTTCACAACACCAGCCGGTAACAAAGGTATGTAAGCTTGGGAGGGAGGAAAGAAAGAAGGGAGCAAGAGGAGATTCAGACATGAGATGCATTCACCCTATGAGTTGAACCCTGGTCTCCAGCGTGGGAGTTGACAATTCTATTACTGAACCATCAATGCTCCGTTTGGTATAACCTCTCATAGTTTTTTTTTTTTTTTTCCTTAAAGATAATCTCTAGTGCTATGGGCAGGCATGAGGGGGCAGGGAGGATGGAGGTGGGAAAGTTCTATAATAGGCTGACACAGATATTTTTGGAAAACAGAGCTAACAAAGCAACAGGCACTTGAAGCAAAGGCTTGCCGTAAACCTTCCACAGTTTGCCAAGAGAAGAAATTCTGTAGTGAAATTTTCACTTTCTCTCTTGTGTAGATCTCTGTAAGACACAAAAGTTGGATGACAGTCGTTTTGATTCTTGGACTTTACTAGAGACTCCAAAGACGCATCTGAGGAGAAAAGCTCTGGGTCCCTGGGATGACTGTGCCACTCGACATAGCCTCCTGGAGTGGCCAAAGAGAGTGTGGATAAGAAAAGAAATATTGGAGTGAACTTTCACTCACTCCCACTTCTGTAGGTTTCTTAAAATATATGGGTTTAGAAGCAAGATACTTGGCGTTTTCAAATGACTCAAAAGAGATGTAGATGAAGAGAAGTTCGGTCATCCCACAGATCTTCCGGAGTAACCTGGACACATCCCTAAATCTCTAGCTCCTGGGTCTTCGAAAGCCTGTTTGCCTCAGGGTTGGGAGGAAAGGGTTTGGAAAGTACCAAGGCAAGGGTTGGCAAAAAGATTACCTCATCAGTGAGGAAATGAAATTTCCAGAAGTTTTCGCCAGATCTGGGACCAGAGACAAATGCTGGATGAATTTCCTATGCAAACCTCTTTTAGAACCACCGCTTCAAAGGCCGTCCAGAGACTTCAAATTAGATCTGGTGAAACTGCTCCCGGTAGGGGATTGGTAGTTCAGCGGTAGAGGTTTTTGTCTCCCACGCCGGCGACTCCGGTACGACTCCCGGCCATGCAGGACTTCTTACCCTTCCGGCAGGAAGGGCTACTACGTTTCTACCCAACGAAGTTATTATATTATACAGGCTGTACTGCATTTATGGACCTTGGTCGTGGCAGCTAGAAGCTAACCTGAGGGGCGTGCCACCTCTGGAGCATTCTCTGTGCTCGAACTAATAATCCCGGAATTTACGTTCCTGTGCTCGAAGCCTGTCCTTGAAAGTGGGGAGTGTTTCCGGTGGGTTGCTGCAGTTTTAAATACTGGGAATTAAAACCTTTGCTACTTTCATCTAGTCTCCCGGCAAACCCCTGGGTAACCCAAAGCCCATCAGAGGGATTCGCGTGCTGGGCTTTCCGCTACGTTAGGCCACGTCTCACTATGGAGCGAGGATCAAGAAGGTCCGGGAAGGAGAGAAGCTGCGGGGTCCAGGGAGACTCTTCGGCGGTTGGTCGGAGAGGTTTCAGCGGCCCAAGGAAAAGGGAAGCGTGTGGGAATCTATCCGCGTAGAGATGAGGGGCGCGGCGGAGACAGTCCCACGCAGAGGTATGCCCAAACACCGAGTTACTTAACCTCCTCAACCACCTTGGCATCCGCGCCTTCCGTGGGCCCGTCGGTCTTCCGGGAGAGATTCTGTGTCCCTGGTATTGTGTGTCAACAGGTGTTAGCCTGATAGTTATATTTTTAATGAGAGAAAACGAACTACAGAATTTGCGAGTTTTGCTTTTTTTCTGGTTTTGCTTTATACCTCTTGGATTCTCCTTCCAAAGGATTCCAATCTGAGGGGCATTGAGGTGTGACTATGGTAGACAAGGGGTGGTGAATTTTCATCCAAAAATCTTTGGCGGATTCCCTTGCTCTCCCGCTCCCCAGTCTAAGAGCAGTTTAAAACAGAAGATCAGAAACATTTGGAGAGTGTTTTTTTCTCTGCGTTCTAATGATAAACTTGATTTATTCAATTCCAAAAGTTTCCTTATTCTGAGGTTGTCTTTCCATATTTTGAGTATAAAACCATGGCCATACTATATGTTGGACCCACGAAGGTTCTTCTCTTCACTTGTTTATTTGTAAAGTCTCTTTGTAATCTGAGAATTTCTTGAGTAAACTGGGAACTGTTACACATAATTCTGTGTTTTTGAGCATTCTTTGTAAACAGGAATCAGGATTGGGGGTGGGGAGGGAGGGAGGAGTGGGAGTCCTGATTTGTGTAACGGAAAATCATGGATTACTTATGTGATGGAGCAAAGGTTTAAAAACTCTTAGCGTCCCCGGATTTCCCCTTTTACTGTTTGCTGAAGAAAATTCTGTCCTTGACTCCCTTCCTTACCCTCTCCTGGCCTGTGAGAAGCTTCCGCCCTATTCAAGTTATTTCCTCCTCCCCTCCCCGCCCCACTCCCCCAGGCAGCCCCCTTCTGTTTTTCAGTGAAGCCGCTGGAGGAAAGTCGGGTTTGTGAGAAGACCCACACAGGCAAGGACAGCAGGAGAACAGTGACATAGTTACACTCTTGTCACCAGCACTGTCATTAAGAAGTTGTAAAAAGACAAAGACAACAGAGGAGAGCGGAGAATAAAATCTCCGTTTCAGCTATTCCAGGATGTTGTGCCAATTGTCCCGTGTCCTTGATAGGAAGTAGTAAGGAGCTAGGGACATTTTTCCTGAAGGCTTCCATTGCTGGCAAAATCTCATTAAAGGTGTCTACATTGATAGGTTGGCCACAGGATGGATACAAGAACAGGCTCTGGCTTACCTCTGCCAAGATATATGTGTAAGAATACTCTCTGCAACATTAATTTTTATTGTAAAATAGCAGAATAATTTTATTATTCAATCATTATATAATGTTCAAATGTATGTGACTTTATTTGGACAATGAAAAATGCAGTTGTTAAAAATAGACAATACAGATGATTCAGATGATGTTACTGATGAAAATAACAGATGTCAATTACTGAGCATTTATGGCACTCTTACATACATTAACTTATTTAAAGTTCAGAACAACCAAGGAAATGAGCAACCTGTGGCGGGCGTGAGAGGTTCTGTGGCACAAAAGGAAGATAGGCATTCAAAGAACACCAGGATAGAAGAGCCGCAGTAGGCCGGGCGCGGAGGCTCACGCCTGTAATCCCAGCACTTTGGGAGGCCGAGGCGGGCGGATCAAGAGGCCAGGAGATCGAGACCATCCTGGCTAACAGGGTGAAACCCCGTCTCAACTAAAAATACAAAAAATTAGCCGGGCGTGGTGGCACGCGCCTGTAGTCCCAGCTATTCGGGAGGCTGAGGCAGGAGAATCGCTTCAACCCGGGAGGCGGAGGTTGCAGTAAGCCGAGATCGCGCCACTGCACTCCAGCCTGGGCGACAGAGCGAGATTCGGTCCCCAAAGAGAAGAAGAAGACCCGCAGTAGGAGGAAGAGAGAGGAAGTGGAGTCGGCCAGCTGGGATGCTGGAAGCCACTGGATAGCTCAGGCTGAGAGAGGGCGCTGTGCTCCGCAAGCCTCCCTGCAACCGCAGGCCTCGGGCCGCCTTCCTCCAGGAAGACGCTCCAGACTTCTGGTATCCGTTGAGATCTAGTTTCCCTTGAGACGCTGCAAAGCGCATCGTCCTTGAGCATTTCTCCTCTCCCCAAGACCCTCCGAAGGAAGGATGAGCGGACGGAAGATTCACACCGAAGTGGTCGAGCGCCCAGATCCCCGGCTTCCCCGGGAGCATTTCCCAAGTTTCTTTCATGGGTAAGAGTGGGCCCGGCAGGATAATGCCTCCGGTTCTATGAGGAGCAGTGGGGGAGATGCCCACGTGGCCACCTCTGTGGGCTACACGACCCAGGCCTTCCAGGAGGAGCGAGGAGTCCTGGGCCCGGGTCAGCGGTGCCAAAAGAAGCAGCAAGGCAAGGGGTCCCCTCCTACCTCAGGATCTCTGTCCTACTGGGGTTAGGAGACGTTCATCCAACTCCCTCTCCAAGTGTTGGAGAGGAGGCTAGGTCTTTCCCACGAGCTGGGGAGGAAGAGGTGGCAGAGGCGGAAGAGGAAGCCGGCTGAGATGTGTGAAGCAGCTCTGGCTATAACCGGTAGGGAGAGGGCGCGCGGGACCCAGGAGCCTCCGTGCGGAGCCAGGCCTCAGGAGCAGCCGCCTTGCTCCTGGAAGGGGTGCCTCCCTCCATCTTCTGTCCAAAGACTGTAGGGAGACCTTCTCGCCTGGTGGGAAAGCGACGTCTCCCATGCTTTCCCACCACGCAGGCCTTGTGTCCCTTTTCCTGCTAGTGTCTGACCGCCAGCCTGCGGGGGCTGCGGCTGCCGCGGTTCTACGCTGGGTGGAGGCTGCCCGCCCGCTAGCCAAGAGCCGCGCTAGGAGGCAAGAGTCGGGAAGTCGTGTGCAGGCCGGGAGGAGTCCCAAGCTCTGGGTCAGGGCTTTTTTTGCCAATAGCCAAATTCAACGTGTAAAAGACAGAGAGCTCACATCTGTCTGTTCGTGAGCTTCAGTCGGAACAACAAGGAAGGCCCTCAAGATCCCTAGGAGGGTGGCGGAAGGGTCTCTAGCGGCGATATCCGCGTCGGGGGCGGTGAGCCAAGGACTGTCAGGAGCCTGCGTGAACCCAGCCCCCGGGTAGCGCAAACACCACCGCAGACAAGCGCCCCGCGTGTAGGGAAATCGCAGGGGTCAGAGCAGCTGGAGTGTGGTGGACTAGCCTCAACCAGGGAGAGCTCCCTTCTTGACCACGGTCTGTCCCTCGCCAGGTAAGAGGAGACGAGTGTCAGTACAGCCTCCTCTCCCCTAGCCAGACGCTCAGGGTCACCACCTTCCCCTCTGCTCGCCCGTCGCCATTCTTCCAACCACTCGCTGCCAAAGATTCCACCAACAGTCACCCACAGGACAACCCAGGCCTCCTTTCAGCAGAGGCTCCCGCCCCGCAGCCACCGCGCCCTCTCACCCCCGCAGTTCTGCCCGCCGCCTCTGCCCAGTCTGTGCACTTCACCTCCCTCGCTCCCGCTCTCCCCTGAGCTTTACAGTGGACACAGGGTTCGTCCCAACCCTTCTTGGGAGTACTGAATGGAAAAGGGGGAGGGTGCACAATTGCTTGGTAGAGTGTAGACAGACATTGCGGGATTTGACTGTGGTACTATCCCTTTGATGTCCTAGTGATTTTTACACCTGCCTTCTGCTTAGGGCACCGGCCACAGTTTTCCATTAGTGCCTACTCCACCTGCTGTCGTTGTTGGGTAAGCGAACATCGCCCTCCTGTACCACCCAGTCAATAAATGGGCGGTCCTGGAGGACCTCACCCGCCGCTCACCCCCCTCCCAACCTCGCGGCCATCGCCTCCTGTCGCCTCTTCCGAAGGCCTAAGAAGCATGTTAGCTGCGAACTGAGGTGAGGAGGCTCAGCTGACCGCCTGTGTCAGCTGACGACGTGTGCCGCACACAAACGCCACGACTTGGCTTGGCCTCTCTCTCTCTTAGTTATTTGCAGCTCAGCCCAATCGGCGCCTCTGGGATGGCGGAGGCGGCAAAGATGGTGGGCTTCTTGGGTACACCTCCAGGAGAGCTGCCATCTCTGCACGGTGGTGTACACCTGAGCGAGACGCTCAGTCGCTCTCTAAAGCCCCTTCTGCGAATGGTGGACACGGAGATAAATAAGAGGGTGTGTCATGAGAGGCCGTCCACCAGGACTTGCCCTCCTTCGCCAGGGTTTGCACCTTGCAGGGAGACTCTTCTGCCTCTGGCTCTTGGAGCAGGCCGGCTGACAGCGGAGTAAAGAAAGATTACTGCGGGTGGGCAGTCAGTGCAAAACAACTCCCTGACCGGTAATCGAACCCGGGATGCGGTGGTGAAAGGACTGAATCACAGCCACTACACCAGCACGGGGGCACGGGAGAGTCTTTCTCAACCTTATTGCCATTTAAGTGACTGTTTCTGAGTGCGCTGGGAGGACTTGGGCCTTGTGGGGGTCGCTGGTCGCTCCTGGAGTCGTCTCACAAGGCCTTTCCCTCCCTCCTTTCTCCAAAAGAGGAGCCCGCAGGCGACACACCCAGCACTCTGCGAGGCCCACCAAGGCCCTGATTCCCGAGTCCTGGAGCGAGTTGCAGCGCCCTGGCTGCAGCTGACCACTGACCTAGAGATGTGCCTTTGCGAAGTGGCAGCGCATGGAGAAACAGTAGCGGGTCGCTGGGGCCAGAGCCGCCCACCGGGTAGCCAGGAGCAGGCCGGAGCGAGGAGGCTCCCGGGGTGAGACCGGGGCACCCTGAACATCATAAAGGACTCAGACCTTGGCATTCCCGACGTCATAAAGGACTCACACGGATGCGGAAACCGAGACGGGCTGGATGGAAAACTCTTTCCAGACAGACTCCGGGGCCCTCAACTGGTCTCCGACCTTCCCCTGCAACCTGCGACACCTGCCATTTTCCCATCTTAGGCTCCAGAAGCAGAATCAAGTGGGATGTCTTGGAAGAAAAACAAACAAAAGGCCCACTAGGTGGAGTGAAATGGATCAGGAGCAATTATGTTCAATTTCACCTTTAAGTTTTCTCAAAAGGAGGAGCATTAAGAATCAGCCACCTTAGTACATACTTAAAGGTAAATATTACATTTAAGAAAATCCTTGTTATCTTAATGTGGCACTGAGAAAATACTATCAAGTACAGCACGTGGACTAAGTTAGAACATTAAATACACAGGATCTCTTGATAGAATTATCCTCAGACTTTCCAGTTTTAATCTTCTAGATTTACTGAAACCTGATCCTGTCCCCGCTGATGAAACATCAGAGGAATGGGATCCTGTAGGTGAAGATCATCAGCTTATAAAATCCTGTTGCCATCAATGGGGGTAGCAGGAAAATGATGAAGATTGGTTAAGGGGCCAGTGGACTCAGCATTGAAATGAATCATGGACTTGAAGCCAAAAGACTCAGTTTGTGTCCCAGCTCTCTCAAGCAAAGCCCCCAAGTCCCAGTTTCCTCATCTATAAAAAATAATAAAAATACTTAATGGACAAAGTTGTGTGGGAATCAAATGAGATAAAGTATGCGCTGCATATGCCCTAAAGTCTTATTTAAATAAAGGCATTCTTTTCATCTGAGAAATTGAAGAAAAAGATGCCCTGAACAAGAAAGACAGGAGAAAAGATTTTTTTTTTTTTTAATGAAGGATAAAATGATGAAATCCCCCCAGGTATTGCTACAGAAAGGCCTTACCCATGAGCTGTAGGCATATATCCGGTCCTAAGGTCCATTTTGGAGTAGCCCAGCACTCAGTCTGAAAGATTGGACACTGAGAAATATGTGCATCCCATTTTTCTAACTAGCAGCATTTTGATCCTGTCTTATTATCCATACCCAGGCTAGCACACATGATTTTTTCTGCTTGCACTTCAGGAGAAGATAGTCATTGGACAAAAGGTGGGTCATTCTCACGTTGACCAAGTTTCTGTTCCAGTATCACCCTCCCAGGTAGGCCTTTATTCACTCTAAATAGATCACACTGTCTAAAATAGCTACCTTTCCTGCACACAGTCTCTTACTATGCCATTTACTGTCAAAGCTCTTCTCACTCCCTGATATGATTTTGCATGTTGATTTGCTTGTTCATTGCATGTTCCCTCACTACAATGTAAATGTCTTGCCAGTTTTGATCACTACCATATCCCTAAGGCCTAAGAATGTTCAGTACATACTAGGTGCTCAATAAGTACCTTTTTTTTTTATAAGTGAATGAATGAATTCTATTTTTGTCTTATTCCATTGACATTTTCCTGTCTTAGCTGCCTTGGACAGCTCTGAAAGTTCTTCTGCTATTTTGTACACTATTGTCTTTCTCTGTCATTTGAATCTTTTCCTTACTTAGTTTGGGTTCCTCCAATAGTAGAGCTTGAGACAAAGGTTTGGATACCAGTAGTGTATTTAGAAGGTGATCCGAGGATTGGAGAGAACAGGGAGAGTAAGAAGAGAAACAAAGAAGAACCAACAAAAAAGTGCCTTACCTGGGTTGCTGATGTGGGCAGCAGGCACTCAATTTCATCTGGGTTTCCTGAGAGATGTGCAGAATACCTCCCAAAATACAGAAGATGGAACATTAATTCACACAAACTGAAAAGTTTGAAAAAAAAATTAGTCTTTGCCCTTGAGAAAACTTTACTCTGAGTGAAAATGAAAACAAGAAATGCTTGTGACTTATTCATTGTATCAAAGGGAATTAAATTTTATTGAGTACCAAACATGAGCCAGGGACTGTACCTGGCAAATTATATATATTGTCTTATTTCATTATGGCAACAGGAGCTGCCATGTATCAGGCAGCTACAATTTAACCAGGTTCTTCACATGCATGCTCTCACCAGTTCTTACAACTAGTCAATATGAGTTTTTATTTCCATTTAAGAGATGAGAAAAGTTGAGACTTGGGGAAAAGAAATAGCTTGGCCTAGGTAACACCATCAATTCATAGCAGATCTTTCTGACTCTATAGCTTGTCCTATAGAGAAACAATTACATGTAAGGAAAATAAAAGGCAATATAAATTTAAGTGAGTGACTACATGACACTTTCTTGTGAAGAGTTATAAGAATTCAGAGAACGCAATGTGCAACATGAGGACCATGGTCAATAATATTATATTGCACACTGGAAATTTGCTAAGATAGTAGATTTTAGGTACTTGTACTGTAAAAAAAGAAAGGTAACTATGTGAGATGGTGAATATGTTAACTTGCTTGACTGTAGTAATCATTTCACTATACATACGTATATCAAAACATCATGTTGTATACTTTAAATTTATATGATATAATAATATAAAAAAATAGAATTCAGAGAAGTGAATGACTGTTGTGAGCTACATTTAAATTTAACAAGATTTTATTAAGAAAATTAGGTTTTTTAAAATTTTTAAGAGAAAAGTGGGGAGGAGAAAATGGATTCCTCTAGGCCAAGGAAACAGCTGGAGAGAAAGGCATGAAGATGAGGTAACTGGCTTCATGGAACCTGAATTATTTTTCATCAAAGAGCTCAACCCCCCATATTATCTTTCATAAATAAGTAGTGTGCCATGGAATTATGGAACATGAAAGGTATGGATTTAGAACATGATCTAGGTTAAAGAAAAAAGAGGAAGAAAACTAAAAGAAAGAAGAAAATCCAGATTGTTGGGATGATTCTGAGGCCCTAGAACCTTAGAAACTCTAAACTCTTTCAAAGTGTATTTGAAGAGACATATATTCAGTGTGTGCAGTCTGACAACAGTGGAATGCCAATAACATTTAATTTCCTGGACTTCTAAACTTCTTAACCTGTTGTGCTGCTGGAATGGGACTGTAAATCAAAATATGCTAAATTGTATGGGGAACATGTGTATTTAGTCATTCCAAACTGCCCAGTGATTTTTTAAAACACTCCTCACAATAGTATTTATGCTGGTCTTGTTTTTCATAAGTCTTTCTTCTCAACCATGCTGCAACTGGTTAATATAGGCATCAAACACAGCACACAAGAAGGAAGAATGCAGAAAAGAAATTCAGAAATGGATGAGAAAGGCCAAAGTATCCCTGACATCTCTCCCATCCCAACTGTTCTAAATGTTCTTCCATTTTCAAACACTACAACAACAACAAAAAATTGGAATATTGCTTTGGGTCTAGTAAATCATTAGCAAATTAAGAACCTGTTTTTAATAACATTTAACTTGTAAATAATGCATTAATTGACTAGCCTGAATGTTAGTTTGAGCATTTGAAACTCTGCTACTAAATTTGTAATGAAAGAAATGTGCTGCAACAGTAGGCTATATGGTGAATATAACAGATTAAATATGACAGTTGATATTTGTGAAAATGGGGTTATAATTAGAGGACACCTGCAGCTCTTTTCCAACCAAAACAACAGAAATTAAACTTGCATAAATTGTGTGTGTGTGTGTGTATTGCATTTTCTATTGGCATGTTTCTTTTGTTATCCTTGAGTCTTGTGTTAGGTTTTATCCCCCGTTTTTCAGGTCATATGTTAAGCAAGCAACAAGTGGCCTTTTGCTGGACACACTTTATTGGATCTCAAAATGACACATTTTTGGGAGGAAAAGAAAAAAAGGACACAGAGATCTTTTTTCCTAGGAGTTAGGAGTTACTAAAATTCATGAGTGATAGCCCAGCATATTATAACTGCTCAGAATTAGAGGAAGCCATGTGAAAAGGAACCAGTAGGGATTTCAGTCTCAACTGCCTTGCCTCCAACTATCAAGTAGGATTTCTCAGACGAAAACATGAAGAATGTGGCACCCTGCCAGCTATACATTATTAAAATTATGCATGGCAGTGAGTCAGGTAGAGAAGTTGCTAGACATAGGGATTAAACCAAAGAGAAACTAAATATTTGCAATGACTAATAATTAACAAAGTGCTGTCATTTCGCTAATTCATTGTTTCTCATTCATTCAACAAATATAGATAAGCACCTTGCAGAGGCTATACTAAACTAGGCCCTGGGATACACAGCTGAATAAGACACAAATCCTATGCCCTCAAAAGGCTGAAAATCTGGTTTGGGAAAATATCTGTAAATCAAAAGAAAGGCAGATCATGCAAGTCAGAGAAAGAGATGAAATACTAAGAAGGAAATCTTGGCACATCTGTCAAATGCAACAGGGAAGTTAAGAAAGATAAAGACAGAAGCATTTCTGTTGAATTTGTCAATCAAAGTTCATTAGTGACCTTGGCAGAAACTATTTTAGTGGAGTGTTGGGAACAGAAACCAGATTACAGTGAGCTACAGGATGAATAAGAAAGAGAATGTAGAAAAGTGAGTGTAGACTGCTCTTTTCAGAAGTCTGACTATGAGAGACTAGAGACAGAGAAAGAGAGTGAGGAAGTTGGGGGTGGTGGGGGAGAGAAAGTATGTAAAGAGTTGGTTTTCAAAGGCCTGAGCAAGTTGCGTATGCTGAGTAGTGGTCACAGCCGTTGCACACAGAGAATCTTGGCATATTAACATACATGAGTGCACATCAGTTATACATTTTTTCCCTATCAGAAGTTGAAATTCCCTTTTAATATTCCAAGTATTAAATTCTCATTTAATATGCTAATTAGCCTGCATTTTACAACAGATTGTATTAGAGCCTGGATACACATCCAACTCGATTCCATGTATGGAGCCGTAGTTGATTTGGTCAATAACTTGCATTGTTCTGCATGAGAACTTCCACAATTTGCTACCTCATTCTAATAGGGTTTGCTTGAATTATATGAAATCACCACCTTTATTGGTCAAAACCAGCTGAATATTGGCAATTTCATGTGGTTCAACCTAATAGTCTGCAGGGGTCTGGGGAGATCATAGCATGTGAATATAATGTTGAATGAGACATAGGAAGAAAGAAACAAGATAGCTGGGACAAAGGGTATTGAATGAGTAGAAAAAAAGTAGTAATCTTTTTGTTTGGGTTAGGTGTGTGTTCCCAAGGGAAATAATTTTTGAGCATGTAGCTTGAAAGTAATAATACCACTTTTAGGTAGTACAAATGGCTCAGGGGATCAATTGGGATTTAGGGAGCGGGGCTTTTACCTGCAATCTGTCCAATTTAGTCAGACTAACTTGCAATTTTTACACTGTTAAACATCTTATAAATCTGAGACCAACAGATCAAAGAAAAGCTCTTTCAATTGAGTGTCTGGGTAACTTGTGGCAAATTTTTTATCCCCGTTGTAATGTGATTCCTCCATCTCTAAAGTGAAGGCATGGATTACCCACTCATTCTCAATCCAATGTGAAAGGTCCAGAATTCTGTGTCAGAGTTAAGAGAGTCCTGGTGCAGTCAGCAAGGGAAAGTAATTTTTCCAAACTGCCTGTGCTAAAAATAAACCCAGGGTAGTCTCAGGGGAGAGCTACCCAGTCCCTTTCACGGACAGTAAATTCACTGTGGTGGGAGGTGAAGATGGACTGAAAACAAATACCTGAAGAAAGAAAAACATCCTAATGCAGGCACCAGTGGTGAGTTGATGGGAACTGAGCTACCACTGGGAATGCATCACCTGAGCATTTTCTCCAGAGCAGAGTTGTTGGACAAATCTATGAGGAGAAATTCCCACAGCAGGGCACAATCTGGGCTCTGGCTAAGTTCTTGGAATGTCATTTGTCAGCTGTCAGAATCCTATATTCATAAAGGGAGAGGAAAAGTCTCACTAAAATGCAACTAAAGAACACACAGCAGCAGAACCTGGTCTCTTCTGTGTTAACAGAACAAACATGAAAATAGTTAAGCCAACATACTTGGAATTTGTGTCAATCATGATACTTTCATTGCTCGTCTTGAGTTCTCATGTCTATCATGCCACGGTGAGGCAATCACTCAGAACAACCCATGGCATTTTGCAGAGCACCAAAGAAGAAGAAGTGGTGAATCATGGGCCTGAGACTTGGTTACACAGTGTCTTAGAGAAATATCCCAGCTCCTTCTCAAGCTACAAAATTCCTCCTGCTAGGCCAAGAATAGATATGGAATTTCCTATCATCTCTGAATTTTTTATTACTGAGTTGCAAGCAGAGCTCTTTCTCCTATTGTATTTATATTATCATAAAATTGATCTTGAGTATGTAGAACTTAAGAAAGTCTCCAAAGACAGATCTGGATGGGCCTCTGTCTTCCAGCTTATAAGATGTATTTTGTAAAATTTAGCATAGCTGCTTTTATTATTATAATACCTAAAATGTATGTGATTAAATACATGAACTGCCTCCCTGAAGGTAAGACAGCTTCTAAATTCTAAAGCTAAATAATCTAGCCCACAGGGCCAGACATAAAATTGCACCCAGAAATTCATACCAAATGTCAAGTCACTTTGGGGTTACTCCTGAGGGCTCAATGCTGATCATGGTTAGGAAGAGGTAATTTGCCCCACTGTCTTGCTTGAGGATGATTTTTTACTGCCACACATGGAAAAAGTTGCAGCTAATTATATGATTGTTCCAAATTATGAGTTCTCCTCCCTAAAAGAAGCTTATAATTTCCCATCCCATTGACATCAAGCTTGGTCATGTGACTTGCTTTGGCCATTGAAATGTGAGCAAAAGTGACAATTACCACTTCCCAGTGGAAACTGAGAGCCATCTTGTGGCTCCACAATTGCTCTTCTCCCTCTGCCCAAAGAATGGCATGACCTAAATAGGGACTCAATTTCAGAATGAAGATATGTAGAGCTGCAACTGACCTACAGCCAACCTGTAACAAGAGAGAGAAATAAATCCAGATGGTTGTAAGCCACTGAGAAATGGTGATTGTTTGTTACCAGAGTATAACATAGAAAAAGCTATCCAATACAACAGTAAAACAAACCCATCAGGTACAGGAAGTGGATCTGCTCCCTGAAACCCATAAACGACCACTCTAGCTGTATCTTAGCACAAATAAGGAAGAGGACCAGAAAAGAAAGGAAGAAAGGAGTTAGGGAAAGAAATCTCAATATTTCCCAAGGAAATATTGGTGGTGTTCTAGAAGAAGTGGCTATGTTACAACAGTTGCATCTTAGGACATTTATTCACTTCCAGGCTTTCATCTCCTCTCAGTGCTGCAAGGAATATCCTGCTCTAAGAACACCAGTTTGAAAAGGACTGGCCATAGATGACTTTGGAAGACCAAAGAGTTCTGTATTGACCTCAGTTACGTCCTTAATACTCTCCAGCAAACATACAATATTTCCGTAGTCCATTAACTTTCCTACTCCCCTGAAAACTGTTTCATGCCTACTCCTCCCTTCTCAAACCTCTAAATGCCCCTGTCATCCTCACTCCAAGCTGATTATTTTGCTTCCTAGTTCACTGAGAAAATAACAGCAATCAAAAGAAACTGCACTCAGCCTCCAGCACCACCTCCTTTTCTCCTGCATGTGTGCCCATCTGCTCAACTTTTCCTCCTAGCCATGCTTCTAGTCAAAATCAACCCCTTAGCTTGCTGCTAGATCTTATTTTACTCATCTATTGAAGGACGCTGTTCCAGTGATTTTCTTTTATTTCTTCTACTTTGCCTGTTTTTTCTCTATTTGATCACTCTCACCAACATTCAAACATCTTGTTTTCTCATATTTTTTAAAAGACTCTCTTTACTCCAATTCCTACTAGCGATTCCCCTTTCTCACACTTCCTTAATAGCAACACTCTTTGAAAGAGTGTCCATATCCCCTGTCTCCAATTTCTTTCCTTTTGTTCTCTCTAGACCTCACTCTAATCAGACTTTCACCTGCACCTCTCTACAGACACTGCTCTGATCAAGGTACCAAAACTCCTACTTTGCTAAGCCAGTGGTCATTTCTCAGTCCTCATTTTATGCAAACAATCAGTAGCATTGGACACAATCACTCTCTCCTCTTTGAAACACTTTTTTTCCTCCACTGAGCTTCCAGACTCTCTGCTTGTTCAGTTTTATTACTACTTGTCTAGTCACTTCTTTTTGTTTCCCTCGATGCTTCTTCTCATCTCTGCAGTTTTACTCCCCAGGCTCAGTCCTTGAACCTTTTTTTTTTTTTAATCTATGTTTACTCCATTGGGAAGCTCATCCAATCTCAGAGCTGTAATAAATTGGTACTTCCAGCCTGGCTCTCTCCCCTGAAACTCACACTCATGTCTTTATAAGACATGATACATGCATGGAATGGATACCTAACAGGCATCTAATAGTTGACATGTCTAAACTAAACTCCTAATAGCCTACAGCAGCATCACAAAAACTGCATCTCCCACAGTCTTCCCCATCTCAGCAAGTAGCAACTCTTAGTTCAAGTCAAAACTCCTTGCAGTTTCCTTGAGTCCTCTTTTTTCATACCCCCATTCTAAACATACAAAAAATCCTATTGGTTTTACATTCACAACACATCAAGAATCCCATCACTTCTCATTGCTTCTACTGCTGCCGTTATAGTCTGAGCCACCATCATCTTTTGCCTGGATTAGTGCAGTAGCCTCCTAACTGTTCTCCTCTTTCCGTCTTTGACCTTTTCTAGTCTATTCTCTACACTGTTTTAATGAAGCAATAAAGTTATTTCATTAAAACATGCCAAATGGCACTCTCTCCTCAACATCTCCCCAGAGTCTTCTCTCATGCCTCCTGGTACCCTGCTCCTCATTTATTCCATCCACTCCAGCTATACTGGTTTCCTTGTTATTTTTTGAGAATATAAGACATGCTTCGATGTCAGCACCTTTACATTTGCTGTTTCCTCTCCCTGAAAATGCTTTCATTCTCTCCATGAACTGGAAGCAAAGTCATTATGGCTCACATCTTCCTTCAGATCTTTACTAGTGAAGTCTTCCAAGACTAGCCTACTTGATGTTGCAAACCCCACCCAGCATGCTCTACCCACCTTCCTTACTTTATCTTCCGCTAAGCACTTATGATTGTCTAACATATCATATGTTTGACTTACTTAGATTATTTATTGTCTGTATCCCCCAACCTGGAATGTAAGCTCCATGAGGGAAGGGAGTTTTTATTAACTGCTGTACCCCTAAATACCTAGAATAAGGCCTGGCACATAGGAGTCTCAACAAAGACTTGTTGAAAGAATAAATGAAATGTTTTTGCAAATCACCTTCTTAATGCCTGGAAATGTTGATTTAGTGTTTCATCCCCTTTACTTGGAATAATAAAAGAATATTAAGGTTGCAATGGCTTTAGAGTTAATCTAGTTTAATACTGTCATATGACACAGAAGAAAACTTTGGCCTAGAGGAGGAAATAAGCTTTCTGAGGTTGCATACCTAGCTCCTATCTAATGGCACAGCAGGGCCAGATGCCCTGGCTCCCAGCCCATCTCTCCTCCCACAGTATCAACCACCCCATCCTCCTTCTGGCTTCCATGAGTAAAACTAGCTCCTGCTAATGCCTCTGCTTTTATTTTGTATCTCATCTTTGTTATATCATCTTGATATCTTCATAAATCTGCTTTTATCTCATTTTGCAAGAATATTTGTATAAAAATAAAAAGGGATGATTTCCACAGAATTTAAACAAAACCCCTACAGACTCTACTAAAGGTTTCATTAGATTCTTTAAAGATGCATTATGTATAAATATGCAAAAGATGTGTTAGAATTTAAACTCCAGGAAAAAAAAAATGTTTCAGAAAACATGATTAACATGTTAATAATGGCACCTAACTCTCCAAAAAGTGTGGCAAAGATTCAGTGAGAAAACATACATTGCCTGCCATACATGAAACATGGAGGAAGCGTATGCTATGGCACAGGTTGGTGTGTGTGGGGTGTGAGACTTCTGTGAGTACTAGAGTTCCTACATATCCCTGTTGATGTTACACAATATTGAGACCCAATTTTCTATCTTAATAAAAACATATGTGGTGAATTTGTAATGGTCCAATTTGTCACGGCAATTTATTATTCTACTTCCTAGAGCACTTTAGAGAATACTTTTTAAATACTGATTTAAAAAAAAATAAAAAGAGGCACAACATCTCCCTGAACCAGTAGGTGCCAACAGTTATCATCATCTCCGTTTTGCCTATGATATAAATTAAAGCCTAAAGGTTATTTACCTCAGTTCAAGTGCAGCCAAGCAATGGGAGATATGGAACCAGAAGCTCGAATGTGTAATTCCTAAACCTGAATTAGTTCATTGAGTCAGTCAGCCTTGTAAGCACTAGTAGGCAATTCAAGATGAAAAACTAAACATTATTTTTCTTTCATACTAAAAATTTTTCACTGTTCCCACAGAGAAATAGGGTCTACATCCCATGGCCTTGAATCTGGGTGGTCTCTGTGGCTGTTTGGCCAGTAAAGCCATAGCAAAAGTGAAGCCAGCCCAGATTCCAAGTCTACACCTTATGAAACTGGTAGCTTTCACTTTCTGTCTCTTGGAACACTCTCTCTGGAAACACTTAGTCACTATGTAAGAAGTTCTACTACCCTAAAGCCACCCTACTAGAGAGGCCATGTGTAGACACTCCAGACAACAAGCCCAGCTGAACCCCACTTTCTAGCCAGTGGCAGTCATGTGAGGAAAGCCATCCTGACCCTCCTGACAAGCCGACCCACCAGCTGAAAACCATTGAGTGTCCTCAGTCAATTTGAAATGGAGCGGAAGAATCACCCAGCAGAGGCATGCCCAAATGCCCAAGCAACAAGGTCCTGATATAATAAAATGATTGTTATTTTTAGCCACTAAGTTTTGGAGTAATTTGCTATGCTGCAGTAGATAATAAGAACAGAATTTGATACCTGGAAGTGGAGTGCTGCCATAACTATCTAAAACATGTGGCCATGGTTTTGGAACCAGACAATGAGCAAACGCTGCAAAGATCTTGAGGACACTGTTAATGAGAATAGAAAAACCTGAAGGAGACTTCTAGTGAATACTTAGAGGAAGATACTACAGGAATTACTATTGGAGGCTGGAGAAAAAGTGACCCTGGTTATGAAGTGGCAGAAATTTTGACAATACTGTTGCCTGTTGTGATCTAGACAATAGAATATATACCTAATGAACTGATGGATTTGGCTGGGTTTGGATCTCTGATAGGAATGCCAGAAGTGCCAAATGATTTGTTTTATGCATGTATAATACTGTATAGAAAAAGGTGAGCTTAGAAATGAAATGTTTATTGTAGTTAAATAATTAGTTATATTATTTTGTCATATTACTATGTAATTCCTAGGAAGCAGGACTGAGATGTAATAAAAGAATGTGGACATGTGACCAGTAAGATTTCAGAAATACTACAGACTAGGGACTGCTCTTTGCTTTTCATTCTATTTTTGAATGAGAATGCCAACTGCATTTTTCTTACCTTCATCTCGACATTGTGTTTTGGGGATGGAGGAGCAAATAATGTGTTTCTTTAGTCCACAGGTCGAGAGGAACCATACTTGAAGAAACATACCTGAAGGGTTTCATCCATATGTGGGCCTGATTTGGATGATAAAATCCTGCATCTTGAGCCTGATCTTGATGCTGCCTGTGTTCTGATGCCATCAGGAGTTGAGAGTCTAGGGGTTTTAGAAAGGGTGAATGTATTTTCCCATAGGCAAGGAACATAATCAATGGCCAAAATGTGCACTGTGACAGATTAAAGGTTGCTACAAATTCTCTGATACCCTTCCATTAAGAGGTAGGGCAGATATTCCCTCCCCTCAAATCTGGGTGGGCTCCATGACTTGCTTTGATCAACAGAAAACGGCAGCAGTGATGCTGGGCCAGTTGTTGGATCCAGGCCTTAAGAACCAACAACTTCCACTTAAGTTCTCTTGGAACACTGAGTCCCTGACTACCCTAATATCATGTTGGAAAGGCTACATGTAGGCACTCTAGTTGCCAGTCCCAGCCAAGACCAGCTTTTCAGCCATCCCCATCACTAAATTTGTAAATGAAGCCATCTGGAATCTCCAGACCAGCTCATTTGGCAGCTGGGTATCATCAAGTTATCTCTGCTGACTCCACATGGAACAAAGGAATCACCCAGCTGAGCCCTATTCAAACTATTGACCAAAAAAATAGTGAGACATAATAAAATGATGTTTTAAGCCAGTAAGTTTTAGGATAATCTGTTACATAGCAAGAGATAACCAGGACACTAACTATACATGCATAGAGTAAACAGAGGTAGGCCTACTTTCCACATTGAATTGTGCTTTCTAAAGAGGTGATGATGAATTACCTTTTTGTAAAGGTAATACATTTCAAATGTGCTAAGGATGCTTTCTCTTTTTCTTATCCATAAAACATGCAGA
The DNA here is from genome assembly GCF_000001405.40 of Homo sapiens. NCBI lineage: Eukaryota > Metazoa > Chordata > Mammalia > Primates > Hominidae > Homo > Homo sapiens. The sequence goes on from NC_000001.11 coordinate 148,175,135, forward strand.
CAATAGTCACTCTCTCCTTAGTTCATAAGAATTTTGAGAGGAACAAAGGAGATAATATATGTCAAAGGCATCTGCAAAGCATTTCTCACTAAGCAAATGTAAGACATTATTACTTTTATAGAAATTTAAGTAAAATACAGGGTTTTGTGCAATTTAAATAATCACCTAGTTTCTATCAACTTTGGAAGTTTAGCTAATCACATATCTGATTCTTCTACATACTCAGGTATTCATACACAGGTATAAAATTGCTGTCCAATAAACATAGACTTTCTTCAGTACTAAATTAAAGCAGTGCTTGTTAATAAAAAAATCAGTAATACATTTTAGCACAATGTTGACATGTAACACATATATTTTAACTCAAATATGTAAAGCACAACTGGTATTAGTTAATTCAATCAAGCATGCAACTCTTGAAGGAGGTGGGAGGATGCAGAAAACAGCTAGCTTGAAATGGAAACCACCCCTGTGCTGTCGTTCTGCCTCATCTTGGTTCATGATGTTCTCATCTTTATGCACACTGTGCATAAAGGAGAGAGATAAAGGGGTGTTAAAATACTTTATTCTGTAGCACAGAATAAAGTGTTATGAAAGTACAGAAGTAGACACGTGCATTGTTTCTTGTTAGGAAACCTGAGACTGTGGAAAACTTGCTGAACTTCAGGTTACTGAACTCAAATATAATGTGATGTTTTATGCTTTTAATGATAGTTCTTCCCTCTCAGAAACTTAGCATGTATAGTCTTTGAAAGGTCTTTTCCTATATTTACTATCAAAAAGAAAGCTAAAAGCATATAAACACATGAGCACACGTGCATACAAAAAATTATCCCTTGGTAGCACTGGCAGTGTCTGCTCTTAACTCTAACCTTTCATTTAAATGGACAGTACACAGTGAATTGTCCAGTATCTCGGCTATCATGTCACGCAGTCATCTCTGCATCAGCTCCCCCTATCAATGCCTCTTTGGAGTCGGGCTCCAATCTGCAGAGCAGATAGAATTCCGAAAATCCTGAGCCCCTGTCGCTGTGAGCTTGTTTGCCAAGCACATCACAAGATGAGTGGTGAGATGCTGTTCACATATTGGCCCATTATCCCTTCAATATATGGAGCTTCAAGGATTTTCAGGGCCATATAACTGAAGAGAGTTTACCACCTACCAGAAGAAGGACCAAACTCTGACTGGAGAAATCTTGAAGGTGTAATTAACGTTTGTTTCCATCCCCCTTCAGCCAACACCTTTACTGCACTCACACCTGAGATTCAGGGAAAGTGCTAAAAAACAAAAACTTTTAGTAGAAGCTTCGAAAACATGGGCAAGACAAGACCCAGAATTCATTCTTATTTAGCATGTTGGACTGACTAAGTACATAAAAAGCAGCAGAAGTATTGAGAGCTTACCAGGTATCCTCAAAACAACCCTAAAACTAGATTATCCTCCTCATCCTACAAATGAGGAAACCAAGGAATAGGGAAATTGAGGAGCCCACTCAAGGTCACATGTCTGTCATTTATTGAAAGGAAAGAAACATCCAGCTCCTTGGACTTCAAACCTGAGCCATGTGCCTGGCCACTGAATTATACTGGGTTCTGGGTGAGGATGAGGGCAATAATGACAGCTGTCATTTATTGAAAGACAGCATAAGAGAGGAGAATCTGAGAAATTTAAGATAGGCAGAGCTCCAGTCTCAATTTCCAAATACCTCCATGACCCCAGGCAGGTTACTGAACATAGCTGAGTGTCAAGTTTTCATTTTAAGATGGGAATAATTACAACACTCACTTGTGGGGTTGGTGTGAGTTTTAATAATCTGTCAAGTGGCTGGCATTTAATAAGCACAAGAGATTAATTATTAGTAGTTACTATGTGCCAGGCACCATTCATGTATTCATGTTTCATTTAACCTAACAATAACCATAAAAGGAAAATATTATACCTATTTTACAGATATGTAAACTGAGGCCTAGGATTGCCTAGAATCACATAGTTAAGTCAGGATTTGATCCCAGGCCTATGATTCCAAAACCGGTGTTAGTTACACACCGTTATTTGGCCTCTCTCAATACACGAGCTTATGTCAACCTGTGCCACAAATGACTTTTTCAATAATCAGTTAACATGTGTCAGCTACTAATGTGGTGAGGCTGTATTGTTGAGTTAACCTATTGCTTTTCAAATTCTATTTTATGCTCTAATGCTCAGGAGAAAAAGACATTTAACTTATATGTAACTTATCTCTCTTGGGAAAATTATTGAATTTATAAATGGTAGCACTTTAAGAAAATATCAAAGATAGCTTAATTTCGAGAAAATGAGTCTGGACTAAGAATCAGGACACTTGGCTTTTGTTTTCCTTTGCTTTTCACAATTCTCCACTGACTAGCTATGTGCACTTAGACATGTCCCTTAACCTACAAATACCTCTACTTCGTTTCCATGAAGAGAGACATGAGCTTGAAGGGTATCTTCTGATTCTAAGTTGTTACTATTTAGTGCCTGCGACACATATGCACATATGCACACGCAGAATTCAAGAGCCTCTAGAGCAGTAGTTTTTCTCACTATCCAACAACATCGTTGTTGCTTAAAGAGCTGTTTCAAAGCTCAGATTTTGGGAACCTTCAGAATCTGACTTGGTTAATCAGGTTGAAGCTGGAGGATCTATATTTTGTGAACACTTCCCAGCTTCTTCAGGAGAGAAGTTAGGCCTGGTAATCACTGCTTCAGACCACTTTGCGGGTTTGGCAAAATAACCATGCCCTGAAACCACGAGGATGACCGAAGCCTGCCTCACGACCTCTGTTCCATGGAGTAAGTTCATTGATAAGGCAGAGCTGTAACGCACCAAGTTTGCATTTCTTGGCCATATATTATTACACGGTGTGTAGGTGGAAAAAAAAATTTACAGATTATTTTCCTGTAGAAAAGGGAATGCTGCCAGGGGCGGTGGCTCAGGCCTGTAATCCCAGCACTTTGGGAGGCCGAGGCGGGAGGATCACGAGGTCAGGAGATCGAGACCATCTTGGCTAACACGGTGAAACCCCGTCTCTACTAAAAATACAAAAAATTAGCCGGGCGTGGTGGCGGGCACCTGTAGTCCCAGCTACTCGGGAGGCTGAGGCAGGAGAATGGCGTGAACCCAGGAGGCGGATCTTGCAGTGAGCAGAGATCGCGCCACTGCACTCCAGCCTGGGCGACAGAGCAAGACTCCGTCTCAAAAAAAAAAAAAAAAAGAAGGAAAGAAAAGAAAAGGGAATGCTGTCCTGATGGCATCAATTTTAAAACTGGAGTAAAACTCTAGAAAGCAGTAGAATTAACCTACTTATTAGTGGCATCCCTAGTATGGATAATTACATTCAACTTGAGAATCACCCAAAGTCGAGAAAAAGCATGATCAATAAGGCCCAAATACATGATCAGTACATGAACACCAAACTTGTATTCTAGTAGATAGATTTAGTGAGCTGGGATCATGACATGATACCTAAACAGGTAATAAAATTGAACATGAGGGGCAAAATGTATTGAAGAGAGTCCAAAGACAAAAACAGTAATATATCTATATGAAGAAATGAGTTATAGCTATTTACCACTGTCAAACCCACCTGAAGTCAGTGTAGAAGGGATGCCACCAGTCAGAAAGGAATGGGTCATATTTTAAAGCATTAAAGCATGAATATCACCCAGACCATCATAGTAAACATGTATGTATCAAAGGACCAATGATACCATGTGTAAAGGGCTGAAGGTTATGTAGGCACAGTCCAGTGTCAACATTTCTAAAACTTAAGGATTATGCAAGCCAGCAAGTAAATGCACAAAAATCATTTGCCAATTTAAAGAGAAATTCTGTGTGTGAACCTCAGTAATTATTTTTCAAGTGCTATTTTCAAAATGGAGCTAACAACTCTGTCTACAGAATGTTTGACAATTATTAAATTATAATCTACAACCACACTCAACTCCTTGGCAGAAAAAGACATGTGAGGAAAGGGGTGAAATGGATGAGAGCAATATAGTCCTTAAAAACACCTGGACACCCTCCCATATAAGCTTCAGAAATCACAAGGATCAGGCATTCTTCGAGATCTAATCTCAAAACTTCATCAGGTGTTTATTATGTACTGTTAAGAAAAAAGCTTAATGACAAACTGAATCCTACATAGATGACTAGCTGCCTGATTGCTCTGCCCAGAGGGTCATAGGAAACATAGGGATCAAAGGGTGTATCCATGTTCATGGAAGCTGAACTCCAGTTTCACTGTCTTCTGCTTCCCTTAGGTACATTTTATTAAGTCTTCTGGGCTGAATTTGGAAATCCTTGATGTTGGAAGAAAAGCTGACCTATTTCCTTATGCTGGAGCTTTTCTGAGCTGATGTTCCTCCAAAATTACATTTTTAGACTAAAAGATAACTAACCAGCATCTTGATTTCAATCAGGAAACAATAAAATATGATGCTATTTGGGTTATTTTCTTATCTTATTATTTGTTGGCTGGGTATTCACTTAAACCAGCCTGCCCTATATGTTAAATATCAACCTAAGTCTAAAATATTTTACCAGATGTCTTCTTAGTAAAACTCAATAAAAGTGAACAGAAGGAAAATCCAGAGCACAGGACCAGCCAAATAACCCAAATAGACTCAACCTAAGTCCTCTTCTTAGACTCATTATCACATTACAGTATCTCTTCACCAACACCAAACCCCTTCTGAGGTGACAGAGGGAGGCAAGAAAAGTTTGTGTTTTGTGTTATATTTATTTCCTTTGAAGTCATAAGCCACATATCATCTCCTTTTCAAAATCAAATACTCCTGACTTCCTCCATCATTCCTTTCTCTAATGTTCAGAGGGCTCTTCGTCTATCCCCATCTTCCGTAACCCCAGATAAACTTAAGCTTGTTCACTGTCTCAACTGTCGCTCATAAAATATATAATAGAGTAGAAAGAGTACTGTTTGGGCAGGAGATCTGAGTTCTAGGTCTAATCCTGCCACTTGCTAGTTTTGGGACCTACAACAAGTCTTAAACTATTCAAGGCTTCAGTGGCTTTATTACTGTAATAATGCATTTGGAAGGGTTGCTATTGAGGATCTAAAATTTTCTAGCTACATTTTCTATAATTGTAGCACTATTGGCTAGCTCCTGAAATTAAGCAAAGATCTCAGGGTTGTCCTATGGCAAATACCTGAAAATGAAATTATTTTTTATGAGCACAGATAATTTTTAAAAAAGCTGATATATGCTAATTTTATTATTTAACAAAGTAAGAAGTCAAGAGATTGTTTCATTCTTGGCACGATTCGAGAAATGTGGGATTATGTATGTTAATTAAAATTTTATGTAAATACAAACACTCCAATCATCATAAGAGGAAAAAGAACAAAGAAAGCCTAGTTCATATATCAAAAGAAAGAAAAAAGGCAGCCACAAAGAAGCAGAGACAGAGAGACAGAGAAAGCATAAAAAAAGATTAAAAAGGATGATATGAGTTAAAAAGCTTCTGCACAGCAAAGGATACAATCAACACAGTGAAGAGACAACTCATAGAATGGGAGTAAATATTTGCAAACTACCTCCTCTAACAAGGGATTAATCACCAGAATATATAAGGATCTCAAACAACTCCATAGGAAAAAATCCGATAATCCAATCAAAAATGGGCAAAAGATTTTAATAGACATTTCTCAAAAGAAGACATACAAATAAATGGCAAACAGGCATATGAAAGGTGCTCAACGTCATTGGTGATCAGAGATGCAAATCAAAACTGCAATGAGATATCAACCCACCTCAGTTAAAATGGCTTATATCCAAAAGACAGGCAATAACAAACGCTGGCAATGATGTGGAGTAAAGGGAATCATCATACACTGTTGGTGGGAACGTAAATTAATACAACCACTATGTAGAACAGTTTGGAGGTTCCTCAAAAAACTAAAAATTGAGCTATCATACAATCCAGCAATTCCACTGTTGGTTACATAACCAAAAGAAAGGAAATCAGTACATTGAAGAGATATCTGCATTCCTGTTTGTTATAGCACTGTTTACAATAGCTAGAATTTGGAAGCCACCTAAGTGTCCATCAGCAGATGAACGGGTGAAGAAAATGTGGTACTTATACAAAATGGAGTACTATTCAGCCATAAAAAAGAATGAGATCCAGTCATTTCCAACAACATGGGTGGAACTTGAAGTCATTATGCTAAGTGAAATAAGCCAGGCACAGAAAGACAAACAGTGCATGTTCTCACTTTTTTGTGGGATCTAAAAATCAAATCAGTTGAGGTCATGGACATAGAAAGTAGAAGAATGCTTACTAGAGGTTGGGAAATATAGTTGGGGGTTGGGAGGCTGGTGGAGATGTGTAATGGGTACAAAAAAATATAGAAAGAATAAATATGACCTATTATTTGATAGTACAATAGGGTAACTGTAGTCAATAATAATTTAGTTGTATATTTTTTAATAACTTAAAGAATGTAATTGGATTGCTTGAAACCCAAAGGATCAGTGCCTGAGGCGATGGATACCCCATTCCCCTTGATGTGCATATTTCACATTGCATGCTGTATCAAAACACCTCATGTACCCCATAAATATATATACCTACTATGTACCCACAAAAATTTGTTTTAATAATTTAAAAAACTCTTTTAAGATTAAAAAATAAAAGCAAAAATATTAGTTATGAAAATGAATATAAATATATTAAAGTTATTTATTAAAAGATCAAGGTTCTTAAACTAGGTTAGAAAAAACTCCAGCTATATACTGGATTAAAAAATATATGTATAAATTAAAAGTGAAAAGATTAGCAAAGATCTACCAGGTTTATGTAAATAAAAATATGGTAAAAAGGCTTAGGTAAATAAAAAGGCAAAGTGTAGGCAAAATTCACTAGATAAAACAAGGAATGTAAATTTAGAATGCCAAAAAAGTTAGACTTCACAATAAAAGTATAAGAGGTAGAAACCATTATGTACTTAGAAACTAGTATTAAACTACATAGCTCTTCAATGTACTGGCAGAAATAGGTATATACACAATTGGAGTCTTCAAACAGTGTTTTCATTCCTTGATAAATCAAGTAGGACTAAAATAAAACAGATTTAGTTAATGATTTTTAGTCTAATTGTTGTAATTTAAGTTTTACACTTACATGAGTACATATACTTTTCAAACATCTCTGGAGTATTTTTGGAAGTTAATGGTGTAATAGAACAAAATTATAATTTTTATAAAATCCCACAAAGGAAAAGTACACAGCCCACATTCTAAATGTTTATTCTAAAATAAACTAGAAAATAGTACCAAGAATTTAAAATAGGAAAGTGTTTATTTGTAAATTAGAAAACATATACATAAATAACTATTGGACTAAAGAAAAGAACAATTATGATTATAGATTATTCAAAAAATAATAATGATTAGAAGATTACATATCAAATCTTACAAGATAGAACTAAAACTATCAGTAGGAAAAGCAGATTTATGTGCTTGCTTTATTAGAGCATGAGTAACATAAAATAATTAAGCTGAATTAAATTTAAGAAGTTAAAAGATGAAGTTAGCTTTTGAAGCCAAAAAAAAACCAGCAAAAATAAAAGCAAAGATTAATGAAAGCAAACACTAAAAATTATAGTGTTCTGGCAAATTCTGGAAAGTCCAGAAAAAAGAGAGAGAGAGCCACAGAAAGAGAGAGAGAGAGTTCACAAAAACAAATAAATGAGAAATGAGTTATAACTATAGATATGAGAGACTCTTAAATGATAAGACAATTTTATATGCAGTTAAGTTTTTTTAATTCACTTATGTTCTGAGAAAATATAAATAGCTAAGATTAACTTGATAAGTAGTAAATCTGGATAGGCTTTTGTCAATAGAAAAAAAGTTGAAAAAATAATTAATTCCAATAAAGTTTCTAAGTGAAAACCATTTTACTAGTCTTTGCAATTTTTTTTTTTTTTTTAAACAGGGTCTCACTTTGTTATGCAGGCTGGAGTGCAGTGGCATTATCTCAGCTCACTGCAAACTCTGCCTCCCGGGTTCAAGTGATCTCCTTCGTCAGTCTCCCGGGTAGCTGGGATTACAGGCACGCACCAGCATGCTCAGCTAATTTTTGTAGTTTTAGTAGACACAGGGTTTCACCGTGTAGCCCAGGCTGGTCTTGAACTCCTGGACTCAAGCCATCAGCCCTCAAGTGATCCTCCCACCTCCACCTCCCAAAGTGCTGGGATTACAAGTGTGAGCCACCACGCTCAGTCTAAGTCTTTGCAAATTTTAAAGGAATAGTTTGCACATCGTATATACTGTTTCAGTACAGGAAGAGATGGAAAACTTACAAATTCCTTGTAGCATTAGCATAACCATAATAATCTAATGAAGATAGTGTGGAAGAAAAAAATTACAAACCAATACTACTTATGAAGGTTGATGTAAATTCATAAGTAAATTTCTAGAAAACTGAATGTGTTACTTAAACAATAAGAACTGGCTGGATATGGTGGCTCATGCCCATAATCCCAGCATTTTGGCAGGCAGAAGTAGGAGGATCACTTGAGGCCAGGAGTTCAAAACCAACCTCGTCAACATAGCAAGACCCTATCTCTACAAAAATAATTTTTTTAAAATTAGCCAGGCATGGTGGTGCATGCCTGTAGTCCCAGCTGCTCTGGAGGCTGAGGTAGCTGGATCACTTAAGCCCAGAAGTTTGAGACTGCAGTGAGCCATGACCATGCCACTGCACTCCAGTCTGGGCAGCAGAATGAGACCCTGTCTCCAAAAAACAAACAACTGTAAAGGGTCTGACATCTTACCCTACTTGCAAGCTAACAAGTTAGCCTGCCAGTTTCATGTGGCAGAAGAAATGAGACTTTACGGTCAGAGACAAAGGATTTTGTTGCTCTTGGCATACACAGGAAACAGCATAAGCATCAGTATGTTCATCACTGCTCCTGACCCCTCGCCCACCCGTTCTCAGGTGGGCCATGTGATATGGGCCCAGGTGGACACCTGCACATTCAGTGGATTGCATTACAGGAGAGGAAGCCTGAGTTCAGGAAACTCAGATCTTTTAAAATGGGCAATAAACATGTGCCTGCTGCCCGTTGCTCCAGAGGGAGACTTTATGACACTGGATCAGTAAGAATGTTTGTTTGTTGCACCAGGGAGAGACACTATATTTTTAAGTCTGTAAGCAAACCTACCCTTCATTATGGAGGAAAAGCCTCTATCCTTGAAAACATACTCCCAAAGAGCAGTCAGTGCCTGTGCTCACAAGGAGTACAGAAATGTGAGAGACCCATGGAGAATTGTCTCCCGACACATCATTAAATATTATTCTTAAAATGCAAGGATGGTTTAATGTTTGAAAATATAATAAGACAAAGAAAAATAATATAATAAAATTCAACATCTAGTGCTGGTTGTTAAAGAGAAAATAT